>NC_000013.11:98752979-99377979 GCF_000001405.40 Homo sapiens | reverse complement strand
AAATGCAGGGGAAGCTGCATGCTGTCTTAGGTCTGACTCCAGCGCAGGGTGGCAGGGAGACCCGAGCTTTGGAGTTGGCCCCGTGTGACCACATGCAGGGGACCAGGCTCTGACTCTCTGTTTCCTCGCAGTTTGGGAGATGAGAGGGATGCATGTGAGAAGCCCAGAACAGTGACGGGCACATGACCAGCGCTCAATAAACATGACCTCTCAGGACCACTATTCTCCTATGGAGGGCAGCGGGGCCAGGTGTGTGGTGGGCCCTAAAGAAGTCAGAAAGACAGGAACAATCTTTTTAAATGGTGAGCATAACATTCTAACAAAAAGACTGTGTTGTTCTAAAATACACTTTATGTATTTATAAAGTTTAGCAAATACACAACTCTGATGACTATATAAATAATGGTATTATAGATGGTCAGCCCATCTCTCTCCCTATCGAAAGCACCACATTTTAGCCACAACACACATTAACTCACACTGAAACCCTGGACTACTTCATTTTCTCTGCAGGCTGCTTCCTGTCTCTGTAGTCCAGCTACTGGGATGAGAAGCATCAGAACTCACCATGAGCACCTGATCCGATCTAACATCCACAGGAAGAGAAAGTTTCAATGTAAAATCTCCTGATGTCAAGTTGTTAAAGTACAGGAATGAATGTTTACAGGTCTCCTCTGCTCTAAGGACTGGCACTAGGTACTTGCATGAGTTGGGTACTGGGTTAGGGCCTTGCATGGATCTGGTCTCCCTCATAGACGGTGAGCTCCCTTGAGGGCTGGCACCAGGCCTGGCTTGCTTCCCCCCAACACAGAGCCTGACACACCCGGTGCCCAGCACCAGTTAGAGAAGGCTGAATGTGAAGATCAAAAGTGACCAATAAACATGTGGAGGACAAAATGAGAATGCTGGTAGGACACTGAGACTCTGGAAAAGACTGTGCTAGGATAGACACTTGTTCTGGCGTGAGTGGAGGCAATGGTGAGGCGAGGCGAGGCGAGGCACGGCGCTGCATACTGCAACTTCGTCAGTGTTGGCTTCATGGGCTTGCAGTCATTCATTGGTCTGGAAAATTTTAAAAATGTCTCAAAGAAATTTTCTAAAAAGGTGTTCTTTCAACATTCCCTCTCCATCTCAGAGCACAGCGAGTACCTTCCTCCTGCTCAGGCATCACAAGAAGTTTCTGCCTAAAAATCCTCACCACAAAATATCAGATTAGAGTGCAGCTTGGTTTCTAGCCCCCAAATCGAAATGATTCCTTCCTCTAACTTCATTGAGAAGCCAGCTCTAGTTGGGTTCGCCTCCAGCATGCTTTGCTTTCCTGTCTTCCACATCTACTTATTTCTTATTTCTAGACACTAACATTCCCCAAATGTAACATCCAGAGCCTGCTTTCCGTAACAGGAAACCTGACTTCCAGAGGTGAGGAGCAGAGATAAGGCTACTCAGAGGACACCAAGGTGCAGCTGGTGCTGTGGCAATGGCAAACTCCAGCTCCGCCCTCACGGGGATGAAGACCCACTCTGGAGGTGTCCAGGGTGCCCCACCAGAGCCCCCACAGGGATGAAGACCCTCTTGGAGGTGTCCAGGGTGCCCCAGTGGAGCAAGGTGTGACTCCATCAGTTGCCTTTCGTCACGAGCTTCTGAACCACAGGCGTCAGCAGCCCTTCACCAGCCCTGGTGTGACACTTCCACATGGCTGGCTGACCAAGGCAGGGGAGCATGACAGAAATAGGCGTTGCCACAAGAGCACTGTCACTGTCACCTGACAATGTTCCAAAGGAGAGCAAGATGGAATACATTCCCTAATAATGTGCTTTTCAGAGAACCCACTGAATGAGGAAAACACCCTAGAGATGGAAATAAATCTGTACCAGTTTCTCTTTCCTTATTTTTTATTTTTAAACATCTATGATTGGGATGTGTGTGCCTACTACCTCAAGATAATTCTCATTTAAGAAAATGCCAGCCTGGGCAACCCTTGTCTCTACCAAAAAAAAAAAAAAAAAAAATTAGCTGGGCTTGGTGGCATGTGCCTGTAGTCCCAGTTACTCAGGAGGCAGAGTTGGGAGGATGGCTTGAACCCAGGAGGTCGAGGTTGCGGTGAGCCATGATAGCACCACTGCACTCCAGCTTGGGATACAGAGCAAGACCATGTCTCAAAAAAAAAAAAAAAAAAAAGGGAAAAAGGAAAAGAGAAAAGAAAATAAATGAAATCCCACTTTGGTATTTTACTTGCAATTCAACTCCTCTTTGACATAAGTAAAATGGGACATTCATTCCAATGAGATTTCTAGCAACTCCCCTCAGTGAAAGACTCCTTTTGGTTTATTCAAACTAGAGTGTGGTTTTCTTTAACTTCCCTTTTAGCTAAGTGCGTCAAAAACAAATGTTTTTTTTGGGTTTTTACTTCCCATATTCTGACGCTTGCAGAAAGCGATGCCCACCTGAAGACGGCCCCCACCCGATCCTGAGCTCACACTGGGTGCAGGGTAGCATGCACACCCTGTTGGGGGAGCCCAGATGTGCTGGGCCTGCCTCGCCCACTGCTGTCATAGCAACTGGCACCGGTTACCTGTTGGCACCAGCTGCCCACCCCCATGCTGACGCATGGCCGAGACCCTTGCAAGGCAGTGCAGCCCCCACCCCCCTCTCCCTGTCTGACCACTCTCTTCCTTGGGAGAACTGCAGATCCCCCCTCCTTTCACATCTCTTGGTTGAACTCAGGTTTCTGGTTATTACAGACCCTGCCAGCGTTCTGGGCTGCTCTGAGACCAACTGTGTCTAGAGCCTCGTCAGGGTCTTGTATGGAGCAGGTCTTTAGTTAAGGCTGGCTGAGCTCCTTTGTGTACATCTCTCAGAGCACCCAGCAGAATGAGACACCCCACAAAAGTTGGTTACTATTTGAGTACCATCTAGTATTTCATTGTAACACATCTAACTTTGGGATCTTGTTAGAAAACGTATTTCCAATCTACTAGAGCAAGCAATGGAAAAACCTGGCATAATACCACTCTCTAGCACATTTTTTATGTGAAAACAAGAGTTCTGAAAGGGAAGTTTACTGGCCACACCTTCGTGTTCAACCCTTCTCCGACCGATGCTGGGGCACCTGTGTGTATCAGGCTTTTCATAGGGTAGCAAACAAGGCAGACATGGCCCCAGCCCTCAGGAAGCTCGCTGTCCACAGGGAGACCAGACGCCATGGGAGGCTAACCCAATACCCAATGTGCTGCCATGCTTGGCTACTCAGAGCAGAAGCACGAGATGTGTCTCAAAACCAATAAATATTAGAGCCCTGCTTTCAGAAGGTGAGCATTTTAGGAGTTTCGGTGGGTTTTCTGGAGACAGTGGTAAGGATTCCTGAGATGAGAAGAGAGGAGACAGCCTCATTAAGATTTAGATTCTCTAATACTAAATACATTTTGCTATTTATCAGCTAAGAGTGAAAGCACCTTGTGGGTTTAAAGCCATTCTCTCTACTTGGGCTAATGGATATCTCAGAGACATAAACAGAATCCACACGACGTGTCATGTGAATTGACCAAAATTATGGGACGCCATTGTTTTGGGCTCCAACAAACCAGAAGACCAAACTAAATGGAGTCACTCATGCTAAATGCCACACAATCAAATTGAAACTTTAAGGAAGCAGACAGATCCCAAAACAAGAAGACCTGCTTTTTCTAAAAATAGGAGATCCCAGACTACACAAGTCAGCATAATAAGGAACTCCCCTCTGCTTTAACCCTTAAAAAAAAAGCAACCTGAAGTAACTCAATGTTAACCTATCAGTTATTTTTCTATTGCTCTGTTTCCTTCTTACAAAATGCACTGTTCCAGTACTGCCTGGCGGGAGCTCACATTCTGTTTTGTAGAATGGAGGCTGCACTAATTCATAAGTTGCAAATAAAAGCCAAATAGATCTGTCACTAAATTTGCTGTAATTCTGTCGTTTGACATGCATTATAAATGTATTATTAATATTAATGCACCAAATGGTAACATCTCTTGTCTGGGCAGTTGCACCATGTTTCCTGGGCCTGGATAGAGAAAATTATAAGATTATAACCTGCCCCCTCCTCTGTGTCCAGTCCATCCTCTTGGGAAACCCAATGATGGTGTTTCTTGTGTAAGATCCCGCATGGTTCCTTGGTGTCTAGAGTATAACCACATGCCACACATCAGACCCTTGGCGAGCCTGTCTGGCCTCCTTTCTGTCCAGCTTCTAGAATCCCAAGAAGTGCCCCGGCCCTCCAGTCCCCTCTACTCCAGCCCACCCATCCGTGGCTCCCCACCTCCCATGTACTTGTCTTCAGGCCCCTCCTCTGCAACACCACTGCCCTGACGGCCTTTCTTGGCCTCAGCAGCACCCGAACACTTCCACAAGCTCTTTGTCCACCTGTTTCCCTGCCCTGGGCTCACAGCTCCTCAGGGCAGGACATTCCGCCTTATCCATCTTAGTGTTTTCAGAATTCAGCACAGCGCTTAGCCCCGGTGCAGAGCAGACAGCTGGTCACTGTCAGCTAAAGGAAAGAAAGACATGAATCGAAGAGAGGAAGCTGAAATTTGCTCATCTTCCTTTTGTTAAATCCCAGCTTTGGTCTAGTCTTATTTAACTTTCTTGTCTGATTTTACCTAACAGTCATTTTCTAAGCTTTGGGAGGGTCAGAAGAGATACACTTGATGAGTTTTTCCCCCTTTGGTTTTAAAAAAATCAGAAGCAAATATGAGAAAAATTTAATCATTTGTTAATTTTGAGTATGGGTCATAGTAGTATAAAGATACCTGTTTAAAAAAAAAAAAAAAAACAATAAAAAAGAGAGAGATGGAATAATGGATATACTTATTATTATTATTTTGAGACAGAGTCTTGCTCTGTCACCCAGGCTGGAGTGCAGTGGCGTGATCTCAGCTCACTGCAAGCTCTGCCTCTCGGGTTCACACCATTCTCCTGTCCTCAGCCTCCCAAGTAGGTGGGACTACAGGCGCCCGTCACCATGCCCGGCTAATTTTTATTTTTTTATTTTTTAGTAGGGACAGGGTTTCACCATGCTAGCCGGGATGGTCTCGATCTCCTGACCTCGTGATCCGTCCGCCTCAGCCTCCCAAAGTGCTGGGATCACAGGTGTGGGCCACCGCGCCCGGCCTGGATACACTTATTTCTAAGATAGCAGACATTGAGCGTATTTGATTACTCGAAGGAGTTTTATCAAGTGGTCTTTGGCTTGGCATTTTTGCTGTTGTTGTTGACAAACAGTTTCTATTTATCTTCTTCTTCCTCCTCCTCCTCTTTCTTGTCTACCTTTCTCTGGGCAACCCTGGCAGGACCTTCTTGCCACCCATTTTCCCTTTAGACTCAGAGCCGGTGACGCCACCTGTCTTTCTCCAGCAGCTTCCCCACCTTGGTGTCCTAAGGCTGCTTCTCACGGTCACTGATTCCACAGCTCACCAAGCTTGTCTACCCATCTCCAAAAGCAATCCCAGGGTCTATGGATTTGATGCTGGGGATCCTGAACAGAACAGGCAGTGGTCTTTGGGGGGCATTAGGGGCCTTCTCCTTGCCTCCCTTAGCTGGTCCATCATCCTTCATTTTCCCCCCACAGCCTACTTTATCCACCTTTGTCCTTTCATCAGATTTAGACTTCTCTTTCCCCAGACATTATCTTTCAACTCTAAGAGCACTTGGAAAGTTCTGTGAAATTGATAGGAACTTGTGGGGTTTTCTTCTGATCTTCCTCCCCGCACGTCTGCACAGGGAAGGCATGAGCAGACATCTCGCCTTGTGGTTTCCGGGGATCGCTGTTGCCATCCTGACTGTCTAGCTAGCAGGCCAGGCAGCACAGGGCGCACTGTGTGGCTTGGCACTCTGCAGCCTCCCACCGCCTGCCTGCACAGCAGCCTCCTTCTTGGGATATTCTTAAATGGGGCTGGGGTGGCATCTCTGAGGGGTGATGAATTGGCAGAGGTGCCGTGGGTTTACTCACCAAAAAACGGGAGTGGATTCTGAAGAACTAAAAATCTTGAATCTTAATAACAGCAAAAATAGCAAAAGTAGAAAAGGTGGCAAAAGATTTCTATGGCTATCAAACTACTATTGGATTTATTAAAGGATGCACATTCTTCTTAGAATATTCTGCTTTCAAAGTACATGGCATACATTTCATGTCTACCAGGTTTTCTTGAACTCTCACTAAATTCCTAAAGTATCTGTTTACAGCAGAAAAAACTCAAATAATAATTTCTATTTTTCTTGGCTTAAAAAATTACTAAGTTTCTTAATGCATTAAAATTACGTGGCTCTGATATTTAAATGAAGAAAATACAAACATTTAATTGAAAAAGTAAGCAAAAAAAGCTTTTGTTAATTCAAGTTATCTTAACATGTTATTAACAAATATTTTAGACAGTGGTTAAACAAACTGGCCAAGAGATTATACAATATAAATTTATAAACTTTTTTGTAAGCATCTTGAGGGCAACAACAGTATCTTTTTTATCTTTTATAATCTCTATAGTACCCACTGCAAAGAACACCAAGAGCCTGCAGAATGAATAATGCCAGTAAGAACCTTGCATCTTTAAGGCAACAATGGTTTATAACAGCTATTTGCAGGATAATCAAGAAACACCAAAAACAAGATTTAGAAAATCAATGTATAAGAAAGTGTATGTTAAAAACAACCCCTCATGTTTTTACAACTTCTCGTAACACGGAGCGAGGAAGAAATTAAGTACTGTTTTAAACTGATGTTGACAAGAAGTAACCTCGCTGTTGTCATTCTGGGATGATCAAGGAAAAATGACTCATTAAACAAAAAAAAAAACAACCCTGAAGACTTCAATCACACACATACTCCTTTCACTCCCTTTTTGACACTTTTTTTTTCCTGAAGTGCCCAAACTGAGAAATATATCACCTTTAAATACCTCGTCTTAACGGCTGCCCCATGAGGGATGTGACTCACTGCTGTATCAAGTAAACAGTAACATAACGGAATTTTGATATTTCTTTTCAGCTGAACTTGACAGCAGTATCTTATTTTTTAAACATGTTATAGGAAGATTTTACACATGGCAGGTTATTGGGCTTTTCTTATCCATGGGGATAACCTTTGTCTAGAAATTCTCTAGTGGAGGTAGAAGAGGAAAACTGTGGCTCCATACTCCACCTGTTAATCCTGAAGAGCTGCTGAAACCATCAGTCTGAGTGGAGAAGTGGCAAGCGGGAGGGGCTGGATCAAGTCAATGGGCACGTGACAGTGGTTTCTCTTGAAAACACCTGTCACAGCCTTACCCATGGGTGGCTATGAGATCCCTGCCCAGGGGCACCTTTTGAGTTTTGGGAAAAATGAGGACAAAGTTTTGCTACAGAGGCAGGTGCGTGGCATTTGTTCACTCTGGGGACAGGGAATGGGGAGGCGATGGCGTGGATGGTGTGGTCAGCTGTGAAATGCTGATCTCAATTTGTTTTGTTTGCTGAAAGGGAAAAACAACAGGCAGAGGGAAACTTCAAAGTATTATGATGGCAACACTCTTAACTTTCTTTTATAGATTTTGAAAAGGTTGTAGTTTGAAATAATTTCAAACTTAGAAAAGTTTCTAGAATAGTACCTGGAACTCTTGATTCCTCCTTAACCAGATTCACCAATTGTTATTTGGCCATAGCTGCTTTCTCTCTCTGTCTCTGTCACACATACACACAATCACACACTATGTACTGACATGCACAGGTATTATTCCTAAGCCATTTGAGAGCAGGTTGCACACATCATGGTGCCGTTTTCCTTCATACTTCAGTGTGTATTTTCTAAGAACAAGAATATTCTCTTTCCTAACCACGGTCGGTATGTACCAAGTCCTGGAAATGTAAAATTCATATAATACCAATATCCAATCCATAGTCCAATTTCATCAATTGATCCTAAAATGGCCTTTCATCAGACATTTTTTCTCCAGTACAAAATCCAGTCCAGGATCACATTTTCCACTTGGGCAGCATGACTCCCAAGTCTCCTTTAATCTGGAACATCGTATTTTTGAAGAACATAGACCAGGTATTTTACAGAATGTCCCTCAAATTAAGTTTATCTTATTTTCCCTTACGATCAAAGTTATGCATGTTGATTGTAACTGCATATGTTACAAGGACATAACTGATAGGTCCTTTTCAGGATATGAACATAATAATTCTTTGTTCCATAATTGGTGATGTTAATTTTGATAACCTGGTTAAGGTGGTGTCCAATTTCTCTTCTGTAGAATTACGGTTTTCCTTTATAATTAGTAAGTAACTTGTGGAGGGATACTTTGAGATTACAAGCGCTCCTCAACCTACGATGGAGTTAAGTCCCAATAAATCCACTGTACGTTGAAAATATCATAAGTTGAAATGCATTTAGTACACTTAACCTACTGAATATCACAGCTTAATCTAGCCTACCTTAAAGATGCTCAGAACACTTAACATTACCCTACAGTTGGGCAAAATCATCTCTCACAAATCTAGAGTATTGACTATCTCATGTAATTATTGAGTATCGTGCTGCAAGTGAAAAACAGAACGGTTCACAGTCGCTGCCCAGCATCGCAAAAGAGTCTCGTACCACGTATCGCTGGCCTGGGAAAAGAGCAAAACTCAAAATTTGATGTATGGCTTCTACTGAGTATGTATCACTTTTGCACCACTGTAAAATTGAAAAATTGTTAAAGTTCGACAATTATAGGTCAGGGACCATCTATATATAAATAGCCTAGTCTTCATATATTGATCATTTTTCCCTGAATGGATTTTTATTACGATGCTTGCAAATTTGTGATTTTCTGATACTATCATTCTTTGTATATTTATTACTTGACATTCCATTTAGGAAAAGCATTTCCTTCCCTCCAGTGTATGTATTTATATAAATATTTATCTACTATTATAATGCATGTATTCTTACTATCCTTTATTTATTCTGATCCCCAAGCCGATGCCCTAGATGTGGCCAGTGGGATCCCGCAGCTGGCTCCAGTGTCCTTCTGACAGGCCCCAGCAGTGACTGATCACTTCCTTACTTTCCTGGCACACGATGATCCAGGGCTATCCTGTACGTTCCCTACACTGGGCCTGGAATCCACCGTTTTCCTAAATAGGCCTGGTTCCTTTTAGTGGGGAGGAGTGTTTAGAAACCAGATCTGGGCAGTAGGTGAGCCCACTGCTACCAGGAGGCCACTGCTTCTGAGCCCTCTCGGTCAGAGTGAGGGTATGTGTACACACACACACACACACACACACACACACACACACACTCTCTCATGAGTTTACGATGATAGTGATAATTCCTTTCCAACCCCACAGGGTTCTCCCTTGCCTTTCCCTGCTTTATATATTTATTTTCCTTCTTCCACAATAAAATCAACCGAGTTCCTCATTTGCTCAAATCTATAATACACACAGCATAATTTTAGAATTGCTATACTCATACCTTTATGAAAACTAAACCTTGAAGAAATGTTTAAGATTTGTTTGCAGTTCTTTTTGTTTCTTCATTAGACTGAGGGTATATCCGGTACAAACGTTACTGAAATCCATTTTCCCTCCTTCAATGTGATTATGTTATTCATTTGAAATGCAGTTAGAGCATTTGTTTGTTTCTTTTCAGTTTTACATTTGTCCCTGTCCTTTTGGTTTGCTTGTTGAATATGTAAAACATTAACATGACTCAAAACCATACAAAAGTGAAACCATGCCAAAGGCACACTCCCTCCCCATCCTCCCACCTCCTTGTCCCCGATCCTTCACAGAGAACCAATCTCATTAGTTTCTTGTATATATGAAGTGTAAGAGCATCTAAAACAAGCTACCATAATACATTCCCACCCGCCGCCCCCCAACCAATAATGCCTTCCTTAAACTCGTAAGAACCACAATAGCCAAAAAAAAGCCCAAAGTCTCTATCATGGTGGCAGATGGACTGCTGTCACCATCTTTGTATTTACACGCTTGATTACTTTTGAGTCCTGTTGATCGAAACTGCTTCAACTCTGAAACATGGATTTAGAATGAGTACCAGGTATTACTGATTAATTACCTGTTCCTCAGAAACTTCTAGAGGGGGCGCTGCTGGCTCAGACTGCCGACCGCCCTGATAGTTTACGTTTTGTCGCTGACGTAAAGGAGGAAAAAGACGATTCCAATTGATCATTCCTCCCTAAAAAGAGATCAACACACAGTTATCAGACACAGAAGGAGCAGAATCATCATAATGCTTGGAAGAGCTTTCTCTCAATGCAGTTACATCTATAGACTGGGAAGGAAGTATCATATTGATCCGCTCTATGCAAGCAATTCAAATTCAAAAGTATCACAACATCCTTCAGTCAATAGCACAAAATTGGCAGCCTGCAGTAGGTGCTCAGGAGAAAAGAAAGTAATAGGCAGTGTAAAAGCTCTTTGTGCACTGTGGCTCTGGAAGGCAGTGAAAGACACTGTACAGACACTCCTAATTTCAGCCCGACTGTGACGCCACTGACTGTCCCAACTCCAGTTAACTCTTAGGAGCTCAGGGCTTTGCAGGGTGTGATAGGAAGGAAGGCATGGAGACGAGGCTAAATCACTGAGGGCAGCCAGAAATCTGGTGTTTCCATCACGGCCCTTAAAATGCTCCCCTGCTCTACCTTTCTTCTTCTTATGACTGAAGTAAATCCTGAGCGCACACAGTGGAGGAAGACTGCAGACTGTGATAAAACCTCAGCAACAGGCTAGAGAGTGTGAAGGGAAATCTGACAAACAGCAAAAAGGTGAGAAGTGAGCATCAGTAACCATCTTTCTGAGGGTGGCTCCACGGATCCTGAAGACTGACAGCAATGCCGTTCCTGGCTTAGTCTATGTCACCAACAAAAAAGAAGCCACCATGGGAAGAAAAATGCATCACATGCTGCTTTAAAAAAATCCATGTTTCTAGCTATATGGCAATCTTTGAATTTATTAATTTAAATCTCTATTTCTAGAAGTCTTCTAGTCCTGACAAAATTATAGACTAAGATCTGAAACTCTTCCTACTACAAACACCTAAAAATGCTATTAATAGATAAATATTTCTATACACAGCTAAATATGAAAGAAGTAAGTGGAGTTGCAAGGCCTCAGGAACAAGTGGGCGTGGGAAGCAGAGCCGCACACTGTGAGCAGCCTGGGAGACGGGGGAGCAGAGGCCCTGCTCACCCAGGACCACTTGGGTTCTATCACTGTTTGAGTTCGGAAGATGCGGCCTTGGGTCTGAAAGAGGCAGCAATTTTGAGCTCAATTATCTGTCTAAAGATACAATCTTCAAATGGCAGCACCCTCAGCGAAAGGGATGAAAAAAAAATCAAACTAAAAAGCCTGTCTTCCCCCGGAGACAGCAGGAATCTTGGTCCTGCCTGAGAATTAAGAACCACAGGCAAATTTGGGGTTCAAGTTATACTATACATATGTTGTTATATTCATGGTCTCAGAACCCATCAAAAAAGTTACATAAAGATTGGTTTTGGGATGGAGATATCGAAGGAGCCAAGCAAAAGCAAATGTAAAATTACTCTGGAGAGATATTCTCTTGCCTTGGGGTTACATGGGATTTATAGTTAAAGCTCCAGTGGGGAAAAACTCAGAATTCAAAACCACAAAATCCACAAGGAAATCACCCATGATGAGCAAGTCGGCACACAAAACACACAAGAGACTGGGTCCCCAAGGACCTGAATATAGGAGGATCTGAAAATGATTACACACTTCAAAAAGACTAGGACGTCACAGGAGGACCTTAAAGAAAAGAATAAGGTATTATGAGAAAAAACAGATGTGAAAAAAAATTAGGGAAACAGAAGCCACTCTCACCTCTCACCTCCTCCCCACAAAAGATAAATCTAAAATATAAAGACGTACACAAGTTGATGTAAAGAGATGGAAAAAAATCAGAGAAATACTAATCAAAGAAAGCTGTTGTTGCTACATTCATGCCAAATAAATAGACCTCGAAGGCAAAAAAAGGCAGTATTAGGGATAAAATCAATAGAATACATGAATATCATATTTATATGTAACACAATGGCATCAAAACACAGAAAGCAAAAATTAATAGAATTACAAGAGAAGTGGAAGCATCCAGACATATATTTAATTTTCAGCATATAACTCAGTAACTGATAGATCAACCAGACAAAAAATAATATAAAAAATAACAAGTTTATTTCTGAATGGACATATATACCTTGCATTTAATATTTAGAGAATATACATTCTTTTCCATTACATTTAAAGTATTTACAAAGTAATTGTGTACTAGATCCTATATGAAATATTCACAAATACCAAATCATAAACATTACACAGATTATATTCTCACCATAATGCAATTAAATGAGAAATCAACATCAAAATAATAACTAAAACAAAAAACCTCACACATTTGGAAACCAAAAAAATCCTCATAATGGAAATTAGAAGATAGCTAAGAATGAATAAAACTATTACCTACCTATCAAAGTTTATGGGATGTAATAAAGTGGTTGATGTAATTTTTAAATATTGAGATTAAATTAAAAAAAGAAAACTGAAAATTAAAGGGTTAACTATACCCAATTTAAGAAGTTAGAGAAAGTAACAATAATCTAAAAAAATGAGAAAGAAGAAAGTAGAAAGTTGAGAGCAAATGTCAGTAAAACGGAAAACAAAGAAACAGAAGGAGTCACTAAAACCTACTGCTGGCTGTTACAAAGTCAAATAAAATAGGCAAACCTGGCAAGCTTGATGAAAAGACAAAGGAAGGAGCACAAATAAACAGTATTAAGAATAATACAAGGGATATAATGGCAGATTTTTAAAAAATCACAAGAATACTTTATTCATACCAATAACTTTGATGAAAGACAACTTTCTAGAAAAGTATAACTTATTAAAACTTATTCTAGAGAAAACAGACATTGGTAATTATCTTTTAAAATTGTTCAGGACCATCTACTTAAGCTGAGCCATATGTGAGACTCAGCAATTCCACTCCTGAATAAAAGAAATTCAAACACATGTTCATCAAAAGACATGGACTAGAACGTTCTCAGCAGCATTATTTCCAACAGTCAAAGACGGGAACTACCCAAATGCCCATCAACTATAGAATGGGTAAGTTATGGTGCATTCACATACTGTAATCTAATAAAGCAGTTTGAATGAATGAACCAGAATGACATGCAACAATATGGCTGAATCTCTCAAATGATGTTGAACAAAATAAACACAAAAAGTACATTTGTATGACTATTATTATATAGCATGTACTTTTCTGGATATATATCATACTTTAATGTAATTGAAACAGTACTTAAAAATCTACCCACCAAAAACCTACAGGTGAAGTGTATGAAATCTTTAATGACTCCTTATCTTATATAAACTGCTCTAGAGTACAGAAAAGGAAGGAGAGTTTCCCACCTAATTTTTTGGGACTAGCATAACACTGTTTCCAAAACTAGACAAGGCCATTATGAGCAAGAAAAATTATACAATATATAGTTAATTTTTCTTGGGTAGATACAATAATCCTAAATAAAATATCAGCAAATTCAATCCAACAATGTTTTCAAAATAATTCTCTTATCTAGTATGATGTGCTGTATTAGGATTTATCTCAAAAATCTTAGAAAAACTAGCAACATAATCCACACATTAACAGTTTGAAGGAGAAAAATCAAACGCTCATCTCAATAGGTATGAAAACAATTTGACAAAATTCAATACCCATTCATGAAGAGACAAAAATGCCTATTACCAATTCTTGCATTCAGCACAAGTCACAGCATAATGAGAACAAAAACCAAACCCAAACAAAAATCTCACATAAAGATAGAAAAAGAGAAACAAAACTCATTATTCAAATGATGACTGTCTACCTAGAAAATCCAAGAGTGTTTACAAATGTCTCTCAAAGCATGAGAACAAGAGAGTATGATTAAAAAGTAACATTCCCTCTATTGAAATCATTAGAGAATGTAAGTACAAAAAATTACTATTTATAAATAGCAATAAAAATATAAGGTAGTTAAGAATAAAATCAAACAAAAGATCTACAAGATTTCTAAGTAAATGGAAAGATTCAGCATGTTCCTGAATTGAGCCTGGTAACATGTAATCCTATAATCTATCCAGACACTGCCAACTCCAGTCTAGCAGACTGCTGGTTCACTTCCAATATCCATTTTCCCCCTTTGGAAAAAACAGTTTTGGTTTTCTTGGGTGTGTATATACGTGTGACTTGCTACCTTTCTCAGTATCTTTCCATGTTGACTAGGTTCTGACAATGGTATGTCAGCAGAAAGGGAATATGGGCCGACCAGGAAGATCCTCAGAGGCAGGGGCTCGCCCTTCTTAGAGGATCAGGTGGAAGCCCTGTGCTGAGGATACAGCAGCAGCAAAGAGCCGGGGGCTGACACCTTCAGGACACTGCCCCGCCGGCCTGGGCTGCCCACTGCTGGACTTCTATACAAGACAGAAATAAACTACCTCGGTTAAGTTTCTGCTATGTTGTGTTATCTGTCATGTGGAGTCAGATTCCTATTATTATTCCTATTCCCTAACTGCTATATACTCAAAATTCAAAAGTATGCACATGTGTATATTTTGGTGGGACTAGACTACTTGAAGTTAAAGCTCAAAACTAGGCATGACTATTTTGAAGAAATATAAGAAAGGATTTCTCTACCAGTTATTAGGACTTACTATTAGACTGCAGTAATTAAAGTCATGTGGTATTAGTGGAAGTTAGGCAAAAAATCCAAACAGAAGACAGAGTCTAGGAATCAACAGTAAACATGGGCACTTGGTTATGAGCCCGTACTGAATACAGTCCTGGGACAACTGGCTATAGATAGGGAAAAGATAAAACTAGGCCCTTACTTCACACCACCCACAAAAATAAAAACTAAGATTAAAGATTTAAATGTGGAAAGCCAAACTGTGAAAATTTTTTTGAAGAAATAGGAGATTATTTTCATGTCATTAGGATAGGAAAGGATATCTAAAACAGAAATACGAAGTATAAATCACAATGAAAAAAGTGGTTAAAAATTACTTTACCTGTAAGAACTTTTGTATTAAAAGTTCAATTGTTACTGAATTAAATAAGACAAACTACAGATTGAGAGAAAATGTTTACAACATATAACTGCTATATGCTCAAAATTCAAAAGTTACAAATCAATGAGACTTAATAAATCAATGACACTTATGAACTTATAAGACAACACTTATAAATCAATGAGAAAAAAATAAGTGACTCAAGAGAAAAGCAGATAATGTATATGAATACTCCATTTACAGAAGGGGAAATCCCAAGTCAAGAAACATATGAAAAGATATTCAATCTCACTAGTGTTAGGGAAAGGCAAATGAAAACAAGTTATTTTATACCCACAAGACTCGCAAAAATACACAGCCCAACAATACTGAGTGTGGGAATGATGTGAAAGAAATGGGAACTCTGATAAGTTGCTGATGAGAGTATAAACTGACACAACCCTTTTGGAGAGCAACATGTCAAGATCTAGTGAAACTATTCTAGTCTATGACCTGGCAACTTCACCTCTAGGGAGCTGTGAATGCTGAAGGGGTCATGTATGAGGATCTTCTGTGAAGCACTGGTTGTAATATTAAGTAAGAAAATGAAAAAAATTCAGTTGTTCCTAAGGAGGGAAATAAATTAATAAGTGGTTCTATTATATAAAAGACCATTATAAAAGCAGCTACAATAAATGAATTAGATTTACATGGGTAAATCTCAAATATACAATGTTTAATGAACAAATAAAGTTGTACAAGAATATGCATATACAACATATACATATACCATTTACATAAATTGTATGTAGTTTATGTAAATAATATAAATAAAATGTAATACTATTTACATAAATTAAAAAATACTCAGAACACGAGTATATATACTATTTTAACTTTTTTTGGGGATGAGGGTCTTGCTACATTGTCCAGACTGGAGAGCAGTGGCTATTCACAGGCACAATCATGGCGCACTGCAGTCCTGAACTCCCGGACCCAAGCAATCTTCCATCTCAGCCTCCTGAGTAGCTGAGACTATAGATGTGCACCATTGCGTCTGGTCTATTTTAACTTTTTTAGATGGATATATGGTCATGGTGACTCTGTTCTCCTACCCCCAATCCAGGAGATATTTGGCAATGTCTGCTCACAGTTTTGGTTGTTATGTGAAGGAGGGGAGGGGGGACAGGATGGTGGTGCTGTCGGCATTTAGTAGGTAGAGGTCAGGGATGTTGCTAAACATCCTACAATGTACAGGGCAGCCGCTATAACAAAGAATGGTCTGGATCAAAATGTCAATGGTGTTTAGGTTGAGAAACCCTGATAAGTATGTATGTAGTAAAGATACAAAAACATGCAAAGGCACACAACACACCCACTCCAGGACAGTGGAAGGGGAATGGGCTTTGAGTTCCATTTCATTTCTTACAAGAGAGTGAGAGAATCAAAGAGTAGGCAAAGCAAACAAAACCCCAATCCCTCTACTCCTGTGATAGTAGAAAAGTGCTTAAAAAGCAGAAAGTTACGGCTCTAGGTTCTAGGATGTTTTGACATGAATCTGCTCTTTACGTAGGGTTAAATATGAGCCTCTATAAACAGGAAATGTTTCCTTTACTTTGTCTTCTTCAAAAGCAATAACCACATATTTTAAAAGTGAAGAAGGAAACAGCTTGCAGTTTGAACAGGCGTTTTATGAAATACTTATTATTAGTTTGTAAGAAGATTTCAAATGAAGTAAAAATTCTTGTGTATATATACATGTATGAATGAATAAATATATATTCATACATACATACATGATGGTTTCCCAACCGAGGAGCAGTAAAAGTTTCTGACATTTTATTAAGCAGAAGTTCCATGGAACAGAAATCCATGTTCTACAGGCATTGAAAGGTTTCTGGATGGGATGGTCAGGCAGTGTCTACATTAGAGAAGCCAGAAGAGCTCACGGGTGGCTGACCTCGGGCACTCGAGCGTCCACAGGAGAGTGTGAGCCAGGCACGCGGTCTCATCCTTGCTCCCGAAGAGCGCCCCATCTCCTCGGGGGAAGGCAAGATACCCAGAAATGGAAAAGCCAGAACAATGCAAGATGATATATAATTAAGATGGGAGCTGTGAGGCCTAAATCAAAAGGACTAGAAAAGCTCAGAGTGGACATCAACCCACTGCGGCCAAAGCACAGGGGTAAGACTTCCAAGAGGATGGGGCTGGGGCTGAATATTAAAAGAGAATGATTTCAACGATGGAGAAGAGAGCAAGCAAGGCATTTTCCCCAAGGTGTTCAAAGAAAGGGGCCTAAGTGGGTTTATACCGCCTTCAAGGAGCAAAGCAATGCTAAGGAATAACGGCAGAGGGACAAAAAGGTAGAGGAAGCTGAGTTAAGAACAGTCTCTAGAGCCAGAATAACTGGGCTCAAATCCCAGCTCTGCCTCTTATTGTAACACCTTAGATGCATTTTCAAACATTTCCATGACCCTTGGTTTTCTCACCTGTAAAGTGGTAATAATAACTGCACCCACCTCACATGGAGAGTATGAGAATCAAAAGAGTTAATTCATGTGAAACATTTAAAATAGAACGTAAAGCCATCTATAAGCTTATTGCAGCTTAGCTATGATTATTCTGATCCTTACTACTTGGCCTTATACTTTATACAGTATTGTTTCTCGTCTTCCCAACTAGACTACAGGATCCTGGAGGGCTGTGATGGATGGAAGACCTGAACATATTTCCCAGGTGGCCAGTACCACTCTCAGCTCACTGCAGCCTGAGCTGACTGCTCGTACAAGTTGGTGCCCCATAAAAGAGTAAAATGGAGAACAATTACAGAGGGGGCATTATGAATGCGATGTTTTAGAAAAGCCAAAATGACTTCCAAAAGCATCTTCATCTTATTTTAAGACTGTTGGCCATTGGAAACAAATGCACCCTTTCTTCTCAGTCTTTGGTGCTCAGAAAGCCTTTATCAGCATGCCAGGTTTTGAAGTGTGAAGCACACAGCAGGGGCACCTCCAGTCTACAATCGGTGGCCCCCTGCAGGCCACCATGCAGGGAAGGTTCTGGGGGAGACCATGGGGTAGGCAGCGAAGGGCGATGTGACTCTTTAGGGGTGCTGTGCTTGGGCACACGGGAGGCGAGGCAGGGCCCACACAAGGACTTACTCAGTGTGCTATGGACCAAGGCTTTCAAATGTTTTCCACCTCATGGCACACACAGAAAAAGACAGATTTGCATGGTCCACAGGAAAAGCCAAAACTGTTTACAGCTGGCCCAGTGGCTTCAGGCCCTTTCCAGTTGCCCCCAAGCGGGGAGGGGACCAGTATCTCAGCCCATCTATGACCATGGCACAGTGGCTGGGAAGCTTTACCCCAGGCCATAAGGAAATACTTACACATTTAGGAAACAGGTTGATTTAACAGGAGTCTCTGACAAAGGGGATGACCTACCACGGAGATCAAGGGCAGAAAAAGACTAGATCGTTTTACTTGAATGAGTTAATGTAAAATCACAAAATTATCACATCTACTAATGTACCTGGTAATACTTTCAGCAACAAAAGTAGAAAGAGAATTAAGACAACCTCCCTGCCTTTTAGAAGCTCATAGTCTGGTATTTTAATAATGAAACACTTTTTCCTTTTTCTTCCAGGTTATCAAAGCACCCTTTGTTAGATCCAGTGGATCCTCCTGAGCGCTCTGTGACCTGCCTTCTGGCAGCACCAGGTCTTACTGACCACTCTTCCTCGACATTCTCTTCCCCAGGCTTTGTGGCATCCCGCTTTCTTTCTAGCCCTCTAGCTACGCCTTCTCAGTGTCCTCAGATTCTCCTCCTCCCACTCCTGTCCTTCAGACACGGGTGTTCTTGAAGGTTCCATGTGGGGAGTGTTTCTCTCCTTCTTCCGTGTTCTGGGTGCCCATCCATTCCTAGGGCTTCATGGGGTAGAGACTCCCAAACTCGAACCTCCAACCCAAACACTGTGTCTCAGAGCCATGTAACCCACTGTCTCCTGAACACACTTTCATCTAAATGTTAAGGAGACACCTAAGATAGAACACGTCCCAAACAAACTCATCTCCCACCCCATATCTCTTGCTGTGTCCCCTGTCTTGGGGTGTGACATCCACATCCATCCACTGCATAAACCAGATCTCTAGGCTCTGTCCACTGGAACTCCCCCGCCACTGTCTCCACCCTCACTCTCACTGCCCCGTGTGAGACCACAGTCCATGGCCGGGGTGGCTCCAGAGTTAGTTCCTAAGATACAAATCTCGTCAAGCCCCTCCTCTACTTAGAAACCCTTTGCTGGCTCCTCATTGCCCTTTTATTAATTTAAAAATATTTAATAACTCATTAACAATCACAAGCCTATTACTTGCTAACATAAATATAGATTTTTGAAATAAAAAATAACCATGTTTTCCCAAACAGAATTACTGAGAAGAGTGGCACTGTTTTCCATTTTTGCAAATCTCTTTAATGTCTGACTTACTAGAAGGTTGCTGGATTCTCCCATCTGCTTCTGCATTCGATTTTGTTCTGTTACTCTGGTTTTTGAAGTACATGAAGCAAATCCAGCCACATAGATACACAGTTAGAAAAGAAAGGGAGAGTACATTAAGGGCCTTTTCGGATGACTACAGACATCCTCCCCTTTGATGCTACTCAATGCATCCCTGTTGCTTTCAGAATCCGACAGAAATTTCTTACCTGGGCTTACCAGACTCCTGTCTGCCACTGGAGTCACTTTCTCACAACACCGCCCTCACATTCTCTACTCCTGCTGGGGAGCCTGCTCTCACCACCCTGTACTCCTCTGCGTGCTCTCACACCTCACCATCCCTTCCCCAGGACAGCTCTCAGCACATCCCATTTCACTTGCAGGCTAACCGGCCTGAATCTCACAACAGCCTATTAGCTCCACGGGGACTGTGATTCTCCATCTTGTCCTGTTTGTAGACCTGGCCTCCTGTACGACCTGGCATATGCAAGCACTCAAGAAACAGTTGCAAAATGGATAACTGAATGGACAAAGACATAGTGAGGCATATTGCTGAGTTAAGGCGTATGGGGTTTTCTTAGCCAAGACTGTAGTTAGTTGGGATATGAAGACCCAGGTGATGGGTTACTAATGAAGGCGGGGTGGAAGGGGTGAGAGGGGTTAAAGCAAGGAGGCTCCCAAAGGACATGCTTGATACCTACATTCTTCATGGACATAGCATCCTCTTCTAATACAAGAACCAGGAGTTACAAAGAAGCAATGCTGGGAAACTGGTGAAACCACAAATGGCAGCTCCTCATAGAAGACAGTTATTTGCAATTCCCTGTGCTCTGTGGAAGCTGCAGCTTTTGGTGTAAGTATGAATATGCTTACACTTAGTTTTACTCATTTGCCTTCTATGCGTAGTGCGCTGTCCTGGGGCCAGATAAGGAGGCTGTGACACAGAGAAATGACTAATTTCCTATGGCCCTGAAAAGAGTTTGGCTGAGATAACAAAACAAACGTACATTAAAAACTAAACAAGAAGCACTTCAGGACTGAACGAGAGGCATCTTGTTAGACTTAAAACTGTAGTCACGTGTCGCTTAACAACAGGGCTTCATTCTGAGAAATGTGCTGTTGGGTGACTTTGTTGCTGTGTACTTACAGAAACCTAGATGTGATCGCCTACTACACACCAAGGCTGCTTGGTGTAGCCTATGGCGACCAGGCTACAAACCTGTACAGCAAGTCACTGTGCTGAATACTGGAGGCAGCTGTAACACAATGGTAGTTGTGTATCTAAACATAGAAAAGACATAGCAAAAATATGGCATCATAATCTTATGAGACCACTGTCATACATGCAATCTGTCATTGACCAAAACATATTGTTATGTGGTGCATGACTACAAGAGTGAGCACAATACAGAGAGAAAAGACACCACAGAGGCTGCTGTCCTCAGCAAAAGCTTTGTGGCAAAACTGGGGAAAAACCAAACAAAGCCCAAAAAAAGAAAACCAAACAAAGCCCACCACCAGAACCACACACAAACTGGCAACACATTCACCACTTGGATAAGAGATGGGGCAACGCGAGGCCCAGAAGAAACCATGCTGCATATTTGAAAGCCTTGGTTCCTTGGTAAAGTCTTAAAAATAGGAACCTTAGAAAACTCAGAAGACTGAATCTAACCCTGTCATGTGAAGTGCCACCCATGATCTTTGTGTCGTGCTATAAAAACAGTGTATTGTATCTTTCTGTGCTGCTTAGCAGTAGTCTCAGTAGGTATTGGAAAAAATAATAAACTAGAGGGAAAGGAGATGATCGCTTGAACAAAGTCCCAGGCTAGTTTTGCAGCTCTCGGTTTCACTTTTCCTTTGTGGTTTCTCACAGTGACCAGTGTTGATGGATGAGATACTTCAAACAGTACTATTTCTTCTAGGCAGAACAGAAGGCAGTTTCCATGGCAATACGATCAGGAGACACAATACATCCTGTTGCTCAGTTTTGAGAACCTTTTGGCTTAGGGGACAGAAGTTTCCAACTATCGGCTGCCCTCTGCCCCGTCTCTTCTTCCTCTGTCTTGCTCTAGTCGGCTGGAGTCCCAAAGGCCACACGCCTTGCCTGTGCATTCCATGCAGGGGCTAAAAGGGTCAGGGCCACAGCTGGTGTTCCAGGGACTGATTGGGGATGGCAATGAGGACAGAAGGTGCAAAGACATCTACAGAGTACATCGGGAAGCTCCAGCACAGCTTAGGATGCAACCCAACAGCCCCTGCAAGGGATGCTTCTACTGTGTACAGTCTGACAGACATGTGTCCCAAGTCTTGTTTACTTTAATGACATTTCTTTTCAGAGGCCTGACATACCTAGCACAGCTGATCTTACTGTGACATAGGTACAATTTTACAAACAGGTTCAGTTGGTTTCAACAGCAGCTGCAAACCCAAGAGAGACAGGTTTTCCCTTTGTTTCAACAAAGCACGGCTCCCAGCCAGTTCCATCTGGGGAGGCCCTGGAGGTGCAGGGAAGGGACTCTGGAGAGAGCCATGGGATGCACATGGCTCAGCCATGCACCAGGGCGTCCAGTGGGTCTGTGCCGCCGCTGCCCTCCAGGCCCCCTGCACAGAGTGGGGTGAGACTCTGGGCAGCTGCGGGGGGGCTTGTGGCACCAAGCACGCTGCGGGCTGAGCCACAGGCCTGCGTCCTGGCTCTCGTTTGTTTTGAAAACGTGACTGACCCATCACTCCTCATGGGGAACTTTTCCTCCAGGGACCGTCAGGACCAGAGGTGTCCCAACCTTTTCCTGTGTTTTGGTTTGGTTTTGGTTTTGGTAGAGAATGAGAATGCTAAGGCTGCTCTGTGAGGAGGAGGTGGTGGTGAGAGGGTGGCGTGGGGGGACCACAGGGTTCCACAGCCCACAGCCCAGCTGCAGGTCAGGGACATCAGCGCAGGAAGAGCATGCCAAGGCCTTGTCTTGCAGCTTCCTCACTCCCTCGACTGAGTGACACACCTGTAAGCACTGAACGCTGGTGACGGTAAGGGCCACACAGCGAGGACTGAGACAGTGGCCTTGAAGACATAAGAATGGAAGTGCATCTCTCAGAGTGTGGATTATCCATTTCTGCATCGTATATTCTGTTTTCCCTTCCTTCATTCTTTTGTCTGCCAAATTTGGGGTCATTTTTTCCTTCCCAGCATTGGCTCTACACACAAATTATAAAGTAAAAGTCAAAATTAAAATTAGTTTTGGTACTTGTTACAGTAAATGTTTTGACAGAAACAGAGGTGAAACTCCTAATTAAAAATGAGACTGGGGATTACTCAAGGTTTCCCCTCTTCTTACATTTCCTCCGTGGAGAGTTCATCCATTTTCATGTCTTCAGTGACCACCTGAGTCTCATTCCCGCACTTGCCTATCTGCGTTCACCGTGGCAGGCGGATGTCCACTTCCCAGCTCATGTCTGGACTCAGCTCTCCTCTGTCCATCAAACCCAGCCAACGCTGAAGGACTACTGATTTTCCCCTGGGAGAGGATCTGCCCGTTTAGGTCCTTGCTGTTGCACTCCGAGATTATGCCAACAACTTCTTGGATGACATGACTGCCAGTAAGATTTCCCCAATCCAATCTGCATGCCACGGTCAGTGAGTGTGCACAAGAAGCCCTTTCACAATGACACTGCCTCAACCAAAAACCCTCGGGCATCCTGTCTGAGTCTGTCCTGTTTTGCAGGTCTGCCCAAACCAGCCCCATCGTAAATTACTTCTCTAAATTACATCCTAAATTACTATGTCGGCTCAAACTGTCCCTGCCACCTAAAGTGCCCTCCCTGGTCCCTTCCATTTGCATAGGGCCCAACTCCTGTTTCCCATCTGTAAGTGGCTTCTTTCTCTGCAACCCAAACCCTCCTGTTCCCCTGCTCTGCTGAACTTCCACAGAACTCAGCCAAGCCGCCAAGTGAACAGAGAATAAAACCCTGAGTCTGGGTTTCCCCAGCTGTAAAATGGAAAGCTGGACTAGATAGCCTTAAGCTAGTTATGAGCTGTCTCTTCCCAATCATTATATTAAAGAACATCTGGAAGGCCAAACAGTTCTCTCTCAAAAAGGAGCCTCAGGCCACCTGCCAGAGCCGCTGCAGGAGGAGCTCCTGGACAGATGCTGGGTTGACACCCCCATGTCACCCGGCTCACACTGCTCATGAATGTCACCTGTACAACCCCCTATCTCCAATAAGATATGAGCTCCTTGGGCAACTGTCCTGTGAGAGCCACAGTTGTGGACAGTGTCCACGTGAGGGAGCAGGTGCAGAGCAGTGAAGGGGGGTGCGGTGGCCTCCCCCATCCTAAACCCACGATCTGCCTGCATCCCCTGTGAACAGGCACTGCACGTGTGCACACACCTCCATTGCTTAGACAGAATGATTTTACCAAATCTCAGTATGGCTAATCTGTGCTCTAATCTTGGGTGGGAGATCGTGACTCACGACTCTGAAAATTCCTGGCCTCTGGCTGCTTTCTCCACAAAACCACGTCTGTCAACCACAGCACTGGGCTGCTGGCTCTGAAACCTTGGGGGTTGCACGAAATCAAGGCTTCTCGAGGGTCTCAGTTTTCCTGAGATGCTCATGGGTACTCCAGTGGTCTGTTCCTCATTAAGAGCTTTTTTCTGGTTTTGAAAACCCATCAGGATGGCTTTTTTTGGGGAGGAAAAACTTCCCAGAATGATTATGAGGATGATTTTTCTAATATACCCCTGGTTTAACATGATACTGCTCCAGAGTACATCTCTAAATTCATTCGTCCTTTCAAAAACTGATTAATAAGTGACAAAAGGAAAACCCAGGAAAAGAATTAGGATTACTGATAACTTTTACATCTTCAAAAAGCCAAGTACATCATCATCATTTGCTTGTTTTCTGAGGTATCATGAGACTGTACCTCGCTCTTTTTTCTCATGAAGACACCAAGGCAGGATGGAAAATAGAAATGATTTTCTCAAGGTCACTTAATGAGTCAGTCTTGGAAAAGGATCACACTTTAGATTGATCCTATCTTTCTGTTCTGAATTTTGTCAAAAAGATCAGTATGATCAACTACAAAAGCACTGGAAACACAGCAGTAGCTTCTGCAAGGAGGTACAGATTGAGATAAACAGCGTAGCTGTAACTTCACTGAAAATAGAGTTCTTGCAAGTAATTTTCATTTAATTTGCAGATTTTTATCAACTAAGCACTAGTAACTTATTCCACATCTGATGCTATATACTTATAAACTCTTGAAAGAAGAAAGTCATAAAAGAACTAGCTTTAACTGATTAGACTGCTTTGTTGACAAGGAAGCATAGCAACTTGAAAAGAATCGTTTTCAAATCAAATTGCACCAAAAAGTGAAAGAGCATAGCCAAAAAGGAAAAGTGCTGAGGAGGGTGCCACGTGCCAGCTTGCTGTCTCTGAGGATGCTCGGGACACATGAGAATTCGCTCCCTTTGGATTCCTGGTGGACTCCTTTGCAACACACGTGCACTGCCCCTACCCCGGACACAGGGGTGGAGACGGAGGTAGAGAGTTTCCGACGGTGCTGCCTCCAGACACAATTTCTTGACTCTTCCTGACTGCACTACACATTTCTCCCAGAAGAGTGACCATCACATTTCACTGTAACTGACGCTTTCTACTCTAAGCTCAGGGAGAGGAGGGATCGTGCTGCCTTGGTCACTGTGGGACTCACCAGAGCCTGGCACTGCGTGTATTCTGCGGAATAGACGGTAATGAAAATGGTAGCACTGGTGAGGCCAAGAGGCAACAGGAAGCTTCCTAAGGAAGCTGGCCTGATGAAGGGGCAGTGACAGAAACTGGTCTGGTGGAGTGGCACTTGCACACATAAAGCTCTACTAGGCAGATCTTGCTATCTAAACCACAGAGGGAAAATCAACCATGCTGCAACATGCGTCAACCTCAGAAACGTGAAGCTCAGCGAAAGAAGCCAGTCATAAAGATCAGCTACATATGCTTCCATTTCTATAAAATGTCCAGAATAAGCAAGTCTACAGAGACAGAAAGTAGATTAAGTGGCTGCCTAGGACAGGGCGGATGGGAATGACTGCTAATGGGGCGCAGTTTCTTTTGGGGTGATGAAAAATGTTCTCAAATTACGGTATTTGTGCAATTAAAAAATACTAAAAACCACCGAACTGTACACTTCGAGGGGGTGAGTTATATGGTATGTGAATTCCATCAGCTGCTAAAAAATACATCAAGGACCAGTAAATACTTTTAAAACACTAAAAAAAGTTATTGAATTCAAAATACTTGATTAATGATAGGAACTCTCATGATTGACAGGGCAGATCTGCCTCCTGGTGCACATCTCAGATGATACCAAATGGCTGTTGCTGGGGGAGGATAAAGAGAGAAACAATTTTCACAGCCACAGAATGTTACCAAGTGAGGATGTGCAGCTAAACTCACTTTAACCAAATGCTGCGAAAGTAACTGAAAGCACGTGTGAGTATCGCTGAGCCACTCTGGGTGTCAGTAGCTTCTTTCCTTGCAGGCAAAACACAGAGGTGATAATCAACCAGTTAACACCGGGCAGCCCAATGAGATGAGGAGGCAGTTAAAAGAAGAGCACCAAGGACTCCTGGGCTTTGCTGCCAAATGTCCCACTTGGCTTGTACCAACAAGCAGGATTCATTCACACTGGGCTTCACCTTAGTTCTGCTTCTAAAATAGATGGAAATTTTACAGAAATGCCTAATGGAAAGTTTTATCCCCAAGTTTGTGTTGTGGTATATAACAGAATTCTCATCATCAGCCAACAGAGAGAGGATTGGCTCCCACAAATAACAGATGACCAGAACTAAGAGAGAATTCACATTTCCAGGTAAAAGGTTACTTTGAAAGCTGCTGGCTATATAACCTTCTACAGCAGGGACTGGCAAATATTTTTCTGTAAAGGGCCAGGTGGTAAACATTTTAGGTTTGGAAGATAAAGAGGCAAGAGATCAAAGATACTATGTAGTTACCTATATAACCATTTAAAATGTAAAACCTGTTCCTAGCTTCAGATTGTACAAAAACAGGTAGTTTGGCCCACAGGCCATCACCTGCTGACTGTTGCTCTAGAGGTTACAAGCTTTTACGAGTAATAACTATCAAGGTTGGCTCCTAAATTAGGACTCTCTCAAACTTCCTGAGAGCCACAAAAACAGATGCCCAATACTATGATAATAACTAATATCTGATAGAGCCTCTGGTACCTAAGGTAATTTTGTATAATTTTTTTTATCCCCAATGACAACAGTATTCTACAGATTGTGTATAGATGTCCCTGTCAACCCAGGATTGAGTCCCTAACTGCCCATTCTTGTTCTTTTCATTATATTACGCTGCTTTCTATTGTGAGCATGGCTCTGAAGAAAAACAACACTGTTTTCTTCCTTTCTACACTCACACACGACTCAACACAATATTCTGACACCAGATGTGCTGGGGGGCTTCATACCCCAAGCAGTGCTCCAGTGGACACCAGCAGGGTGTCCTATAATTTAACTCAATCCCCACACTGTCTCCCAGGAGATAACATCAGAGCCCACAGGTTAAGGGCCCACTCCCACAAGACTGCTCCCCTACTTCAGATGGCAATCGCCAGACCTAACCTGCGGTTCTAACCAACGTGCTATAAATGAGGGTTCCCGTGGTCCACTCCTTGGGTTCAGTTAATTTGCTAGGATGGCTCACAGAACTCAGGGAAACACTGACATCTACCCATTTATTAGAAAGGATATTGCAAGGGATACAGATGAACAGTCAGATGGAAGAGATGCACAGGGCAAGGCATGGGGCATGGCCCCTGCCCCTCTCTGGCACCCCCTGCACCCTGCTCCAGCACACATTCAGCAATCTGGAAGTTCTCTAAACCCTGTCCTTTGGGGGTTTTATGGAAGCTTCATTATGTAGATATAATTGATTATATCACTGGCCATTGGTGATCAACTCAACCCCTCTCCCTAATCACAGAGGTTGGGGGTGGGGCTGAAAGTCTCAACCCTCTAATCACTTATTAGTTCCCCTGGTAACCAGCCCCCATCTGAGGCTATCCAGGAGAGCCTGGACATCAGTCATCCATGTGAAAAGACACTTCTCACTGTGGGCGAAGGATTACCTAGGTGCCGAGGTAAGAAACTGAAGGCACAACTGTTTCAGTATAAAAAAGAAAATAGAGTAAGAGTAGTCATAATACAAATTAGATATAGAGATGATCATGGACATTATCAATCATTATAAACATCATGAATCATTAGCTTTTAATATTACTCTTTGTTGCATTACTAATATAACCTAGGAATAACCGGCGGGCATAGGGTCAGGTGCTGAAGGGACATTGTGAGAAGTGACCTAGAAGGCAAGAGGTGAGCCCTCTGTCACGCCGGCATGAGGGCTCCTTGGTCAAGCGGTAATGCCAGTGTCTGCGAAGACACCCATTACTTAGCAGACCGCGAAAGGGAGTCTCCTTTCATTGGAGGAGTCAGGGAACACTCTGCTCCACCACCTTCTTGTGGGAGGCTGGATATTATCCCAGTCTGCCCGCAGTCATCCGAAGTCCTAAACCCCTCCCTGTGATGCTGTGCTTCAACGGTCACGCTCCTTGTCCACTTTCATGTTCCTCCCGTACTCCTGGTTCCTCTTTGAAGTTCGTAGTAGATAGCAGTAGAAGAAATAGTAAAAGTCTTAAAGTCTTTGATCTTTCTTATAAGTGCATAGAAGAAAACGCTGACGTATGGTGCCTTCTCTCTCTCAGCTTCGGCTACCTAAGAGGGAAGGGCCCCCCTGTCCTGTGATTACGTGACTTGCTTCACCTTGTCAATCACTTAGAAGATTCACCCTCCTTACCCTGACCCCCGGTCTTGTATGCAATAAATATCAGCGCACCCAGCCGTTCAGGGCCACTACTGGTCTCCGCATCTTGATGGCAGTGGTCCCTCGGGCCCAGCTGTTTTCTCTTTATCTCTTTGTCTTGTGTCTTTATTTATTACAATCTCATCTCCGCACATGGGGAGAACACCTGCTAAGCCCTGTAGGGCTGGACCCTATGCTCACTGTGGAGATTCCAAGGGCTTTAGGTGCTGTGTGTCAGGGGCCAGTGGTAGAGAACAGATACATCTTTCTCATCACAGCACACAGAGCTTCTTTGCTACAGCGAGCAAAGGGAGGGAGACATGCACCGTGAAGCTGTGGAGACTCAGGTTGCACAGGCACCATTCGGATGATCATTACTACAGGAGACTCCAGTAATTGATCTGGAGGTCTGAAGACAAGGAGGCTCTGCAAAGCCTGCCCTCGTCCTTCACTGTGATGAGCTAAGCATGCTCTAGCTCATCACCAACAATATCCTGAGCACACAGAATTTTCACTGTCTCCCACCTGGTCTTCTTCCTCTAGTGTCACCTTTTCTTTTCTTTTTCTTTTTGAGCCGTGATTGCACCTTGACCTCCAGGGATCAAGTGATCGTTCCATCTCAGCCTCCTGAGTAGCTGGGACTACAGGCACAGGCCACCACGCCCAGCTGATTTAAAAAATTTTTTTGTAGAGAAGAGGTCTCACTATGTTGCCCAGGCTGGTCTCAAACTCCTAGGCTCATGCTATCCTCCTGCCTTGGCCTCCCAAAGCGCTGGGATTACAGGCATGAGCCACTGTGGCCAGCCTACCGTCATCCCTTCAGACAACGTTCATATTATGACTAAAGTGAGCTTTCTTAAAAATAAATCTAACTTACTCTCCTGTTTAAAAGGCCTCACTGATCCACCACTTCTGGCAGGATGAACACAACAGCAATTCTTAGTTTGGTAGAAGACCCGTCCTGGCCTCTGCTCTCTTCCCAACCATGTCTTTCATTGCCTCTTTCTTATAGGAACCTCAATCTCAGGCGAATGCAATTCCTTGCTGTCCCCACAGCTGTTTTGAGCCCCTGTGCGTTTTTTCATAAGGCCCCCCGTGACTGAAACACCTGCCCCAATGCTGGCCTCAAGATTACCCTCGCTGTATCCCTTAGGGAGAACTGGCCACACCCACTGTTTAGGCTCAGGGTTCTTTTTTCTTCTCTTTGCACAGACTCCTGTAGAAACCTAGTGCCTAGTACAGCCTCATGTCTTCCCCTCGCTGGCTGCAAACTTCTTGAAGGCGCAGGCGGCGTCTTATTTAATCCCTCAGGGCAGTACACTGCATTAGAGCCAAAAGACAAAGAAGTACAACAGCTCCTGTCCTCCAAGAGCTCATATTCTACTGGGGATGAACAAAACACAAACCCATGAAAAGTTATGTAATGGCCCTGGCAGTGTAAAGATGATCACAGCTGCAAGTAGCAAAATGACTCTGAGATGCCACCTGCTTTGGAGAAGGCAGCTCTGCTGGGAGACAAGAGTGAGTCAGCGGGCAAGGAACTACTGAGAGCAGCTTATGTGTGTCCAGCATAGTGTCCCGAGTTTACAAAAGAATGGGACAGCTGTGGATGTGGAGGGAGATAAGAAGTGGGCACCACAGGCTGCAGCTAATACTCTGCAGCCCACTCCATCTTCACTGCCACAGGCCCATGAGACAAGCCTCCAAAGGCCTCTGGATAGTCAGTGCTGGCGGGAAATGTCCAGAAAGATCTGTAGGAGGTCAAAGCACACTAGATGACGTTATCACATGCCTGTGCTTAATGATGAGCATGGGACCACTGTACCCTGCCCCTGTCAGCACCTAGGTCTCATGTCTCAGTTGAAGTGAGATCTATAGAGCCATCACCCTGGTCACTGTTCATCAGAGCTGTGGAATGGGAATATGCCACACAGTGGACTAAAAATGCTTCAGGAGCATAAGATCATATTGACTTTCTCACAGAGTGAAAGTAACTTGAACGGGGACCAGCGTGACCACAGTGATGTCCCAGAATGAGGGCAGCCAGTCAGAACAGAGTGATATTGACCTTCCCCCACTTCCAGCTCATGCAGCGCTTCTCATCCCCATCTCTCCACCGAAGCCCCTTTCAAAAGTGAACTCATTCTGCTGAATCCAGTGGTGGTCTTCCAGTATCATCTTCACTTGCCTTTTTTTTCCTGGGGGGGGGGGGGGGCGCCCGGGGATAGTAACGTCTGAATCTGTTCCTGAAACACCTACTCTTCCTGAAACATTCTACTCCGCAGGCTCCCTGGCCACTGAACTGGTTTTCTCCTTGGTCCCTGGGGGTTCTTTTTTTTCCCTCTTTGCACTCTCTAGACATGGGTCTTGCTTTCTACTGTTCTCTCAAGAGTATCCGTAGATCTTTTTTTTTCTTTAAATAGAGATGGGGGTCTCACCATGTGGCCCAAGCTGGTCTCAAACTCCTGGGCTCAAGCAATCTGCCCGCCTGGGCTTCCCAAAGTGCTGGGATTACAGGCGTGAACCACTGCACTCAACCTCTGTAGATGTTTCCAGCCCTGATTATTCATCTGTGTTCAGCTTGCTTAAAGTCTTTCTGTATCTATTTATTATGCTCATATTTGCTCATTAATTCCCACAGTTCCTAACATCTGCCAGGCATTATTCACACACTGGAGATATACAGAAAACAAGTCTGCTCCATCCGGAGACACACTGGTGGAGAAAGGGCAGTAAATCACCAGTGAACATCGGGTTTGCGGTGCCACGAGAGACAGGCAGTGTCTACAGGGGCAGAGAGAGCCCTGGGAGCCCCCCAGGAAGCTGGGGAAGGCCTCCCTGAGGAGGCGATATTTGTCAGGAATGCCGAGTAAATAGCAGCTAGACAAGTGAAAATGATGTGTATGTGGGAGGGGTGGGGTGAAGGGGTTGGTACAGGGAAGTTCATTCTGGGCAGAGAGGAAAGGGAAGATGTAAAGGTGAGACTGCGTGAAACAATATGAGCAGCAGTTAACTGTGAGTAACCCGGTGAGGCATGGCTGGCCTAAGGGCTTGCACACGGCAGCAGAAAGGAGATGCGGCCACATAGCAGGCAGGAGCCTTGTGTTGGAACCACCCTGAAAGCTATGGAGAGGCCCTGAAGGATGATAGCTGGAGTGAAACAAGCAGATTTCTGTTTTCACAGAGATCACTGGTGGAGGCTGTGGGGCAGGCTCAGGAGGGAGGCAGTCGGTGATGGAGATGGGAGGGAAGAAATCCAGGCAAATGGCGCCGGTGGCCTGAACTACAGCACTGGAGATGAATGACGGACTTACATCAAGGAGGGAGACTCTTTGGGGCTGAACTGGTGGGGAAGGCAGGAAGGACATGGATGTATAAGTGGGAAATGTCTGGGGTGAAACCCTAGGTTTGGACTTTCGGGTAAACAATGGGTGCTTTTCATCAGGTAGGGAGTGAGAAAGGGAAACAAATTTAGCAAAGAAACAGTACATGTCGGCTGTGTGCGGTGGCTCACGCCTGTAATCCCAGCACTTTGGGAGGCCAAGGCAAGTGGATCATGAGGTCAGGGGTTCAAGACCAGCCTGGCCAACATGGTGAAACCCCGTCTTTACTAAAAATACAAAAATTAGCCGGATGTGGTGGTGAGCGCCTGTAATCCCAGCTACTCGGGAGGCTGAGGCAGGAGAATTGCTTGAAGCCAGGAGACAGAGGTTGCAGTGAGCCAAGATCACGCCACTGCACTCCAGCCTGGGCAACAGAGCAAGACTCTGTCTCAAAAAAAAAAAAAAAAAAAGAAAGAAAAAAAGAAACAGTACCTGTCAAGAGCTGATGGGACAGTGAAGTGGAGATGTACTATAGGCAGTAGGATATTTCGGTCTGGAGCCCCAGGAGAGAGGGAGGTCCAGTCTCTAGATCTTGAGGGACTCATGGGAGCCATGAGCTCAATAAAGTGGTGAGGACAGGGGCTGGGTGGGTCCCCTTGGGTGTCTAACGTGAAAAGCTCAGTAGGCAGAGAACTGAGTCTTGGGAAACAACCTATTTAGGGAGTGAACAGAGGAAGGAGAGCTCGATCCAGAGTACAGCATCAGCCCAGCCAAGGCACTCCTCTGAGAGCCGGGCTTTAGAAACCTCCTTCTATTTGTCTCCTCCTCTGTGGTTTCTCCTTTCCCCCGTCCATCTTACACTGTGCAATAAAATGACATTTTTCTGAGATAACTGTCCTATCTTTGTTACTGAATAAACAATTTTTCACAGCCAATGTCCAAGCCGAAATCTATTGTCAGGCTTAAACTACCTCCCTCCATTATCAGTTACTATATCATTTCCCATTTCTCACTACATATCTGCCCACATGTCAATCACAGGGCTCCTGGAGGTCTCTCCTTTTTAAGGTCTCATTAGCACCTCCATGCCTCACTCTTGCTGGTCCTCTCCTCTGGAATGATGTGCCTTACCCTCTCCACCCATCCAAATTCCACCCGTCCTTCTACTTCCTGAAATCTTTTTTGGCAGCATCAGTCCACACCAGTGGCTCTCTCCTCAGATTTTCACTGCATGGGTGCTTCAGTAAATATTTCCTTGTTTCTTGGATGCTCATCTATTTCAACTACAACTGCCTGAGCTCCCTGAAGTTGGCCACAAACTCACGGAGGGAAAGGACATGTTCTTCATTTATTTTGTGCCCACAGCGAAGCCACCAGTATTGGTCAGAGAGCTTCCCAAGCAGTCTAACTGTCTAACTGTGCCCCCAGAGCCACACGAGGAGCACGTGGCAGGGGGTGGCAGCGAGCACCTGCCAGATGGCAGGATGAACTCTGGCATAAGCAGGCAAGAGAAATCTAAAGAAATACAACACTGAATCAAGACTTGAGTGTTATTTTGGAATACCTGAAATGAAAAACTGCAGACAGATCATGTGTAACATACAGCAGTTAGTAACTGAAAAAAAATGACTTTCTGACTAAATAAACTCAGATTCTATGAAAAGCATCTAAAAATCAAGTTTTTAAATAAATAACAGTTGTATTTTAAATGAAATACACAGCATGAGATTGCCTACAATAAAAGATACAGGAGCAAACAACAAAAACATGTATTTGAAACATAAAGAAGAAGATGGAAGCAAAAGTTCTAACTTAACCCTAATTAAACCTGAAGCCTGGCACTGAGTTTCCTGCCAGCCAAAGTGAAAAGGGGGAAAACAAATCACCAAGGAGCTCTCATATTGGGAGGTATATGAGTTAGGGATCAGAAACAGAGACCTCAGAGTCAGACACAGCTGGGTCTCACTCCCAGATCCCCATCAACAGCTGCATGCCCCTGGACAAGCAAGCACTCCCCTGAGCCTCCGGGGTCATGAGGGAATACCTGCATCTCTCTAGGCGTACACCGGGCATAAATGAGATAACATATACTGAGTACTTACTATAGGACTGGCAAAATAAATGGTGGTGGTCTTCTTACTGATAAAGAGTGAAACATGCTAATTCTGCAAGAGAGACAGGACCTAAGCTCCATAAGAAAAAGGACTGGGGGCTATCTTTTTTACACCTGTGTCCTCAATGTCCAGCTCTAGGCCTACCATATAATAAGCACTAAGTACTTATTTGTTGAAAAGTAAATGAAAATAAACTTTTCTCCTGGTATTACATTCCAATACAACTGCACCCTGTACGGTACTCGTGCATGCACACAAATACGGCAGATAATTTCCAGTGGTGGTTTAACAAAAGAGTTCTCTACGTGGTGATTTATCATACTTATGTGAAGAAAACTGAGACACAGCTGAGTGAAGAAGTTCAGCAGGAGGCTAAGTGCTCAGGTTTGGGTGTACCCATGTGCGGACCCTAGAAGAGAACTTAGGAAGCTTAGGAAAAAATCAAGAGTCTGGTCTGTGCTGCCCAGCAGACCACTCAACGTAAAAGCCCAGCAAGAGCCCAGGGGCTGGTGTCCTGCTCTGGACTTCAGATCTGTTAGTGAGACCATCCTATGAAAGTGGAGGAGTCTGACAGCAGTGTAGACAGCCATAAAGGCCTGTGCCACTTCACAGGCGCCTGGTGGGAATGCACGCTCCAGCAGGGCAGGGGTTTGGGTCTGTCTCATTCCCTGAGGCCTGGGTACAACCTGGCAGATCCCGTGATGTTCCAAGTATCTGGGGGGAAAGACACCGTGCGGAGTTTACAGCAAGGCAGGAAAGGAGAACCACAATGGGGGTCCGTAGAATCCTGGAGCGAGGGCGTGCGCAAACAGCCAAGAATCCCACTTGCATAAACTGCTGCTGCACCATGAAGTGCCTGTCTGTAGGCCACAAAGTGAGCATGTGGTCAGCAGTGGAGACCCACCAAGTTACCAAGCCAGGTGGGCCGACAGAAACCCATCATCAGATGGACACGGGCATCTGGGCTCAGCATAGGTGGGGCTGCAGGGCATGGGTGAGCTGCAGAAGCAGGCATGCCAGACCACCCTGGCAGCCACCTCTGCTGCACCACAGCCTCTTCCCAGCTAACACCGACTACCACAGCTGGTGGGCCCCTCATGACCAAGTGACAGAGGGGAAAACAGCCAAATGGACAGGCTGGCTCAGGACATGAGTGGCAGCTGAAAGAAACGGCTGCATGATGGCTCAATCTTGAAAGACAGCGATCAGGGGAACCCCCTATGGGCAGAGCCTGGGCAGCACATTTGGTCATCAACTCTGTGTGAAGAGAAGTGGCCTGAGGCAATTACACGTGTGGATCTGCTGGGCATGGCAGATCACCTGGTTGGTCGGTCAGGGGACTGGAAGGGAGGGAACAAGGAGGATCCAGCTAAAGGAACAGCATCAAGTGTCTTGCAGGTCGTGCCCACCACGGGCATCCACCACAGAAAAGGCACCAAATGGAAGGTGGACAGAATGACTGTGGCTCCATCACCAGATAACCCAGCGCTGGCACACGAATGGATGGCCATGGTGGTAGCACAGAGGAATGTGTGGGTCCCCCTCACCTAGGCCGACCTATCTCCTGCCACTATGGAGCATCCAACCTGGCATCCACAGAGACTGTGTGTGCCTGATAACTACCGTCTGCAAGCAGAACAGTCACTCAGCGCCGAGACTATGCTGGGCCCTTTCCACTCTGCAGTGTTATGGAACACACTGTCTCCCACCCCTTGCCCCTGCCCCAAATTCACACGCTGAAGCCCTAACCCTACGATGTGACTGTATTTAAAGGTAGGAACTTTAAGGAGGTAATTAAGGTTCAAAGAGGTCGTACGCATGGGACTTACCCAACAGGACTGGTCCCCATTTTGGGACAACTCAGAAGGGCTCTCCCAGCTTCACTGTGCTCCATAAGACCAGCGAGGCTTTTGCTGGAACTGCAGCTGCTCCCTCTGTCCCATCTTGCTGCCTTCGCCAGCCCGCCCCCATAGATACTGATGCTGACGGTGTTCTCTCATAAACTCTTTGTATAAAAATCTTCCTGGGGAGGCCAATCTGAGAAATGCAACTTCTCTGGTTTGCTTATGAGGACAAATTCAAAGCTCTCCAATGGAGAATCTCCTCCCAGGATTCCAAAGGTATCTCAGACAACATATTTCCCCCAAATCTGCTCTTTTGATATTGGTGAAATGGAACTATCAGTCATCTATCTAAGATTATCTAGGCCAGAAACATCAGAACCATCCCCTACTTCTTTCTCTCCCTCATAAGCTCTGTGCCTCTACCTTTATACTCAATCACTACTCAGTTTTTCTGACCTTGATCATTCTGATTTCTCATACCTTTCGCTCTTCTCTCAGTTTCCTTGAAGGATTTACCTCCTGCTAAATACGAGGCTTCATCTGTAGCCTGTGTTCATCTTGGATGTAGCTCTTCTCTTACAGAACTTACTACTTCTTTGCTTTCGGCTCTCAGCTCTCATCCCTACAGAGGTGACTCCATCACCTATATATATATGTAGCTTCCACATTTCCAAGACAGAGATGTCCATCCTCCAGCTTTAAATACACCATGGGCATCTTTATGGCATGTTCCAGAGTCACTCAAATTCAAGCACATCTTTAAGAAACAACTTTTGCTTCTCTATTTCTCTTGTAGACTCTGCCCCTAATAAGCTGCCCCCTTCCTCCCCCCCCCTGATATAAACTCTGGGACCTGCATCTCCAATGGGACTCTAAGGACCTCAAACCTGATTTCACTTCTCCAAACCATCGTGAGATCTGCAGACCTACTTCTTGCATCCAATGCTAGTGGAAGACAGAGAGATGGCAGAGGTAACTGTACGGTTTACAACTACCCCAGGGGTAAAGAAGGTGGAGGCGAAAAATGGGGAGCCCTGTGGGCTGGCTCACAGAAGTGTCCAAGAAAGATCAGGCCTGAGGTTTTAGCCTGATGTGCACTAACCCTCCTTCTCTCACTGCCCATGGAAGACAAATGTAGTATCAGATTGTTTGGATGCAGAATTTGTAGACAAATGTGCAATAATTTCTGATTATTGATAGCAAGGTTGAGAAAACACAGCATTTTTTTTTATCTACTCCTTGGTTGTTCCACTGAAAATCTTCTTGCCTTCATATTCTCTTCATTTCAACCAAGGAAAATCAAGAAATTTTACATTTGTTCTTCACTCCATAGCATATGATTAGCATTTTAACAGGAAGACACTGTGGCTTTTACAAGATTATAAAAACAGATAAATAGCACATCTTGTTAACTAGGTTGGTGTTTCTCTAAGAAGTCATGCTTATCTAATATAGGTGGAACAAGAATGTCCAGTTTGACCAATCTTTCAGCTGCAATTTATTTTTTACCTTTTTAAAAAACTAAGAATGGCCACTAACAGAGACCTACAATCTCTTTGGAAATGTCAAAATCCACTTGCAAGGCACTGGAATAAAATGTAGTCTCTATCTCACATGCAATCACAGAGGAAAGATTTGCTTGGGCCACTGAGAATTTCTAAATTTTTAGTGATTATTATCACTTTTACCTGCTGCTGTCTCTGTCGCCTCCCTTGTGCAAACTGAGAGAACATCAGCTGCCGGTCCAGCAGCTCCATTCTCTGCTGTCTCTGGATGTCCAGCGTGGCTCCCATCCCAATTCTGGCTTCGCTGGTGGGTTCTGAAGAAGAGAAGATGGGTTCAAGTGTCCAAGAAAAGAATTTTGCCATCCAGCTGGGGATGCAGAGCACCTGATGCACCTGGAACATTTTGCTGTCGTAGCACAGACCGGACATCTAGAAGAAAAACGTCCAATGTGATTGTTTAAATGTAGTATTATTTTAAAAAATGTACACGACTCAAAAATCAGCAGCCTCCAGACACTGCACACGGTATTTTTCTTAGTCATAGCAGTGTTAGGCAATAAGCAAAATCCTCTACCACACTGCAGAACACTAAGCAGTGCAAATCAACACAAAATTGAACTTAGTAAAACAAAATTGTTTTTTATTGAATTAGAAGAGCTAGCAAAATTCTAATCATTTAGTATTCAAAGTTCTGGTAAAAGATTGTCAAGACACTGTCTTCATTTTTTAAAAAGCCGTAAAAGATCTGATTATTGAAACACTTTCACACTGTACTGACTCTGCGGTTACCTTTGTTGGCAGATGGCCATCACAGAGACACCAGCAGAAAACAACTGCCATGTCTCAGCTGACCCAGTCACACGATCAATTTATCAGAGAATAAACACAATCTAAAATCTTGGTTTTTATTTACATAGTGTTTTAATCAGTTTTTCAACTACTGATTTTTCTAGACATTTAAAATCCTCACCAATATTAGTTCCATTTATAAACCAACCTTGTCTTCATCTTGAAGGTCATTTATAATGTATGGTTACAGAAGTCTCAAGGCTTCCTATGATTTTCTAGTTAAAAATGACTATGGCTATTCCTTTGTAAAAAAAAAAAAATCTTGATGTGAATTTGATTCTTAGGATTAGAAGATCAGATTAGAACATATTTGACAACTTTCTAATATGAGAAAAGTATACTTCAATGTTTAAAAATAAAATTTAAATTGATGAATTGGCAAGAATTCTTTGAGACTGTGCTACACACCAGGCACTGTTCTGGGAACTTAGAATACAGCAAAGAACAAGATAAGCAAGGCCCCACTCTCACAGGGCTTATAGCAGTCAATGTGGAGAACAGGCAGTAATCAAGTCAACACATAAAACTATTTCTGGCAAGTTCTGGGAAGGAAATAAAGTGACATGGGGCACGAACCTACTCTGGGGGCAGCGGGGGACATCAGGAGAGCCCTCAGAGAAAGTGATACTTGAGCGAAGATCTTAAGGATGATGCGGTGCCCGTGACTTGATGAACTGGGGAAATAACATTTTGGGCAGAGAAAGCAGCAGATGCTGCGCAGCCCGAGCTTGGGAGTGTCTATTAGATATCTTGGGGGGCTACTGAGTGGGCAGGTGGCTATGTAATTCTAGAACTCAAGGAAAAGGTCGAGATAAGGATTTCAGAGTCACTGGATATGATATGACATTTAGGGTAACAGGACTAGAGGAGATAAAATGGGGGGGAGGAGGAGACACAGCAGAAGAGAGAACAGGACTAAGGACTGAATCCAGGAGTGCACAAATATTCTATGGACAGACAGAGTAGGAAACGCCAGTAAGGAAATCTGAGACAGGGCTGCCAGTGAAGAGAAGGGAAATAGAGTTTAGTTATCACTGAAGCTAAGAAGTGTTTTAAAATAGGGATGGTCAGCTATATCTAATGCAGCTGATAAGTAAGACAGAACTAGCCACTGGATGTTGCAAATGGAGGTGTTTGATAAACAAGGTGTTTACAAGAACAGTTTTGGTACCAAAGACAGACTGTAGTAGGCTGAAGAGTGAATGGTGGACAACTTCTGGTTTCAAATAATTTCTGTGCCCCTTTACTCAAAAATAGTACAAGACAAAGAAAATGAAAACAGAAACAAACTCCAAGGTCCATGAAACCAGAAACTAATCCTGAACCATGCTAACAAAATAGAAAGCTTATCAAGTGATTATAAACCACTCTGCATATAAGCAGCATATAAGTCCAAATGCCTGCAGAGAGTCCTGTGGGACTCAGAAAAGCACAGGGACTAGAGCAAGCTTGTTCAACCTGAGGCCTGTGGGCCACATGTGGCCCAGGACAGCTTTCAATGTGGTCCAACACAAATTCATAAACTTTCTTAAAACATTACAAGGTTGGGCGCAGTGGCTCACACCTGTCATCCCTGCACTTTGGGAGGCCAAGGCGGGCGGATCACAAGAGGTCAGGAGTTTGAGACCAGCCTGGCCAACATGGTAAAAACCCGTCTCTACTAAAAATACAAAAATTAGCCGGGCGTGGTGGCACACACCTGTGGTCCCAGCTACTCAGGAGGCTGAAGCACAAGAATCGCTTGAACCTGGGTGGTGGAGGTTACAGTAAGTCGAGATTGTGCCGCTGCACTCCAGCCTGGGCGACACAGTGAGACTCTGTCTCAAAAAAAAAAAAAAAAAAAAAAAAAAAAGAAAAAAAGAAAAAAAGTTAGGAGATTTTTTTGCAATTTTTTTAAAGCTCATCAGCTATCTTCAGTGTTAGTGTATATTATGTGTGGCCCAAGACAATTCTTCTTCCAATGTGTCACAGAAGAGTTCAAAAGACTAGATACCCCTGGACTAGAGGGTCTAGGCCCTGTGGAAGGAGGAGAGAAGTAGAGGGTTACTTAAGTCTGGGTAAGAGGCACCCCAGTTCCTCCTCATGCTCCATGTACCCTTTCTCCCCTCCACAGAGAGAAGGGAAAAGCTGTGTAGGGCATGAACCAAGGAGGGTCCATGTGGGTTGGGAAGGCCAAGGCCTCTGCACAGGCAGATTATGTGCATCTCATGCGGCTGTCAGCATAGGGGTTCCAGAAGAAGACAACAGAGGGAATATGGGGGAAAGGATATTATATTTAAAGAGATAAACAGCTGAGAGTTTTCTAGAATAAAGAAAGAATATAAATCCTTAGGATGAAAGGGCAAGAGTCCCTAAAAGAATGCTAAAACGAAATTTACATCTAGATCCACTGTGGTGAAACAAAAGAAAGAAATCCTTAAAAGCAACCAGGGATAAAATACAGACTGTTTAGAAAGAAAAAATAAACTGTTAGCAAATAACAGCAAGAAAAACTGTAAGATAATTGGGAATAAATAAATAATATATATATAAGGCCTTGACAGAAAAAAAAGAAAAAGATAATAAGGGATATTTTTTCAAAACCAACCCTAGTGATAATAAAGATACCAGTTCCATGAATAGGAAGATGCAAAACTTTTAAGATACCAATTTTCATCAAATTAATACATAAATTAAATATCATTCAAAATAAAATCTTAACAGGGTGTTTTGTTGGAATGTAAATGCCAAGCCTCAAATTCATGCGGAATATTTAAGGTTTGCATTTTAAAAACACCATGTTGGGAGAAAGAAGCCAGACCCAAAGCCTGAAAACACGATTCCACTTCTGTGAATGAATGAACCTAAACCACACACTAAGCAGTAAAACGAGACAGGAAAGCGCAAAGATGATGACTATGTGTGCTAGGAGGGGTCACAGAAGGGAGGGAGAAAGAAGGGGAAGGGGTCACAGGAGGGAGGTGGGAAGGAGGAAGAGAGGTGGGAAGGAAGGGGGGCACCATGGGCTGCGGGGCTGGCCAGGCATGGTCTGTACCTGCATGGTGGATTATGGGTATATTTGCTTTATAGTGATTTGCAAGGCTTTGTGACAGTTAGTTTGTGTTGTATATCACAATTAAGAGTTAAAAGACAAAGAAATAAAAAACCCAGAAAAGGCAAGGCAATTTTAAAGAAACGTAAGTCCTATCAGATTTCAAGACATACTATAAAGTTTGGCTACCTAAAACAGTGTGGTCTTTATCTAGGGTTACTTAAATAGACCAAGAGAACAAGAGCCTAGAAATAGGATCCTCAGTGTAAGGGCACCTGGTATTCAGCAGACATGGGTAAATTGGGAGGGAAGGGGCACATGGGCTATACACAAGGAAGAGACAGAACAGGGCCCCTTCCTGACACCAAACGTAAACTTGCAATGGAATAAGAACTCAAATAGAATTCATGAAATTGTAAATCTTTCTGCACAAAATACAGAAGGAATACCTTTTTGGCACTGGGGTGGCAAAATATTTTAAATTAAGAAACATAAGGTACAAACTAGAAAAGAAAACACACACTGGTCTACTTTACAATTTAAAAGCTGTAGTATGCCAAAAGCTACCATAAATGAAATGAAAACACAAGAGGCCTGAAGAAAGTATTCAGAATTCATACAGCCAACCAAGGCAGCATTCAGAACATATCAAGAAACCCTAGGAATGTGTAAGAAAGAGCCCAGTTTTAAAAGCATATGAAAAGGTAATTTCAGAAGAGAAAACTCAAATGGCTGACAAACTCATGAAAAGATGTTTATCCTCACTTGTTTTTAGGACTCTGAAATCTAAAATGAGCAATCTTAAATACAGCAACTGGCAAAAATGTAAAGCTCCTCTAACATCCAGTTTTATCTCTTTTTTTTTTTTTTCCATTTTGTGGAGAATGAGGTGTTGCCATGTTGCCAGGCAGGTCTTGAACTCCTGGGCTCAAGCGATCCTCCTGCCTCTGCCTCCCTAAGTGCTGGGATTCCAGGTGTGAGGTTTTGGTAAGGATGGAGGGAACTGAGAACTCTCACACAGTCCCGAGGGAAGGTGAAGCTATGGCGCCTCTGGGGAGCAATGTGGCAACACCAAGTAGAGCTTTGAGGCTCATTCCACTGCAGCCCTGCATGAGAGAGAGAGGAAGCAGAAACAAATCATCCCCAAGAGGGGAACAGCTGCAGAGTGGGTTATTCATACAACACAGTACTATACAGCCATCCAGATGAACTCCATGTGCGTGTACTGATGTGTTTAAAGTGGAATGAAAAATACACATAGAAGGTATCACATGTTGCGCTCATCTTCCTGCAAAATTTCAGACAACAAAATAATAGTCTATGCCGTTTGTGCACACATCTGTCTGCGGTAACTACAGAATCACAGAAAGCAGTCTTTGCTGTAGAGGGGTGATGGGGGACAGGGTAGGGGGTAGGCAGAGGCATTCTCTGTAACAAATATATATTTTTAATGAAGAGAGACATATGAAGTCAATATGGAAAAAAAAAAACAGTAATGAATTGGAGGCAAGGAAGTAGAAATGCCTTTTCTGAAGATCTGATATAAAACAGAAAATAGGGTGTATATCAGCATTACGCTGATTCAGCAGAAGATAGCAAAATGTTATAAACATAACAAAATATTAAAAATGTAGTACAAATTAGAGCTGTGAGATTTGAATGAAGTACAAAATTAAACATTTTTATTTTTCGGTCTCAAAGTATTCAACTGTGATTGTTGATTTGTTCATTGCTCCCATTAGCTATTTTAACTTCATATATCTAGAAGCTGTTCCTGTTTGTGGACGCTGTTATTAGGCACACAAACACAACTGACCCTTTCGTCATAACAAAGCATTCTGCTGTGTTTTTAGTAATACTCATAGAGAAGTCTACTTTGTCTAATCTTAAAACAGCCATTTCAGCTTTCTTATGGTTACTGTCTCCATAATATATCTTCATCCTTTTAATTTCAGGCTTTTTTTGTGTCTTTGTATTTAAAGTGTGTCTTGTAGATACCATATAGCAATTTTTTTTCTTTTAAATTAGTCTGACAATCTCTACCTTTTGATTGGAGTGTTTAGCTATTATTCATACTTAATGTATTTGCTTGAATAGCTGGATTTTGCAATTTGGTTTCTGTCTGTCTCATCTGTTTCTTACTCTTTACTCCCCCTTTCCTACGTTCTTTTGTGCTATCAAATATTATTTAGTATTTTGGTTTTTTTCAGCTATATATCACTGTATTTTCCCCCTCATATTTGCCCTAGAGGTTATAATATGCATTCAAAATTGAGCATAATATATTTGGAGTTAATACTGAATTACTTCATGTAAAACAGGAGAAGCTTGCAAGACCCTACAGTAAGTCCTCACTTAACTCACTGATAGGTTCTTGGAAACTCCAACTTTAACTGAAACAAAGTATAATTTTGTCTCCTCAATGCTGTAATGAAAAGACGTTGAATGAAATGACATTATTTGAATGATGTTTTGCTTAAAGTTGGAATTTCCAAGAACCTACTGACAAGGTTAAGACTTACTACAGTTCCATGTAATGTCTTCCCATCCACTGCGTTACTTCTGTCATATTTTACACCTATATACCTTAAAAGCTCAACAATACAATGTTGGTTTTTCTGTGCTCACGCCTGTAATCCCAGCATGTTAGGAGGCTGAAGCAGGAGGATCACTAGAGGCCAGGAGTTCAAGACCAGCCTGGGCAACAGAGCAAGACCCCCATCTCTAAAAAAAAAATAAGAATAAATAAAAAGAATTAGCTGGGCATGGTGGTGCATGCCTGTAGTCCCAGATACTTGGAAGGCTGATGTGGGAGGGTCACTTGACCCAAGAATTCGAGGTTGTAGTGAGCTATGATTGCACCAATGCATCCAGCCTGGGTGACGGAGCAAGATCTTGTTGCTAATTTTTTTTAAATCAGGTTTTTAAATAAATTAAGAAAAATATAATGAAAATGCATAGTTTTTGCCAGTATTTAAGGAGTTCACAATTTGGTAGAAGCTCTTAATTTATGGGGGGGAGGCCACAGACTCCCTTAAGAAACTGAGGAAGGTTAAAGATCTTCACTCTCCTGTCCATGCCTTCCCTGCCCCCACAATGACAATCAGACGTGAGTATACACTCACAAAACTATGTATTCAATTTCAGCAGGACCATTCTGTGAAGAATATGGATACCCCACCCAGTAATAAACAAAAATAGGACTGCAAATTCTGGCAGGGAAGTAGGGCTTTTGTGTTCATCTGCTTACATTTCTATCCCATCTATCTAAATGTAAACTCTGAATGGGGAAGATTTGGGTTGCTTTTGATCACTACTTGGCCTCTGCACTTAGAACAGTGTCTGGCACATAGTACTGTAAGTATTTCCTGGGTGAATGGTGAATTAACAAATGCTCCACAAAAATAAATACATTATCTTAGATCCTTTTAAAGGAAATTGGAAAGTTATGCATTCTTTTTGGTCCCAAGTTTATACTTTCCCATATGATAAAAGATAAAGAGTTCACTTGTCCATGTCACTGGCACGCCAGCATGACCTCAAGTTGTCAAATAAAGTGCTACTGCACAATGTTTTAGATTTTCACAAAGGATTAAAATATAAAGTGCTTAAAACCCTAGTCTATGGAAAGATGGGACAAAAATAATTACATTAGATTTCACTTAATTACTGCCAAAAGCTTTTAGAGAGCATCAGTTATTATAATACTATGTTACATTCACACATTATTTTTAATTTTAATTTTCATTATCTCTCTCTTTCTTCCCCCCCCAGAGACGGGGTTTCACCATGTTGCTCAGGCTGGTCTCAAACTCCTGGCTTCAAGTGATCTTCCCATCTTGGCCTCCCCAAGTGCTGGGGTTACAGGTGTGAGCCACCATGCCTGACCTAATTTTCATGATCTCATAAACCTTTTTTACACTAGGTCTTCTGAATGAGCGAGTTTTCTTGAAATCCATAGACCCTCTGAAAAGCAGGCTTTAGAAAAAGACCATATGTTGGATTTGTGTGTCAGGGGGCTGGGGGAACTCTACCAAGGAGGTCTTGCAGGCCCTCAGACCTGGGTAAGCCAAAGAGCAAACGGAGGGGCCACTGAAAAAGAAGGCAGCAGTGGCGCAGTCTCCGGCAGGCAAGGGGTCAGTGCAGGACGATCAGATAAAGCAAAAAGGAACAAAGAGCATATGCCCGGGAAGACAAGCTCGAGTTGGAGTTTGAGCACTTGGGCAACAGGAAGCAGGAACCCTGGCTAGGAAAGGGGACACATGGTCACGCAACCAGAGAACCCCTGGCCCACGTCCAGCTGAGAGTCTAGGCCAAAGACCCACGCTGGCTCCAGGTCAGAGGGAGCAGCCCCCCATATGCCAACAGCAGAAGCTGTGACCCTGTAAGTCTGAGAATGTAAGGCAAGAGGAAATGATTTTCTCTTAGTCCACTAATAAACATGGACGTCAATTACACGGTTCTTCAGATTTTCCAGATGCTTCATCCTTTTAGGAAGGGAATCATGAAATAATGCTCATCAGGCAAATAATTTAATTTGCTGGGTAGAAAACATGCAAAACACTCTTGATTATAGAGAGTAAACTTCAACTGTCCTCTGGTCCTGTTTAGTACTAGCCTGAAACCACAACAGGCAAAGGTTAGAAACTATGACTTTGCAATGACACACAGGTGTCGATTGCTTTCTTTGGCCAACTGTGGCTGAACAAAAACCCACAAGGCAAGCTGTGCCAACCACCGGTCCCACATTCAAGAAACCGACCATCTACTGGGACAACAGGACAAACCTAGGGGCTGCTTTCCCAGGGGCATGATATTGCCTCTGCATGACAAGGAACAGCCAAAGGAATAAATGTCCCCTTGCAACTGAGCCCCAGCACATAGACTTCATGTGCCCTCAAGGCCTGTGGTAACCAGACCCACCGAGACCTCATTTATTCATTCCACAAATATTTACTCAATGCTAATACGTGCCAGCCTATGTTCTAAACACTGAAACATAGTAAGGAGCAAAACAGAAAAATCCCTGCCCTGATGCATCTTACATTTTCCTATTCCTTCTTCTCCAATGAAAATGTTAGAGAAAGCATAAGGGAACTTTGTACATTCCCTAATTTATTACCCCAAGAATGTGAATGCAAATTAGGGATTCCCAAAGTTATTTCTGCCATTTGTCATACATTTTGAAAAGATTATTCTTTTCATGACAGACAGAACCATGTGCCTTTGGCAGTTACTCTGAGACTTGCTATTCTTTAAGTGCAAAAGTGATTCAGATTGAACTTTCTATAGCTTTTCTATCTCATATGAGGGAATAGAAATGATACTAAATTAAAAGATTTTGAGGTACCCAATTAAAATGCTGGATATCCTTCTGATTCTTGGAAAACCAAATTGGAATAGAGACAGAAGTAATAACACTAATCACAGATTATTCGTTTCTCACATACTGTCTTAGAAACCTGCTCTAGGCTTTTCCTTTTGGGAAATCATGCATCAGGAGGATTAGGTCAACTATGCTAAGTAGAAAACTTCAAACAACAGTGGCTTAAATACAAGAGAAGTTTATTTCACCTTCATATTTAAAAAGCTCCAAACATCTTAACTGTAGTCAAAGCAGCCAGAAGAAAAAAAATAAGAAAGGACAAAAGGCGACTTTAAGGAGCCTTCTCAGAAGTCACACAAATATGTGTGTTTACAGCTCAATGGCCAGGACGCCAGGACTTAGACCAGTGGTCAGACTGAGAGGCGAAGGATAAGAGATACGTGATCTCAGCTGGAGGCATTGCTGGCTCAAATAAAACGAACCTTCCCTTATGAAGGAAAAAATATACTGGAAGGCAACTAGAGTCTCTAGCACATGGAGAAAACCATCATCAGGTTCTTATATGTAAACAAACACCTTCTAATATCCATTTTAACAAGCGGACCATCCTCCTTTAAAAGTTACATGCACTTTCTTAAATGGATTCAAAAAATGAAAAATTAATAAAAATATGGGCTTATTTCAGTTGAAACTCATTTCTTACCTTTGATGAAAAATAACAAACTAAAAGTGAATGTGAAGCTCTAAAAGATTTGTGGATTTATAGATACAGCCTCAATGGTGAAAAACTCAACGTTTTCCATCTAAGACCAGGAAGAAGCAAGGATATCCATTCACCACTTTTATTTAATATTCTATTAGAGGTCCTAGCTAGTATAATAAAGAAAAATAAAAGGTACAAATTGGGAAAGAAGAAGCATATAAACACATAAAACTTATTTCTGGATGACACAGACCACCTATGTTGAAAACTCTAAGGAATCCACAGAAAAGCTACCAGAAATAATAAACACATTTAGAAAAGTTGCAGGACACAAGAACGAAATACAGAAATCAACTGTATTTCTTTTTTTTTTTTTTTTTTGAGATGACGTCTCACTCTGTCACCCAGGCTGGAGTGCAGTGGCATGATCTCAGCTCACTACAACCTCGGCGTCCCAGGTTCAAGCGATTCTCCTGCCTCAGCCTCCTGAATAGCTGGGATTACAGGCATCCGCCACCAAGCCTGGCTAATTTTTGTATTTTTAGTAGAGATGGGGTTTCACCATGTTGGTCAGGCTGGTCTCGAACTCCTGACCTCATGATCAGCCCACCTTGGCCTCCCAAAGTGCTGGGATTACAGCTGTGAGCCACCACACCCAGCCAATCAGCTGTATTTCTACACACTAGTGACAAACAATTGGGAAAACATTTATAAAACCAATTCCACTTATAATAGCATCAACATACCAGAATTACTTAGAAATACATCTAATGAAAGATGTGCAAGACCTGTACATTGAAAATTTAAAAATTGCAAAGGGGAATTAAAGAAGAGCTAAATAAACGTAGAGACTTATCACGTTCGTGCATTGGAGAACTCAATACTGTTAAGATTGTTGTAGTAGCTGTTGATTACTGAGCAACAAATTACCTAAGACTCAGTGGCTTGAAACAATAAGCATCTATTATCCAATTTCTGTGGGGGCAGGAATGTGGGAGTAACTTAGCTGAGTGGTTATGGCTCAAGGTCTCTCATGAGGCTGTAGTCAGTCAAGGTGTCAGCCTATCTGCACTCATCTCAAGACCTGACTGGCACTGGAGGATAACCTTCCAAGGTGGCTCAAAAACACACCTAGCAAGTTAGTGCTGACTGTTGGCAGGAGGCCACGATTGTTGGCCATGTGGACCTCTCCACAGGTCTGCTTAAGAGTCCTCATGGCATGGTAGATGGGCTCCCCAAGGGCAAGAGATCCAGGAGAGAGTAAAGACACAGGACTAGCTGTGTCTTTTATGATCTGCTCTTGGGAGTCACATTCCATCATTTTTGCCACATTCTATTCATTATAAGTATCACCAAGTACAGCTCAAATGCTAGCAGAGGAAAAATAAGCTCCACCTCTTGATGTGTAAAAGAATCTGTGGAAACATTTAAAAACCATCACCATGGCAATCCTTCCCAAGTTGATCTAAAGTTTCAACGCAATTACAAGCAAAATCTTAACTCTTTTCCCCTTTTTTTGAAGAAATTACAGGCTGATTGTAGAGTGTATATTAAAAGTCAGTGTCCTAAAATAAGCAAACCAGTTTTAAAAAAGAAAAACAAGGTGGGAGGACTTATATTGCCTGATTGCAAGACTTACCATAAAGCTGTAGTCATCAGTGCAGTGTGGTATTGGCGTAAGGACAGACATATAGATAACTGGGAAAGAAAAGAGTCAAGAAATAAACCTATACTGGTCAACTGAGTTTTGGTGCCAAGGTCATGCAATGAGAAAAGGGTCTTTTCAATAACTGGTAATGGAACAAATGAGTATCTGTGTGGAAAAGAATAAATCTTACCCTTTACCTCAAAAGAATTATACTCAAACTGGATCACAGACCTAAATGTAATAGCAGAAACTATTAAATTCTTGAAGAACATATAGGAGAAAATCTTTGTGACATTGGATTAGCAAAGATTTCTTAAATAGAACATCAAAAGCACAAACTATTTTAAAAACCAGTTAACAATGAATTAATCAAGATTTTAAAATTTTGCTTTTTGGTAACAGACAAGCCACAAATTAGAATACAATTTTCATAAAACATGTCCAACAAAGAGCTTATATCTAGAATATATAAAGAATTATTTTAAGTCAGTTAGAAGATAAATAGCCCAATGAACAAAATGGATAAAAGATTTGAACAGATATTTCACAAAAGATATGAAAATGACCACTAAGCACATGAAAAAAAATGCTCAACATCACTAATCATTAGAGAAATGCAAATTAAAACCACAAGATACCACTACACACCCAATAGAGCGGCTAAAGCTAAAACAACTGACAATACCAAGTGTTGACAAGGGTGTAGAGAATTTGGAAGTTTCAAACATCGATGGTGGAAATGCAAAATGGTAGAGCCACTTTGTAAAATAACATGGTAGTATTTCCTAATGTCAAATATACACTTACCATATGACCCAGCAATTCCGTTCCTAAAGAAGGAAAACATATGTCCACACACAAATGTGTACACAGATGTTCACAGCAGCATTATTCATAATAATCCAAACCTGGAAGCAACTCAAATGTCCACCAATTGGTGAATGGATAAACAAAGTATGGTGCATCCATACTATAGATTAATACTTAATCTATTAATTGTTACTTAATACAATAATAAATGAAAAATTAATTTTAAAAATTGGTGAAATTTTCATGTTCAAGTGAAAGAAGTAAAACACAAAATACTTCATATTATACAATACTAAGTATATGAAATTCCAGCAAAGGCAAAACTATAATTACATGAAGATCAGTGGTTACCTGCGGCTGGCAGCTGGATGTGGGGAAAGAGCATGGGGCATGAAGCCACCATTCATGGTCAGGAGACTGCTTTCCATATTGATTATGGTGGTGAGTACATGACTGTATATAACTACCAAAGTTCAACGAACTATACACTTAAAATTGGTGAGTTCTATTGTATGTAAATAACATCTTAATAAACAAAAAAAGGGAAAAAGAATCTTTTAATAAAAAAGAATGTGAAGATCTAGAAAGATCTCAAATAGATACATAAATCTTTTAAATTTTATAAGAGGTAGGATTTTAGCAGAACAAAAACAAGCTTTTAACAACAAAAAACTTCTGCTGCTTTGAAAATGTTCTCAGCTATCAATATAAGCTAACATGGAAGACCTTTGATAACATCCTATGCTGTTGTTTATAAATAATAAATAAATTCAAAACGACATGTTAATTTTACCATAGTCCCTTCCCAGAGGCTATCATCAAGACAGAAGGAAAATATCAACACAGTCAGTCCCCGAAGACAAACACTGGACACTTAAACACACACACACACACACAGAGAGAGAGAGAAAAACCAAAAACCAAAACTACATATAGTTTAAAGAGATAATCAAAACTGATGAAAAAATTTTAATTTCCTGATAAAAAGACAATGTGAAGACCCATGGGAAAATGTTCTGTCCTGCAACGGACATGATAATCTACCAGTAATCTCTACAATGTAAAAGTACGGGTGTTTCTTGGCAACCTCTTCCTTATCTCTACTTCTTTTTCCTTTATTCAGTAACACTACTATACCAGCCTAATATACTTTAAATTATCCTTTAAGTTTTCTCTGAATGTTTCTTTACTTCAGATTGAGTATGACAATGCAAGAAATACAAGACAGTGAGTTTGCTGAAGGTGAGGTTTAAGCTGAGTTTTTAACCAAGCATGGAGAGAGGACCAGTTAAATATCTTGATGATTTTAGAAGAGAAAGCATAGCTATAGGCCACATTCTTCATATTACGAAGAAAATAGAGTCTGCTAATGAGAAAAAATTTTCCTTGGCTATTGGTCAGCACACAGAAGGCTGCAAAAAGTTGTCGATTGTGTTTTTCAGGGCCTCTGGGGACTTTGAAAACCTCTTCATACCCAAGATTGCCCTCCAGAATCATGTCTCCATTGCTGATGAATGGGGCCTCATCCTAGTGGTGTGGCTAAGGGAAACTTTAAGAATAACTGTGTCTGTGCATCTCGTGGCTGGAAGAGACATGGATGAGAGCCTTGAGATGTGCAGTGTAAGGTGCTGGACTCACTGGGCCTGGAGCAGAACACCTGGCCTTTGTCCTGGTTCTACCACCCATCATTCATGCAACCTGAAACTCAGCCTCCCTATCTTTAAAATAGGCAGTCCAGGTATTCTACCACTATAGAGAACACATCAAGAACCTAGTAAGGCAGTACACATTGTAAGCATCCTGACAATCATGTAGTATAATGTTTTATAGTACAGAAATTATTTTTTGATAATATTAAGTTTTTAAACTAAAAAATTATTTTTAGAATGTGTATCAAGTAGACATTGTGCTAGGCACTGAAGATTATGAAGAATAACATAGAATTCCTATAAACTAAAAGGACTCTCCTACAATTCAATACCAAAAAACTAATAACCTAGTTTTAAAAATGGGCTAAGGACCTAAACAGACATTTCTCCAAAGAAGACATACAAATGGCCAATAGGTACATGAAAAAATGCTCAATGTCACTAATCATCAGGGAAATGCAAATCAAAACCACAATGTGGTATCACCTCACACCTGCTGGGATGGCTATTATAAAAAAACAAAAAACACCAAAAGACAAGTGTTGGTTAGGATGTGGGGAAAACTGGAACCCCTGTGCACAGTTGGCAGAAATGCAAATGATGCAACTATGGAAAACAGTATGGAGGTTCCTCAAAAAATTAAAAATAGAACTAATATGATCCAGCAATCCCACTATTGGGTATACATCCAAAAGAAATGAATCAGGATCTCAAAGAGGTCTCGGCACTCTCATGTCATCACCATGTTATTTGCAATAGCCAACATGGGGAAACAACCTAAGTGCCCATCAACAGACAAAGGGATGAAGAAAATGTGGTCCATGCATACAATGCAATACTATTCAGCCCTTCAAAAAGAAGGGCATTTTGTAATATGCAACAACATGGATGAAACATGAGGACCTATATGCTAAGTGAAACAAGCCAGTCACGGAAAGACAAATACTGCATGATTCCACTTATATGAGGTATATAAGATAGTCAATTTCACAGAATCAGAGAGTAAAATGGTGGTTGCTAGGGGCTGGGGGCAGAGGGAAAAGGAGAGTTAAAAATCAACAGGCATAAAGTTTCAGTTAAGCAAGAGCGATAAGCTCCAGAGATTCGCTGCACAACCCCATACCTATAGTCAACAATTATAAACTGTCACTTAAAAATTTAAGAGGAGAGCTCTCATAAATAAAGTCAGGACTGACTCAGGAAAAGGGTTGGGCCAGGACTTAAATGAGTAAGACTTCCTAGAAGAAGGGATATGTGAGTGAAATAGGGGATATAGTTGGAAGAAACTGCATGTGGTTATGCAAAGCTATCTTTTAAGAGCATAGACATAGGCCGGGCACTGTGGCTCATGTCTGTAATCCCAGCAATTTGGGAGGCCGAGGCGGGTGGATCACGAGGTCAGGAGATCAAGACCATCCTGCCTAACACGGTGAAACCCCGTCTCTACAAAAAACACAAAAAAATTAGCTGGGCATGGTGACAGGCGCCTGTAGTCCCAGCTACTTGGGAGGCTGAGGCAGGAGAATGGTGTGAACCCGGGAGGTGGAGCTTGCGGTGAACCAAGATCGCGCCACAGCACTCCAGCCTGGGTGACAGTGAGAGACTCCGTATCAAAAAAAAAAAAAAAAAAAAAAGAGCATAGACACTAAAGTTATGCTACCTACATTTGAATCCTGTCTCCACTACTTTTCAGCTACCTGGTGTTCTTGGCAAATTACAGTCATGTGTTGCTTAATGATAAGGACACATTCTGAGAAATGTGTTATGTGATCTGGTCATCGTGTGAACATTACAGAGTGTACTTACACAAACCTAGATGGGATATATATTTTCATTTATATATATTTTTTCATACAGAAAATCAAGTGTTCTGGCACCATGACTGAATATCAGTCATTTCCCCTACTTGATCTGCAGTGCCAACACTGAGTGCCATACACCAGGTTTCTACCTATGCTCCATTAGAATCCACAGGGCCACCACTGAATACGCACTCTGTTGTTGATCAAAACGTTGTTACGCAGTGCATGACTGTAGTTAATTTCCCTGTGCCTCAGTTTCTTCATCTATAATAGGGAGAATATTCCGTAGTTCCTCAGGTTTTTATGAGGGCTAATTAAAATAATGTTTGTAAAGTGCTTAGAAAAGAGTACTATTAGTCAGCTTTTTCTAAGTTATACTGTGGTAACAAATTATCAAATTTCAGTAGCTTATAACAAAGATTTCTTTCCTGTTCATGCTACATGTTGGTACAGCCCTGCTCCATTTGACTTCTTCATTCTGGAGTCTGAGGAGCTGCCCCTCTCCGGGCCCTGCTTTTCTCATGGCAAAGGGGACAGAGCAATGGTGGAACCAGGCAGTGGCTCTTCAAGCTTCTGCTTGGATGAAGCATTTGTCACTGCTGTTCATATTTTAGTGGCTAGTGTAAGTCAAACAACAAAACCTGATGTCAACAGGGCATGCAGAGGCCCTATAGGGAGGGCTTCAGTAGAGAGGGGCAGAACATATTTTGACCAAATATATTTGAACAAACAAAAATACTAGAGTAAAAAATCTACCACAAGTGTCTGGTACATACTAAGTGCTGTGTGTTTGTTAAAGAAAAATACTTGTTTGCACAATCATACAGAATCCTGAAAGTGGATGTTTGGGAATGGATTGTGTGTAGTTGGAGTGTATGGTTCACAGAAGTGACAGGGGTAGGTGAGGAGGTCGCATTTTGAAAGGAGGCTAGATTTTTGCCTACAGGTAGAACATAAGTTGCAATAATAAAATTTTATAGCTATTTTTATAAATTTTATAAGGCAATTCTATCTGCCAGCTTTATTAAGACAATGGCATCATTTCATTTATTCTGCACTGAGCATTTAAAAATCACACGTCAACTGGTCGCTACCTCCCTGTGTTAACAATGGCCTAAGACACCATTTGTCATCCTGGGCCTGAGTTGCAATTGCCACAAGGAAGAATATATTAATAGAAGGCTTCTTCCAGTTAGTCCTGGCTCCCTGTGGTCAGGAGTGGGAAAGGTAGCATAGAGAGGGAGGGAGGAAAAAGGAGAAAAGGGAGTGTATATGGATGAGTCAACGTGAATGTGAGTGTGTGTGGGGTGTACATTGGACAAGCACTGACATCACACTTGCTATTTTAATTATAAGGCACCCTCCAAATTTGGATGCTTCTTAAGAACCTGCTACTTGTCTTCAACTTCTACATGTGGTCCTTTCACAAGTCCCATCACCCTCATGGCTTTGGTCAGCCTTGAAATTTTTGTTTGTTTGTTTGTTTGTTTTTTGTAGAAACAGGGTTTTGCCATGTTGGCCAGGCTGGTGTTGAACTCTTGGGCTCAAGCGATCCACCTGCCTCAGTCTCCCAAAGTGCTGGGATTCCAGGCATGAGCCACTGTATCTGGTTAGCCTTGATTTTTCTTTGCAGTTCCTGTCCTCATTTTCAATGAACTACTAGAAAATAATCCAAATCTCTAAAGTAAGTTTAACTGGGAGGCTTGTGCATCAGAGGAGTTATCTGAGCTGCTACCTATACCACTCTTTGGTCAATGGAGAAGCAATCTAAGGGAAAAAAGGTTAAATAGGAGAAAAGGAAGCACGGAGAGAAGAGAGAGCTGGGCACAAGCAAAGGCGGCGCAGAGGAACTCACACCTACCATCCCTCGCCCAGAAGCAGGCCAGGGCCTCAAAACATACTCTAAAGATGCTTATGCTTCCACAGCAGGTTATGCTGTTTCCATTTGTTCACAGTTACTTTAAGACAGTGGTTTGGGTTTTTTTGTTTGTCTTTAAAAGTACTACAGAGGGAAGAGAGAAAGGCAAATCACAGCCCGCAAATGCGCTGTCTTGACTCCCTCCAGATGGCTCATTTTCCCTACCCCTGTCCTATGATCTACGAACCCTGATAAGGCTTCTGTAATCTTGCACCATCGTAAAGTGTTTCTTCTTGAAGTGCTTTAAAGATCCCCACTCCTTACAGAAAACAATCCAAACTCAGACCACATTTGAAGTCCCAAATCTTACTTTTGGGTGTAACAGATTGTTTTTTTTCCACACTAAGGCTGCTGGATCAGAGATAATCAAAGTCTGATATACTGTACATGACAAGTAACGAATGCAGGAAATGGGTACAGTGAAGGGCTGCGTTGAAGGGAGAAGTCTGAGGAATATAGGCCTGTTAATTCACTCTCAAACAGCTTAAAAGAGGGTCAAGTAAAGATAAATGTGTGAACTGTAAAAAGAAAATTGGCAAAAGAAGGCTCTTTCTATTTTAATCATGCCAGAATCAGATCAGTCCTGAGACCTCGGCTTTTGAGAATTAGGGTGCATCCCTGTGGTAATGACTCAGTACTATGATTCATAAAACTGTAGAAAATGAAGAAGTTCTGAGATGTAGATGGCTCAAAAGCTCTCTGCAGAACCACAAGAAGAATTTAAATGAAGTTCAGTAAGTAAGCAATGCTTTAAGGAAAAGTATTAATGTGTAAGAAAATTAGTGGAATTATGAATATGTAAAGACTGACTTCAATTTTTGAAGGTCTCTCACCAGACATCTAGAAGAACAGTTGATACGGTCACTGAAATGTTGAAGTATTTGTTTAAACTGATATATGTCACTTGGCTGTAATAGCCAAGCTTTCCAATTACAATTTTGCAACATTTCATGAAAAGTCCTATTTTAAATACTAAATGTTTGCATTAAAAATCAGAACTGTCAAATGAGGAAAAAGGTAACACAAAAACATTTATCAATGATACATGTGAATAATCTTACAGTCATCTTTAAGTACAAGAGAATCCCCCTCACCTTTCCTGGGCAGCAGCTGGAGTCTCTACTGGATAACAAAATAGGACTGAGGTCTGACAGCCATCCTGGGCAAACTAACTTACTATTGCTCCTGTAAGCTAAAAACTGTCTTCCCTCAACTCAGAAAAATGATTTAGTTATTTTCTGTGATATCACTGAAGATAAAAAGTGGTCAACTTACCTAGTAAAATACTGTACTGACATAATTTATCAACCTTCTATTTTAATCAGTGGAATATTTTAAAGTTATATATTCAAAGACATCTATAATTATGCAAGAATAAGGGACACCGAGGAGAGATTAAAAACTAGCCTAGGCCAGACACGGTGGCTCACGCCTATAATCCCAGCACTTTGAGGCAGATGGATCCCCTGACGTCAGGAGTTCGAGACCAGCCTGGCCAACATGGTGAAACCTCGTCTCTACTAAAAATACAAAAAAAGTAGCCGGGCTTGGTGGCGTGCACCTGCAATTCCAGCTACTTGGGAGGCTGAGGCACGAGAATCACTTGAACCCGGGAGGCAGTGGTTGCAGTGAGCCAAGATCATGCCACTACACTCCAGCCTGAGTGACACAGCGAGCCTGTCTCCAAAACAAAAAAGCTAGCCTAAACAAAATAAATCAACCAGTACCTAGCTAAATAAAATAAGCTCAATCCAAAGTTGGCAGCTTTCCAGAAAAGCATGAGTAAAGTTTTTGGTTTCTATGACAGCAAATAACAAATTACTCATGTTTCATACAAATATCTTTGTTTAAAAAATACTCTTTTTCTTAAAAACCACATTAATTGCCAGAATGAAATAAAATCATTGCTTAACACACATGGTTAAGTGAATTACTGGTTTCAATACTAAAATGTGAAATCTCATCAACAGGTTTTGTAACATTCCCCAAAACACTGAATATCATCTATAATTATAATTATCTGTGCATTTCTTTTGCATAGTAAGAATTTTATTTTGTTAGTATTTTATTTAGCATAAATATCTCCCCAAAAAGGGAAGTCACTTGATCTATAAAGGAAGAGGGGAAGTCATGTTGAGCAAGAGACATCTGGAATAGGCAGACTGTGGCTTTGTGAATCTCAGGCTTGGATCCTATAGTCAGTGGTGTGTAAATCAAACACTCACAAATAATACTGATATTGTCTTTTACAATCTTCCTTATCTAAAGTATGCCACATCACAGTAAATATTTCATAATAAAAATGAGAATTTTCTAGACAAAGAAAGAAAATGTTCCTTAGGTTCAAAACAAGCACCAACATTTATGGTATAGGAACATAGGAAAACTGGCCATGATTCATGAATATTAATTATTTTAAATAAACAGTCATCTAATTATGGTAAAATAGTAATAAAGAACAAGGTTAATATGAAGATTTATCAGATTTTTTGTCATAGTAGAAGGCCGGTAACTTTGGCTGAATCAATGACTGTAAAAGGCTCAGAAATGTTTATTATTAGTAGGGTTCTTTAAAATGCTACATTATCTTTGAATTATATTCCAAACACACTGTAATTCTATTCACCCTTCTGAAACAAGGGATTTTTTTTGGTCAAGAATTTTATTTTAAACGTCTGATTCCTTTTAAAAAGTTAAAACAGGTACCCCACTACCTGTTAAACATGTGTACCGGAAAAGACTATAATCATAACATATAATTTTAGATTTTAAAAAGACTATAAAGAGATGAAAAATGCAACCTCCAATTTTAGTGCACTGAATGTCACACAATGCAACTTTCTGAGGAGACAGCAGGCACTTAAAGCTAGGAGTCTAAAAAAAGAATAAAGAAAGAAAATGGAATGTGTTTTAAAAAACTGAGTCACATAAGAGTTACTAAGGAAGGGGACAAATATGGAGAGTAAAAGAATTAATAGTAACTAACACAATGAAATCGTATACAATAAGGTACTTCAATATTTGAATGCTTTTGGAAAATATTTAAAACAGAACTCAAAACCATTACTGCTAAGTGAAACAAATATGCCATGGAACAAACAGTACATCCTCAGGCATCTCTCATGATCAAAGCAATGAGCTCCTTCTTTGCTGTTCTCAGGCTGGTTAAGTCTTCCTCAGTCACGCAACAGTTCTAACTGGGTGAGCCTAGACTTGGGGGAGTCTGGCACCTGTGTCCCAGAGAATCAGTCTAACCCCAGGATGGCCCTAAGCCACCACAAGTCTCAAGAATACCAGACGGATAGCTTAGGTGTTTTGAAGACTTCACAATAGGGTTTAGCTCTGTGGTCCTGAAGCCAAATCAGGTATCTGGGTAGATGTGAAAATTTTTAGGGAGGAGAAAACAAAGTGACTTGGAGCCCCAGAATATTGGCTGCAAGCATATCAGCTGTGGGGAACAAAGGCGTGAATTTTAAGCAAAGAATGAACACAGAAAAGGAATAATACAGAGAGCTTAAAGGAAGAAGAGGGGTAAGCAGGCGTACAGGATGACACACTAGCCCCAAATACCAGTCATTCACCCAAGAAACAAGGATAGTGATAATTTATTTGAAATGTGTACAGTGATTGCAGTGAAATGTGTATTATTATGAATCCATTCTGTCATTTAAGTCTTTTCTAAGAAAGAAATAAAATCTATGCTCTATAACCGCTAGTTAAAATTTATTTTTATAAATCTGGAGGTTTAAATTTAAGTCATGGATGAAGAATAAAACTCCACTTCATGCTCTAATTTTTTTTAATACCTCACAGAGAATTTAGGACAAACGCTTATTATTAAAATACAATAGCATAGACAAGATGAAAAAATTCCAGCAAACATACTGAGGTTGCTTGGTTCATTCCCTTCTTCCATGATGAGACTTTGGTCAGGTCCAACCCACCTGACTTTCCAGTTGGCATTATTTTTTTCCCTCGTGTGACAATGTCTTTTTACAAAATGAGCAGACTATCTCTCCTTATTTTTAGTAAGTCCAACTTCTTCATTTTCAGGCTTTTTTTTTTTCTATGATTTAAAAACAACACTGACAAGCCCAGCTAAAACTTTCATCAAAATTACCTTGAAAGCACAAACTGGCCTCCTTTGTCTCAATTTTCCCTGTGACTGGCCTTTTTTTTTTTTTTTTTTTTGAGATGGAGTCTCACTCTGTCGCCCAGGCTGGAGAGCAATGGCGCCACCTCGGCTCACTGCAAGCTCCACCTCTCGGGTTCCACGCCATTCTCCTGCCTCAGCCTCCTGAGTAGCTGGGACTACAGGCGCCTGCCACCACGCCCAGCAAATTTTTCTGTATTTTTAGCAGAGATGGGGTTTCATCATGTCAGCCAGGATGGTCTCGATCTCCTGACCTCATGATCTGCCCGCCTCAGCCTCCCAGAGTGCTGGGATTACAGGCGTGAGTCACTGCGCCTGGCCGTGACTGGCCCTTTTTAATCACCACAGAAGTAACATTGAGCCAGACCTGCCATGGGTTAAAAGAATGTTGAGAGCCGGGTGCAGCGGCTCATGCCTGTAATCCCAGCACTTTGGGAGGCTGAGGCGGGCAGAACACCTGAGGTCAGGAGTTTGAGACCAGCCTGACCAACATGGAGAAACCCCATCTCTACTAAAAATACAAAATTATCCAGGCGTGGTGGCACACACCTGTAATCCCAGCTACTCTGGAGGCTAAGGCAGGAGAATCACTCGAATCCGGGAGGCAGAGGTTGTGGTGAGCTGAGATCGAGCCATTGCACTCCAGCCTGGGCAACAAGAGTGAAATTCTGTCTCAAAAAAAAAGAATGGTGAGACAGTTGAATATGACGCACAATCTAAATAGGACAATTTTCCTAATGTTTTTACAGGAGAGAGAGAGAATTGGGTGTAAAAGGGTAGTCACACTTACAAGTCCACTTATGGCTACAATCCAGATGTAGGAACCAGAGGTGAAAAGCTATAAAAGAAAAAAAAAAGGCAACTAAAAATAAAATTCAACTGCCAGTCACAGCACACTTATTTTTACATAACTATAGTCATGACCATTTATATAAAGTATTAATTATATATGCCATAATACAGAGAAGCAAATGGAAAATTAGTAAATATCAACTGTTACTTAAAAGAAAATTATATATTAATTTTTTTTATTCAGACATCAGACTTTGTATAGCCTAAAACAAGTTGAACCTGGCCCACACCCCATGCAAAGAAAAATAAATGAAACCCAAGTATGATGTTATTTACAAATTTCAACTGACTTAAAGTAAAATACTACATATAAAGAAATTATTAGAATTAACAACATACAAAACAGGTAATCACCATCCCATGCTTGGCAATGATGTGATATTTATGTAAATAACTTTCTCATTTTAATTTCTTAACATTGTCACCCTAAATTTAGATGGGAAGAACCCTGCCAGCCTACTTAGGTCTATGTCCAATGGTAACTTTCTCAAGTGTTGATATTCTCATTCTAGTTCACCCAAGGAAGAGCAAACTAAATAACAGAACAAAGTTAATTAATGGCAAAAGTAATTAGAATTAGATCTCATGAAATTCTTCCCTTTGTTTTCCAAATCGTTTATATCTTAGAGTTGTGCTCAGGGTAATTAAAAAAAAATCATAAGGACTCTGAAAGTGTTCCTGCAACAAAGAAATGATTTGTGGGTTATTGTTGGTTAATTTTTAGAACTTCAGATTGGGGGTTTACTTCTGATTGTGGAAGAAGAGGCAGGATACTCAGGCAGGACAGCCCAGGTTCATCGCTGGCATTGTGCTAGATGAAAACCTCAAAGTTCTGCACACTTACCAAGGACACACAGAAAGAAGACAGACACAAAAGGTAAGAGTTGACACACTCAGATAAAGAGGCTGGCAAGCTTTGCTCTAGTGATAGGCTCAGTTAGAAATGAGCACAGGCTGCAACTTTAAATCTGAACCTTTGATGTAGCACGGACGTTTGTTCAGTGGAAATGACTCTGATAATAATAAGGATGGAACCATGTAGACAAATATTTTGCTGTAATTTTCTTCTAAAAATAGAAAGAATAACAGACTAGCTAACACTTTCTATGTGTCAGGCATTGCTCTCAAGGCACTTCAGTAAAACCGAGTGGTTAAGCAATTTGCCACAGGTCAACAGCTAGCAGGTGGTGGGCTGGAGTGTATCCAGGACTGGCTCTACAGCCATGCTCTCCACTCTTCCAGGTCTCATACGCAAGTAAAAAGAGCGTATCATTTTGTCATTGAAAAAGTAATTTCCTCTGGGTTCTGAAGCCTCTCATTGCCTGTGTGGTCCCCATTATGTCTGCCTATGTCTTCACAGTATCTGTGTGTTTTCTCATGGCTGGGCTCCTTGAGGACAGGGGCTACATCTCACCCAGTGGGTGATACTGATTTAAGTATTGGATGGCTTGAGAGCCCACAACGTCATAGCCCATTGCACAGGGCATGATGTTATGGGCTCTCAAGTCATTGGATACTTAAATGAGCCTTAAGCATTTTGGCTCTTCCGATTATGATTCAAGTCTTCATTCATTCATTCATTCATTCATCCATTCATTCATTCATTCAACAATGTCCCTGGTTGTAGTGGGGAGAGACAAAGGCACAGAAACACATGCAAAGGCTTGGAGGGGAGGGAGGCAGGTGGAGGACAGACATTTTAGCACAAAGGAGTTCAGTTACACTCCTTCAAGGTGGGCACAGGGGGAGTTGACACCAGACAGTCAAGAAGAACCCTGCATGCCATTCATGCTAAGGACCTAGATTTTATCAAGGAGGCAATGAGGCATCTCCACCTCTATTTTCTGATCTCAACTTCTCCCTCTCAAAGTTACCGGAAATATTACAAAAATATTGGAAATTTATATTATTTTGAAAAACTATCCGTGGTAGTTGCATCTACCTTTCTGCTTTCGGCAGGGCTAAGGGGGATCCCTCATGGTGAGCTGTGTAACACTGTGGAAACGGCACTAGATATTAGGTTGGTGGAAAAGTAACTGCAGTTTTTGCCTTACTTTAATGGCAAAAACCGCAATTACTTTTGCACCAACCTACTACAATGGCCCCGTGATGAAGGCCATGCTGTGCCTCTTCATCCAACTAAGACCCCCTTTCCCCGAGAGATGAAACATACTACTTGCTTTATGCCAAAAACAAAACAAGAAATACATTTACAATCTCAGAAAAATGAATAGTGGTAGCTATAGAGATATAAATTATTAATTAATAGTAACCAATTGACTTAACTCTTATTATCTGTTCAGATTACACTAAACACTTCATGCTATCTTTAAAATACCTCTGTAAGGTAGATATTATCATCCCCATTTGATAGATGGGGAAATGGGGGCTCAGAAAAAGTAAGTGACAAAGCAAATCATTACCAGACCAAGTCATTAAACCGAAATTCAACAACCTGGCTCCAAAGACTTTCCACAATGCCACACTGAACTCCTACTCCACAATTAATAAAACAGTGTTTTCATTCTCAAAGATTCTACATAGCTTTAGAGTTGGAAGAACTATACAGTGAATGTGAGGCTCAGAGGGTTTCCATGACTCAACCCAAGTCTCATGGCTGGAGACAGCCATGCTAGGACTAGAACTTGGGTCTCCTGAGGGAGGTCTGGAGTGCTCTTCGAATTCCACATGGCCTCTGTCACAACAACTTTAAAAATATTAAATCTGCTATAGCAAATCCTACTCATAAGAATCAAATGCAGAAACGGGCTATTTGGTTACATGGATATCAGGTAGGATCAGGGGGCGTGTAACGGTACGGGGGTTGAGAGATGGAGAATAAAAAGATTTCATGAGAAACGGTTGTAAAAGTGGTAAGAAAACGCCCCAGATGAGCCATTGATAACACATGACAGCAGACTGGAGAAGTGAGAGGAAATGCTAAAGGTTAAAAGGGGAGGGAGGAAGGCATTCTGAAGTGACGCCAGTATCCGGTTAGAGTGCGTGGGATAAGGAATGTTATGAGTATTAATCAGTGGATCAAAAGGCCAAGCGACACATGGTGACACAGGAAGCTGTAGAATAAAACTACATCAAAAGCCGTGAGAGTAAAAGAAAAGTGACAGGTAGTACAGATAGAAAACTGAAAATCATTCTCCTACCACAGACCTGGAGCCCAGCAGGGAGCAATTGACATTCGCTGAGGATTGGCAAAGAAGCTTTTCAAATGTAACCTGGACAGTAGTACTCTAGTAGTCTTCACAGCAAACCATTTAGCAAATGGTGACGCTACCATCACAGCTTCACAAACAAGGAAATAATCAAGCTGACAATGCTTCTTGAAAACCCCAAAGCTCGGGTTGGTAGAGCACACCGGGTTTCTTCTTCAGAGCTTTATTTGCGACACTGTATTCAATAAATTAATTTTGACACTGATTTTCTACTTTCTACTTTTTGATTGTTCTCATTTGTTTCCACTTCATACTATGATTGTTAAAAAGTACGCACATGCAATTGTACAATGAAATGAAAATATTTTCCACAGATACAAATTACAGTGAAAGCTCTTATCAGATTTCTAAAGACTATGAAAGTATTCTAGTATCTTCTATACCTTGATGTTCTTGTTCTGTAACACTTCCTTTAAACATTTGATATAGATCATGAAGCCAAGATTATGGGGGGAAAAAAACCATTGTTTTCAAGGAGATCAAATGAGAAAAAGACCAAAAAAAAAAAAAAAAAAGATCTGGTTAAAGAAAAGTGAACATAAAAATGCATACTGTACCTGCAGTCCCAATATATAAATCAATGTCTTGTTTGTGATGGACAACGGACCCAGAATTTGTGCCACTTGGACTCTTGGTATGGAGCAGTAAAATGGTACAAACAGAGCAAACACAGGTGCCAGGCTATGCAAACAAATAAAAAAAAATCACTATAATAGTGAATTTTAAACACAAATGGCAGATGTATCTTTGAAGTAACACTGCTTATAATTTTATTTCAGTCTGAAAGCATGGTCTTAGATATACATATTGATTTTCAAATATGATTCATGTCCAAAATAATTTGTACTTATAGAACACTTTATGAAAACTCTAATCATTCTATCCTTATTGACCCTCCTGAAACCACTGCAAAGAAGTGGTTCAGCACCTACTAAGTGTGAGAAAAGTGGAGGCTATGTTTTCTTCCCAGGTATTACTAAAATCTAATGAGAGAAACTAGACAAATCGAAAGCAGCAAACATTAGAATTCTTCAGTCAAATCCAAAAGCCTCATCTCAAGCCCTGTCCAGTGATCTGTCGCCATGGCACTGGCACGGTTCACCTCTGGCCCTCCCTTCCTCACATTCCTTCCTCCCTTTGTCTGAAACCCTGCTTCTCAGTGGTTGCCCAGTGATTTCTTACACCACTCTTCTGGCTTCTCCATGGTTCCATTATAGCCTTTTCTTCTTGCTCTCTCATCTCCTCATACAATCTCAACCCTTTCTATAGCTTGGGCTAAGAAAATGAAGTGAGACCTAAAACTGCCTGCCCACCCCTCACCTGGTTCTGAATGTCAATTTGACACCTTCACCTTGACAGATTCAAAAGTCTTATGTGTCTTTCTACTTACAGTCTTGCTTCTCTCTAATCCATTTCTTAACATTGTTGGCAGTACTCTCTTCCTAAAATACAACTCTGATCACAACACTCCCTTGCTTAAAAACCCTTCCTTCCGGCCGGGCGTAGTGTCTCACGCCTGTAATCCCAGCACTTTGGGAGGCCGAGGCGGGCGGATCATGAGGTCAGGAGATGGAGACCATCCTGGCTAACACGGTGAAACCCCGTCTCTACTAAAAATACATAAAATTAGCCGGGCTTGGTGGTGGGCACCTGTAGTCCCAGCTACTACTCGGGAGGCTGAGGCAGGAGAATGGCGTGAATCCAGGAGGCAGAGCTTGCAGTGAGCCAAGATCGCGCCACTGCACTCCAGCCTGGGCGACAGAGCGAGACTCCGTCTCAAAAAACAAACAAACAAACAAAAACAAAAAAAAATAAAAAACAAAACAAAAAAACCCTTCCTTCCATAGGCTCCAGTATCCAAAGATAAAATGCTTCATAAAGATGTGATGGCAAAGCTCCCCAGTTCGCTTTCATCACTGGAGTCTGCCACCACTGTCCTCCTCTCTGCTTCCCCTCATCTGGCCCAACACACACAAGGCCCTCTCAAAAATCCACACAGCTGCTCCCTGAACACGCTGGCTGCTTTGACTCTCCACTGACGCAGGTTCTGCTTTCCACTTTCCTGCCTAGGAAACTCAGCTTGTGCAACACTGCTCAGCTCTTCCCACAAGACTTCTCTGACTCCTCCTGGCAGCTGGTGGCTCTCCTCGTGGCCCCCAAGCTATGTCAGTTTCACCACTGCAATGAATCAGTGAATCAAATGCGTGCCAAGGATGTCACGGTAAGATGCCCAGCACAGGAGCTACAACTACGTCCAAGAGAAAGAAGCAGTCCTTGACCTCAAGGAACTCATCACAGGACGGAAATCTTACATTCCTACAAGTGCTAGGCAGGTAATATGAATGAGTAGAGTGGTTTGGGCACAAGCTTGCACCTGTTTTCCATTAAACACTTGGCTTAATTACTCAGTCTGTGTTTTATTTTCCCACTTTTGGGAAAATGGCACCAGAAAAAAAAGAATTATTTCATTATCACGAGAAAAATGCAAAACATATGTTTCACTTCTACAAAGAACTGTCCTTGGTGCCATTTTTGTGGAAACACAGGACCCTCCTGGCCTCTTGCGCAATTTCTCATCCTTGATAGAGACTACGTTATTTTAAAAAATGCACTGTCCTCTCAATTCTACTGTTAAAAACAAAACCAAACCAAAATACAACACACACAAAACAAATGTGATAAATGGCAGCCGCATCAACTGCTATCAACACAAACGCAGCAAATGCTAGAACAGGGAAAACTCCAGCCAGTAAGGCCTAAGTGCAGGCACTGTGTCAGGACTGGGGACACAGAGATGTGAGATACACCTGGCTAGCCATCCAGTGAGAAGGATGGCAGGGACTGGGTGGCAGACGGAGGTGCACGGCACAGCGGGTTCCTACCCCCACTTGCCCAGTCTAGAATTCCTCACGTATCAGTCCTTCTTCCCAGGCTGAGCACCCCAGGACAGGGAAGAAGAGGCAGTCCTGGTTCTCCTAGCACCTGGCACAATGCTTGGCACAGTTTAGGAGCTCACTACATTTAGGGCCACAAAATAATCCTTATTCTAGAACAACTGTATGACTCACATTTGAATTGACTATACAGAGTTCTCAAAAACCTCCCATTAGATTATTAATTCTGAGAGAAAGCATCATATTTTATCTAGGTTTGCCAAATGCAGATTCTTATACATGATCCATATTCAATATTGGTTGGATTTTTTAAAATTAACAAAGCAGTTTTTAAATACTACACAGAAGAACTGCTTTTGTCCAATTATAAACCCAAGCACAACTGATTAAAACAGCTGGGCCTTCTTTTCATGGAAAAGTATGAGTTAGTCACTCCTGGGCATAAATCTTCCAATGCCTCCCCACCTACAGTCATGACAAAGACGTCCCAGGCCCTGAATCTCCATCCCCATTCTGATCCTGTGCTCCGCAGGACAGCACCTTCTCAGAGAGGTCCTCCCTGACTGCCCCATTTCAAACCGCACCTCCCGCCCTCACAGCCTTCCCCCTCTGCATTCTCTACTCTCTTCCTGACTGTCCTCCCCCACAGCACTTACAGCCTTCTCATCACTGCCTATCTATCTTAAAAGTAGAATGGAAGCTTCACATAGATGGGGATTTTGGTCTGTTTTGTTTTATTCCCACTGTCTAGAATTGTGCCTGGCATAGAGTAAGGTTTCAATAAATATTTGCAGAAGAAATGAATTTTCCTTTAAAACAGTAAAACCATACAGCAGAACTTGCCTTTTGTTTTAAAAAGCCCCCTTCCTTTTTATCATTTTTAATGGGATTAAAACACATGGTTTCATATGTAGCTCAAAATATGGCCTGCTCTCTTGGTGATTATAGAACCCTATTTGGGGAGCCAATCGCACCAGAGGTCTCTTACCACAGAACATGCCCTTGGAGGCGCTTAATTCATAGAAGTTCTTCTGTTTACATTTAGTAATAAAGTACAAATAGTGATGTTATAACTAAATAACCTAAAGCAGAGTTCTTTTTTGAGGTTACATTTCAACGTAAACTAAAAAAAATACTGGTAGAAATTTTAATGACCACAGTTTACATTTCACATACCAATAGAAGTTTAAAAACTCCTTTAAAAATATTAATCACTGTATAATTTTAAATGATGACTAAATACTAGGCCACACATACACATTTCAGACCAAAATTATATGGGCTGTTCTGCAGAAATTTTCCGTTGCTATTTCTACACACACAGACTTCACAAAATACCATAATGTTATTAGTCACTGACCAGTCTTTTTCTTTTCCTTATTTTATGACAACATCTGTTCTCTATACTGTCAACAGTAATTCAGTTTGACCTTTTTCATACTGTGAAGAACTACCTTCTGGAAGCCCTTTCTGGCTTAAGCAGATGAGGCTGGTAGCACAGAAAAGAGAAAGCAGGTTATAAACATTTCATCCATCCTTTCTTTTTTTCTTGAGACACCGGTATCTGTCAGTCACCCAGGCTGGAGTAGAGTGCAGTGGCATAATCACGGCTCACTGTAGCCTCTAATTCCTAGGCTCAAGCAATCTTCTCGCCTCAGCCTCCAGAGTAACAGGGACTACTGGTGTGTGCCACCACACCTGGCTAATTTTTAAACTTTTTTTAGAAACAGGGTCTCGCTGTGTTCCCCACAGTGATCTCAGACTCCTGGCATCAGGCAATCCTCCTGCCTCAGCCTTCTGAATTGCTGAGATTACAGGCGTGAGCCATTGCTAATTCATCCTTTAAAATCACTAATATTTACTGAGCATCTACTGCTATATATTCATGATCGCACTCGATAGAAAACATAAAATAACAGAGACACCTTGTTAAGGTTGCAAATGTCCATTTCACTTCTTCTATAGAAAAGGTCACTGGATGTGGTGGCTCATACCTGTAATCCCAGCACTTTGGGAAGCCAAGGTGGGCAGATGGCTTGAGGTCAGGAGTTTGAGACCAGCCTGGGCAACATAATGAGACCTTGTCTCCACACACACACACAAAAAAATACAAAAATTAGCTGGGCGTGGTGGCATGTGCCTGTAGCCCCAGCTACTTAGGAAGCTGAGGTGGGAGGATCACTTGAGCCCAGGAGGCAGAGGTTGCAGTGAGCCAAGATCGTGCCACTGCACTCCAGCCTGGGCAACAGAGTGAGACCCTGTCTCCAAACAAACAAACAAAAAAACTGTAAAGGCCAACTCTACTTTTACAGTACAATCACAACTCAAGAAACCCTGGTAACTTTCAACAGCAATAAAAACAAGGTTTGTGAGCTCATGAAATGATCTAATATACAGCTTCAGCGGCCTCTTACAGGATAATGACCCCATCACCTCTTCTTCATCTGCCTGACTACTCTGATATCAAAAAAAAGGGGCTGGGCACGGTGGCTCACACCTGTAATCCCAGCACTTTGGGAGGCCAATGCAGGCAGATCATGAGGTCAAGAGATTGAGACCATCCTGGCCAACATGGTGAAACCTTGTCTCTACTAAAAATACAAAAATTAGCTGGGCATGGTGGCATATGCCTGTAGTCCCAGCTACTCGGGAGGCTGAGGCAGGAGAATTGCTTGAAGCCGGGAGGTGGAGGTTGCAGTGAGCCGACAGCACACCCCTGCACTCCAGCCTGGTGAGAGCGAGACTCTGTCTCAAAAAAAAAAAAGAAGGTTGGGAGGACAGATCCAGTTTGTCAGAGGAATTACTTGAACTAGCTGAGTCCTTCACTATATAAAAATGTTTTACTTAATATAACTATTTCAAAATTAACAGGCAAAACCCCACCAGAATGGTCTTTCAACAAACTGAAAAATTTATCAACAGTGTCTTCTTCAAGTACTCTGCAGCCTAAGTTTTAAATGAACTAGTTCTAGAATATGATGTCATGTTTATCCACCAAGTCATAAAATCTCTGTATTACCCCCTCATAGAATTTTTGTACTAGGAATTACCTTGGAGATCATTTAGTTCAATACCTTTATTTTATACACAGTGAGGTGGCGGCCCAAAGAATTCAGCTGACTTGCTTGATGCTCTTTCTTGTGTCTGACAATGTTCCTCCATACTCACAGCACTTTAGACGTTAGAAGAACCTAATGACATCTGTGGGAGGCAAAAGCTACTCGACTATTTTTACAGAATCCTGGAGCAGAAAGGCTTCTGAGATCACAGAGTTACAAATTCCTACCAAATGATTCAATTCTGTTTACATCATCCCTCAAAATCATCAAGTTTACTCAAGCATCTAAATAAGAAACAGCATATTCCATTTTTCAAAATAATCACAACTTTTGGGAATGACTCTCATCTTTTGATCCAAAAGCTATGTCCAGTAACTTCTTACTGACCCTCCCGCTAGTCTCTGGAGTTAGGAAGACTGACACAAGCAATGTAAACACTTTTCTATGAGAGTTTCCACAAGCATAAGGATAATGACCCTATGCCTACAAAGCATACACATCCCCAGCTTATTTAATCAGTTCTCCTAAGACCTGCTATCCAGGCCCCTCACTGCCACAGGTGTTATCTATGTCTTCGTAAAAAGCAGCACCCAGAAGTGGCTGGGAATGGCCAGATCAGTCCTGACTAAGTGTAAACATCACCTCTCCTGATCTGAGTGCTACATATCTGGTAATTTAGCCTACAAATAAACTGCATTCTGACAGACACGTTAGTTGGTTTAAACTGAGTCAACTACAACTATGAGGTGAATGGCATGAGTCTCTTTCACCCTGTGCTGAAGAGGCTGGATTTTATCTATAATGGGCCTCCCTTCAACTGTTTCCCTGTTATTCAAGTACTCACACAGCCTCTGACTCAGGCAGCCTCTCGACTGAAAACGGCGACTAATCCAGTCCACTCCACATCCTGGACTGTCACTCACCCCCACGCCACAGAAACCTGTTTCTTTCTCATAAGCTGTGGATAAGGTGGAATGTGTAAACTACTCCCTGATACCAAGTTTCCAGGTAAAAAGCACTGTCAAAGTTGACACTATTTTCCTTAAAACATTTAAAAACCCATACTTTTACATGCAAAATCAATATAAAATCATCAGTAACTTGGTCTTTTTTTTGGTTAAGGTTTATTGCTTCAGTCTCTTTCAAAGAATTTTTTGATACTTAAACCTTTACAGAAAAATTTATAAAGTTCCACAGATATCAACAATTCATAAATTCCAAGGGGCTTTTGGATAGTTTTTTTTAATCACTATAAAAAATTTCACTTCCCATTTAAAACAAAAAAAAACACAAAGTGCACACACGTACACGAGGCTAACTGCTCATTACATGCTCAGTCACAGGGTGACAGAGAAAAAAAAAGTCACCACCATAAAAGGAGGTCTGCACAGCCTCTCTTAAAACAACATGCCACAGTTAAAACTTACTTCAGTTTGGACAACTACTCACAGCTACTACACAGAGACCCGAACGAGTCACTGATATGTAAGTACAAGATCTTTTGCTTTTTCAACAAACTTTTTAAAGAAAAACTTTAAAAGCCTAAGTTTTAAGGTAAAAGGTAAAAAGGAAAACAATCTATTTAAGAACAAGCTACCATCACTTCTAACAAAAATTATATTAATAATGTAAGTTTACTCTCTCTGCTGACTGGTAGGTCTAGTTAGTTCTTATAAAGTTGACTGAAAGCGATGGGTCCACCAGAAATATCTTTGTCAAAAAATAGGGCTCACTTCATGTACTACTGTATAAACTCACAATGACAAAAGACAGTATCAAGCAAAACTATGCAAATAATGCCAATATTTCAGGATAACTTAGTATGAAGGAAAAGGAACAAAGTTATTTTAATATAGAATATTCCTATGCTATAGGAATTATTAGAAATATAAGATTATTTCTCAGGATAGAATCTCAGGGGTAGAATTCCTAGGGCAAAGGGTATATTTTCTAAAGCTTTAGATATAAAACGGTACTTTTTGGTCTACAAAAACATTTTACCAATTTACCCTCCCGCCAGCAAAGAGTACCAATCTTTGCTTTTTAAATGCTAAATACTACTAATTAGATAAGTGAAAAAAAAGTCTGTTGTGTGGTTTATACTTGTGTTTACTTAGACTAAACGTATCTTTTCTATGTGCCTGAGGGGAAAAAATCACAATGAATTCTATGCAGTGCTTTGGCAACATTTATGTCCAGGTTGGGAATGGTGGTAACAGAAACTTGGCAAAATAGAAGCTGTGAAGAGACTTCCTTTAAAGGGCAGTGAGGGTTTTATATATGTGTGTTTGTGTGTGTGTTGGGGGAGGGGGGCGTGGTATTTTGTTTTTTTGGTGTCACTCTGAGTACAATATAGTGTAATAAGAGCAAGGGCTCTGAAATCAGGATCAAATGAAATTTACAAGCTGTGTGGCCCCCCCACACACAAGTTACCTAATATCTGGCTTCAGCTGCTTTACCTGTAAAATGGGGAGTATTACTACTGCCAAGTCCTTACAACATTGCCTCTCATTATAAGTGCTAAAAAACTGTCTCCCATCATTCTTCTCCCATCTCTCTGGCCACTGACGTACCAGAGGGTGAATCCAACAGATATGTTATGGATATTTTACATAAAGACCCTGAATCAGGCTGGGTGTGGTGGCTCACTCCTGTAATCCCAGCACTTTGGGAGGCCGAGGCAGGCGGATCACCTGAGATCAGGAGTTCGAGACCAGCCTGGCCAACATGGTGAAACCCCATCTCTACTAAAAATATAAAAGTTAGCCAGGCACGGTGGCACTCACCTATAATCCCAGCTACTCAAGAGGGTGAGGCAGGAGAATCCCTTGAACCTGGGAGGCGGAGGTTGCAGTGAGCCGAGATTGCGCCACTGCACTCTAGCCTGGGCGACCATGCGAGACTCTGTCTCGATAGATAAATAAATAAATAAATAAATGGCCCTGAGTCTATGGATGATCACACATCTAACTGTGCTTACTGGTAGGACTGCACACTTCTTATATTTTAGCATGTTTTCTCTCTGCGGGTTCACTGCACTTTTTGGACATAAAACCACAAAGAATATGCTACTCCACAAAATGTTCACTCACATGTTTATGTATCGCGTTAGTGACAATGGTAATGATCCCTTGCATAAATTACTTTCATCTGGCTTCCTAGAGCTAATTAGTACCATGACCAGTCAGTTAATGGAATAAATATTAACTCAGGTTTCTATATGACTTTAATTCATTTATTTATTCTATAGATATTTACTAGATATCTATTGTAGGTTGGTTCTGTAGCATTCTATAGGATAAAATGTTGGATGAGATCAAGTCATCATCCTCAAGAAGCTTACATTTAAAAGAGCTTCGCACCTAATAAAGCCGTTTACAGGGATACTTTTCTCTCTGCTATGGTTAAGACCTGCTGGAGTTGTTAGGCAGCCCTGGACGTGGCCTGTGTAGAGGACGCGTGGTGTTCTCCAGTCTGGGGGGTTTATCACCTTCTCAAGAAGTCTGGGCATTGTATAAAATGAGATAACACATGTGAGAATCCTCTGAAAGCTGTGACAGTAACACAGATGGCTGTGGTGTTTTGGAAGCCCAAAGAGAAGAATAAAAATATTTTGTTAAATCTCTGCAAATATCTAAAAAGTAGTTTAAAAATCAATTAACAGCATAAAAGCCTATTCTAGATATTCACCATCTTTTTTCAATCGAAATTTCAGTCTAAATTGTTTTATTATTAAAATACTGTTAAAACAGTACTCTAAATCCATTTATAAAACCTTTACTTACTTTAAAATATGCTACAAATAAACTAATAAACTCCTTCATTTGAATCAACATCTCTTCCTCCCTGCTCCCATTCCCTTCCCCCAGTTCTCCTAGTCTCTCTTGTTCAGATAGGTATGAGTTAGTGTACGTTAAGGTTTTGAGATGCCTTCCTATTTTACTTGTTTTCTACCCATAATAGCAGATCACGTCGGAAATAGGAGATAAAATGTATTGTACTGAATGTGACTTCTGAAGCCAAACTGCCTGGGTCTGAATCCTAACATTTAACAGCTAGGTCTTTGGTCACTTAAGTGCCCTGGTGCCTCCGTTTCACCTTCTGTCAATGGACTTGTGAAAGTTCTGAGAGGATTCAATGAGTAAACACACATAGAGTGCCCAGGGCAGTGCCTGGAACACAGTCTCTGCTTAGTAATTTTAATTGATTATTATTCATCAAGGGCTTACTGGGGTGTAATAAAGAACCTTTCATTAAGGATTAAGAAAGCTGCAATGTTGCTATTCTTTAACTAATGGGTATTTATTGAATATCGATCATACATCACCTAGAGATACAAGAAATTAACACCATAGGGTCCCCACTCACAGTACTTCACAGGCTCATGGGAGACAGGGAAGAAAATCAATGATGCAGACACTATGACAGAGCACAGCACTCTCACAAATACACCCACACTGCCTTTCAGAGGATGGAGAACAGGAATGCTCCTGGGATACTTAGAACTAAGGCTTGAAGGAAAGTAAGAGCTAAGGATACAGGATAGGGGCCAGAGGACATCAAACAGAGGGAAGAATGTTACCGGGCACAGAGTTGTGAGGGAACGTGGGATATCCAAAGGTTCTAAGTAATTTTGCATGCCTGGAGCCAGGCCACGATCAGGGGAAGCTGACCAGCAACCCTCCTGAAGAAGGAATGGAGCTCAGATCATGAGGGAACTTGTGTGTCATGACACAGAGCTTGTGGTTTGCCTGGGGTTGGATGGGCCCCGTTTGAGAGCCTGGCGGGAAGCTGCTGCCGTGGCTGCGGGCAGAAGGGCGGGAATGGCACACAACAGGCAGACAGACAGACACGGATGTGCAGCAGAGCACAAGGCTGAGGCACAGGGACTGCTCGCTGACCAGAGGCAGCAGGTGAGGGAGAACACGGAGTCCTGGGCGCCTTCACGACCCCTGCCTTGAGTACCACAGTAAGATCCCTGAGCGAATGACCGAGTTGACCTGGAATTCAGTTTATCCATAAAATAATGATATTTAATGTTCCTCCCTAATTTCCATCTGATAAGAGACAAAAACAAAATTGAAACTCCTTGAACTTGAAAGAGAAAAGGTACATATTATTTCCAGAAACATTCAGGACTCAGAGGAGAAATATTATAGACACAGAGCTTCATTATAAAGAGCCTTTTTATATTATGCAGTTTTCCCACATGCTGCATCCTACAAATCATGCCAGATACAAACACAGAATATCTTTCTTACACTAAAATGAGTATTATGGTGGGATTCTTAGTTTCTTAGTTCTCTAAACATATGTCATCTTCATCTTCAATAACTTCCATACTTTTCAATATAAAAGCCACCAAAAGCCACATAGGTGGCTTTTACCAGTGAAAGGTGAAAGAAAATAACTAGAATATGTGAAACCCCAAATGTGCAAGTGGGTGTTCAACCAAAGAATTCCCGTGCTCAAGCACCTTTCCATCATTTCCAAGGAGCGCGTCTATGAAGCCGAAGTGGGTCTTTGCTGCACATCCACTGGGTTCAGGACACATATAAAGCACAAAGAGGAAACAGTAGACTGCTAAACCCTTTTTCAGTCTTGAAGATGTTTTTCTGTCTTTTTCTGTCTTGAAGAAGTTCTCTGTACTTGGTCCTATAAATGGCCTTTCGCAGATCTATTGGGAGCTGGTCTGACCCAGGATATGCAATGGGGTTGGCAGGCTGGTCACAGAGCTCCTCAATAAGGCTGCCTCTACTAAGCCCCTCGGCTAGTCACACTCCATAAGCCAGAAAGCAAGCCCCCAGGAGGCAGGGGAGGTCCCCCAAACAGACGGACCACAGTCAACTCTATGCTGAATATCATTGTTCTCAATCCTTCTAAAAAATGAATCATGGACATAAACATAGCTATCAATTTAGGACTCAAAGTTGGCTGGGAAAAAGTCACCTTACAGTGTACAAAGATGTATTTAACCAGGCCACAGAGGCATGTACTGACTACTGTGACAGTTGGTTAGCAGCGTATTATTAATAGAATGGACAATTTGACTTTACTAATGAAGCACCAGGAGGCTCTGACTATGCTGGTCACAGCTCCACAGCAGTGCAGGTTCCTCTTGCACACCAGGAATGCATGTTTCCCACTGTCCATTTTACAGGCAAACAACACCCATAATCCCTCAGATGATGGCTGTTTAGTCAATGAAAAAGGTGATGAGAAAAATCACTAGTTGAATGCTAGGACCCAGTATGTGTGACACTGGGCCAAATTTAGATGCCCCTGTTTGAACAAGAAGGCGTTTTCAAATAATTGACAAATACTTATCAAACCAGGTAACCAGAGGAAGAAGTAATGAATGATTTCTTTCTTCCCTGGAGCAGGTTTGTTCTCAAGGGAGCTGAAACAGCCCCAGCTTGCCATCCTGATACATCTGTGCTTATCTTTATTTCCTCAGTAGAACCATATCTTTGAAATTTCAATTAACCCTGAGCTTTCATCTTCCCCCTCCTTTCCAATGATTTTATTTCTCCCTGCTCCAGAAATTTTTCCTCAGTCTTAACCTTTCCTCAAAGTAGCCAAGGACAGTGTATCAGATCAAACACTCCTCACTTAACAATATACACATATAATTAGTATCTGTGTGGCTGCATCTGGGTGGCTCCCCTGGCTGTTTTTGAAAGTGAGCTTCTGGAAGTTCCTCTTTGGTACATCCACTGTGGGCACATTGATTTAGGTCACCTCTCTGTATAAGCTGACTCTAGAGAAGACTTGACCTACAGAGAAGTCACCTCCAATTGGTGATCATCTCAGCACAACTTGACCCATTCCAGTCATTGCTAGTGGCTACAATTAAACAGAATTCCTAGGTAAGCCCCTTTTCATTCAAGGTGTTGATGATTATTAAAATAAATAAATATTAGAGGGCAAAGGTGACATTTCAGCAAAAACCAAAAGCTGTTATTCTAGCACCAACTAAATCCCCGAATATGGTAAAGGTTTTGTTCTGTTTCTGCCCAAATTAAAGGCTAAGAAAACACTTTAATTACTTGAACGAGTAAATTAGGACCATGGAAGGTACATGTCCTCTGTGAAAAATCACAAATCCCTCCAAGTGGGTATCTAGGGATTTTCTTAGATGCTAAATAAATGAGTTTTGGGGGGCCTTTTATTTTTTTTTCCTTTTGCGGCTAGAAAGAACCTGTCAGTTCATGTCAACATGTCCGGTTATGCAAAAATGAGATGATAATATCTCAAGAAGTGTTAGCAACTCTATTAGCAATGAAATACATTCTAGAGAAAAAAACACACAGGCTCACTTCTCAAAGCATAAGTAAAAATACTTTGGAAGATATTTTGCTGAGGAAGAAACTTACTGTTTTACACATGTTAGGATAACAGTAAAGTTAAAAGGACCAAGTACTGCATTACAGAGGCAAAACTGGGATTGTCTCCTTTGTTTACCAATAAAAATAAGAGAATGGCATAGATGGCTTCCAGGGTGGCTCCCAGCAGAAGGTACAGGAGCCTTGAAGGCCGACAGGGCCCTGTTCCACAGGTGGAACCTGAATAAGGATCCAGGCTTCCTGTGGCCCAGTCATTATCCATGCCCTCCAGGGAAAGGCCTCTGTCCTGACTCCTGTCCCTCAGTGTGGGCAGCACGAAGGACGGCTGAGGGGCCACGTGCATCTTTTCATTAGAATGCATTATGAGGAAGCTATAATTCTGATATTAGTGTTCTAAAGAAAAAAGATTTAGAACTAACATTTCTTTGGGCTTTTCCCTAGGCAATACAATGATAAATGATAATACTTTCTAGTATACCTTAGTTTATATAAATATATCTTAAATAACATGTCAGAAGCTGCTGCCTAATAATTAAAATGTAAAATACTTAAAATATACTTAAGAATAAATTTTCTACCTGAAAATAATTAAAAGATAACTATACTATCCAAATATTGACACTGGTGCACTGTAATGCACAAAGTGAGCAGAGTACTGCTGTGTATGAGGAGGAACCCAGCACATACTGCTATGCATGTGAAAAAATCCTGAGGAACACCTCACTCAGATAACAGCACATGTTCAACGCTATATATTCACCCTTCAGTTCCAGACCCTCTAATACAAAAAGGTACCATCTCTGTATTCCCAGCATCTAGCACATGGAGGCACTAAAAACCATTTTCCTGCTGAATGAAAGAATGGACTTAATTCAAGTTTCAGAAAGGAATCCTTAAGATGATTAAAGGAAGATATAAAGTAATATCTCTAAGGGAAGATTATAATAAATTGGGACTGGCTGATATAAGAATGGGATAGTAACAGTCACGCATATGAAAGGATTTTCCTCTCAATTTGGGATCATAAAATTGGCTAAAACTACCACATTAATAACACAGGATAAATATAAGCAAGAACTAAAGTGACATATTAGGGCCAGCTAGCGGAATCATCCTTCAAGAGGTTACTAAACATCCAAATATCCAAAGCATGCATTTACCTTTACCTAAGATCATTTCCAAGCCATCCCACTTACACGTCCACATTCTGCAAATGCCTTTCTTTGGCCACCTCCAGTGCACAACGGTCGTCAGTTAAGGACCCTCAACAGGCTACCCTTGGAGCTCAATGATGTGTGGCCACAAGTGGCTTCCCATTTGGGAAGGCACCTCTCCTGGAAGTGGGCACCCCCTGCCCTTAGAAGGAGTTGTCCCTTTGCTCTGGAGCAGCTGGGCAATGTTGCGCATGTGCCATGATATAGTTGAGGATGGCCCTTAGAGCCTAGACCACTTTGAAACCACAAGCCCTCAGTTCTTTAAGGGCAGCATGAAACAGCTGCCTGTGCTAAGGACTGAACAGAGGAAGAAACCTGAAGCCAGGTCATCACAGAGAGGGATCTAGCATGGCATTTAAGCCCAGCGTGGCTTTTAAGAACCACTCCAATTTTTTTCCTGTGCAAAATATAAAATTGATATTTATTGTCAGTTTTATCACCTGCGAAGTAGATAAGGGGTAGCAATGCTCAAGCTCATAGGGCTGCTGTGAGGTTTCTACATGATGACACAATGCAAAGGTACACAACTAGTAAGTCAATGCAGAAATCTGAAAAAGGAACACTGAACAGCAAGCTTTGAAAAGCATGTCAGATAACAAGGTTTTTACAAGAAAAGGGGAACTAAAATTTTTTCCCATTAAAATTTTTTTTACCTATTTATTCATTCCAGTCACTGACTAGAAATGAACATTCTGAATAGAAACGTTCAGCATTAAAAATCTAGAATATATGAGTAAAGCCCCAAAATTACTCATACAAAATTATGTTTTGGCATACAGACATCTTTCTGTGTGTGTGTGTGCGTGTGTGTGTGTATTTGCTTCCCTACCTCCCAAAAAAGTGGCATGTTGTATAATCTGCTTTCCTCACTTAACATAATTCCCAGTCAAGAAACAGGCATTTTCATGTTGCCATTTTCAGAGCTGCACTGTATTCACTGCATGGCTGTATTCCTGTATTCTACTGTATGGCTATGCCATAAAATATTTAATCCCCTAATGAAGGATATTTGAACTGTTTATAAACTATGTAAAACATTCTTGAACTTTTTTCTGAAACTCCTGCAATCTCTGGCTCTGCTAGATGCTGCATCTTATTTGGTGATGCAGTCAGACACGCATTTGTATACAAACTGGCAAGCAATGGCACCTCTGAGTGTCACATAAGTGTTACTTTCCTAATTTCTACAATAATAATTATTCATATGGAGGATTTGCAGACTCTACAGTGAAGTATTTTTTTCCTGCCATGTATTTTAAAGGCAATTCCCATGAATCTGCTTAGAAATACTCAAAAATATACATTTAGATTTTTGGAAAAAAATACATTTTCAAAGAACTTAGAAAAAAATACATTTTCAAAGAACTTAGAAAAATATTAATAAAAGTTATTGTTGCCTATTCCAAAGCTGCAACCCTTGCCTGGAATTTTCACCTCTCTCTTGTGTCTAGTCCTAGTTCCTGAAAAGCTGCTTTTCACATGAAGCCTTTCCCAACTAAATGGAAAAATCTTTTTCTACTTTTATTCCACAATGAAATCCCTATGATTTTCTATTTAAGAACCACTCCATTTTTTTTCCTGCACAAAATGTAAAACTGATATTTATTGTCTTTTATATTTCATTAATTTCTGCAGTTATCTCTATTGTTTTCTTCCACTTGCTTTGGACAAACAGTTCTTTTCTAGCTTCTTGAACTGTATATTTAACATATATTTTAAATCTTTCCTTTTTTAAATAAATGCATTCAAGGCTTTATATCTATCTCAGATTGCCTTATCTGCATCCCACAGTTTTCACAGGTAGTACTTTCATCATTTAGTTCTAAGCATTTCGAAATTTCCACTGTGATTTCTTCTTTAACCCATGAGTTCCTTAGAAGTGTATTTTTTCATTTCCAAACTTATCCTTTATCTTTTTATCATTGGTTTATAATTTAGCTGCACTGTAGTCAAGCAATGTGATCAGAAAATAACTATTTTCTGAAAGCTTTGAGTCTTCTGGTGACCTAGCACATGGTCAAATTTGCATATATGCTCATGTGTCTTCAGTACAAGTTCTGTTAGCTTTTAAATCATGTTGAGTAAATAAGTCTTTAATCTCTTTTCTATCTAGCACATCATAATAGAAATGTGTTAAGATCTCCCACCATGGTTGTGAATTTGCCAATTTCTCCTTCAAATTCCGTCAAATTTTGCTGTTACATGCAAATTTCATGATTATTTTTATATTCTTTGTAGACTGTTCTTTTTAACCTTTGCAGTGACCCTCTGTATTCCTATTAATATTGAATTTGCCTTGAATTCTATTTTTTCTGATGTTAATACTGCCATACTACCTTTTTATTGGTTGGGATTTGCCTGGTATGTATTTTCTCTTGCCTTTATTCTCAACCTTTCTTTATCACTTTGAGCTGTATCTCTTCTAAGCAGCAAACAGCTGGAATTTTTTTTTTTTTAATCTAAACCGATAGTCTCTGTCCTGTAATAGGCAAGCTCAACCCATTTAAGTTTGTTGTGACACATCCCTACCCTCTTGTGTTTTCTACTTACCATCCTCATTCTTTGTTTTTTTCCCATTGTCTCTTTTCTGGATAATAAAATGTTTTATTTCCATTTTTGCTCTCTTTTGCTTTAGGTTTTATTTCCATTTAGGTTATAATGACTAACCTATCAACACTGTACAGAATGCATACCTCTAACATAACATGACCACAATCCTCTGCTAACCCTCAGTGTCTATGAACATCTCAGTTTTAAGGTTGTTAGAATGAAGTTAGCTGAGATCCAAGTCATTTAATACAGCAGGGAGAGAAGCAGATTTGCAGACAGTGCTTTTGATCAGGGTAGAGATAGTCTTTAAGGAAATACTGTATAGTTCTTTAAATATACAGTAGCAACATCACTAGATATGCTGAAAGTGCCCCTTAATTTTGGTGACTTCCAGGTGAGATTTATGTACACACAGTTCTATCAGAGGAATTATTTTTCTTTTAAAAATAATCACACAGGATTTATTGCTCTGTTCTTCCTGCTTTAATCAAAGTTTACCCTCATCTACAGAACTTTATTGTAGGAGTTTTCCATTTTTCAATTTAGTACTTAAAATTTCTGCTTTAACATTATTTATAACAAGAAAAGAATTGGAAAGAATCCAAAAGTTCATCAAGGGAGTAGCTAAGCAAATTATGCATTGACACATTGGAAGACTGTAGAATATCTATCAAATGTTTATATAAAATATACACGACAAATATATACATTGCACTGACATGAAGATGTTTGGTGAATAAAGCAAGAAACAAAATATAAAGTGTGATGCTTGCTACTATGTGCAAAGGTAGAAGTATAGATTGCATGGATCCATGGAGTACTTGCAGATTGATAGAGTTTTAAAATTTAATAATTTCCCCTTGAAGTAGCTTAAGTCTTTTTCTCTCTCATTTTCTTTATCTTTCTTCTTTTTTTGTCATTTTAGTCATGGTTGTTGCGGTCGTCGTCTTCTTCTTTTTAAAAAGAAAATCTAACTTTCAGTTCCTAACATGGACTAAGCCTATTTCTCAGACTTTTAGGTTAACACAAATCAGATCACTGTGGTAAGTTCATATTTCACTACATAAATGTGGTGACTGATTTCATTTCCTGGCAGTGATATGCATTTGGTTAAAAAAAAATCCAACTGAAATTAAATTTAAAAGCAAAGCTTAATGCCTGTCTGAAATGTGGGGTGCTTTACTTAACCAGACAATGATTCAAAAAAGGGAAGGGGAATTTCTGCCTAAAAATTTAGTGCATTCCCTTCTGTCACAAAAGTGCGTTTGCCCTATTTAAATGGTTCTGTTTCCTTTGCCAGAGCTTTGCCAAAGTCAGCAAATTGTGAGAGTAAAAACACAAATTTTATTCTGTTCTTCCTGTTATCATATATGTAACCATATTATAATTATAAACTGTTAAAAATTGCATGTCATGAAATTTTAAAACTTAGATATATAAAAGACAGTTTGGATTGCTTTGATACATTATTTAAACTTTTTTAAAACTAATGAGTAATCAAACTGAATACATATGCTTTTACTTATATGATCCTTCTTGGTTTTTTTCTAGACACCTGGACCACCACCAATGGATATACAAATGGCAAACAATTTTACTCCGCCCTCTGCAACTCCTCAGGGAAATGACTGTGACCTCTATGCACATCACAGCACGGCCAGGATAGTAATGCCTCTGCATTACAGCCTCGTCTTCATCATTGGGCTCGTGGGAAACTTACTAGCCTTGGTCGTCATTGTTCAAAACAGGAAAAAAATCAACTCTACCACCCTCTATTCAACAAATTTGGTGATTTCTGATATACTTTTTACCACCGCTTTGCCTACACGAATAGCCTACTATGCAATGGGCTTTGACTGGAGAATCGGAGATGCCTTGTGTAGGATAACTGCGCTAGTGTTTTACATCAACACATATGCAGGTGTGAACTTTATGACCTGCCTGAGTATTGACCGCTTCATTGCTGTGGTGCACCCTCTACGCTACAACAAGATAAAAAGGATTGAACATGCAAAAGGCGTGTGCATATTTGTCTGGATTCTAGTATTTGCTCAGACACTCCCACTCCTCATCAACCCTATGTCAAAGCAGGAGGCTGAAAGGATTACATGCATGGAGTATCCAAACTTTGAAGAAACTAAATCTCTTCCCTGGATTCTGCTTGGGGCATGTTTCATAGGATATGTACTTCCACTTATAATCATTCTCATCTGCTATTCTCAGATCTGCTGCAAACTCTTCAGAACTGCCAAACAAAACCCACTCACTGAGAAATCTGGTGTAAACAAAAAGGCTCTCAACACAATTATTCTTATTATTGTTGTGTTTGTTCTCTGTTTCACACCTTACCATGTTGCAATTATTCAACATATGATTAAGAAGCTTCGTTTCTCTAATTTCCTGGAATGTAGCCAAAGACATTCGTTCCAGATTTCTCTGCACTTTACAGTATGCCTGATGAACTTCAATTGCTGCATGGACCCTTTTATCTACTTCTTTGCATGTAAAGGGTATAAGAGAAAGGTTATGAGGATGCTGAAACGGCAAGTCAGTGTATCGATTTCTAGTGCTGTGAAGTCAGCCCCTGAAGAAAATTCACGTGAAATGACAGAAACGCAGATGATGATACATTCCAAGTCTTCAAATGGAAAGTGAAATGGATTGTATTTTGGTTTATAGTGACGTAAACTGTATGACAAACTTTGCAGGACTTCCCTTATAAAGCAAAATAATTGTTCAGCTTCCAATTAGTATTCTTTTATATTTCTTTCATTGGGCACTTTCCCATCTCCAACTCGGAAGTAAGCCCAAGAGAACAACATAAAGCAAACAACATAAAGCACAATAAAAATGCAAATAAATATTTCATTTTTATTTGTAAACGAATACACCAAAAGGAGGCGCTCTTAATAACTCCCAATGTAAAAAGTTTTGTTTTAATAAAAAATTTAATTATTATTTCTTGCCAACAAATGGCTAGAAAGGACTGAATAGATTATATATTGCCAGATGTTAATACTGTAACATACTTTTTAAATAACATATTTCTTAAATCCAAATTTCTCTCAATGTTAGATTTAATTCCCTCAATAACACCAATGTTTTGTTTTGTTTCGTTCTGGGTCATAAAACTTTGTTAAGGAACTCTTTTGGAATAAAGAGCAGGATGCTGCAAAGTTATGAGTCTGTCCCTCAATGCTCCCTGTCAACTATCAGTGGGAGTGTCAGGGAAAAGATAATTGGCAATAGACTTTGAACTGCAACATTATAAATGATGATGATGATGACTGAGGCAATGAAAGCACTGAGCTTTTCCTGGAGCTGCCAGCACAGTCTTTTAGGGCCTCTGCTTAGCAATATGAAAAAGACTTTATATGGAGGTGCCCATTGGGAGGAGGGTCTGCTTGCTAAATTCATCTTGAGAATAAAAGACATGCCTATATGATTGGTTTTCTTGGGATCACTAGGGGATCATTTCTCTTTTCTTCCCCCAAGCTGTTAGTACTCTACATCTGTATTTCAATGGTTTGAGTTATCAAGTAGGAGAAGGGTGGTGCATGATGAGCAGTGAAAAATATAGCTGCTGCTTGCTAAATACGATCCGAGTAAAATGCAAACTTACAAAATTAAGCATCTTAGGATTCTTTACAATATTATATACTTGCTGAAATGAGTACCTTAGTATGAGTAGCATGACCTTTCCAGGTAGTCAACTGGTCTGCCTGTTCAAATTTGTTTTATCCCCAAAACTACCCCAATGCAGTATTCTCTGTTGGCAATGACACCAATTTTTATAATGGTAGATAAAGAAAATGTTAATTCTGAGTTGTACTTTAAAAATTTTTTTCAGAAAGGGGGTCTCACTCTGTTACACTTTAAATTTTTATTGGACTTTATATCCTGAAAATATTTTATTTAAAGTTCTCATCTTACCCATTTTCAACTTTTACTCTGTATGAAAATTAATCTTAATGGTTGATTCAACACCATTTACTAGTATATTCAGATTTCCATTACATTTATTTCACAAAGAGCCACCTGATTTTAAAGCCATTGTCAAAAATAGGCACTGGTCTTTGTAACATCTTATGCAGACAGGTGAGACAACACGGATGAAAGCCCAAATCTTACTGCCTTTCCTTCACTCCACCTCTAAACTTTCCCAAGTGAAGGAAAAGAAAGGGCAAAACAACAAATTGTATGTAAGTTGGCACTTAGGTAGTCATCTGAGTTGGATCTCTAAAGAGGAACCATCGTGAAGACTACTAAAGGAAAACCAAAAAGAAAGCTTCCTCCATTTCAGAGCTTCTCTGTGGTGCCCTGGTTCTGTGACTACACTGGAGTAGAGACGCCTTCTGGGATGTATGAGCCAACACACTGTCTTAGGGTAGGCAAGAGTCCTCTCTGGGCTAAGGGAGTCAATTCTTAGGATCCTACAAACAAGAGAGTAAATACCTATGGCATTTGACAACAGAATAACATTCTTTTATCTGTTCAGTTTTCTGCCTCCTCCCTCCACTATACCACAAATCTATATAAATGATTTTATCCAGTCATCAGCAACCATACTGCCAAAAAGGTAAACTCTAATCCTATCTCCAATTAATGTTTTCTTACAAGTCTGTACTCCAATCAAACTCAGCCAATAACTCCCCTTAAAGGCTGCCCATTCTACTCATCAAGCCACTGTTCATACACGGCTGTGGGCATCCTCTCACTGTCTTGTTATTAGTTAGCTTTACATTTATTTCCGGGGCATTCTCCTAACCAGGAGGTCAACTTGGAGAACAGGACAGGGCTGTATAATTGTTATATTCTGTTACAGAACATGACTTTATTATATAACATACTGTTTGAAAATCACAACCCTATAAGTATTTTCTCCATGAATCGGGTGATACATTATTAACAATTTTAAATAATAATTGGGAGCTAGAAAAACTAATCTGGGAAAATGGATCGTTATTATGGCAGTTGACCACATTAAAAAAAAAAACCCTCAAAGCTATTTAGTTTGGATCAGTGTAAATAAATTCACTGACTATTCAGCGAGAGGATAGTAAAAATAGAATAGTGTCAGATGTTAGAAATGGCATCATGTATATGTGAAGAGCTCAATAATTTATAAAACAGTCCATATATTATGTAACATCTTCCTTTCTACAATCCTGTGAAACAGGTTGAGCAAACAGTGTCACCCATACTTTATAAAGAAACCTAACTTCAGAACAGGCACCCTGATAAATTAAAGGCAGCATTAGGAATATAACCCCAGCTGGGCGCAGTGGCTCATGCCTGTAATCCCTGCACTTTGGGAGGCCGAGGCGGGTGAATCACGAGGTCAGGAGATTGAGACCATCCTGGCTAACATGGTGAAACCCGGTCTCTACTAAAAATACAAAAAAAAAAAAATTAGCTGGGCGTGGTGGTGGGCGCCTGTAGTCCCAGCTACTCAGGAGGCTGAGGCGGGAGAATGGCGTGAACCTGGGAGACGGAGCTTGCAGTGAGCAGAGATTGCACCACTGCACTCCAGTCTGGGTGACAGTGCGAGAGACTGTCTCAAAAAAAAAAGAAAAGAAAAAAAAAAGGAATGTAACCCCAATTCTGTATCCTGGCCATAAAGAAGACAACTCAATCATGTGGCCCCTGAAAAGGTGTTAGAAGCCTCGACTGCTTTATTACATGCTAGCCGACTTCATAATCCTTAAATAGGACAAATAACCCAACAATAGGTATAGATTATAAACTTGGCTAAGCTGTGGGCTCGGTGAGGGCAAGTGCCTCTTCTCTTATATATACAGCATTGCCATAGAACCTACACATTGAAGGTCCTCAAATATCTATTTAATTGATAACGTATGTTTTGTATTATTACTAATAAAATTCTAAAGCCCTACTGAAATATCTGTGAAGTTCTTAATTCTCAATGAAAAGAAACAACCCAAATATTCAATTACATATGCTAGAGCACGTGTGTAACTGAAGGCAGTTACACAATATAGAGCGTATGCCCTTGAAGATCCTGTAATTTAAATTAGACACATTAAAGGAGAGCGCTAATTAGCCAACAAGGCAATTTAAAACTAAATACAGAAATAATTTTATATTTCAAGAGGCAAGGGCAGACAGTGGCTCCTACCATTGAGTACAAGGTGGCATGCGATTTTAGAAGGGGAAGCACTGATCTTAAATTAGCCCTTAAAATGGTCTATTTTGGTTACTTTTTGGACCATTGTAATTTCTTATTCTCTTCATAGCTAAAAAATATTTGCTCACTGACTATTTGGGTGAAGAATGAGAAAATGAAAAGCATGTGGATTACAAGTGACCCGGTGACAAGGCCATTATTTTGAACCCAGGGAGGACTACATGAGTACTCATAAGAACTGCTGCCAATGGAAGGTTTTCATTAAACTCAGAAAAGCAGGTTGCTTAAAAGACAGCCCCCAAATTTCTATTCGATTAAGACCTTGCTGATCACTGACTACATGCCACTTTCCAAGTCCTCTACAGGCATCATCTTATTTAACCCTCACTACCTTAAGACATGGTATGACTATCATCCCCATCTTGCTGATGAGGAAACTATAGCAACAAGGTCACATGGTGTGGCAGAGCCGGTTTAATCCCACACTCTCCGGTCCCAGAACCTGTGGCCTGACTTGGAGCATTCATGCCACCACTTACTGAAACTTGGTTAGTAAGAGGTTCCACCCTGTAGCCTGAGCTCCATTCCTCCCTGTCCTATGTCCTCCAGGGCCTTGGACATCTCCCCATCACCACATCTGAATTCAATTCACCTTTCCCCTCAAGCCCCTGAATTTCTCTACAAACTCTACCTGCATTCTCTGTCACCCACATCTGATACTTTTCTCTCATTCATGGGATTCAGGTGGTGAACAAATCCCTACCTGGGTGCTCTCCTCTTAAATGCACTCTTCCCTATCTTTTCTTTTTCTTTCTTTCTTTCTTTTTTTTTTTTTTTTGGTGGTGAAACGGTGTCTCGCTGTCACCCAGGCTGGAGTGCAGTGGCGCAATCTTGGCTCACTGCAACCTCCACCTCCTGGGTTTAAATGATTCACCTGCCTCAGCCTCCTGAGCAGCTGGGATTACAGGTGCCCACCACTGCACCCAGCTAATTTTTGTATTTTTAGTGGAGATGAGTTTCACCATGTTGACCAGGCTGGTCTCAAACTCCTGACCTCAAGTGATCCACCTGCCTCGGCCTCCCAAAGTGCTGGGATTACAAGCGTAAACCACTGCGCCCGGCCTTGCCTGTTTTCTTTGCCCACTACCATCATCCTAGTCCAGACACTGGCCTTGGCACACCTAATTACAACCTCTTTCCCCCAGGCCTCTTGATGAGAGTCAGAAACTTTAGCCTTTCTTTAGGATGCTGTACCAGAAGCCAGCAGATTAACAATAATAAATACTTGCTAACAATTATATAGCATAGTGCTTTAAGCACTTTACATATAAAGTGCTCATTCAAATCTCACAAGAATGCTGTGAGGCTTGTTCTATTTATCAGTCGCACTTTCCAGATGATGAAACTATGCTCCAGAGAGGTTGAGTAACTTGCCCACGGTCACACAGTCAGCAAGTGGGGAGCCAGGCTCTACACTCTGGGGTCTGGCTCCATGGTCTGCACTCTTCATCATCGTATTTTCTCTCTTAAACAAATAAACAGATATGTTCCAGGTCCTCAGAAAGCCTTAAAAGAGACACACACTGCTCACCAAATATCCTCAAGTTCCTTGGGGGTGGGGAGGAAGAGCAGGTGACTACCTCTGACCAATGGGTTGGGGGCAAAAGACGCGTGTGTCACTTCCAGCCCGAGGTGAGAGGGAGTGGCATTCTCCTCTGCCACAGTGTTTGGCAATGTTCTAGATGGTGGCACCTTTGTCAGCCTGGGTCCCTGAATGAGTAAGTGAGAACTCCCACCCCATGCCCCACCCAACTGCATTAGACAAGTGTGCAAACAAGAAACACACTGTGGATTAAGCCACTGTGATTTCAGGGTTATTTCGTGGCTGCAACATAAGCTAACCTGTTCTGATTAAAACAGTGTTTAACCTACTTGGAATGAAAAAAAAAAGACCAATACACAGAGTGTAAGAAAAGAAAAATGCAGACACTATCCAGTTCTCTTGGCAAACAATCTTCCTTAATCCCACTTTCATTGTGTCATTTCATGCTCAGGGATTGAGAATAGTTCCCCATGATCTACCACATCAAGTCCAAGTTCCTCTCCCACACTTTCGACTCCCTCCAACCTGATTTATCTCCATTGCCCAATATGGGCCTTTCAAGTTTGTCTAGTTGGTTTTGTCTGTCCTGTGGATAAAATGTTTGGTTCTCTCTAGTGGGATTCTCCTGCTTCCTCCCCTTCTTGTTTACACTTACATCCAAATCACACCGCCTCCCTTAATCCTTCTTTGACTACTCAAAGCCATCCATCTTCCTTTCCTCAACTTATCTGGCTTTTACAGTATATGCCACATAGTTTTAATTTAGATCTTACAACAAAGGAAGAAAAAAGACACTGGCCTGGAGATGGGTGGCCTGGTTCTGTCAGACTCCAACCCAGCTCCATCCCACTTTGTCCAGTCTTTGAGCCTTTCTAGACTTCAATTGTCTTGTCAGTGAAGTAAGTGTTAGATAATAGGCAAGCTCTTTGCCAGCCATCGTACGGTCTATGGTCTATTATTTCATGTGCAATATTCTTGTATCCCTCAAATGAAACATAAACTCCATTGGGGAAGAGACACTAGCTTTTCCTTCTTTCTATTCTGGATAGCACTGGGCATGACACCCTGAACATAGACAGTGCTCCAAAAAATACATGTTGACTATAGGTCATCAAATATTAGCTGAGGAGATTATATGATTTGTAGTTTTTAAGTATGGTAAGAGGTTGATATTATTACATGTCATAATTTGTTAGGCAGCAACAGATAACTAATACTTGCTTGGTACTAAAATGCTAATCATGGAAAATATATTAAATTAGAAATTAGAATGACATTTAAATCAGTCAGGATTTATTTTCCAAAATGAAACTTTTCTGTTGAGAGTATAAGAGGAGCACCACTAGCTTTTCCATTTCCTTCCACATGTAAAAAAGCAGCATATGACTGCTATGCTACTTTATCTCTGATAATGCATATCCAAATGGAGAGAAATCCTGGCAATACTGTAGTTGTTAGAAAGAAGAAGCTGTTTAAGAGGGCAATACAATAAATTATTTCCTTTTTGTTTCAAGAGTTCACCTTCCTCAAAAATTTTAAAGCTGTTGTCTATCTGCATGCTAACTGTGTGGCTTCTCGTAGTTAGTAATGCTCTTAGACATCCTGTCCACTCAACTGAAAACCACTCCAGAGCAGGGGCCACGTTACTTTCTGCCCCACATGGCACCTACTGCAACTGATCCAAAACAAGAACTCAAGTGCTTTTCTGATTGGCTTTTATCCATTTTCTCAGAGTGTTAAAACATTTATTTCTGGTTTCTGTACAAGAATGACTTTTCCCAGGCAGATTTTGAGAAGAAAAAAGTGTGTCAGAATGAAACTACATGGAGGCTACAAAAGGTTTGAGACCTAATCTAAAAAAAGTAACATTTTGATACGTTCTTATTGCTTGAGGGCAGCAGTCCCACAATTTTCCCATCAAGTCCTGGCATGAAGTATCAAATTTTTTGGCAGGGGCTACATAGTAAAAATGTATAAGGTTACTGCCTATATTAGCCTATAAAAATAAATGCAAACAGTATGTTTTAGCATATCATATATTATATGTTCAAGAGAGTAATGAAAGTATATGCAAGTGCCATTTCATGTATTATTGCTTATTATTTTCCCCAGTAAGGGAGCAAGGGCAAGAAGGTCCTAAAGTTGAACATTATTGGTTTGTTAAAAGAACAGCAGTTAAGGCTGCACGTGGTGGCTCACGCCTATAATCCCAGCACTTTGGCAGGCTGAGACAGGAGGCTCACTTGAGCCCAGGAATTGGAGATCAGCCTGGGCAACATGGCGAAACCTCGTCTCTACCAAAAAAAAAAAAAAAAAAAAAGAAAGAAAAAAAAAAGAAGAAAGAAAGATATTTTTCCTTACTCTTGTTACAACATGGGGTGGAGGCAGAAGTTCAGGGATGGGTTCAGAAAGAACTGAGGCTGGTGTGGGAGAATCACCTGAGCTCAGCAAGTCAAGGCTGCAGTTAGTCATGATCGTGCCACTGCACTTCAGCCTGGGTGAGAGTGAGACCCTGTCTCAAAATTTAAAAAAAAAAGAACAGCAGTTAAGAAGACGACATTATCAAAACAGACCCACAGGCCTGATACACATGTGACAAGAGATCAAGGCAATCCTGGTTCTCAGTCCCAACAATCTCCTATGAGCTCTACTTGAAACCTGGTACCTGCCTGTGCCTGCACCTGACACTCAGGCCTCTGGGGAGGCCCGTAGAGATACTGGCAAATCTGAGGCAAGGGCAGGGTTGAGGGACACTGCAGGCTAACACCATGCAGATTTTAGGAACCACATGGTAAAATGAAAAATGGAAACCAGTGTCCCATTAGGGATCCAACTGTCAAATTATTTGAAGTTTGTGTGTTTGAAAAAATGATTAAAAGGTGATGGGTACATGGTAGTCATTATACCATTCTCTCTGTATTTATGTATATTTGAAAATTTCTGTAATAAATTTCTAAAAATGGTAAGTATGTTCTCTAACACATGCCCTTACTCTTGTTACATCGGGGGTAGAGGCAGAAATTCAGGGATGGATTCAGAAAGAACTGAGACACAGTTACCAGTCTCCATCTCCAATCAGTTAAGCACAGCAATTCAAATCATAGGAGAATGGGACGCGCACTGGCCACATTCTAAGGTTACATGTGAGGGGAGTCTCAGCAGACCTTCAAGGAGTCCTAAGAATAACGTGGCAACAGCAAACTAAATTCTGCATGTTTGTACGTATAAGTGGGAGCTAAACATTGAATACACATGGACACGAAGATAGGAACAACAGAATAGACACTGGGGACTGCTTGTTGGGGGAGTGTGGGGTGATGGAGGTTGAAAAGCCACATATGGGGTACTATGGTCACTACCTGGGTGATGGGCTCATTTGTACCCCAAGCCTGAGTGACACACAATTTACCCATGTAATAAACCTGCATATGTACCCCCCGAACCTAAAAGTGGGAAAAAAATTAAAAATAAATAAATATTAAAAAAAAGAAGTCCTAATAAGAGATGGCTGGTGGTAACAAAGTCACCAGCAAAGAATAGGTTATACCAGAAAGCCACATGAAAAGATCAGCAAGGCTTCATAAACACACACACAATGTTCTTTGAGGAACTTGATCTCCTAACACAAAGGACCACAAGGAAGAACTATGTCCCAGTTCAAATCTAAATGTTTCAGATCCAGGTATGTTGCTTTGTATATATACATTTGAAGTCAAATATAAATGTTACATTCTTTTGATTAGCAGTTCTGTCAGCCAAGGTTCAGTTATAGATAACAGAAATCTTGTCAGCTATTTTGGGCAGCAGATTTAGTACACAGAATTCGGTGCTTATACAATTGCTGAAAAGGCTAGAAGGCCAGATCCAGCGCCTCCAGGAATAGACTCCTGGAACACATAAGGACTGGTCTACCAGGAGAACTGTTTCCTCTGACACACTGAGGCAGCTGGGAAATCACAAAAGTTAATTACATCAACTGTGAGCTCCAAGGTCAAACCACTTTGGCAGAGTCTAGGGATCAGGGAGTTTCAGGGAGTTGAACTGTGAACTCTGGCACCCCGTTGGATGTGTAGAACTGCACCAGGAAAATGGCTATCTCATATGCCTTGGCTCATACTGAATTCAAGAGCCACACGTTTTTCTGAATAATGGAACCTAAATCATATCCAGAACTCCAGGCAAGGGAGTTTAAGAAATAGAGCATTCAGCTTTCCAACCTCTGCTTTATGGGAAGTACACTAGGAGAACCCTGGAACAGATAATGAGCCAGCTGGCCGGGCATGGTGGCTCATGCCTATAATCCCAACACTCTGGGAGGCCAAGGCAGGAGGGTCACTTGAGGCCAGGAGTTTGAGACCAGCCTGGGCAACATAACGAGACGTTGTCTCTATAAAAAATTAAGAATTAGCTGGGCGTGGTGGCACATGCCTGTAGTCCTAGCTACTCAGGAGGCTAAGGCAGGAGGATCCCTTGAGCCCAGAAGTTTGACGTTACAGTGAGCTACAATCGCACCACTGCACTCCAGCCTGGGTGACAGAGCAAGACAATTGTCTCTTAAAAAAAAAAAAAAGAAGAAAGGTAATAATAAATAATGAGCCAGTTAATCTAGTATACCCACCATACCATTCTAATAAAGTACAAAAATACTCTACCAAAGGGAGGAAGAAGAGGAGGAAGAGGAGGAGCAGGAGGAGCAGCAGCAGCAGCAGCAGCTACTTAAGACACACCACAATCGAATGCAAAAGCAAATGTAAAAGGGCATTTCCAAGCTAATAGGATAAATGTGGAAACAGTAGTTTCAGTAGTAAATAATATTACAGAATTATGAATAATTTTGTTAGGTAAGGTAACATTATGGTTATATAAGAAATGCCATTTTAGAGCTTTCTGAAATATGAAATATGATATTATGATGTCTGGAAATTGCTTCAAAATACTTTTAAAATGCCAGGGAATGGAAAGAGGATAGCAAAAATGTTAATTACTGAATCTGGGTAATAGGGCTCATTTTATTCTCTCTGCTTGTGTCACTGAAATTTTTCATGAAAAAGTTATAAAATGTTATTCCAAGAGAAATACGAAAACTACACATTATTTTCATCTACTGCTTCACCTTCACAAACTTTAATTTTCCAGCAGCCTTAGAATATGTATCGTTTTCTGTAAGTCCTGGCTTACAGTCTTCAAAAATGCCAAGGTCGCCCAAGACAGACTGAGGAACAGTCCGGATTAAACAGTAAGGGGATGTACCAATGAAATGCAACATGTAATACTGAACCAGACGATGGACTAGAATTTTGATTTTCCTTTTTGCCATAAAGGACATTATTTGGACAATTGCCAGATGTGAATAAAGTAATACATACTCATGGTATTTTGGAGTCAAAGGGACATTATGTCTACAACTTGCTTTCAAATGATTCAGAAAAAATACTGTGTAGAGAGAAAATGATAACAGCAAATGCGGAAAATGTTAATAACGGGGGCATCTGGTTTTAGGGTATATGGGAGTTCTTTGTTTTATCCTTGCAACTTTTCTATAAACCAGAACTATTTTAAAATTTTCAAAAAGTATAAAACATAAGTGGCAGCATTTGGTAGCTACTGAAAAGAAACAGCAGTTTCTTCAGTCTATTAAATGAAAATACAAGTAATAGCTAAATAACTGGAGTGTCATATAGTGCTTCTTCAGGCCCCATTCATGGGGGCACTTCCCCCCAATTGGAACTTTTTTTCTTTGCATTGTGTGTTTATTTGTACTTCTTATTTTAGCAGCAAAGTTTGAATACAATCATATAAGTTGTCTTTGGACATTTACATTGCTAAAGTTGAAATACACAGCCTCAGTCTGGCAAGTTAAAATGCTCAAGTTGCTTCCTGCTATAGTGACCATTAACTAGACTGTTTTACCTTTAAAAATAAAGTGGCATTGGCCAGGCGTGGTGGCTCACGCCTGTTATCCCAGCACTTTGGGAGGCCAAGGCAGACAGATCACGAGGTCAGGAGTTTGAGACCAGCCTGACCTACATGGTGAAACACCGTCTCTATTAAAAATACAAAAATTAGCTGGGCGTGGTGGCACACGCCTGTAATTTCAGCTACTCAGGAGGCTGAGGCAGGAGAATAGCTTGAACCCGGGAGGCAGAGGCTGCAGTGAGCCGAGATAGCACCACTGCACTCTGGCCTGGGTAAAAGAGCAAGACTCAGTCTCAAAAAAAAAAAAAAAAAAAAAAAAAAAAAAAAAAAAAAAGGTGGCATTAAGGCATTAAGGAAATGTCTGAGCCACAATTCAGACAGGCATGAGTTTCCATCCAGGCTTGCCACTTAAGTAGCCGTCACTTAGTGACTCAATCCTCAGACCCTCAGCTTTCTCATGTAGAACACAGCAATAGCAACATCTACTCTTGCAAGTCTGCTTGTGGCTATTCATTTAAATCTGGCTATTCATTTAAATCAGGAACATATGTCAAACAAGGCTCTACGGTACAAAATTGTTCAATATAAATTTATTAAGATTTCTTAAGAGAAAGGGTAAATCCTGCTGTCAAAAAAAAATCTCCAAATGGAATGCGTAATGTTAACATTTCATAATGTTACTCCATATTTTTCCTTCATATTGTCACTGATATTAACAAACCTATCCTTGGTATTGTCATTTATTTATACAGCAAATAATTATCAAGTGTCTCTATGAACCAGCTGCTATTCTACACACTGGAATAACAGCTGAAAACCACACAGACCAAGTTGCTCTCTGAATCCTACATCCTAGAAGCCAATATTAAACATTAAGTAAGTAAACAAAATAATTTTAGGAGAGAGAACTGTAAAGTGTTGATTCTAGCTCTGGTGTACCCATGACTGATTATTTGCCTTCCTAAATATTCTCTGAGCTACTTTAATAAATTCCCTTTCTGCTGAATCAGCCAGAATTCATTCTATTACTTCAACTAACAATCCAGCCAAAACAGGGATGCCTATTCTCTTGTAACTGACAAAGCCTTTTTCCTTTAGTTCAGATAACAAAAGCACATTAGATTTCAAGCACATTAGATATTTCAGAACTCAACACATAACATATACCAAAAAATCCAACCCTAAGACAGGTATGAGATTATTTTTGTGTGCTGTATATTTTGCTATAGTTACCAAGACATGGTTAGCATTTTGAATTTTTTTTCTTAGAACAATACAATGATCTAAATCTAAAATCTTTCACAAGGTGCAACTTTCCAGTGATAAACAAGAACAGGAAGTGAATCTTGAATACAACCAGACTTCAAGTTCCCTTCACTATTAAAGTATCTCCTTTGCTGTCTGTTACCTGAGTCTCACTTAACCAGCGTTAAACTTCCATCATTCTAGCCCAACAGTTATAAATATCTTTATTTCTTTTTGAACAAAACATATTTCCTATTAGACTGGAAATTTTGACACACTCAAATGTTTGAAGTCCCAAGAGGAAGACAGCTAAAATAAAAGGAATTGAGCAGCAAAGCAACTCAGAAAAGCAGAAATGAAAACAGATGTTAAACCTCTTTAAAACAAATTTTTACTAATAGCCTCAACCAAAGCTATTTCAGTCAACTACTAGAAATATTCTACCTAGTCAAAAGTTCTCAACAAGCTTCCTAGGTCATGAGCTCCTCAAGGGTGTGGGCTAACTCTTTCCAGGGTTCTATCTACCACCCAGCATCATGCATGTCATGACTCTCCATCATGGGTGATTTTGCCCCCCAAGTGTCATTTGGCATTATCTGGAGACATTTTTAGTTGTCATGACTGGGGTAAGACTGGGGAAAGGAGGTTTTGCTAACAGCATACACTGGGTGGAGGCCAGTGATGCTGCCAGCCACCCTGCAGTGCACGGGACCGCCCCCACCGCAAAGGGTTATGCAACTAAAATGTCAAAAGTGCTGAGGGTGAGGAAACTCTAGCTTAGGTCAATGATGCCACTGCCCTTCATGTTCAAATACAAAATCACTTATCATGTGGCTTCATGTAGACTTCTGGCAACAGCTTACACGCCCTTTTAAACTGGATACATTAGGTCTGCTCCCTGGTAAGACACTCTGGCCACTGAGACCGCAGTTTGAAATTCCTGCAGTGTTAAAAGCCTGAGTCTCCTTTCACAATTAGCCAGCAATCCATAAGGTAAGTACCTCTGCACGCCACTTTGATTCAGAAGGCACAGATCTTCAAACATTACTAAAATCTTGTTAAAATGATTGGCAATCTCAGTTCCTAATCAGTCCTCAGGCAATGTCAAGACATAAGTGAGACAAGAAAAGCCTCTTCCTCTTGTTATGTATCTTCTAACATCATGATTTTTCTTTTATCAATTTATAGAAAATAGCGCTGAAGGTTTCTGAGCCTGTTTCCTCAAAGTAGATGCGAGTTCTCACCTTCCAGGGCTGTTCTAAGGAGAGAAAGTGGCACACCTGCAGAGTGTCTGGGATGAGCCTGGCGTGTGCTTGCTGACTACCAAGGTGACATAGTACCAAGTACAATGCCGGACACATGGTATCCAACACCCAAATACTGAACTGAGCCCAAAGTGTGAGAACTTTTTGGTTGAGAAAGGAGATATCTTGTGAATATAAGAATGAATGGATTATATGCTTCTCTCTTAGGTAAGATGCTGGAAATGATTTTATAAGTCCACATTTCAATCCTTAAAAAAAAAAATCACTGAACCCAAATGTGAAATTCAACTTTTATACTTTTTTGTTGTTGCTGTTGTTTTTTTTTGTTTTGTTTTGTTTTGTTTTTTTTGAGATGGAGTCTCGCTCTGTCACCCAGGCTGGAGTACCATGGTGTGATCTCATCTCACTGCAACCTCCTCTGCCTCCTGGGTTCAAGCTATTCTCCTGCCTCAGCCTCCCAAGTAGCTGGGATTACAGGTGCCCGCCAACACACCTGGCTTATTTTTGTATTTTTAGCAGAGATGGAGTTTCACTATGTTGGCCACGCTGGTCTCAAACTCCTGACCTCAAGTGATCTGCCTGCCTCGGCCTCCCAAAGTGATGGGATTACAGGCGTGAGCCACCACGCCCAGCCTACATTTTTCTCTTAAGTAACAGATTTGAGGTAGCTTACTGAGTGAGAAAGAGAGAGAGAGAGAGAGAGAGAGGGAAAGAAGAAGGAAGGAAGAAGGGAGGGAAGGAAGAAAGGAAAAAGGACATTAGCAGAGACACAATAATTTAGTGCAAAAAAATAACTGAAGCAACTAGCATGTGGCAGACCGATCCCAGTCAGCTTTCTTTGTCCCTTTGGTATTAAAGAACACTCTTCACTACTCCATGCTGAGGGAGCTGTAAGAGAGAGTAAGATCCTGCTCTTTCAAAAGCATCCAGTTGAGAGAGTGGTCAATTAGGTAAATAATTACCATCTCAAGTAATGAATGTTTCACATAACTTACAAGCACAAAGTTAACTGGGAGCAAGAAGGAAGGAGAGGTTAATTCCAACTCTGGCTGGAGCAGGGTTTCGTGGAGCAGAGCTACCCAAGGGGACACTTGAAGTTCTCCTTGTTTTCTTGGTAGAAGTTTGTCAAGCAAAGGGGAGAAGGGATGTTGTAACCACAATTGTCGTAATAAATGAATCCAGAGAAATCTGTAATGATGTATGCGTGACAGGCAGTAGTGAGTAATGCAATTTAGCTGACATGCAGAGTACAAGGAAGGAATGACAGAAAATGAGGCTGGGAAGATTGGCTGGAGCTCTGAGGTGTGTCACAAGCAAGTTAAACTTTATAAAACAGCAGGAGGAAGCCATAGGAGATTTCTCAAGGTGTAAAGGAATAAGACCAGATCTCCTTTGTAGATAAAATTAGGGGAGTGGGGCAGTGCAGATGATGGCATTGAGATGGTGACAGGGAGAACAGTTAGGAGGCTACAGCAATAGTCCAAACCAAAGGAGATGAAATCAAAAGATCAAATACTTTTCATTAATCTATTTGCTCTATCAATCCATCCATCTCACAGTTGTGTCCACTATGTGGGAGCCACTATGCTAACCAAGTGCTATCAACTGAATGTTTCTGTCCTCTCCAAATTCACATGTTAAAATCCTAACCCCCAGTGTGATGCTCTTAGGAGGTGGGGCTTTTGAGTGGTGATTAGGTCATGAGGGTAGAGTCTTCACAAATAGGATTAGTGCCCTTATAAAAGGGAACCCATTGAACTCTCTGCTTTCTGCCATGTGAGGACACCACGAAAAGACAGCCCCAAACACCAAATCTGCCAGTGCCTTGATCCTGGACTTCTCAGCCTCCAGAACTGTGAGAAATAAATTTCGGTTGTTTATAAGTCACACAGTCTAGGGCATTTTGTTAGAGGAGCCTGAACAGGCTAAGGCAGTGAGGCATCATTAGTGAGACAAACTAACACAGTCTCCTCCTGGCACAAAGTCTGTATTCTAGTGGAGGTGGCAGGTATCAAATCATTTGTTACATCTTATTTACTATCTATAGTGATGAGTGCTATAAGAAAGAAAAATGTTCTAAGAAAGCATATCACAAGAGACTGTGACCTAGTCTGAGGGTGGGGGTAGTCAAAGACAGCTTCTGCAAAAAATTACCTTTAAGCTTCTCTTGAAACACTTGAATGGTGGCAGTTTATTCTCTCACATCCTTCATTCTAGATACAAATTTTGATCAACTTTTTATTAGTCAACTTTGCTCTGTGCAATCACATTCAAGCATTTAAGTATTTATTTACTAAAATCCCCGGTAGGGCTAACCAAACCAGTAGGTACTGTTGGGAGGGGAAGAGGAGTGGGGATCAGTGCAAAAGCAGGGGAGATAAAGGGGTAAGAAAAGGGGGAAAAGGAGAAAAGAGGTGGCAAGCCGAGAGGGAGGTGGGAAAAGGAAGGAGAAAGGGAACAGCTTAAAATCCAAAGGCTTTGGCTACACAACAGCAGACTAAAGTCTACTTTTCTCAGTATAAATACTGAGTAACTCATGAAGGAAAGTCAACATTCACACACATTTGTTATAATCAATACTCAGAAATATAATTCTCTGCAAACTGATGATCATGAGGAACCATAAGCCTGACAGTTTCTGTTGCTTTACCTTGACTTGGAGGCATGGCGGTTTTAGATTCAAGTGATGTAGGTTAAAATTTCAACTGAGTTATATGTTCCTGGACAGATTTCTTAGTCTCTCTAAAAATGTTTTCGTACCAGTAAAACAGATATAACCCTATCAACAAAGTTTATTTTTTAAATAGGAATTAAAGGAGAGAAGATATCTAAAATATCTATCCATTCAACTTATCTAATCTATTATTCCAAACATGTTAATGTGATCGCTTCAAATTTGGAGATCCAGGTAGTCCTATTTTTAGGTTGAGAAATATCACTTTTTTTCACTTTTAAAGACACTGATCATTTTTCAAGCTATGATGATTATTTATATGTTGGCTATTTAGCCCAAATTCAAAGCAGAGACACAATAATTTAGAAAGCTAACTGTCACTTATTGCTAACTTTGCCCACAATACCCACTTCCCTTAAAAATACTCCAACGGTTGCAATTCGAGATGACCACAGATGATTGTAGGTGTGCTGCTACTCTCTGACTAGCCCTCACCTCCAGACAGGCAATCCCTTCACGCGCCCGAGAAAGTGAATACCACTGCCTGGTACCAACTCTATTGCCACATGTATTAATAATGTGGTAACAGTTAATTAATAATAGCATAGCCCAAATGAAAGCCACACACAGGACTACAAATTTAAGAAAAATATTACATAAAATACCTATAATGGATTCTTTTAAATAGGTCTAAATAACCAAATTAATCCACAGAATAATGTTGGTGTCACCATCACAGCTATTTCTTAGCTTCCGAAATTATCTGTGCCTAGTCCTGGAAAGCTTTATCCTGTGCAATGCAAGAGGCAGAACTGGAAAACATGGAGAAGGTAAGACCTGTGCCCTACATTAATCTGCTCATCGAGAACAGCAGGAAAGGCCCTTCTATGGGGAGACCATGAGGAAATTTATCCTGCAGAAACTGGGTATCTGCAGATATTAGAAGAACGTTATGTTCCTACAGATGGATCCCGAGACTAAGCAAGTTCCCTCTTGCTCATTTACCACCACCCACCTCCAGATTAGAGGCTTGATGAGGCTTGCGGGTGGTGACAGAGGGGATGGGGCAAGAGTGCCTGAAATACTCAAAGCCCCAGTAAGTAGGCCCAGAAAGTGAGACAATAGAGCACAGTGATTACAAGGCCTATTTTATTTCAAGTAAGAGAGTGATGCTGGAGGATGACACAATGTAAAATGGCCTTAATAAAATGTCTGAATGATTGTAGAGGTAACTATCAATGGAGAAAAAAATGATTTCACAACTGCAAGTATTCTTAAAACACACACCTTTTTAAAAACCAATATTGCCTTTTATTTTATTTTATTTATTTATTTTTTGAGATGGAGTTTCCCTCTTGTTGCCCAGGCTGGAGTACAATGGTGTGATCTCGGCTCACTGTAACCTCCGCCTCCCAGGTTCAAGCGATTCTCCTGCCTCAGCCTCCCTAGTAGCTGGGATTACAGGCATGTGCCACCATGCTCGGCTAATTTTGTATTTTTAGTAGAGACGGGGTTTCTCCATGTTGGTTAGGCTGGTCTCGAACTCCTGACCTCAGGTGATCTACCTGCCTCGGCCTCCCAAAGTGCTGGGATTACAGGCATGAGCCACTGCACCTGGCCTTAATATTGCCTTTTAAAGATGGTAGTTTGAACATACATATTTATCTCCTCTGTTCTTTCCTAAAATCTCATAAGAGTGACATTAAAAGGATTTTTTTTAAAGGTATAAGCCCACAAAGATGAAGAGTAGATGATCCTAAAAATTTTTCTAAGTTAGAAAACAGCAACACTATACAGGGTAGCTATCTTGGCAAACCTGAGAAAACCAAATACTAAGCCACCAGTGGTGAAATCTGAGAGGCAACCTGATTAACATTTGACTTCCCAAAGGTTGCAGGGCCAGGGCTTTCCAGAAGTGCTAAGAGGAAGGCAGAGCACTGCACAGCCACCCCCTGAACTCTACCCACCTGCTGGCTGGCTGTGGTATTCTACAAAAATGTATTTGGTGTTTGGCTCCCAAAAAATCTTCGGCATCACCTAAGTGACAGAAGTGCCTTTTCTTCTTCATAATGAGCCCCTTTCAACCACATCTGAATTTACCCTAATGGGTTATTTAGGTAGAGCCCCTGGATAGCCTCAGATGGAGCTGGCCGACCAGCAGGAAGACCAAGTGACTAGAGGGGTGGAACTTTCAGCACCACCCACCAGCCTCCAGGAAGTGGGGTGGTGGGAGATGGAGCCCTATAAAAACTCTTCTGCAGTGAAATTCAGACAGCTTCTGGGTTGGTGAATACATGGAAGTGCTGAGAGGGTGGGGTGCCCACAGAAGGCACGAGAGCTCCGTGCACTCTCACCCACCCTCGCACCTTGCCCTTCCATTTGGCTGTTCCTGCGTTGTATCCTTTATAATAAACCAATAAACGTAAGTAAAATACGTTCCTGAGTTCTGTGAGACGTTCCTGCAAATGTATCAGACCTGGTGGGGGTACAGACCTTGTGGGAACCCCCAATTTACAGCGGGTCAGTCAGAAGAACAGATGTCCTGAAACGTGTGACTGGCATCTGAAGTGGAGACAGTCTTCTGAGACTGAGCTCTTTGACTTGTAGGATCTGATACTAACTCCAGGTAGAAAGTGTCAGAACTGAATTGAACTGCTGGACACTCAGAAGAACTGGAGTACTACTTGTTAGCGTTGGAAAACACCCCTCACTGCCTCTCCCCATCTTGGCAGATGGCTGGAGATTTATTATTTAGAAGCAGAAAAACGGAAGGTCTTGAGACTGGAGGGACTCACAGACACCACTGACAGTACAAATACAATACTAAAAATCAAAATTTGTCCACTCAAGTCAAGGTTTATTAGTAAATGTTAAGACTCCCAGGCTTACACCCTACAGGTATTAGAGTGGAGAGTATGATCTGGGGAATCTGACCAACCCATTGGTGGTGAGCAGGGAAGAAACAAATGCACAGATCCTGACACTGGCATTCCCAAACATCCTCACCAGGGGACCTTATGACAGAGCCCATGGTCATCGAGGACCTCATCCCGAGACTCCAATCAGCTTTTAAAAAGCTGGATCTTAAATCCAAACAGATAATCAAAGGCTTAGAGATATGTAAGGAAAACTCCTGACATCAAAAGCAGAAAACAAAGAGGTAAAAAGGAACTCAGAAGAAACATAAACTGTGTAGAGAAATAAAACCTGGGGGGTGGGTAGAAGAGGCAGGTAGTGAAGAAACTATCCTCAATATGAGAGGGATAAAAAATATCGCATCCACAAAATGAAAACAGGATGTCAGGAAAAATGAATATTCAAAAAATAAAGAGCTAATAAAAATTTAAAATAGGTTATAAATATTTTTAAGAAAACCAAAACAACAAACCAATAAATGAAAACCTACTCAATCTCATTTGTCATCAAGGAAATGTGAACTGAAATCACAAAAATATATCACCACACATCTGCTAGAATGACTAAAATTAAAAGGACTGCAACATTCTTGGACCACTCACCTGGGGGAAGCTGTAATAGCTGCTATGTCAGGAGGCAGCTCCGTGGTGAGGAGCTGAGGCTTCCTGCCAACAGCACTGTGAGTCTTCCAATCCCAGTAAAGCCTGAAGATGACTGTGGTCCCTGACATCCTGAGTACAACCACATGAGAGACTCTAGGCCAGAATCACCCAGCTAAACTGCTCTTAAATGCCTGACCCACAGGAAAACTAGCAGTATCTTCCAAATCTAAACATATGTATACACTATGATTCTGCTTTCCACTCCTAGGTACATACCCAGCAGAAATGCATACATATATGCAACAAAAGACATGTTCAAAGACATTCAAGCTGCATGCAGTGGCTCACATCTATAATCCCAGCACTTTGGGAGGTGGAGGTGGGAGGACTGCTTGAGCACAGGAGTTTGAGACCAGCCGGGGCAACATGGAGAAACCTCATCTCTACAAAGAATACAAAAATTAGCTGGGAGTGGTGGTGCGCACCTGTAATCCCAGCTACTTGGGAGGCTGAGGTGGGAGGATCACCTGAGGCCAGGTAGTTGAGGCTGCAGTGAACCATGACTGCGTGCCACCACACTCCAGCCTGGGCAACAGTGAAACCCTGTCTCAAAAAAAAAAAAAAGAAAAGAAAAGGAAAAAGGATATTCATAATAACAGTATTTGTACTATTCCCAAATTATAAACAATCCCAATGTCCATTAACATTAACAGTATTATGAGGCCAGGCACGTGCCTCATGCCTGTAATCCTAACACTTTGGAAGGCCAAGGCAGGAGGATCACTTGAGCTCATGAATTCAAGACCTGCCTGGGCAACATAGCAAGACCTTGTTTCTACTAAAAATAAAAAAAACTAGCCAGTCCTGGTGGAGTGCATCTGTAGTCTCAGCTACTGGGGAGGCTGAGGCAGGAGAATTACTTGAGCCCAGGAGGTCGAGGCTGCTGTGATCATGCCACTGCACTCCAGCCTGGGCAACAGAGCAAGACCCTATCTCAAGAAAAAAAAAAGCAGTAGAATGGATAGATGGTGGTATTCACACACCAAAATACTATACCAATAATGGAAAAAAAATTAACTACAGGTACATACAGCAACACAGGTGAAACTAAACAGAATACTGAAAAAAATAAGCAAGATACAGAAGAGTCCACATCTCTATTATGTAAAGTTTAAAAACAGACAAAACTAGATCAGGGTGTTAAAAGTCAGTGTAGACTTCTGGGAGGAAGGAGTAACTGTAAGGTAGCAAAAGTGGACCTTTTAGGGAGTGGGTCACATTCTGTTCTTCAACTGGATGGTGCTTAGAAGGTGTCACTTTGTAAAAAGTCTGTGAGCTCTGGACTCAAGATATATACATTTATACCTCAATAAAAATTTATTTTAAAATATTAATTAGAATAATTGCAAGGTAGAACCCAGGAAACCTCCCAGCAAGGAGAGCAAAAACACAGAGAAAGAAAGCAGGAAAAAAAAAAAAAAAGATGAAAACTGGACCTGTCCAGGAGACTGAACATCTAGGTAATAGGATTTCCAGAAAGAACTGAGAAAAATGGAAGAGGAGGTGATCAAAATAATTCAGGAAAAATTCAAGAAGAGAAATACAGGGATCACCTGTTTGACAGGGCCCACACCAAGTGTACAACCCAAATGGATGAATCTGCTTGGATTCATCACTCCAAAGCACCTCATCAAAACTGTCACAAAGTATTAATAATCAGATCAACACTAAATTCATCAACAGCCACACTGCAAGGTACCTACCTTAAGAGGTAGGTACCTACCAAGAGATAGCATTTCCTTAATCATTTCTTCCTCTACATCTTTCCTTTCCCCCAGGACAGGCAAACTACCATATAAAGAAACCGCTTACTCTCAATACTGCTAATTTCTGAGAGTTTAAAAATGAATCCCTCACTAGCCAAGACACCTCTGGAACCTCACCAAACAGGAGTGGATCACAAAGGTCCTGCAGTGGCTGTGGATTCTCTATCCTGGGTGCTCACTGCCCCTCTTAACCTAATCTGACTCTGCCAAAGTGGTTTAACACCTTTCAGGGAAACATGAGCTAAGAGGCCAAAATCACTAGGCAACCTTAGAACACAGTCGCAACAAAAAAGAAACAAACTGAATAATATTACCAACTAGGAAAGCAACATTTTTAGAAAAGATGAACCTCAAGTTATAAAATATATTAATAGGTATACTAATAGAAGAGATAAAAGAAAATATTAATATCTCAAATTCCAGCTGAATTTTTAAAGATAACTGATTAACTTACTCTAAAATTTATACAGAAGAATAGTTAGGTTAATCTTGAAAAGATGAACCAAAAAAAAAAAAAGAGTAACCTGTTCTACTAGATATCAATACATACTACAAAAACAAAATGGCTAAAAATACTAGAGCATGAACAGACACACGGACCAATGGAATAGAGAGTAAAGCAGATACACACACAGACTCACAATGTACACATACACACACAATATACATGCTGCTGTGCACTGAACTTTGTCTCCCCCCACCCCTAAATTCATATGTTGAAGCACTAGCCCCCAATGTGGTGGTATTTGGAGGTAGGACCTTTGGGAGGCAATTAGGTTTAGGTGAGGTCATGAGGGTGGGGCCCCCATGATGAGATTAGTGCCCTTGTAAGAGGAGGAAGAGAGACCAAAGTGAGCTCTCTCAGCCATGTAAGGACACAGCAAGAGGGTGGCCATCTGCAAGTCAGGAAGACGGCAGGCCCTCACCAGAACTTGACCATGCCAACATCCTGATCTTGGACTTCTAGCCTCCAAAACTGTGAGAAAATAAATTTCTGTGTAAGCCACCCACTCTATGACAGCACGAGTTTACTAAGACACTCATATATCCTATGACCCTACATTCCTGCTCCTGGGTTTATATGCCAAAGAGAGTCTGTCACAGGCCCATGAGAATGGCTTAAGATTAAGGATATAGATAAAACAAGGTGGCCATGAGTTGATCAGTGTTGAAAGTGGGTGATGTTGAAACATGGGGTTCATTACAGTGTTCTCTCCTTTCTTATACATGCTTAAAAATTTCTCTAATGAACCCAGATATCAGAAACAAAGATAGAAATTAAAATATGGGCTGCTTTAGTGGCCCACAAGGCACTTGACCTAGATACAAGCCCCTGGAGTTGAGGGCTGGGATTTTTAGGTCTAGTAGAGCTAAAAGAGGTGACCTTAAGCAGCTCAAGGAAAGAGAGCTGGGACTGAGCCCAGACCATCAAAGATCACTGTCTTTTAGAGAGAAGACTAAAAATATTCCATTTATAGTCTGCTGAAACAACAAAGAAAGTTAGCTTACATTAAAAGCCTTGGAAACAAAAAGATCAAACAGTCCTAACAAAAAATTAAAATCTAAGGCCAACATCATACCTGAATTTGTGGCCTAGATTTACCCCCACTTGAATGGTCTGGGAGCTCTAAGGTAAGAAAATAATATAAAAGCTAATCCAGGCAACAAAAACCCCTCAGGACCCAGCAGTAGTAAACACAAAATCCCTCAACAGAGATACTTTTGTGAGCTGGGGGACATGGGGACTCGAAGAGCAAATGAAACCACTGAAAATGAGTTCACAATAAAAAATTAAAACTCTAAGAAACAACAGACTACCCTGAGGGAGAATTTGATAACCTGAGAAGCAGAAGTGAAAAACAATTTAAAAACTCTAAGTATGTATAAAATGATTAAGTGCTTTTTTAAAAAAGAATGGGAAACAATGAAAAGAAAGCACAGGCCAACATGACTTCATCTCCCAAAGCATCATGCAATGGCTCCCGAATGCCCTGATTAAAGGCCAAAATTAGTACAATGGCCTGACAGGACAGTGACCACTCTTACCTCCCTGGCCTCATCTCCTGCTATCTTCCCACACCCCATCCCCCCATCACTCTGCTCCAGCTGTCCACGTACGGGATGGTCCCATCTCCACCTGAGGGCCTTGGCACTGGCAGTCTCTGATATCTGGAATACTTTCCCCAATATCTCCACATAGCTCACACCTTGACCCCTTCAGGTCTTTGCTCAAATATTACCTGATTTCTGAAGCTTTTCCTTACTAGAATTATTAAAACTGCAATCCCACTCACACCCTGGCATTCCCTTCCCTAGTTTATTTAGTTTTGTACAACACAGATCATGATCTGGCATATATATATTACAAATTTTTATTTTGTTTACTGTCTTTTACCCTCAATTACAATGTACAGTCGATGAGGACAAAGATTTTGTCTGCTTTGATCAGTGCAGGATCCTCAGAGCCCAGAACAAGGCTTATCATAAAGTAGGTGCTCAACAAATAATTTAACAAGAGGAAAAGAGAATGCAAAAAGATTGGGGAAATCAGAAAAGAGCCGATTGCTCTTGTAAAATATGAGGTAGAATTCTCTCATTCATTCATGCATGCATAAATACCCAAACATTTACTAAGTGGCTACTTTATACAAGGAAGTGTCAAGCTATTCTCTTCCTCACTTTGGAAATTCTTTCTTCTCCTAAAACATGACTGAAATTGACTTCCTCCATAATTTACCATAAAAGATTAGCATATTTTCTAAGTTAATAAAAGTACGCAATGTACTGAAAATCATCTTTTACAGTTCAGCTTCCTGTTCCTTATTTTTATTCTTCTTCAGAACTCATGTGCATGTCCACACCATCAACCATCAATTTCTATCTAACTATGTTTCTAAGTACAAACTCTCGTTCCCTACTTACTTACTTTCTGGGTTTTGAAAATATTCTACTTGTTGTTGATACCACTATAATCTTGGACATTGATATAGAAATGTAAAAAGTAGTAATTAAAATCTAACACTTGATCTGTGCCCAAGAATTAGCTAAGGAGCATTATTTAGGAAGACAAAAGCTGATGACTATAAATGTGACCATAATATTCACCTCTGCTAAATTCCAATTATTTTCTTATTAACATTTACATACATGTGCATTCTAGTGAAAACAGTCTGTGGTTCATATAAGACTTCAAAGAGACACAAAATGGCAAACAATATTACCATATGCCCTTGATAAAAATATCTGCTTACAATTCTCTTTGATTAGCTCAATAATTTTCAGATAATGATTATTTTTTTCTTTAATGTTACTATTAGGGCCAAGTAGTGTGTTGCCTCACCTTACGTAGTTAAAATTTGGAACTGTGCTGAGCTGAGCCCATGAATAATCAGAACTAAAAATCATTCTTAGGTTTACATCATAGGAGTTTCACAATTGCTATACCAGTGGTGTTTAAAATACTTTATTGTGTTGTTTAGGAAAAATTAACACACATACACAATACCAGTTTTTAATTCTAACTACAGCACACGCCTTTATGAAATAGTCACAGGGTATCAAACTGTTAAAGGTGTTTGTATAAAGTATAATACCATTCTGTTATTTATTACAAAAATGTTTCACCATATGATCCCCATTTAATAACTTATTTTAGAGGAGTTAAAGCTTTTATCAAGTTCTATGTAACACTGCCATCTAGTGCAGTGTTACTGCAGGCAATGCCTACTGAACTGCTGAGCATGCTCATTTCAGAAAGGGGAAAACAGCTTTAACATGGAAGCTTACAGTCTAGATTGAAGTTCTGTAAGAATTCGTAGTAATAATATGAAAAATGTAATTTATTTTGAATATTTTATTTTATAAATGTTTCAAATATGTCACCCTACCAACTCATTATTTAGCTCTTACCTTAATGGTGTCAGGATTTTCTCATTCTATTCCTCTTTAAGTATTTATAAAGACTTTCTGGAAGTACGTACTTCAAAATTTAAAAATACCCCTTGCTTATAAGAAAGCAAAAAATCAATCACTTAGATTATATAGAAAAAATATCAAACCTCTTTGTATTACAGAATTTGAGAAATATAATAATAACTCTACATTGCAGTGAATTATGTCCTGGAACAAGTTCTGCTGTACCAGTACTAGGCTGCACAGAACATCCTGGGAAATGCGGTCCCTTGGCTGGACTCCAATTAATTTCTCTAGTTCTCTAAGCCTACTTATGAATCTCACAATAAAGAAGAGCACAGAATCAGAATATAGCTCATTTAAACCACAGAATGCTCACGGTTTAAAGGGATTTCATAGGCACTCCATTTGTGGTACCTACCAATGAGTGGACTTCCTGCAACACCCCTGCCTCGCACTCTCCCAGCCACAGCCTGAGTATCCTCAGTGTCAAATTCAGCAGCTCCCAAGGGAGATCACCTCATCTTGAGACAGTGAGTGCTGCAAAGTTACTCCTTATGCCAAGCCCAAAGCTATATCCCGTAGCATGTCCCCGTGGTCTTCATTCACCACAGGCCATTCCCCCCTTATTTAACTCCTCTTTCACTGGGCAGCCCTTTCAACAGTGGAAGACAGTTCTGCCCCAGTTTCTTCTCTCTGGGGTAAGCAATGCCTGTTCTCCACCTGTTTCTCCCATGGCCAATCTCCATCTCCACCCCATCCTGATGCCAACCTGGACCACCAGCAACATCCTTGTTTCCCTGTAATCCTACAAATGGCATCTAGGGGCATATTAGTGTCAACTGGCAGTCACTCCATGATGCCATTTCACAAGCCAAACAACTCTATCATTCAGTGCCTCTACAGCTGATTTTTAAGACTCAAGAGAAAGACCTAATGTTCTCTCTCTTACCTTCTTTACCTTTTGTGTTTCTTTTTTTTTTTTTTTTTTTTTTTGAGACAGAGTCTCACTCTGTAGCCCAGGCTGAATGGAGTGCAGTGACAGGATCATGGCTCACTGCAGCCTCGGCCCTCCAGGCTCAGGTGATCCTCCCACCTCAGCCTCCTAGGTAGCTGAGACTACAGGCACATGCCACCACGCCTGGCTAATTTTTTGTATTTTATGTAAACACAAGGTTTTGCTATGTTGCCCAGGATGGTCTCCAGGACTCAAACGATCTGCCTGCCTTGGCCTCCCAAAATGCCGAGATTACAGGTGAGAGCCACCATGCCTGGCCTCCTTCTATGTTTCATATTTTGACTATAAAGCCCAAAACTCCAGCTTGCTGAGGCAGCTAATGTGTTAGAGCTATTGTTCTTCTGAGAAGACTGCTAGCAGCTCCCCGAAAACCCACTGTTCCCTTATCTCCAGGGACACAACTGCCCAGGTAAGATTACATCTCCCAGCCTCCCTGTGATTAGGTGTGGCCACGTGACCAAGTTCTTGCCAATGGTTTGGGAGCAGGAGTGACATCTGCAACCTTGAAGGCACCTGGGGAAAGGCAATCCCTCCTCCTGCATGCCCCTTCTTTCTTCCACACCAGCTGGAAGCAGAAGCCATGGAGCCTCCTTGGAAGGCACATGTTGAGGAAAGCAGAGGTGCTCCACCAGACCAGGCCCTTGACGACTTACCGGTACAGAGCCTGCCTACCCCACAGGGTGGTTACAAAAGTGAAATGAACATCTGCGCTCTTTGAGCCACTGTGTCAGCGGTTTGTTACAGAAGCTTAGCCTCCACCATTACTGAAATATCCTCCTAGTTTTTGTAATTTGCAAATCTGATGAGCAAACACACTATATTTTGGTATTTTTTATCACTGATAAAATATTAATCAGAACAGCAGGGACCAAGAATGCTACAAAAAGATAAATGTTACTCTTTCAATTTCAAATGACTATAATAATAAAGGCAGATACCTTTCAGAGCATAAGAAAGCAGCAGTAGCAAGTGGAAGGCTCTGAAGTGAGCAGACTCTGGAACAGAGCTAGTTTCTTCCTTCCTTACTTATATCCTCCTGGACAAGGCAAAGGTGCTGAGGACTGCAGGAAAATACTGCTTCGGCTTAAGTCATGAGGAAAGGTTCCAAAAGGACTCATTGATTTTACTCAGGATAACCTCCCCTCCCTTCCCCTCACCATTTAGAAATCTAAAGCTATGAAATTCATCCTTATCATCAAAATATGATAAATGAGCAAGCCTAAAATATGCTCCAAAAATTGCATCAAAGGACACAATCAACAAAGAAAAGAGGCACCCTACGGAGTAAGAGAAAAAATATTTGCAAATCATCTGATAAGGGATTAACATCTAGATTACATAAAGAGCTCCTACAGCTCAACAACCAAGAAAGATTAACAAATGGGCAAAGAACTTGAATAGGCAATTCTCTAAAGAAGAAATATATATAAATGGCCAAGAAGCCCATGAAAAGATTCTTGAAGTCACTCATCATCGGAAATGGAAATGAAACCACAATGAGACACCACCTTATGCCCATGAGGATGGCTACTACAGGAAAGGAAGGGAGGGAGGGGAGGGAAGGGCGAGTGTGAGAGAGGTGTGCCTGCGAGCCAAGATAGGGAGAAACTGGGCATTGTGTTGCTGGTGCAGCTGCTGGGGAAAACGATACAGCCATTCCCCAACAAACTAAAACCAGAATTACCACACGATCCGGCAATTTCACTTTCAGGGATATAACCCAAAAGAACTGAAAGTAGGGACTGAAGAGATATTTGCTGTATGATGGGTACAGGCTTTCAGTCTGGGAAGATGAAAATGTCCTGGAGGTTGGCTGCACAGCAGTGTGAATGAACTTAACACTACTGAACTGCACATTTAAACATGGTTAAGACGATAAATTGTCTAATACATATATATATATATTTAACATGTCAAATTTGTTCTAAGGCCACATTTATGTTTAATATCTTAGTATAATATCAGATACAAATAAGAGTTAAAATGGAATCTTCTCAAGGCCCTAGCCCAGGAATACACATAGTCCTACAGAGAAAAACTGTTTCCTAAAAAAGAGGATGCTTCCAAAGAGGGCAGAAATGGTCTACAAGCCAAAATGTTTTAGAGTAAGCTTGTCCAACCTGCAGCCCATGGGCCACATGGGCCCAGGACAGCTTTGAATGCAGTCCAACACAAATTAGTACACTTTCTTAAAATATTATGAGTTTTTTCCATGATTTTTTTTTTGATCATCAGCTATCATTAGTGTTAGTGTATTTTATGTGTGGCCCAAGACAGTTCTCCCAATGTGGCCAAGGGAAGCCAGAAGATTGGCCACCTTGTTTTAGAGGAATACATTCATATCTATTATATAAAGCTACATATTATATAGTATTATGTAATATAATATAGAAATATTCATAAAGTAACATTAAAATATTTTATAATATTCTACCAATTAATAGCTTTTAAAAAAAATTATTTCAATTTCAAAGAGACTTTAGAAGGGGTAAAGGTGAAGAGCTCCAAGACCCACTAATCATCTGTAGGTGGCAGTAGAAGCACAGTATTTATGTCAAAGCAGCCCTGAACTATCAATCGGTATGGAAAACCGGAGACCATACATAAGAAATCTGGATCTATTTCATATTCAAATAAACTGTGTGAGTACTCCTACATTCAATAAATTGCAACTAACTTCTCTGATACGAAACCTTTTTAACTTGCCCACTTTTACCTTAAAACCTCTACACAGCCAATCCCAATCTACCTATTTCTTTTTGTCTCATTATTTTATTTGGTACGTCTTTGTAATTGTATCTACCTAGAAACATTAGCCATTCATTTTTTGAGACATGGCATAACCTTTCTTACAGAAAAACACAAACACCAGTCGAATCCATATGCCTGTTAACTGAGGGCCTGCTGGGTGAAGCACTACTCTAGATGCGCTGAAACGTTTGAAGACGCACGTGCCAGGTCCTTGTTCACAAGGCACACACAAAACGAGAACAAGAAGAAGAAAAGGGGTGAAAGTGCAATCAGGGATCAGTACCCACATGACTGTCAAAGAGAGATGTGTCACAGATACTTCAAACTCCAGTTCTAAAACCTGTAATTACTGATCCTAAATCAAATGTTCCATTCATGTTAGAAGAGCAAATCCTACACCAGAGGCAGAAAGATGTAAGCCAACACAGTCTGAGAACCTTTTTTCCAAAGAAGCACAGCGGCAGCTGGCCTGTGGGTCTCAGGGTGGTCCTGCCTGCCTCCTTCCTTCCCTTCTCAGTTAAGACTCTCTTTAGACTGTGGCTTGCTGAGCGCAAGAAGCTGTATGAGCTGAAAGTCATAAACTTCTCATAAAGTCTACCCATACAAATGGTATTAGCAATAAGAAGATAACATTGCTGCAAATATTCAACTGAATGGAGTACTAGTTTTATTTTATAAGCATACAAGGGAGAGTTCTGGTAAATACCTTGTCTGAGTAACCAAAATCAATGCAGTTTTATTACCAAGAAAAAAACAACACGTCTTCCTCTAAAGGTTGATTATAATGTCTCCAAGAGGTCGACTTAAAAATAAATTTAAAATATGGTAAAAAACATACACACTGAAGAACAATTAAAAAAAAAAAAAAAAACAGCGATGGCAAAGATCAGGAACTAATGTGACCCCATCAGGGGACTGAGTGCTTTGCATTTAGAGTAGGCCCAAACTTCAGCAGACACATTCTTGGTTTTCCTCCCTGGGATGAGGACTTAGGAAATGCATCCTGGACGCATTCAGGCTTCCATGCAGCCTCCAAGCTCCTATCCTGCCGGCTCCTATCCACAGTCCTACAGAAATTCAGAGGAAGACCAAAGGTAAAATACTCTCTGCAATGCAAAGAGTTGGGGAGAGGAATGCCTTCAAATCACACAAGGCCGGAAGTGGATGACCCCTCACAGAAGGCCTCACCCAACTGCCCCTGGGGAGAGTGACCATCAGAGAAATGAGCTAACATGGTTAAGACAACCTGGTCAGTTAGTGGCACATGCTGGGCTCCTGCACAGCTATCCAGTCCCAGTCTAAAGACAGGAAAAATTTAAATAAGCTACAAAGAAAAAAAGGGGACAAACGAAGCCAAGAGAACTAGTGCTTAGTGTCTACAGCATGCACTTTACACAAGCTATAAGGCAGTTTTTAAATAGGAAAGGTAACACATATACAGAAAAGTACAGCATGCCAGAAAATCCATTTGCTTCTTTTCCCTTCCCTAGCCTGTTCTCTGTCCCAGAGGCTGGTGGGTCCAAACTCTATGCAAAGGCTCATGGGCCCCTGGCTTCCTGCTAACAGGAGCCTCAGGGGAGATTTAGGCCAAGAGGAACCTGAGGTCACAGTGTACATTTCCCTGGTTCCTTCCTGTAAGGGAACCTCAAGCTTACCGTCTCTCAAAAGAAAAGCACTGCTCCAAGACAGCTGACTTGACTGGGGTCTCTCCTTCCAAGTTCTAGTAACCTCTCCCTTCCTTGATCTCTTTGGGCCTAAGTGTGGTGAGGGTAAGAAAAGCAACAGCTCCAGGATCCTGCCATACAGATGATGGGGGACCCTTCCTTATTATTACACATGCCCACACCCCACCCAAAAGGTTTACCACCTAAGCATGAAATCCTAAGCACTGTATTTTCATTTCATCTGCTTTTTGAAATTTATACAAATGGAATCATATGATATGAATTCCTTCATGTCTGGCTTTTTCAACTTAACACTAGATTCATGAGATTCATCCATGTTGTTCTATCTGCCCTGTGTATCATCAATTGTGATTGTGACTTGCACTCCACTCTATGCCTACACCACAAGTGACTTATTCATGCTATAGTTGAACATTCAGGTTGTTCCTAATTTGGAGTTGTTGTAAATAATGTTACCGTGAACATTCTTGTCCATGTCTCCTGGTACGCAGCATGTGTTTTTACTGGTTATAGACCTAGGAGTGGACTCTGAGTCATGGAGTGTTGGTATCTTCATTTTAATACTTAAACTGTTTTCCATATTTAAACTCCCACCAGCAATGTTCCTTGTTACTCGATACCCTCATCACTCAACATCCTTGCCAGCACTTTGCACTGTCCGTCTTTTTCATCGTAGGCATTCTGGCGAATGGATAATACCCTGCTGTGGTTTTAATTTTCATTTTCCCAATTATTAATAAAAAGTTGAGCAGATTTACATGTTGCTGACCATTTGGATCTACTCATTCTTAAGTGCTTGTTCAAGTCTTTTGGCCATGGAATGGCAGAGATCCCAGACACCACAATTACATGTACGAGCTGCCAGGATCCAGCTATAAAACCTTTCCTTGAGAATATCAACTCATTAGCAAGAAACAGGGAGATAAAAAGATGGTCTATTCCCTCAGGAGATTGTTTGCTATAAGTCAAATTACCATTTATGATGATTCTCTATTAAGTAGGGCCAACTTCAACAAAAATTACTAAAACGAAGTATAATATTATAATGCAAAATACAGAAAGAACATACAATCTGAGAGTCATGAGTAAATATTTCTGGGTCACACCATGTAAACTACATACTTTGCAGTCAGCATGAAGGTTAAGTTAGCTCAAGCATGTGAGGCTCTCAGAATCATGCCTGACAGTCACCTCTGATTACCTTTCATAATTTAGTTAAGAATAATGGCAGATATAATAAAAAATCCTAAGTAACTTGTCTTAAACCAACAACCCTCAACCTTATAGATACATGTTTACTTTTACTATACAAATGGCTGTGTACTAAAATCCTCAACCACACACACTATTATATAGGTTTATGTTTAAATAACCTGATAACACATCTCTTGTTCCTTTACCTTCCACAAGTCCTTTTTTTTTTTTTTTTTTTTTTTTTTTTTTGAGAGGGAGTTCTGCTCTGTTGCCCAGGCTGGAGTTCAGCCTCAGCTCACTGCATTCTTGGCTCACTGCAACCTCCATCTCCCGGGTTCAAGCGATTCTCCTGCCTCAGCCTCCTGAGTAGCTGGGATTATAGGCACGCACCACCATGCCCAGCTAATTTTTGTATTTTTAGTAGAGACAGGGTTTTGCCATGTTGGCCAGGCTAGTCTCGAACTCCTGACCTCAGGTGATCCACCCGCCTCAGCCTCCCAAAGTGCTGGGATTACAGGCATGAGCCACCGTGCCCAGCCCTCCTCTTTCTTCTGAAATGCACTTCCTCATATTACTAGGTGTTAACTATACAGTGGTTCCCCCTTATTCTCAGAGGATACATTCCAAGACCCCCAGTGGATGCCTGAAACTGCAGATAGTACCAAACCCTATACTTACTATTTTTTTCCTGTACATACATACCTATGATAAAGTTTAACTTATACATTAGGCTCAGTACCTTTGTGTTTTGGGACCATTATTAATTAAATAAGGGTTACTGGAACACAAGCACTGTGACACTGTGACAGTAAACCTGATCACCAAGGTGGCTATGAAAGTGACTAATGAGTGGGAATGTCTACAGTGTGGAGACACTGGGCAAAGGGAGGACTCATGTCCTGGGGAGGAAGGAGCGGGACAGTGAGAGATTTCATCCTGCTGCTCAGAATGGCATGCAACAGAAAACTTATGAATTGTTTATTTCTGGAATTTTTCCATTTAATATTTTCAGACCATATTTGACTGAAGGTAACTGAAGGTAACTGAAGCCTCAGACAGCAAAATTGCGGATAAGGGGACTACTGTATACCCATCTCCATTTGCACCTCTGGTAACTGTGAGATCAGAATGTGCAGCAGAAGGCTGTGTGCCTCACAATAACCATGGAGTTCTGCTCAATCTGCTGCCTTGGCGACTCTGGATCTCTCTTCCAATAGTAAAATGTCACACTGCAAACTCTGGGCCTGGGGTCCCATGGGACTTCAGTGGTTCCAGGACTGATTTCACTGCCATCACTTATATATGGTTAGATATGGATTCAACTTGTTTGCTGTGAGGTTAAGTGTCTGAATGTCTACATGTCTATACATCTTTAAAACTACACACAAAAATTGCTAAAGACAAGAAATTTGGGAATATTAAATTTACAATACAATTTAGGAAACCAAACAGAAAGGAGGTATACTAACTGGGTTAGAAGATTATAGCTGTAAATTGTTGGGACTTAAGAAAAACCACACATTTAGACAAATAGTTTCTCAATCTTCTTTATGCAGAAACTCTTACTATTCAACATATCTCCCCTACACCCACACCCAAAGAGCAGTCAGTTTAGATACAAGTTTGAGAAACAGAAAGGAGGGGACAAAGGTTGGAGGATGTCAAGGCCAAAGGATAGGCCTCTCCTCTAGTTCAGAGGACTCTTTGTCTGCCTCACACCCTCTTCTCCCTGGGGACTGGCTGTGTGCTGACTGTCCCCCTGCTGGGATACATGAACAGTAACAACAGTGGACCCCTGGTCCCCGCACTGATGGGAGGCAACAAGGATAAGCTGCCCTCACACTTGCTATGCTAACAGAACAGGAAATATTATTTTACCTGTGGCATAGACAAATGTCTAACATAGAAGCATATTTTATAGTGGGAATTTGCTATACAGATCTATTAACTACATTCTTTCTCATTAAAAACTGGCTTAACTGAATTATATTCACTCAAAAACTGGTTTATAGGGCTAAAATCAAAATTCACTTATGGCTTTTAATATCAAAACCAAAACCCAAAACTGCAGCTAAAACACACTATTTGATAAAGCAAAGGGAATCTTGCAGTCTCTGGGAATAAGTAAAATCCCTCTTTTGCAAGTGAAACATTTCTCCTTCACTCATATTCCAAAGTAAGTGAAGAAATTAAAGCTGCATGAATGGTCCCTGAATAAGTTCCTCTGTTTGGGGAAAAAAAAAAATTCATTAGGTTCAAGTATTAAAGAAACTTGTGTCTACATTATACAAGTTGAATCCTTGACCCATTGTTTACTTGCTGTCAAATGACTGGGCAGTTTCTTTTCACTATAATTCCCTGCCAACACAAAACCATCGCGAAGATCCAGGAGCACAGCGAACGGGGGTCAATGCTATAGGGCTCATGGGTTGCAGGGGAGGACGACAGACCTCAGGCCCTTGCCTAAGTCTCCCCATCTCATAAGCTGGTCAAAGTGTCCCTGCCTGCTGACTCAAGGCCCAGACATTTATCCATTCCTCCCCCAACCTCTCCATTTCTTCACCTACTTGTTCAGTCAGAAATTCAACCAATATTAAATGCCTCTTCTCTACACACATATGCAACACATGCCAACTCTCAAGGAATGCAATTTAGTGGAGGAGAAAAAGCAAGTAAATATGCAGTAACAATGCAAACATGTGCCACTACAGGGATAGGTACCAAGTGCTAAGGAAACCTGCAGGGATGAACAACCAGCCCAGCTTCGGAGGGCAGAGAAACCAGCCCAGCTTCGGATGGCAGAGAAAGCTTCCTGAAAAAGGTAGCTACAAGAACAAAGAGCAGCAGGCCATGCCATCAGGTGGGAGACAGTGGTGAGGAATGCCACAGTGGGTGGAACAGCATGTGAGAGGCAGGAAGAGCAAATGTAGCCAGTCCAGAGGGCTGGAATGGAGAGCAAGATGAGGAAAAAGTGAGAGCTCACCCCAACCTGAAGCCAGGCCTATGGAGAGCCCTCAGGTGCTCCTGGATGCCTCCTCTAAGAGTCTGGCAATTCAGAAACAAGAATGCCCCTGTGCACCGTGAAGAATTCAAGTCTTGATGAAAGGACTCTTCTAGACACATGCCATCAATGTATCTGTTGATTTTAGCAGCAATGGGGAAGCTAATCAATACTTAATTTTAGAAAAGTCCTAAGCTATGTGAATAAGGCAAAGGACAGATTAGGTCTGCATGCAGGCAGATTTCTGTCCAGCTGAAACATCAAACTCCTGTGTGATGAATGAAATATAACATCACATATAAAAAACTGATGAATGTGATTCAGCCATAAGAAGTCCTATCTAGTGGACAGATCAATATAATTACCTCATAAGAAGTTATTACAGCGGGAGAAACTGGACCTGGCTTTACCTTGAGTTCTTAAGCAAGTAACTGGCCTTCAATTTCTTCATCCACACAAGAAATAGTTGCTATGGTTGTCTCCAACACTTCTAAAACCCATCATTCTGGCAGGTTGTAACAATCAAAAGTATTTTATCACCAAAGGCAAGGATTTAAGTAACTTTTCTAAGCCACAGATTTACTATGGTTTTGTCTGAGAAAAAAAAAAAAAAGGATGGACCCCAAACTGTCTAAAATTCAAAAAAACAAATACATTTAAGTTCATGAACCCTTTAAAAAGTTGACAAACCATGCATAACCAAACATAAAGATAATTAAAATTTTAGGATAAGCAAATGAGAGATAATTTTTTTTAAGAAATGAGAAAGTAAAACAAAATTAACCTAACAAGGCAGGCAGCGATTCGTTGCTCACTTCCCTTTCTGCTGGTTTCATTTCCCTTCTTAGGTGAAAACACTCTTAATATGTAAATCAGTCCACTAAAGACTTCAGAGTCCTTTCTGCTAAGATTTGCAGAAATTTTTATGCAAAAGAAATTATTTCTAGACTTCCACGCACTAGAAAAGCAGACTTACAAAATACAGCAAACTAAAGTGGATAAATGTATGTGGCAAAGCAGAAGCAATTAATCAAGGATCCTACTTTTAAGCATTTAGAAATGTTTAAATAGTAAAAAGTGGAAATGTGGATATTCTATGATTTTTAATAACTTGGTAGTAAAAAGTGAGACTCCATTTAGGAGTACCTACTAAGTGCCAGGTACTATTAAGCACTTGGGATCTTTCTGGTTTAGGGCCCCTACAATCCTACTGGATATAGTATTATCTCTATTTCAACTGTACAGAAATGAAGTAGGAACAAAGGGTTAGTCAGAGTGGGTAGGTAACTAGACAAAGTCACATAGCTTATAAAGCAAAGAAGCTAGACTTTAAACCCCCTTTTACTCAATATCAAATCTTCTCTTTCCATAGATGATGCAGACTTCAAGCATCAAAGTACACAAACTGAAGAAACTTTATCCTTTGTATATAATTATCTTAAATATATGCCATCATTTCAAGGGGAGCTTATGCTAAGTGTGACTTCATAAACAAATCATTTGTGAAAGAGAAAAACCACATCCAGGGTAAAGTCATAAGGTGAAAAAGCCTATTTCAGAGAGCACTTCCTGAAAGAGACAAAGCAGCAATTAAAGTCAGCCCAGCACCAACTCCGACGCCAAGCGTTACACTGGAAACTACTTTTTAAAGCAACAAAAGAGTCTAAAACAAAATACAACATTTCTTAAATACACTGTTTCCAGAAAGAGCTATTTTAACAGAAGCAACTCAAAGATATCCCTTCGACAGAAGTGGAAGTGCTGAAAAATGCTCATCTCTCACACAGACTTTTGATGGACAGGAGGTAAGCAGCATTTAATTAACTTCATGATTATTGTCAAAAGTAATGCTTTATGTACTGCATTTCAAAAATCATTTCATTTTAATAATACAGGCTGGGCGCAATGGCCCACGCCTGTAACTCCAACACTTTGGGAGGCCAAGGCAGGAGGATCAGTTGTGCCCAGGAGCACCATAGTGAGACCCCGTCTCTATTAAAAAAATATATTTAATTAAAAAAATAAACATAACAAACTATGTTGGTGAAAGACCTTGAAATAGGCTATATAATCATCTTTCCACATTAATATGATTTTACATTTATTTTCAATATTGCTTTACATTAATACTAAATGTAATTTTTTTCAACTTAAGGAAAGAAAATGTTTATGGTAAATCATATGTATATTTAGGAATGTTCATCACATGTTTTCAATTACATTGTTTCATGAAATAACTTAATGGTTTTTAAGAAAAGAAAAGCTACAGATAATCATGGTATCTATAGCTTTTAAAAAGCTGACTTTAAAGTCAATCACTTTTCAATATTTATCCAAAAATTTCTGTGTTTGCAGAGCACAATCAATACTATAATGCCTTTAAAACACATGCATCACTCATTTTTTTTCAAACGTCAGCAAATGAATATAAGTATTGGTGACAAGCTACATAAAAACAGCTTGAGCATAACGTGGGAAAAAAGACTCAAGATGGTTTGTAAGTACAGGACTTATGTCACAAAATTGAAGGATGAGGATAGGTGAAGGGAGTCCTGATGCAATACTAAAAAAAGAAAAACAAATACAAAATTTCATTTATATTATAATTGCTACTATTTAATAAGAATGCATTCCAGTTAAAAATAAGATTTAAGCCTCCAAGATTACTCTCCTTTGAATGACACTAGAGATATAATTTTTCTCTGTAGCACTTTCCTCATTTGATAGAAATTAATATTCTAGTCACACCAATATTTGGAAAATTTAATATGTTTTTAAATATATAGAATTATGCTCCTAAATCATATTTAACCTAAATATTTGAGAAGGAAAGAAGGAGAAGAAGGGAAGAAAGGGAAGGGAAGGGAAGGGAAAGGAAGGAAGGCAGACAGGCACGTTTCTTGTGTTTAACCACAGCAATTGCTCAAGTTAATTCTTAATTATCAATAGCCCGTGATGCCACTGACCACAGACAGCAAATCTCCCCCATAGTTTTCCTTAAAGAGAAATTCTGGGCTGATTTCAAGACAGCCCACTCTGCAAAGTGACATTTTTGAAGGAAACTTTTCATCCACCTCCATATTACAAGGGGATGCCACAGATTCCATCTCATTGCAGCAAAGTCTATTTTTGAAGTCTGTTGTTGGTGTTGCATCATGGGGGAATGAAGTTTCACACTGAGGAGTCAATGATATTTGCAACCCCAAATAACCTCCTTTCCATTTAAAATGGACGGTTTTTTTTTTTTTGGTGATGGAAATTTATAAGTTTCTACATACACATCAAGTTACTGAATGACTTCTTATTAATATCTACTTGTCTTAGATACTCCTTTTTTGGATTTACTTTGAAAATTGTTAAAATTTAAATAATATTGAAGCTTCTGAATCTAGATGGAATGAGGATATGAAAGTTACTAACGGCACTAGCTTTTTTCAAGGTGCTGCTTTCTGTGAACCACTGAAGTAGAGCAGCTGAAATCACAAAACCTGGAAGACTTGGCTTTACGTACTCCCAATTGTGCACTAGAAAACAGCTCATCTATTGCTCTAACAGTCTAGTTCTTGATCTGCTGACCATGACACAAAACATTGCTGTTTCTCAACCTATGATAATTTAAAGAGAACATAAGGTAATAAATATTATGAAGTGTTTCCACTTTAAAAAAAACAAAAAGTTTAATAGCCAGCTACACAAGTCTTCATTTTCAAACTAGAGAATTACAAACTAGAGTTTTTTAGCAAAGTAGAGTTGCTGTGAATCATCTCATCAAAAGTTCCTTCATTTATTCATCAATTCAGTAAATATTTATTTATTGAGTACCTATTACATGCTCAATAGACAGTGGGGCTATAGCTGTAACAAAGGAAAAGTTCCCATTCTCTCTCAAATGAGAATTACTGTGAATGTTCAGTAGTTAACCAGTTGAATCGTTCCTTGATTAAATGCTCTCGAACTTAAAATTCACTGGCAGTCAAGCTGAGTGGGAGAATGTTAAGCATTTATTTTTTAACCAACGATTTTATTCTTATTTTTCTTAACTATTTTTACAGTTTCTAAGTATCATGCCTACCAACAAGCTGTAAAATGATCACCCTGAACAATCAAGATCAACCTGTCCCTTTTAACAGCTCACATCCAGATGAATACAAAATTGCAGCCCTTGTCTTCTATAGCTGTATCTTCATAATTGGATTATTTGTTAACATCACTGCATTATGGGTTTTCAGTTGTACCACCAAGAAGAGAACCACGGTAACCATCTATATGATGAATGTGGCATTAGTGGACTTGATATTTATAATGACTTTACCCTTTCGAATGTTTTATTATGCAAAAGATGAATGGCCATTTGGAGAGTACTTCTGCCAGATTCTTGGAGCTCTCACAGTGTTTTACCCAAGCATTGCTTTATGGCTTCTTGCCTTTATTAGTGCTGACAGATACATGGCCATTGTACAGCCGAAGTACGCCAAAGAACTTAAAAACACGTGCAAAGCCGTGCTGGCGTGTGTGGGAGTCTGGATAATGACCCTGACCACGACCACCCCTCTGCTACTGCTCTATAAAGACCCAGATAAAGACTCCACTCCCGCCACCTGCCTCAAGATTTCTGACATCATCTATCTAAAAGCTGTGAACGTGCTGAACCTCACTCGACTGACATTTTTTTTCTTGATTCCTTTGTTCATCATGATTGGGTGCTACTTGGTCATTATTCATAATCTCCTTCACGGCAGGACGTCTAAGCTGAAACCCAAAGTCAAGGAGAAGTCCATAAGGATCATCATCACGCTGCTGGTGCAGGTGCTCGTCTGCTTTATGCCCTTCCACATCTGTTTCGCTTTCCTGATGCTGGGAACGGGGGAGAACAGTTACAATCCCTGGGGAGCCTTTACCACCTTCCTCATGAACCTCAGCACGTGTCTGGATGTGATTCTCTACTACATCGTTTCAAAACAATTTCAGGCTCGAGTCATTAGTGTCATGCTATACCGTAATTACCTTCGAAGCATGCGCAGAAAAAGTTTCCGATCTGGTAGTCTACGGTCACTAAGCAATATAAACAGTGAAATGTTATGAATAATAAGGTTCTTTCATTTCAATCCCATCAAAATTCACTTCACTAACTACTCTGGCGTCAATGGATATTCTGTATAATACTATCAAGTCCCTTTTCTCTTGAAAAAATAAATTCATTATCTTCATTTTAAAAACTTATATAAAACATTTTTGTGAATTATTCAGAGAAAAGCATCTGATTTTTCTTTCCTAGTCAAGCCTTGTTCACACAGATAATTAACTTTTTGCATTTCTATGTGCAAGCGACACATGTGTGTTAATCAAGTCAGTAGGGGGGAAATCGAGCTACCATACAAAATAATTTGATTAAATTATTTTCTATCTAGATGCAGCTCCCTTAGGTCTAATTTGCACTAGGAATGGAATTATAAATCCAATACTTTATGTCCCAAACACTGACTTCCAGAATTCCTATATAAGAAATTATGTTGAACTCATTACTGTTACTTACTACAAGGCAAAATTAATAGCAACAAGAACCCAAGGGGCCTGTTACAGCCATCCCCATCAGCCCTTCCCTACTCTGAATTCATTCTTTTAAAAACAGAGAATAGTCATTCAACAAACACTGAGAGCCTACTATGCACCAAACCCTATTTAGGACTAATGATGAAAATCTAACCTGAGATGCTATTTCTATCCAATAATCCAAGTTCATTTCTATCATTTGAGGTTTCTACTATATGGTGAAATGCCATTCTCCAATACAAACAGTTTGCTCTTCTTATGTGGTTGAAGATACCATTTTTACAAAAGAAGTTAATTGATTTTTTTTCCCAGGCCATATGTCACAGTATAAATAGTACTAGTAGGAACCTTGGATTTCTTAGCCTTGCCATTTAATTTCTCCTAATAAAGTAACAAACCAAGTAACTTATCCATCTAAAAGAAAAAAACTGAACTATAATCTGTAAAGCCCCTATTATCCTGAATACTTATGGAAGTAAAATAAATGATTCAACTATAACTTCCTCTCTGCTAAATTACCTTTATCACTCTTAACATGATCATATCCTACTGGGGCTTAGAACCAAATACATGCATTGGTTAGAAATTTATTTCTGGCTGGGCGTGGTGGCTCACGCCTGTAATCCCAGCACTTTGGGAGGCTGAGGTGGACGGATCACTTGAGGTCAGGAGTTCGAGACCAGCCTGGCCAATATGGTGAAACCTCATCTCTACTAAAAATACAAAAATTAGCCAGGCATGATGGCAGGTTCCTGTAATCCCAGCTACTCGGGAAGCTGAGGCAGGAGAATAGCTTGAACCCAGGAGGCGGAGGCTGCAGTGAGCCGAGATTGCGCCATTGCACTCCAGCCTGGGTGACAAAGCGAGACTCCGTCTCAAAAAAAAAAGAAATTAATTTCTGGAAATAACATAGGTAAATTCATATTCCTTAAAAAAAAAGATAAACACAAAAAGTCTAATAATAAAATGGCATTTTTGCACTAGAAGGTCCCTTAGACAATCTTCTTAGTACAATTCTTCTGTTCGAAATATAAAAAACTGAGGTCTGAAGAGGTTATGTGACTTGCTCAGCTCAAGAACCACACCTAGAAACCAAGGTCAGTTCTTTCATGTCAAACACCAATTTTTCAATAATAAAAAGCAAACATGCTTAAAGAATGTAAACATTCTCAGAGCTACATAAGGTGGTACTGAGATGCAGTTTCTCAATAAAGAGAAAAACACAGTTTTTAGTTTCAATAGTCAAATGAGTAAAATATATATATTTTTATATTTTATATACATAAAGTACCTTTATAGATATTATATCTTTATATATTATTTGTATATCTTACATATATTTAACATATAATTATTTCTAAAACAAGAAAAACAACTCTTGTATTGGATATGTAGGTTTATTATACACATATACATAGTCAGAGCCTACTCTCAACCATACAGATGAATCTACTCTTAAATTTATTAGATGGAAAAGTTCTCTGCCATAGCTTGTCTTGATAAGAAGAGTTTAGTCTCAGAGCAAAAAGCACAACAAAAGATTCTATTGATACAAAATCAAGAAAGTGAAAATGTATGCTGTGATTCTCACAGTAAAACTGTAAATAATTTAAATTATAATTTAATTGTAGATCACTTAAAAGTTATTTTTTAAATAATTTACTTAGCATTATAACCAAATACATTTAAACATAATATGTAAAAATTCAAAATTTCACTGTATTCTGGAAAACGATGTAACATCCACATATAAATACTAACAAAAAATAATAGGTATATAAGGCCAGATGTGTGGCAGGAATGAGTTACTAGAAATGCCTAACACATATGGCTTTTAATAATGGAGTTATTTCTACTTTCAAAACCTAATGGTTACATTTTCTGAGTTTAAATCATAGTCATGAGCATCTATCATGTCAGCTACAATTTCTAAGCAAAGCACTAGAAAAAGAAATGAACAGGTCTGTGGTTCAAAGGCCTTCCCTTACAGTCTTACTGGGGCTACACTGTAATCAAGGCTTGCTTGCTCTTCAACATTACTAAATGTAGGGCAAAGAGTACATAAAGTAAAACTTGGTTCCCCCTCAAACAGCCAGTGGGTAGCCTAGAAGGCACAGACCATGACAACGTAATATAATAAATACTAACAGAGATAATTAACACATGTGTTGTAATACACATATAAGGACAATTAATCCTGCCAAAGGGCAAGAGGAAGCAGAAAGCAAGCCAAGTAGGCATGAGAATGCAAATGCGTAGCAAGCGAAGAAAGCTGGATGACCAGTTGGGAAGTGGTTTGAGAGACTAGCTGGTGGTCAGATGAGGAGGACTCTGAAAGGAAAGAAGAGTTGGGCATGGTAGCACGTGCCTATAATCCCAGCTACTCAGGAGGCTGAGGTGGGAGGACTGGGCTTGAGCTTAGGAGTTCAAGGCCAGCCTGGATAACATGGCAAGACCTTGTCTCTTAAGAAAAGCAATACATGGAAGGGGTATACGCTTGCTCCTAGAAGCTTGGCGTAAGAGACCTTCTTTAATTCTCGGTGCTACCCTTTGAAGCACAGAATACCCACAGTTGACATGTGAGGGTCATCTAGAAACTGAGCTCAGGAAATGGAGCTTGAGAGAAGCAACTTGCTCAAGATTTCACATAACTAGTAAGAGGCAGAGCTGGAATCTCAAATCTGGTCTGATGGCAAAGACCATGCTATTTCCACTATTCCAGACTGCCTAGATAGCATCTTGGAGGAATCTGACTTTTATTCTGATGGAAATGAGAATTTGAGGGTTTTTAAAAGAACTAGTGTGGTTAAGCCTGCATTTTAGAAAGATAACTTCTGACAGCATTGTATGGAATGCTTTCAAATTCACAGGGAAACTAGTTAAGAGAATTACTGTAAAAAAGTAGACAAGAAAAGATTTAAGAGTTTAGACTGGGATAATAATGACAGTAGAAGTAGAGAAGAAGGGATGAATATTCATTTAGGACTTTGAATTACTAAGACTCAGTGCCAGAAGTCCTAGCCAGAGCAACTAGGCAAGAGAAAGAAAGAAAAGGTATTCAAATAGGAAAGCCCAAACTATCTCTCTTTACTGACAATATGATTCTATACCTAGAAAACCCTAAAGACTCTGCCAAAAGGCTCCAGGAATCGAGAAACAACTTCACTAGAGTTTCGGGATGCCAAATCAATGTAGAAAGATCAGTAGTAGCATTTCTATACACCAATAACTTAGTTCAAGCTGAGAGTCAAACCAAGAACACAACACACACAAAAAGATACCTAGGAATACATCTAACCACGAAGGTAAAAGATCTCTACAAGAACTACAAAACACTGCTGAAAAAAATCAAAGATGGCCAGGCTTGGTGGCTCATGCCTATAATCCCAGCCAGCACTTTGGGAGGCCGAGGCAGGCTGATCACGAGGTCAGGAGATCGAGACCATCCTGGCTAATGCAGTGAAACCCCGTCTCTACTAAAAAATACAAAAGAAAGTAGCCAGGCATGGTGGTGGGCGCCTGTAATCCCAGCTACTCGGGAGGCTGAGGCAGGAGAATTGCTTGAACCTGGGAGGCGGAGGCTGCAGTGAGCCAAGATCACACCACTTCACTCCAGCCTGGGTGACAGAGTGAGACTCCGTCTCAAAAAAAAAGAAAAAAGAAAAAAATCAAAGATGATACAAACAAATGGAAAAAGCATTCCATTCTCATGGTCTGAAACAATCAATATCATTAAAATGGCCATACTGACCAAAGCAATCTACAGATTTAAGGCTATTCCTAGCAAACCACAATGTCATTTTTCACAGAATTAGAAAAAATTATTCTAAAATTCATATAGAACCAAAAAAAGAGCCCCAAATAGCCAAAGCAATCCTAAGGGAAAAAAAAGAAAAGGAAAAAACAAAGCCAGAGGCATCACATTACCTGACTTCAGATTATAAGGCTACAGTAAGCAAAACAGCATGGTACTGGTACAAAAACAGACATACAGACCAGTGGAACAGAATAGAGAACCCAGAAATAAAGCCTCATAACTACAGCCATCTGATATTCAACAAAGTTCACAAAACTAAACAGTGGTGAAAGGATTCCTTATTCAATAAATGGTGCTAGGATAGCTGGCTAGTCATATGCAGAAAATGAAACTGTACCCCTACCTTGCACCACATACAAAAATTAATTCAAGATGGATTAAAGATATAAATGTAAGACTTCAAACTATAAGAATCCTAGAAGAAAACCTAGGAAACACCATTCTGGACATCGGCCTTGGGGAAGAATTTGTGACTAAGTCCTCAAAAGCAATTGCAATGAAAACAAAAATTGACAAATGGGACCCATTTAAACTAAAGAGCTTCTGCACAGCAAAATAAACTATCAACAGAGTAAACAAACAACCTATAAAATGGGAGAAAATACTCACAAACTGCATCTGACAAAGGTCTAATGTCCAGAATCTGTAAGGAACTTGATTCAACAAGCACAAAACAACCCCATTAAAAAGTGGGCAAAAGACATGAACAGATACTTTTCAAAAGAAGACACGCAAGCGGCCAACACACAAGAAAAAATGCTCAAAGGTAATCATCAAGAAATGCAAATCAAAACCACAATGAGATACCATCTCACACCAGTCAGAATGGCTACTAAAAAGCCAAAAAACAACAGATGCTGGTGAGATCTGGGAAGAAAAGGGAAACTTATACACTGTTGTATATAAGTGAGAAAAGGGAACACTTATACACTGTTGGTGGGAATGTAAATTAGTTCAGCCACTATAGAAAGCAGTTTGGAGATTTCTCAAAGAACTTAAAACAGGACTACCATTCCACTCAGCAATCCCACTACTGAGTACGTAGCCAAAAGAAAATAAATCATTCTACCAAAAAGACACACGCACTCACATGTTCATTCCAGAACTATTCACAATAGCAAAGACATGGAATCAACCTAAGTGCCCATCAGCAATGGACTGGATAAAGAAAATATGGTACATACACACCATGGAATATTATGCAGCCATAAAAAAGAATGAAATCATGTCCTTTGCAGGAACATGGATGCAGCTGGAGGCCATTATCCTAAATAAATTAATGCAGGAACAGAAAATCAAATGCCACATGAACTCACTTAAAAGTGGGAGCTAAACACTGGGTACACATGGACATAAAGATGGCAGCAACAGACACGGAAGACTATTAGAGGGGGAAGAAGGGAGGGGGAAGGACGGAGGGGAGCAAGGGTTGAAAAACTAACTACTGGATACCACGCTCACTACCTGGGTGACAGGATCATCTGTACCCCAAACCTCAGCATCATGCAATATACTCATAAAACAAACCTTCACATGTACCCCCTGAATCTGAAAGTTGAAATTTCAAAAAATAAAAACTAAGACTCAGTGACCTACCCCACTGACAAGCAAAATGAAAGATTTCCAGCTTGCATGACTCTGAGTAGATGCTACTAATTAAAATAAGAAGAAAGAGGGAAAGAAGACAGAGAGGAGGCCAGAAGAGAAGAGAGCTTCTGAACATGAGTTTTCTTTGAGTCTATAAATCATCAGGAAATGAGACTCTGGACCAGACATGGTGGTCACGCCTATAATCCCAGCCCTTTGGGAGGCCAAGGCAGGAGGATCGCTGGAGGCCAGGAGTTTGAGACCAGCCTGGGCAAAATAACAAGACCCCATCTCTACAAAAACAAACAAACAAACAAAAAATGGCCGGATACAGTGGCTCACGCCTGTAATCCCAGCACTTTGGGAGGCCAAGGCAGGTCGATCACCTGAGGTCAGGAGTTTGTGACCAGCCTGACCAATACGGTGAAACCCTGTCCTATTAAAAATACAAAAAAAATAGCCAGGCATGGTGGCAAACCCAGCCACTTAGGAGACTAAGGCAGAAGAATCGCTTGAACCAGGGAGGCAGAGGTTGCAGTGAGCAGAAATCACGCCATTGCACTGCAGCCTGGGCGGCAAGAGTGAAAATCTGTCTCAAAAAAAAAAAAAAAAAAAATTAGGTGGGCATGGTGGCACATCTATAGTCACAGCTACTCAGGAGGCTGAGCTGGGAGGACTGCTTGAACCCAGGAGTTTGAGGTGACAGTGAGCTATGATCTCACCACTGTACTCTAGGCCTGGGCAACTGAATAAGACCTCATTTCTAAAAATAAAATAAAAGAAAGAAAGGAAATAAGACTCAAGAAATATCAGGAGAGTAGTGTGGGTTGGAAATAGACAGCTGGGAAGCAAACAATACACGTTCACTGTAGTTGAAATCAAGAAAGTGGGCAAGATAGCCCAAAAAGCTTGAGAAAAGAGCTGCACGCAGTAACTAAGTCAGAAAGAATTAGGAGGGAGTAGTGTGTGGGACTCAAGAGAGCAGGTGGTTTCATGAAACAACGAGAGGTTAAAAGCATTTAATTTGCTACTGAAAGGTTAAAGAGGATGGCCAGTGGCTTTAGAAATTAGGTGGCCACTGGTGACCTTTATAAGAGAAGTTCCTATATAGTGGTGAGGTAAAAAAAAAAAGAGAGAGAGAGAATTAAATAGGAAGTAAAGAACTATAGAGAGTGCAGATAAATTTGGTACTGATGGGAAAGAAAAATATTAGATGTTAGGTGCAAAACACTGAAAGCTGTAAAGCACATATTTTTATTTTAAGTTCCGGGGATACATGTGCAGAACGTGCAGGTTTGTTACAGAGGTATATATGTGCCATGGTGGTTTGCTGCACGTATCGACCCATCATCTAGGTTTTAAGCCTCATATGCATTAGGTATTTGTCCTAATGCTCTCCCTCCCCTTGCCCCTTACCCATAGACAGCCCCAGTGTGTGACGTTCCCCTCCCTGTGTCCATGAAGTACATTGATTTAAAAAAAAACAACACAGGCCGGGCGCGGTGGCTCACGCCTGTAATCCCAGCACTTTGGGAGGCCGAGGCGGGCGGATCACGAGGTCAGGAGATCGAGACCATCCTGGCTAACACGGTGAAACCCCGTCTCTACTAAAAATACAAAAAATTAGCCGGGCGTGGTAGCGGGCGCCTGTAGTCCCAGCTACTCGGGAGGCTGAGGCAGGAGAATGGCGTGAACCGGGGAGGCGGAGCTTGCAGTGAGCCGAGATCGCGCCACTGCACTCCAGCCTGGGCGACAGAGCGAGACTCCGTCTCAAGAAAAACAAAACAAAACAAAACAAAAAAAAAAAAACAGTAGTTTTCTCTCTTTAGTTTTTGAAGCTTTGCTACCATCAATAAAAGATATATTTGTGGCTGGGTGCAGTGGCTCACACCTGCAATTCCAGCACTTTGGGAGGCCAAGAAAGGAGGATCACTTGAGCCCAGGAATTCAAGACCAGCCTAGACAACATAGCAAAACCTTTTCTCTACCAAAAATAATAATAAAAATGTTTTTAAGAGATATATTTACATTACACAAAGTTTACTTGTTGAACTAATTGTGTTCCAAAAAGTCTATGTTTGAGAAAGCCTGAAGATTTAAAAAAGTCATACTATATAATGTTTTGTGACTTGAAAAGGAAGAGAAATATATTTTCATTCAGGAGATGGCTGAATTAACATTTATAGTGTCTTTCAAAGGGGATGCTACAACTTTTCAATTTATTCAAGTTTGTAACTCTTGCTACAAACTGAGATTTAAATAGGTAAATCCCTTCCCTCTTCTGAGAGTAAGCAAAAGTATTCCCACCAACTTCAAAATTGAATCAATCTTTTTATGTACTAGTTAATGGGATTCCAAAATTAAATAAATGAATATGAAAGTTCTACTGTCATTCGATTCCATGTGCAGCAGGAAAAAGAAGACAAGGAGACAGTGTAAATAAGAATAATGCTAAGTTACTATCCATCTCCAAAGTTCATTCTAACACAGACACACATACCTCCCATCACTCAGTAGGCTATACAGGAACCAAAAAGAACTGGCCTGATAGGAGATGTTTTGGGGAAAACTGATGATTTGGCAATGCTGCTGCTTTCCTGAGTCAATGTGGAATCATTCCTGATGACTACACTATTTTCCCCAATAACAGAATACTCAACTTTAACTTCTCAGTCTAATTACAATGACCACCTGTGGAATTCAAACTGCATGCTAATTATGACACAGAACTTTATGCCTCCATTCAAACATTATTCAGAATCATACATTATTAAAAGAGCTAAAGGTCAACATTCATGGATATTCACACCAACTATAATTCACAAAAGGCAGCTACACTGTAAACATTAACAATGCAGGTACGAAAGCTATTAGAACACTAACTATAATTTTAAAATAGGGATCCAAAGTGAATTTGAATCAAGATACATACAGTAGCTTAATAGTTCTCAAAACATATATTTAAAATTAAAAGGAGACTGAAGATAGTACACACAGAATTTTAAATATCTGGTATCTATATTTCATACTATCTCATTTCCCAAATAGTGTCTCAGATACTTCATTCAGATGCTTGGAGGTCATTTACATGTGCTAACAACTCTGCTCCTAGATTCTAATTATTTCACACACTAATACATGGTTTTTTGGGGGTATTTTGTTTGTTTTTTGAGGCGGAGTCTCACTCTGTCACCCAGGCTGAAGTGCAGTGGAGCGATCTCCGCTCACTGCAACCTCTGCCTCCCGGGTTCAAGTGATTCTTCTGCCTCAGCCTCCTGAGCAGCTGGGACTACGTGCCACCACGCCCAACTAATTTTTGTATTTCTAGTAGAGATGGGGTTTCACCATATTGACCAGGCTGGTCTTGAACTCCTGACCTCGTGATCCGCCCACCTCGGCCTCCCAAAGGTGGCATGAGCCACCGCGCCCGGCCTGTTTTTTTGTTTGTTTGTTTGAGATGGAGTCTCGTTCTGTCAACTCTACTCCTAGATTCTAGTTATTTCACACACTAATACATGGTTTTTGTTTTTTTTAAAGAAGATCAACGCAATATGAAAGCATACAAATTCTGAGTGGGGTTGGCCACGGCAGGTTGTCTACAAAGTTATAACCTATACACCGGCTTTGTTTTATGTTTGATGGAAGTGTTTAAACATTATCAGCTTTTAAAAAATTATTCTTCAGAAGCTTAACTTCGTACAAATTAATTTTGTTTCCTAATCTAATTAAACTATATTTTTGTGTTTAGTTCATAAAATTACAAAGACAAATTTCACTATAAAAACACACAAAACTAATTCTATCAGGATCAGAATAGGAAATTCACTTAAAATTCTCTAAAACACAAACTTTCAAAGCTAAAAAAAGAAGGTGCCTGGGCAAGGTGGCTCACACAGTGGCTCAAGCACTTTGGGAGGCCGAGGCGGGTGGATCACCTGAGGTCAGGAGTTCAAGACCAGCCTGGCCAACATGGTGAAACCCTGTCTCTACTAAAAAATACAAAAATTAGCCAGGCATGGTGGCACGTGCCTGTAGTCCCAGCTACTTGGGAGGCTGAGGCAGGAGAATCGCTTGAACCCGGGAGGCGGAGGTTGTAGTGAGCCGAGATCGTGCCAATGCACTCCAGCCTGGGTGACAGAGCGAGACTCCGTCTCAAAAAAAAAAAAAGTAAAATAAATTTTAAAGAAAGAATATAAAATTGATTCTATTTCAAGAACATAATAAAAATGTAGGCATAGATTAGACTTTTTACATATAAAATCAATTTAACTATATCTAGAAGTTTAAAATATTATTTTACTGACTTTCACATAATAATAATAACACTTTAAATCAGATTCAAGTAGTTCTAAATTAAGTCAATCTTTAAGTGCTACTTACAATCCAGAAGGCAAATTACTAGCTGCAGTGATGCCAAAGAAATACTGCATAGCTTCAATGAGGAGAAAGTCAAATAAGGCTGACAAAACCCAGGAACCCAGCAAAAAGGACTACAAAATAAAACAGCAGAAAAATGATAGAGATGAGTCTCCTAAAAATAAACTAACATTTATTCAGCTAGAATCAGCTCAGAGGTGTGTATTCATATGTATGTGTGTGTGTGTATATACACACATGCATATGTGTGTATATATATTTGAAATTATTTGTTTTTATTAAAATAGACTTTAGAAAATGGGCGGGGTAAACCCATATTGCTCAAATGTATTAACAGCCATAATTTTTAAGTATGTTGAAGATATATTTTTAACAAGTAAAACACAAACCACTAAGCAAAATAAATTATAATTTTATTAAAGTCAAAGTATTAAAATTTGTATTAGTGTTCACAACTAATACTACATATTATCATTATCACTATTATTATTATGCTAATGTCTTACATTTTAAAATTTTCTTTGGTTAATGTCCATGTGCCTCAAATCAGATACAGAATAGTGTAATTAAAAAGATAACTGTAAATAACAACACCAAGTTTAACAAAATAAAATCCATTTAAACAAAATTTTTTTCTACAGCCTAAGTAGCAAAGACAAAATACATAAAAACTTACTGCAAATTTTCTGCTTCCATATCTTCTTTCAAATATCCTAAAATTATAAATAAGCAGACTACTGCAGAAAGTATCTTTCAAATCAAGGCAAATTATTCTTCCACATATCAACCTCCAAATCTAGATGGGGATTTAAAAAAGAACAATAAACAAGAGTAAAATTTGTTCGGGTCTCTTCCTTAGCAAATTTGTTATGTTTACACTGCCTATTTTTAATGTCCTAAACAAAATCATAATGCACACACCAAAGGAAAACTATATATGTATGTTCTCTGAGCTCAAGTCTCTCATAGTAAAAATTCCTCCCAACAGTGGCACGAAAGGTACTTGAATTTTTTTGTGCTTATAAGAAAACATATTCTCATTAAGATAACAGAAAACTGCCTATAAGAAATTTCAGGATCACGTTTAGTAAGATTTTTTAAAATTATATACGTAAACTAGAATGAAAGGCTAACAAATGTTCATTTTTATGTTATTGAATAAGACAAAGTTGTAACTGAAAAACAACTTAGGTATAAACTCAAAAATATGCATTTCTGAGCTTAATTTTAATCATCAACTTACTTCATAGCAACTATGCAAAGTAATTTATGGCAACTGCTGCTAAATATGACTAGGTTTGAAATATTAGTTTATTTAAATCATTGTTTCACCCAACTTCTGGCTGCATAAAAAACATATAAGGGGACATACAAAAAAAAAAAAAAAAAAAAAAGAGCTACTCAAAGGCCTATTTTTGAGTCTGCTTAAACATTTTTCAGATTTTTAAAGATAATCCCAATGACATCTCAAACATCCTAATCTTATTTCCCCTTCACAATGACCTTATGAGATAGGTAAAACAAATATTAATTCCAACTTTTCTTTGTATTTTTATTGTGGTAAAACAGATATAAAAGTTAAAATTTTGCTGGCTGCCCAGTCTGGAAAGTGAGGAGCGTCTCTGCCCGGCCGCCATCCCATCTAGGAAGTGAGGAGCGCCTCTTCCCGGCCGCCATCCCATCTAGGAAGTGAGGAGCGTCTCTACCCGGCCGCCCATCGTCTGAGATGTGGGGAGCACCTCTGCCCCGCCGCCCCGTCTGGGAGGTGAGGAGCGTCTCTGCCCGGCCGCCCCGTCTGAGAAGTGAGGAGCCCCTCCGCCCGGCAGCCACCCCGTCTGGGAAGTGAGGAGCGTCTCCGCCCGGCAGCCACCCCGTCCGGGAGAGAGGTGGGGGTCAGCCCCGGCCAGGCCAGCCGCCCCGTCGGGGAGGGAGGTGGGGGGGGTCAGCCCCCCGCCCGGCCAGCCGCCCCGTCCGGGAGGGAGGTGGGGGGGTCAGCCCCCCGCCTGGCCAGCCACCCCGTCTGGGAGGTGAGGGGCGCCTCTGCCCGGCCGCCCCTACTGGGAAGTGAGGAGCCCCTCTGCCCGGACAGCCGCCCCGTCCGGGAGGGAGGTGGGGGGGGCAGCCCCCCGCCCGGCCAGCCGCCCCGTCGGGGAGGGAGGTGGGGGGGTCAGCCCCCCGCCCGGCCAGCCGCCCCGTCTGGGAGGTGAGGGGCGCCTCTGCCCGGCCGCCCCTACTGGGAAGTGAGGAGCCCCTCTGCCCGGACAGCCGCCCCGTCCGGGAGGGAGGTGGGGGGGTCAGCCCCCCGCCCGGCCAGCCGCCCCGTCCGGGAGGTGAGGGGCACCTCTGCCCGGCCACCACCCCGTCTGGGAGGTGTGCCCAGCAGCTCATTGAGAACGGGCCATGATGACAATGGCGGTTTTGTGGAATAGAAGGGGGGGAAAGGTGGGGAAAAGATTGAGAAATCGGATGGTTGCCGTCTCTGTGTAGAAAGAAGTAGACATGGGAGACTTTTCATTTTGTTCTGTACTAAGAAAAATTCTTCTGCCTTGGGATCCTGTTGATCTGTGACCTTACCCCCAACCCTGTGCTCTCTGAAACATGTGCTGTGTCCACTCAGGGTTAAATGGATTAAGGGCGGTGCAAGATGTGCTTTGTTAAACAGATGCTTGAAGGCAGCATGCTCCTTAAGAGTCATCACCACTCCCTAATCTCAAGTACCCAGGGACACAAACACTGCGGAAGGCCGCAGGGTCCTCTGCCTAGGAAAACCAGAGACCTTTGTTCACTTGTTTATCTGCTGACCTTCCCTCCACTATTGTCCTATGACCCTGCCAAATCCCCCTGTGCGAGAAACACCCAAGAATGATCAATAAAAAAAAAAAAAGTTGAAAAAAAAAAAAAGTTAAAATTTTAACTATTGAGTATACAATTCAGTGGTATTAAGCAAATTCACAATATTGTACACCCATCACCACTATCTATTTCCAGAACTCTTCATCATCCTAGACAGAAATGCCATGCTAACTTCCTGTTCCCTCTCCCCTTAGCCCCAGGAAACACTATTCTACTTAATGTCTCTATGAATTTGCTTATATTAGATACCTCATGTAAGTAAGATCATTTATTTGTCCTTTTGCATTTGCTCATTTCACTTTGCATAATATTTTCAAGGTTCATGGTAAAGCATGTATCAATCTCATTCTCATTTATAGTTGAATAATATTCTATGGTATGTATACACCACATTTTGTTTATCCATGTATCTGTTAATAGACATTTGGGTTTCTGCCTTTTTGCTATTGTGAATAATGCTGCTGCGAACATTGGTAATAGTAACTCTTTTCTTTTTTTTTTTTTTTTTTTGAGACAGGGTCTCACTCTGTTGCCCAGGCTGTAGTGCAGTGATGTGATCACATCTCACTGCAGGCTCAACCCTCTGAGACTGAATCAATACTCGCAGCTCAGCCTCCTGAGTAGCTGGGACTACAGGTGTGCACCACCACACCCGTCTAATTTTTGTATTTTTTGTAGAGATGGTGTTTTGCCATGTTGCCCAGGCTGGTCTTGAACTCCTGGGCTCAAGCAATCCATCCACAAACGTTGGCCTCCCAAGGTGCTGAAATGACAGGTGTGAGCCACCACACCCAGCCAACTGTCTTAAGGAAAAAGAGGCACAGAGAAACTAAAGTTTGTAAAGTCATACAACCTGTGCTCTTGCCAACAGAAATAAGAATACAAATGAGAAGTCTGAGCATATCAACTGTCAAAACCTGTCACATATGTCTCTACTCCAAGCAAGACACCAGGCAGAGTCTTTGTCATGACTGTACTGGCCACCAGAGTTCACCTCACCTGCCAGCCCAGCTGAACTGGGATGGCTGCCTCTAAGGCTGTGTTGAGGCCATAGCTGGGCTCAAGGAGAAACAGTACCGGAGTCACACTGAAACTTTAGGCAGCATATACCTCCATCAATATGATCAATGAGGCAGTACACGAGAGCACATAGGAAACTGCCAAGGACTTTACCAATGTCCGATGATGATGACTGTCATCTCCTCAGAACACCAGATTCAAAAACCATAAGAGGCAGCTCCAAGTCCTCTATCCCCACATTTAATATTACAATGAAAATACTCTACTCAGGGATAAGCTCTGAGAGCCACTAAGAAAATCTGAGGATTAAGGAAATGGAGAGTTTGTAATTACTAAGATATAACAAACTGCATTTCTAGAACCCCATTTTTTCAGTTAATGAAAATAAAGCTGCTAGCTACAGTTTTAAATAATTTATGTGTTGCAATCATACTCAAGGACACAAAACTATGAGAGCTGGTATAAGAATAAACCACTGCATATTATTATACAGGTGAATGTCCCCTAAAGACTGGTAACTGGCTACCGGCTTGCACTCAGCAAAGCACTGCTTCTGCAACTCAACCTAAAGAAAACTGACTGTACCTCTGCATTCACTGCCAAAATCTGGAGGTTCAGAACTTACAAAATAAAGCCCTTCATCAACTGAGCCCTCCTGGACTTCTCCAATCTAAGCCTGGGTTTGCCTCAAAGCACGCTTCCTGTACCACACTCCTAAGGGTCTGAAATTCATGTTACTTCCTGAAGTAAAATGCCCTTCCCTCTCTTCATTGCTAATTAACAGTCATCCCTTCTTTTTGGACCAAACTGAAGGCTCACACCCCTAAGACTCTCCAGAGGTAGGCCCCCAATACTGGTCCCTATTTCCTTGATCACCCCCCAAGGATGTCATGTACACCTGTGACCTACAGATCACGTTCTTATGTGTATGCGTGTGTTTAGATTTCCCAAGGCAGAACTGCAACTCCCATATCTCTCATGAATACACACTGAGAGCCTCTTAGGTGTTTTAAGTGTTAATCTGGATGTGGCTATTCCCATTCCTGGACAGAAGAGTGGTCTTCTTCCATCCAAGCAGGTCACCACCTTTAAAGCACAGATGCCCACAGAGTGGGCTTAGCCAAACGAACCAAATTAACTCCAGAAATTAGGAAGGTATCAACCCAAGGCCCGGGGGCCCTTACATTAGTGGTCCTCAAAGCCAGCCATACACTAGAATCCCCTAGGGGTTGTTTTTAAATGTACAGCAATGCCCAGGCGCCACCACCAGACTCTGTGACTCAGTTGTTCTGGGGCGAGATACTGTGTTTATATAAATCTAGGTATAAATTATACCTTCACGTAAGTATAGATATGGAGACAGATCTTTGAAGTTTTTTCAGGTGATTCTAATGTGTGTCCGGGGTTGAGAAGGACTGCATTATAGCAACTGAAATAATACAGAAGCTACACTATCTTCTGACAAATCAGTAATACGGATAAATAACTAAAAGACCTGCACAGTAAGTTGGTGAAGCCAATCTGAGCAATGGTATTAATTATATCACTATGAAGAAAAGGTGTCAGTGTTCAAGAAATGGATTATTATGCTTAAAATGGGCTAACCAAGTGCTTAGCAAAGAAAGGGTAGCAGTCATATACCAGAATTTGCATGAACACTCCAATTCATAGACAAGAACCCAGTACTAGCATTTTCAACAAGATCAGTCCAGAAACCTTGAAAAGCACTTCTGCTCTTTCCCACAGCAGAAACTCAAGAGAAATTTCTTACTTCGTTTAACCACCACTGTAAAAGTTATCAAAAATTCATAATCTGATACAGCTGACAGAGCCTAGCTCCTCTAATCAAATATTCAAATTGAGACAAGGTTTTGGCAAAGCTAAGTATGCCTACTGGGCATTAAAAAAAGATTAAACATTGTTTTTAATTCCCTTGAAGTTATAAATTACACTTCTCTGAGTAAAAAGTGAAACTGAAAACAAATGTGCCTAATAAAAGGAAATACTGCCATTGCTTCATTATTATCTGTTTTGCTGAAAAATCAATAACTAGAAAAGTTACTTAATGAAATATTAATAATAAATATTTCTTACAAATTGGGGGCTTTGAGGGACTAACAGCAGGAAGAAAAAGCAAATCTAGAAAGAAAAAAAAAAAACTGTCCGCTCTCCTCTCAGGGGCCAATGAGGCAGAGCTTACCTGGAAGTCGTTCTTGACTGCGTGAAGGTCATACACAAAGAGCTTCTGGCAGTGAGGCAGGAGGAGGGCGAGCAGGAGGGAGAGGGCACTGGGGACCAGCAGAAGGCTCTTCGACAGAGGCGCCTTGTCTGGAGGGAAAAAGGAAAGCACTTTCAGAATGATTGTTCCTAAGATTTAAAAAACCACATGCGTGAAAAGCAAGAGAATTCACTTCTTTTAAATCAGAATGAAGACAAAGTCCAGAAACTCTGAAATTTGGTTCTAATATCCACTTTCAAAACATCGACCTGGGGATGTAAGTGATCAAAAGACACTGGAAACAAGCAGAATGCCCTAGCAGGGCTTCATTGCCAGTTGGCTCTTAAATGAGACCAAGTTTACAGCCAGAACTTCCATAGAACACCTTTCAGAAAATGGCTACCCAAGTGTAAAGAAATAGAGAAGTGTGTTTCTATCAAATCAGCCAGTTAGCTCCTGAGCATGCACAAAACTCATACATATATAAAAATACATTTTTAATTTCATTTTTTAATTGATACATATTAGGGAACACATTTTGGGAGTACATATGATAATCTGATACATTCATATAATCATATCCAGAGAGAGTCTCACTTTGTCGCCCAAACTGGAGTGCAGTGGCGCAATCTCGGCTCACTGCAACCTCCACCTCCCAGGTTCAAGCGATTCTCCTGCCTCAGCCTCCTGAGTAGCTGGGATTACAGGCACGTGCCACCATGCCTGGCTAATTTTTGTATTCTTAGTAGAGACCATGTTTCACCATGTTGGCCAGACTGGTCTCAAACTCCTGGGCTCAAGCGATCCTTCTGCCTTGGCCTCCCAAAGTGCTGGGATTACAGGCATGGGCCACGGCACCCAGCCCGGGTAATTATCTTAAATATCTCTCTTTTCTTTAGGCTGAATTATTCTCTTCTAGCTATTTTGAAACGTACGATAGATTAGTGTCAACTACAGACACGCTCCTGACCTACTGAACACCGTCTTATTTCTTCTAAGTGTATATTTGTACCCATTAATCAACCTCTTTTTATCCCCCTCTCCCTCCTACCCTTCCCAGCCTCTGATAACCACCAACCTACTCTCTGTCTTCATGAGATCCACTATTTTAGCTTCCACGTGTGAGAACATGCAATCTTTGTCTTTTTGTTCTTATTTCACTTACATGTCTTCTAGTTCCATCCATGTGGCTGCAAATGACAGGATTTCATTCTTTTTATAGCTGAATAATATTCCACTGTGTGTGTGTGTGTGTGTGTGTGTGTATATATATATATATATACGCATAAAATTTTCTTTATCTATCATCCATTTTTTTCCCATTCATTGGAAACTCAAAAGAGGGAACTAGTCAATAAAGATGGAAGTATACAACAAAGAAGGCCGGGCCTGATGGCTCACATCTGCATTGATGGACACTTCAGTTGATTCCACATTTTGGCTATTGTGAATAGTGCTGCAATAAGCATGGAAGTGCAGATATGTCCTTGAAATACTGATTTCCTTTCTTTTGAATATATATCCAGTAGTGGATCATATGGTAGTTTTATTTTTTTTTTTTAAGAACCTCCATACTGTTTTCCATCGTGACTGTACTAATTTACATTCCCACCAACAGTGTACCAGGGTTCTCCTTTCTCCACATCCTGGCCAGCCTCTGTTTTGTTTGGTAGTTGTTGCCGTTTTTGAGACAGAGTTTTGCTCTTTCGCCCAGGCTGGAGTGAAGTGGTGCCATCTCGGCTCACTGCAACCTCTGCCCCCCGGATTCAAGTGATTCTCCTGCCTCAGCCTACCAAGTACCTGGGATTACAGGCACCCACCACCATGCCCAGCTAATTTCTGTATTTTTAGTAGAGACGGGGTTTCACCAAGTTGGCCAGGCTGGTCTTGAACTCCTGACCTCAGGTGATACCCACCTCGGCCTCCCAAAGTACTAGGATTACAGGCATGAGCCACCGTGCCCAGCAGCCAGCCTCTGTTATTCCTGTCTTTTTGATAAAAGCCATTCTAACTCGGGTGAAGTATCTCATTGTGGTTTTGATTTGCATTTCTCTGATGATCAATAATGTTGAGCACATTTTCATATGCCTGTTGGCCATTTGTATGTCTTCTTTTGAGAATGTCTATTCAGATCTTTTGCCCACTTTTAAAATGGACTATTTGGGTTTTTGCTATTGAGTTGTTTGAGCTCCTTACAAATTCTGGTTACTAATCCCTTGTCAGATGGATTAATCTGCAAGTATTGCAAGTATTTTCTCCCATTCTGTGGGTTATCTCTTTGTTGACTGTTTCTTTTGCTGTGCAACTGGAGCTTTTTAGTTTGATTTAATCCCACTTGTCTATTTTTCCTTTGGCTGTCTGTGCTTTTGAGATCTTACACAAAAAGTCTTTGCCCAGACCAACGTCCTGGAGCATTTCTCCAACATTTTCTGCTAGTAGTTTCATAGTTTCAGGTCTTAGACTTAAGTCTTTAATCCATTTCGATTTGATTTTTATGTATAGTAAGAAATATGGGTCTTTCATTTTTGTGCATATGGTTAACCCGTTTTACCAGCACAATTTTTTTTTTGAGACAGGGTCTCACTCTATTGCCCAAGCTGGAGTCCAGCAGCATGATCACAGCTCACTGCAGCCTTGAACTCCTGGGCTCAAGTGATCCTCCCACCTCAGCCTCCCTAGTAGCTGGGACTACAGGCACAAGCCACCACACCTGGCTAATTTTTTTTTGGAGAAATAGTCTTGCCATGTTGATCAGGCTGGTCTCAAACTCCTAGCCTCAAGTGATCCTCTCGCCTCAGCCTCCCAAAGGGTTAGGATGATAGGCATGAGCCACTGCACCCGGCCCCAGCACAATTTTTTTGAAGGGACTGTCGTTTCTCCATTGTATGTTCTTGCCACCTTTTTTGGCTGCAAATGCATGGATTTGTATCTTGGTCTTCTAATCTGCTCCACTGGTCTATGTGTCTGTTTTTATGTGAGTATCCTGCTGATTTGGTTACTCTGTAGTATATTTTGAAGTCAGGCAGTATGATACTTCACCTTGTTCTTTTTGCTCAGGATTATTTTGGCTACTCAGAATCTTTTGTGTTTCCATATAAATCTTAGGATTTTTTTTTCTATTTCTGTGAAGAATGTCATTGATATTTTGAGAGGATTGCATTGAATCTGTAAATTGCTTTGGGTAGTATTGCCATTTTAACAATACTGATTCTTCCAAACCATAAGCATGGAATACCCTTTCATTTTTTTATGTCCTCTTCAAGTTCTTTCATCAGTGTTTGATAGTTTTCCTTGCACATATATTGCACATCTTTGGTTAATTGATTCCTGGGTGTTTTGTTTTTAAAAAATTAAAAGAGGCTAAAAGTGTTAACACTGCTGACTGTAGTGGCCCCCTGAGATTTTCCACCATGAGTACAACTGGAGCCCAGGTCAGTTTTCCAGGAGAGACTAGTGTGACCTCTGCCTTGTACTAAAAGCAGTCACGCCCCTCTTCCTCCTTGATCTAGTCATTTACATATTAAGTATGACAGAATTATACTACTGAGGGTATTTTAGAAACTATAAATGTCTTCTCTCTTCCCTCTGATATGAGAGAAAAAAAGAAGCAAATTATGTTTTCTTCAAGCTCACTTTTTTTCCCAATAGAACAAAATATCAGCTTTCACCTACTCAGGAACATTTCCCCCAAGTATGTCATTTAATCAAAATGCACACTATTGTGAGACATCTAGGTAGCCTCTTCTCTCCCTCTGGTCTTCCTTGGTTCCACCTTTGTGTTTTCATGCCTTCCTCTCTCATAGATCCTGAAAACAAGCCCCTGAAGCTACTTGCTGAGCTAATCCATGGGAAAGAACAAGAGCTATGAGAAGGGAAAGGACCTGGGGCCCAGAAGACTTGGCCTTGAACCTTCATTTTCACACTTACTGATGCTTGTCATTGGACACAGTATCTGACCTCTCTGAGCTTCAGTCACTTCATCTGACCTAATTCTCAGGGTTATGCTAAGAATGAAGTGAGGTAATGCATGTAGAAATGGCTAGCACAGGCAGGGCGCAGTGGCTCACGCCTGTAATCCCAGCACTTTGGGAGGCTGAGGCGGGCGGATCACCTGAGGTCAGGAGTTTGAGACCAGCCTGGCCAACATGGCGAAACCCCATCTCTACTAAAAATACAAAAAAATTACCCGGGCGTGGTGGCAAGCGCCTATAATCCCACTTGGGAAGCTGAGGCGGGAGAATCACTTGAATCGCTTGAACCTGGAAGGTGGTGGTTGCAGTGAGCCGAGATTGTGCCACTGCACTCCAGCCTGGGCGACAGAGTGAGACTCCATCTCAAAAAAAAAAAAAAAAAAAAAAAAAAAAAGAAACGGCTAGCACAATGTCCGGCCCATGATGGAGACTCAGAAAAATAAAGTGCATCTCAATCTAGGAAAACCGCTGAAATAACATGCTTTCCTTGGAAATAATTACTTTATATAATAACCCTGTACCTCCCTTTGTATGGGAGCTCTGTTTTCACTCTATTAAATCTTGCAACTGAAAATAAGAATAATAATAATAATAAAATAATAACCCTGTAATATTCATAGTATCAAAAGACTAGTCTTGAGAACTCAAGTGGTACCAGCAGATTTGGTTACAAAAACATGGCTGAGATTTCCATCAAATAATGAAATACTTACGCTTCATCGGGAACCAAAAACACTGCCTTTTTTTTTCTCCCATCCTTTTACCGTGAAAAAGTTTACAATTAAGACTTACACTAGGGTTTACATAATGATAATTTTGATAATTCTGTCATTACTTTTCTATTTCTTAGCTGGCCTTCTGTCTTCATTCTCCTTGTATCTCGGTATCACTCTACACTCATGGATTTTTACTTAGTCAATGTGTCACAATCAGTTGCATTCTTTTTCCAACGTTCAGATGGTCCAGGTGGAAGCCCTCTGACCAGCTCCTGCGGCCTTTCAACCAGGGCCCTCAACGCCTGCTCTGGCTGCTCCACCTACCCACTCATCTTCCTTGCTTTAGGCTCACCTATACCCGCCCTGCCCAAGACCTAGAATTTCTCTAAGGATCCCTGTTAGGGAATGTTGGGAAATGGTCTTTAGAAACCAAATCTGAGGCCGGGTGCAGTGGCTCATGCCTATAATCCCAGCACTTTGGGAGACCGAGGAGAGCAGATCATGAGGTCAGGAGTTCAAGACCAGCCTGGCCAACATAGTGAAACCCTGTCTCTACTAAAAATACAAAAATTAGCTGGGCATGGTGGTGCGTGCCTGCAGTCCCAGCTACTTGGGAGGCTGAGGCAGGAGAATCACTTGAACCCGGGTAGTGGAGGTTGCAGTGAGCCGAGATCACGCCACTGCACTCCAGCTGGGGCAACAGAGTAAGACTTCGTCTCAGAAAAAAAAAAAAAGAAACCAAATCTGGGCATTAGATGTGCTCACTGTAATTTTCTGGGTCCCAATGCTTCTAGCTCTTTCAGTAATCAGAGCTAGAAAATATATTTTTGAAATCATGATTCATAATGATATTTCCAATTCAAATTTAACAATTTAACACTACAGTGCTATTTTTCTTTTCTTTTTTTGAGACAGGGTCTCCTTGTGTTGCCCAGGCTAGAGTGCAGTGGCGTGATCTCAGCTGACTGCAACCTCCACCTCCTAGGCTCAAGCAATCCTCCTGCTTCAGCCTCCCAAGTAGCTGGGATTACAGGGGCAAGGCCCCATGACCGGCCAGGTTTTTTTTTCGTTGTTTTTGTTTTTTTGTGTGTGTAGAGACAGGGTTTTGCCATGTGGCCCAGGCTGGTCTTGAACTCCTGAGCTCAAGCGATCTGCCCGCCTCGGCCTCCCAAAGTGCTGGGATTACAGCTGTGAGCCACCATGCCTGGCCTACAGTGCTTTTTCCTAAGGACTTTGCATTTCTGTCGTTTCTCTCTTAAATATTAATAGTTAGCTGCTTGCTTTATCCTAGGTTATACATAAAATTTTAATATTACAGTATCAGTATCATTACAAACAATAAACTACTTATTAAGCCCACTGGGCGAAGTTTAAGATACCTTTGAAGATTTTTTTTTTTCTTTTGGTCCTTAGAGTATGTGTGTGTGAATATATATATATATATCTATATCTCTCAACTAAGGATGGACAGGGTCTTGTGTTCAAAAGCTACTTGAAAGAATTATTTTCCCTAGTGGTTATAACACAGAGATTTGTTTATTTCTGTTTACATTCAATATTAAAGTTTGCTCCTTTCTCAGTTAAAATTTTTGAATATGTTAAATATTTACATTGTTCAAAAACCAAAACCAGGAAAAACAAAGGTTTACTTTCACTTCAGTTATTTATCCCCTCTATCCCATACCCCCAAACCCACTCCCATAGATACACACTTCTAATAGTTTCTAGCTTAACTCCCAATTTTCTTTTTTAAAAAACAAGTAACACACATTAACCTATATAAATACACATGTAGACATGGTACAAAAATACACACACTGGCAGTTCCTCATTTCTGCATAGCTCTGATAGGCACAGACTTCAGTTACCATGATTTGGTAAAACAACACCAGCTCTTCAGTACATAGATCATTATGTCAGTAAGACGTGCATTATGATCAGCAACCAATCATGTATGTCACTTCTTTCTAAGTCTGTCAGTGACTGGTCACTGGGCAGCTGTTATTCCATTCATGCACAGACAGTAAAGTATGTAGTTGTGTTGCCTCATCTTCCAATGATAAATTCATGTGACATTTTACAAAAATAGATCATCAAAAGAGGGAACTAGTCAATACACATGAAAGTATACAAAAAGAGAGCCAGGCGTGGTGGCTCACATCTATAATCCCAGCACTTTGGGAGGCCGAGACGGGTAGATCACTTAAGGTCAGGAGTTTGAGACCAGCCTGGTCAACATGGCAAAACCCCGTCTCTACTAAAAATATAAAAAGTAGCTGGGCGTGGTGGCACGCCTGTAGTCCCAGCTACTCGGGAGGCTGAGGTGGGAGACTCACTTGAACCCAGGAGACAGAGACTGCAGTGAGCCGAGATCACACCATTGTACTCCAGCCTGGACGACAGGGAGAAACTCCATCTCAAAAAAAAAAAAAAAAAAAAAAAATGTATACAGCAAAGCAACAAAAAGTAATAGTGCTGGAAGTGAAATGTGAATCAAATGTTATCAGGTTATAAAAGAAATATCAAACCACAGGAATGTTGACACTGCCACCATTCAAGGTGGGCAGCTAGAGAAACTCAGTGAAGGTGAACTTATCAACAGGAAGGTGACTGTGATAGAATACTGGCTCCCCAAGGAGGTCCACGTCCTAATCCCCAGAACCTGTGACTATGTTGGGTTACACAGCAAGGGGGAGTTAAGGTTGCAGACAGAATTGAGGTTGCTAATCAGATGTCCTTGAGATGAGACTACCTAAGATATCCAGCTGGATTCTATGCAATCACAAGAGTCCTTTTTTTTTTGAGACGGAGTCTCCCTCTGTCGCCCAGGCTGGAGTACAGTGGCACAATCTCAGCTCACTGCAACCTCCGCCTACCGGGTTTAGCGATTCTCCTGCCTCAGCCCCCTGAGTAGCTGGGACTACAGGCACGTGCCACCACATCCAGCTAATTTTTGTATTTTTACTAGAAATGGGATTTCACCATATTGGCCAGGCTGGTCTCAGACTCCTGACCTCATGATCCACCCGCCTCGGCCTCCCAAAGCGCTAGGATTACAAGCGTGAGCCGCTGCAACCGGCCCACAAGAGTCCTTTTAAGTGCAAGAGGGAGGCAGGAGAGTAAGTTTCAGAGTGACAATGTGTAAGAAAGAGTCCACCAGTCACCCTTGGCTTCGAAGATAAAATTGGGTCATGAGTCAAGAAATGTGAGCTGCCTCAGAAAGCTACAAAAGGCGAAGAAACAGATTCCTTCTCAGAGCTTCCAAAAGAAATGCAGCCCTGCTGACACCTTGATTTTATCCCAGTGAGATCCATTTTGGACTTCTGGCCTCCAAACTGTAGGATAATAAATTTATTTTGTTTTATTTATTTATTTATTGAGGAGACAGAGTCTTGCTCTGTTGCCCAGGCTGGAGTGCAGTGGCGTGATCTCAGCTCACTGCAACCTCTGACGCCTCCCAGGTTCAAGCAATTCTCGTCCCTCAGCCTCCCAAGCAGCTGGGACTACAGGCGCTTGCCACCATGCCCAGCTCATGTTTTTGTATTTTTAGTAAAGACAGGGTTTTGCCATGTTGCCCAGGCTGGTCTCGAACTCCTGAGATCAGGCAATCTGCCCACCTCAGCCTCCCAAAGTGCTATGATTACAGGCATGAGCCACTGTGCCTGGCCATATTTCTTTTGTTTTAAACCACCACGTTTGTGATAATTTGTTAGAGAAGCAACAGTACACTAAAATAGTGATTATCATGTCCCTGAGGAAGTGATGCTGGCAAAAATCTACATATTAAGGAAACTCTCAGGGATATTTTGTCACATTGAAAGCAGAGAGAATAAAATAATGGAAACTCAGCCAAACTCAGAAAGGTGTATGACAATTCACAAGGTTTAAGATAGATACTCCCCATAAGTTACACAACAGGAAGAAGGCAAACACTGTTCAAACTGCTCCTGGTAAGTTTCTTACAAAGAAATAAAACCCTTTAATTCTCAATGTCGCTGAAGTTTTTAATAAATTACAGTATACTGTTTTACTATTTTTTCATTTCCCTATGCATTTATAACTATACATTTATAAGAGAAAGTCTAAAGTTTTAACAAAGCATTCTTTCAACGAAGATTTTTAAAAGTCACAGAACAATCCAAATTTTCCCCATTGATTATTAAAATAGCTTTGCCCGGTTTCAACTTGCACGGTCATTTTTACGGTCCTGCATCACCTTGCAAAGCAAGGACTATCTGTGTGTGTTTGTATATACTCTTTCCTAAAACGAGGCTGCAATGTGGTCACTTTGGTATGACCTTCAAGCTCAAATGACAAGTCACTGTCCCTGGTTGTCCAGACCTCCCTACATTCTGGGCCTCCTGCCTCTCCAGCACAACATCCATTGCTTTGTTCTCAGGAGCCTTTGCTGCAATCAAACCGCACAGCTCACTACCTCCTGAACATGTTGCTTTCTGTTTCAATGCCTTTGGAAAATTTTTCCAGACTTAAATCCCCAAATATCATCAATGCCTTCCTTATTAGCACAGATACTCCCTTATCTAAATCTTATGCAGCCTTCAAATTACAGTTGTTTCTACTTTCCTCCATCAGCCTGAGTGAACCATTTTAGCCTGAAGGGCTTTTCCCCCACTCTGCACCCTCGTTCCCACACACTACTATGAGCAGCCAGGGTTTGTACAGTTTTGCTATCCCAACCACAATAAAGATTCCTGAAGGGAGGCCACATGCCTTACCCTTCGCTACATCCACCATAAAGCCTAGCACCGTCCCTTGCACAGATGAAACGTCCAGATCATTAACAGCCAAGATCACAGAAAAGCCTCACTGATGGGGACATTCTCAGATTCTGTGAGATGCACCTTCATCTTATTCATAAGAAATTCCCTGGGGGCGAATTTACCAGTTACAGTTGACACTGTGGTTATTGTACTTGTCTAAGCATATAAAAATAGCCCAACTATTTCCTCTCTGGTAAGGTCTTGTGAGCATCTAAACTAGAACCATTAGTAAAGTGGTTGCATACTTTCTTCATGACCAAAATGCAAACAAGGCTCCACGGAATCTAAAATCTAACCGAGTTCCTCATTGCCTCGTAATTCAAAAGTAGAGGAGAGCACCATGACTATAAGCCTAACCAACCTAAATCCTTTCTCGAGCCATTTCAGCCTCAATTTTCCTCACCTGTAAAATGGAGATGAGAACCTACCTCAAAAGTGTTACGAGAAGAAAATGAAATAAAAGAATAAATATAGGGGCTGGGCACAGTGGCTCATGCCTATAATCCCAGCACTTTGAGAGGCCAAGTCGGGCAGATCGCTTGAGGTCAGGAGTTTGAGACTAGCCTGGCCAACATCGTGAAGCCCCGTCACTACTAAAAATACAAAAATTAGCCGGGCGTGGTGGGGTGCGGGGGAGCCTGTAATCCCAGCTATTCAGGAGGCTGAGGCAGGAGAATCGCTTGAACCCAGGAGGTGGAGGTTGCAGTGAGCCGAGATTGTGCCATTGCACTCCAGCCTGGGCAACAAAGCGAGATTCCGTATCAAAAAAAAAAAAAATGAATGAATATAGAGAATATTGCTCCTACCACCAGCACCATCACAACACCCCGGGCTTCCCCCATTAAAGGCAAGCTCCTTTGTGACTCTGACAGGACTGCAGATGGAGCAGGGGTGATGTAAGTGCAACGGGCAGCTTGATCCATGTTTCCTTCAACTTGGGTTTCCACCTGTCCTTGTGCAATGGGCCCCGTCAGTCCTTCCTCTTCCTTGCCAGCTTCTGAGCAACTCAACATGACTCAAAAAAGTCACCCATCTGAGCTACAAGATTTCACCATAAATTCTTGGTCTCAAGTCTCAAGGTGACACTCTCCACTGACCAGCATTTCCACTGATTTTCTCTAGTATATCTGCTCTACAACTTCTTACCTCACACTATCTCTTCCTCTCTCCTCAAACCTCCCTAATTCACACTCCCAACTTGAATACCAAACTCCCAACACATGCACCAAATGAATAAATGAACGGTTTGCTTTGGTATTCTCAATCATTCTCTAAATATGAGTAGGCATCCACGCTGTACCATGCATTATTCTAGGTCCTGAGGCACAGCAATAAACTGTGGACAAAGTCCCTAGCCTTGTGGTTTGGAGTGTAGACAGGACAGAAAAACAACAACAAACAAAACAAGGTAGATATACATTATGTCAGATGGAAATAAATCCTATGAGAAATGAACTAGGGAAAATAAAACCTGTGGCTTTGTTATTCACCACATATTTCCCGTCTCTTCCCAAACACATGGTAGGACTGCTCCCCACCCCCACTCCCAAATGAAGTGAGGCATGGCAGTGTGACTTGCTCTGGCCAAGTAAATGAAAGCTATGTCACTTCCAGGAGGACCCTTTAAGAGCCAGGGAATCATTCTTGTTCTTTTCACCTGCCAACGTGCAAGATGGTGGTTACTCTATCAGCCAGCTCCCGGGGCTGACGACAGTGTGGAGTGGACCCCTCCTAGGTAACTTGCAGTGGAGATGGAACACCAGTGAGATGCAAGCCTTGTCTCGGGTTCCTGATATTTCAGAGTTGTTTGCTACTGCAGCATAACCGGGGAAGGAGGGGTGCCGTCTTTTTTTGTTGTTTTTTTTTTTTTGAGATGGAGTTTCGCTCTTGTTGTCCGGGCTGGAGTGCAATGGCACAATCTCGGCTCATTGCAACCTCTGCCTCCTGGGTTCAAGCGATTCTCCTGTCTCAGCCTCCCGAGTAGCTGGGATTACAGGCATGCACCACCACAACTGGCTAATTTTGTATTTTTATTAGAGACTGAGTTTCTCCATGTTGGTCAGGCTGGTCTTGAACTCCTGGCCTCAGGTGATCCACCCTCCTTGGCCTCCCAAAGTGCTGGGATTACAGGCATGAGCCACCGCGCCCAGCCAAGGGGTGCCGGTCTTATCCAACCTGGTTAGGGAAAACCTTCTTGTAATGTGGATTTGAGCAGAGACCTGAAGATGTAGGCCTTGCAGATATCTGAGGGAAGGGTGATTCTGGAGGAAAAAAAAGCAAGTACACATGCTTTGAGATGAAAACATGCTCAACATGATTAAGAGATGATAAGGCTGCCAACTGGCAAAAGCAGAATGAGCACAAGGCAGACAGGGAGGGAGCTAACGTCAAACAAGTGGTGATGAGGGGAATGGTCCAGAGCCCTACAGGCCATTATGAGGACTTTAACCTTTCCTCTGGATGTGACAGGGTGCTTTGGGGAGGTCTAAGTAGAGGAATAACATGATTGGACATGTTTTTGAATGATCACTTTGGTTGCTAAATTGAGAAGAAATTACAGTAAGGCAATGGTGGAAGATAGTAAACCAGTTAGAAGGCTGTTAGGGAATCCAGGGAAGAAAGGAGGATGTTCAAACCAGCAGGGTGGAGGTGTAGATGAAGAGGGAGGTTGAAACTGGGATATGTTGTGAAGGTACTGCAGGCAGGATATGCTGACTAACCGGGTGCATGGGCAGATGGAGAAGTCAAGAATAAAATTAAGTTTTGTTCTGGACAACTGGAAGAACTGTTGGCAGTTACTGAGATGGCCCTGACTAAGTTTACTGACATGTTGTCTTTCCTACCTACAAGATCTGGGCCCATCTTGCAATATGCTCCCCCAAGCCTTCACCTGCCAGGTCTCTCTCTCCTCTCTACCAGTGCCACTCAAAATAACCAGTCTGCAAAGTGCTACCAGCTCACAGTGGGGTCAGAGTTTGTGCCAAATGTGAATCAACATACTGCCTCCTTCAGGGATGAAGTCCTGCTATGAAAACATATCAACTAAACATGTGCTGTGCTCAAATGTTACCTTATCCTTTGTCCTGCTTTTTTCATAGCACTTAACAGTGGATTTAATAGTGATCCATCAACTCTATGATTCAAACTGATACACCATTATTTTTAGTGCCACTAAAAAATAAACGCTGCCAAATATAATTCTAAGACGTCATCAATTACAAGGCACGTTCCAATTTTAGAATCATTAAAACGTGGGACCTAATGCATTTTAGAATCAAGGAAATATGTTTATTGGTCTATTGTCCATCCGCCCATCTTCAGTCTCCACTAGAACACAAGCTTACTTAGGGCATCAGCTTTGTCTGGTACATTCCTTGTTGCAGCATCCCTCATGCCTCCAATAGGACCTGACACATAAAGGCAGTCAAGAGTGTTTGTTAAACAAAAGGGGAGTGATGTGAAGGAGGTGCTCACATACTGGCGGGAGGAACCCAAGTGTCCACTGGCAGATGAATGCATAAACGGGTAAACAAAATGTGGCATACACATATAATGGAATTTAATTCAGCCTTAAAAAGGAAGGAAACTGGCACATGGAACAACATGCATGAACCTTGAGGACATTATGCTATGTGAAATAAGCCGGTCACAAAAAGATAAATATTATATGATTCCACTTATTTGCAGTACCTAGAGTAGTAAAATTCACAGAGGCAGAAAGTAGAAAAGTGGTTGCCAGAGGCAGGGTACAGTGGGCGGAGGAAGGGGGAAATGGGAAGTTGTTTAATGGATACAGAGTTTCATTTCTGCAAGATGAGAAGAGTTATAGACATCGGTTGCACAATATGAACGTACTTAATACTACTGGACTATACACAAAAATAGTTAAGATTGTACATTTTATATTATGTACATTTTACCACAATTAAAAATTAAAACTAAATATAAGCAAATATTTACTGAACTAATAACTGACCCTATTTACACAGCCATTTTAATTCTGTCCAGGACCAAACAAACCCCTAAAAATACAGATCTGATAATTACCATTAAGTATTCCTCTCAAAATGAGCAAAAATCACATCTCAGAAACCTATGTGGAAAGCAATAATACACAAATATCCAAACAGTTGCACATCACAGGATAAGTATATAGTATCATTATAGACAACAAGATTCGCTCATCAACTCAAGATTTGTACTTTTACTACGTAAAAATTTTAACTCAAAAACCTTTAAATAGTTATTATTAAACTCTAGGGAATAACAATGCACATTTAAGTGTTTAGAGAAAATGTGACTATAATCTACTTTGAAATGCATTTTTAAAAATCATATGGTACTGATCAAATAAATAAAGGGATTGATATTTGCTAAAGCCAACATAGTAAAATGTTAATTGTGTAGAATCTAGGTGGTGGGTATATGGGTGTTCAGTGTACCCCTCTTTCTACTTTGTGGCATGTTTGAAATTTTTCATAATTAAAACATTGGGTGGGAGGTGCACAGTGAATCATAGAATCTGAGAGCTGAGAAAGGATTTCAATGAAGCAAAAATTAATAGAACTGAAATGGGACGTAGATAAATCCACAAATATAGTTGGAGAATTCAGCACTCTTCTCACAGTAATCGATAATACAAGCAAACAGAAAATCACTGTTATGGACTGAACGTTTCCTCCTAAAATTTGTATGTTGAAGCTCTATGCTGACTAAGTTTGGAGATAGGCCCTTTAAAGAGGTAATTAAGGTTAAGTGAGGTCATAAGGATAGATGGAGCCCTAATTCAATGTGACATGTCTTTTAAGAAAAGGGAGGGACCCAGGGATGCTTGCACACACAAAGGAAAGACCATGTGATGACACAGCTAGAAGCCAGCAGGCTCCTGCAAGGCCCCAGGAGAAACCAAACCCGCCAAAACCCTGAGCTTGGACTTCTAGCTTCTGGGTCTGTAAGAAAATTAATTTCTGTTCCTTAAGCCACCCAGTCTGTGGTATTTTGTTATGGCAGCCCAAGCTGACCAGTAAAATCAGTAAGGATACACAAGACCTGAAAAACATTATCAACCAATTTGGCCTGATTGACATTTATAGAACACTCCACCCAACAACGGCAAGTTACACATTTTTTCAAGTGCATATGGAGCATTCACCAAAATAGACTATATTCTGGGCATAAAAGAGTCCTCAAAAAAATTTAAAGGAATTAAAATCATATAAAGCATGTTCCTTGGCCACAAAAAAATCAGAAGCCAACAGCAGAAAGATGGAAAATCCCCCAAATATGTGAAAACTCAACAACACATTTCTAAACAATATCTGGGTCAAAGAGGAAGTCACAAAGGAAATTAGAGTATATTTAAAACAGAATAAAAAAATGAAGCACAACCAAGCAAAATTTGTGGACTGCAGATAGAGCAATGCTTAGAGGGGAAAATGTAGCATAAAAATGCTTATATTAGGAAGAAAAAAGGTCTCACATAATGGTGTAGGTTACAATCTTAAAAAAAAAAAAAAAAAAAAAAAACAGAAAAAGAGAAAGAAGAGCAAATTAAAACCTAAGCAAGCAGATATAAAGAAATAATTAAGAGTAGAAATCAATGAAATGGAAAAAACAAACTATAATAGAGACAAATCAATGAAACTCAAAGCTGGTTCTTGAGATCAATAAAACTGATACACTTCTAGCAGAAATGATCAGGACAAAAAGAGAGAAGACACAATTATCAGTATCAGGAATAAAGAGGAGGCATCACTACTGACCCCAGAGACATTAAAAGGATAGTAAGAAGTTGCACAACAATGTGAATGTACTTAATGTCACTGAACTGTACACTTAAAAATAGTTAAAACAGTAAGTTTTATGTTATGTATTTCTTATCACTACTAAAATGTCTTATCACAACTAAATTTTTTTTTGAAAGGGAATGTTAGGAAATACTTTACGCCCATAAATTTGATAACTTAGATGAAACAGGCAAACTCCTTGGAAGACACAACCTACCAAAGCTCATTCAAGAAGAAATGGGTAACTTAAATAGTCCTACAGATATTATGAAATTGAATTTATAGTTAAAAGACTTCCAACAAAGAAAACTCCAAGTCTGATGGCTTCAGGGGAGAATTCTACCAAGCATTTAAATACCAATTCTATACAAACTCTGTTACAACACAGAAAAATAGAGAACACTTTCCAACTCATGTTATGAAGCCAGTGTTACACTGTTAGCAAAGCCATGCAAAGATATTAAAAGGCAAAAAATAGACCAATATACTTTATGAACGTATTAACAGATGCAAAATTCTCAACAAAACATCAGTAAATCAAACCTAGCATTATATAAAAAGAATACATCATGACCAAATAATGCTTATCCTGGGAATGCAAAGCAAATCAATGTAATTTACCATATCAACAAGTTAAAGTATACTATGAAACCATTCTCATCCTGCCCAATTACTGCTTATTCTATGAAACCAATTTGTCATCAATCCATAAGGCTAAACTGACCACTTACTGCTATGTAATTACCAATGGGCTACCCCTTTGATCTAACCTCAATTATTAATTACTAATATAACCAACTAGTAACTACTAATACCAACCAACATTTATTAAGCACTTAGGAAGTGGAGGTATTAGCATCACACTTTATGTGTGCTACTTTGCTCCTGCCACTCCCACTACAGGGCCTATGTGCCTGTTACTCTCTCTACCCAAAATGTTCTTCCCACGTCCAGCTTATTCTCACCATTGAGTCCTCATTTCTAAGAGCACCTCCTCAGAGTGGCCTTCCATCGTGATTTTTTGCTTTTGAGTGCATCATCCTGGTTAATTTACTCTGTGGCATTCTTTACTACTTGAAATTCTTTGTTTGCTTCTTTGTCCGTCTCCTTCATCAGAATGTAAACCCTGTGAAGACAGGGTCCTAGTTGTCTTGCTCACTGCCATATCCCCATAGCCAGAATGCCACCACTTAGCACACAGTTGCCTTTCAGTAACTATGTGGTGAATGAATTACTTACACGGTTTAAACCTCAAAATAACCCTATGAGGCAGACATCACTCTTCTCAGATTTATACAGAAGACAAAACTGTGACTCGGAGAGTACATTACCTATCCATGACTAGAAAATGTCTTAGCCGGGGTTCCTCTAAGAGTAAAAGGTGAGACAAAGGCTTCCAGGCAGGGACTTTATTTTGGAATGTGATCCCAGGGAGCAGTAGTGAAGGACACGGGGAGCGAAACAGAGGAAGAGTCCAAAGAAGGGCACTGTCAAGTAGGCGATCACCATGAGTGACAGATGTTTCTGACAGGTGCTGGAACCTGCAGGACTTTCCGAGAAGCCTTGTGAATGTGTCTCAACTACCATCCCAGGTGGAACAGGGCAGCATTTTTATCCATCAGCTTCCATCCTCAATGGTCTAGAGTGGCCATAGAAAAGAAGCCCCATGGGAGGAACACAGAAATAGGAACAAAAAACCAGCTTACACACCAAATGGGACTCTGTAGAAATAAAATAAAAGGTGAGGCTGAGTACACTGAAACAGTGTGCAAGAAGAAGCTAGTGAGCAGCAGAACCAGAATTCAAGCTCTGATAATCCGGACTACAAACACAACTGACTACACTGCACTGCCATATAGTGCCACGGTTCAAACAAATTTTCACCTTCATGGTGGATTTCAAGTGAAAGACATACACAATCACAAACAGCACTAATAGAAATCAAAGTAGTGCCCTGTGTAACAAAAGTAAATGTAATTGTGAACGAAATATAAAAAGACTGCAGTTTGTGGAGGTTGCAACACAGATCCAAGAAATCCATTTCTAGGAATTTAGCCCAAAGTAATTATCATAAATGTGCACAAAGATTCTGCTACAACAATGTTCATCGCAGCACTGTTTATAATAGTGAAAAGACCAGAAACAATATGAATATCTAATTGGGAAATGGGTAAATTATGTTCTATCCATAAAAATGGGATAATATTCAACATTAAGCAATAGGTTGTAGAAAAATATTTTGTACCTTGGAAAGATGTTCCTAAATAGTAAGCGCAAAATATTCTAGTGGTATTATTATACAAAAATAATATATAAATACTTTTTTTAAAAAAGCATCTACCAAAATATTAACAGAGATAATCTCTGGTCTGTTCATGGGAGATCTTAATTTTTTACCAAAAAAAAATCGATTTTGACAATTAGAAAAAATAATTTGTAACTAGTTACTAATTCAAGAAAAAGATCCATATGGTGAATCCTTATGCACTGAGATGGGGCAAGTCACTAGTAATCTTCGGCCTCTCTGTGAGCAGAGCCAGGAAGTGGTTCATACGCACAGAACCCAAGCAGAGATCAAACAGAAGGTTAAGAAAAAGTCACTTCTCTGCAGGAGATCCTTTTACCTTTGAAAACAGGGATGCTACAAATTTTGAGAATAACAGACAACGCATTAATCTAAAAGTAAAAATGCAAAATACCTCTCTGGCAAAGATAATATAAAAATATAAAGTTTAAGAATTCCTTTTGGGTCTGATTTCTCTTTGGTTTGACCTAAGTACATAGTCATTTCTTTGAGGCAATAAATACTAATCAGGCTTGGGTGACTACGTATTATCCTAAAATAAATATTACAGTATATGTGGATTATTTTATGCCAGGCACTGTGCTAATAAAAGCACTTTACATGTAATACCATCTCAGTGAATTACTATAATAGCCCTGAAGCACGAATTAATTATCAGCATTCTCTAGGTGAAGAAATAAACTAAGAAAGGCTAAATAACTCACTGAAGGTCACAGCTAGTTAGTAGAGGGGCTGGGATTTGAACTTGGTTCTGCCTGACTATAAAGAAACCATTTCTTTCTAATATATAAGAAGGAACTATGATAACTTTATATGTGTACTATTTTAATACTTAAGATATATCTTTTTGGTTCCACAAAACGTCAAGCACAGAATTATGACATGACCTAGCAATTCCACTCTGAGGAATATACCCAAGAAAACTGAAAACACAGGATTTTTTTTTCCACAAAAACCTACATACAAATGTTCATAGTAGCATTATCATAACACAAAAAGTGGATACAAACCAATGTCCATCAACAAATGAACAAAATGTATATCCATACAATAGAATATTATTCAGTCATAAGAGGAATGGATCCTGATACATGCTACAACATAGATGAACCTCAAAAACATTATGCTAAGTGAAAAAAAGCCAGTCATATAAAGTTATGTACTATATGACTCCACTTATATGAAATGTCCAGAATTTAAAAATCCATACAGACTGAAAGCAGATTAGTGTTTGTCAGGGACAGTTGGGAGAAGGTAATAGGGCATGACGGCTTAATACAGGGATGTCTAATCTTTTGGTTTCCCTGGGCCACACTGGAAAAGAAGAATTATCTTGGGCCACACATAAAGTACACTAACACTAACAATAGTTGATAAGCTTAAAAAAATTGAAAAAAATCTCAGAATGTTTTAAGAAAGTTTACAAATTTGTGTTGGGCTGCATTCAAAGCTGTCTTGGGTCGCATATGGCCCATGGGCTGCAGGGTGGACAAGCCTGGCTTAATGGGCACTCCGTTTCTTTCTGGCGTGATAAAATGTTCTGCAATTAAATTGTGGTTGCTGTTAATTGCACAACAATGTAAATGTACTGGAAGTCAATAAGTGAACATTTTTAAATGGTTAAAATGGCCAATTTTAACTGAATAAAAATATGTATCTTTTGGGTACTGGAGACACTAACCACAGGCCTTGCAAAGCTTAGTCCTGTGGGCTGTTACAGAAGCATTCTAGCTGAAGACAGACAGGTAGGGGAGCAACCCAGAAACTCTGCCTGCCTCCACAAGTCACGCATGTAAAAATACACACATCAAAAAGCCCTGTATGGTTCACACCCTTGAGAGGAGGAGCCGCCATATCCTACCACAACATTGGTTTTCCTATGTCTGACTACTTAACTATTTGGTAAACTTCTCAGGGTTCTCACAAGAATGGGGTGACTTGGTGTCTCATAAAGTAACTTTCTCATAAAGTTTTTCATCAGAAAGGAGCTAAACCAAAACTAAGGGCAGAAATCCACAAAAGCACAGTAAACCCATGCCTTGCAAGAGACACCTTGCACTTCCACTATGATTTATTCCTCAAGTCTCTGGACTTCCTAAAAGAAAACTTAATGAAACTTAGATTCGGTGACCACGTTAAGGAGGAATGAGTGCCTCCTGGTGATCGTCTCAACAAAGACTGTCCAGGGATCAAAAGGTTCCAGGTTTATTTTTGTTACAGCTGTTTCCCTACAGTGTTTAGAAGTAAAACACTGGAAGCCATCCATCAATCAGCTCCTGTCCCTAATGCATTGAGGAGAATTCAATGACACTGGACACCTGCCACACTGACCGCTCCTCATACAGGTCCCCAGACAACCGGGCAGAGTGCCTGGCTCAGGACAGCAGCCAATAAACACTTGTTATCGAAGCAAGAGTTATACAGTTTATCAGGAAAATAAGCAGGAGAAAGTGCTAAGAAGTTTCCAGGGAAAAAAAAAAAAAGGTCAGGAAAGAGAAGGACTTACCCTCTAGATACAAAAAATGTGCTCCACATCTAAAATACTTAAACAGTGTGAATTAGAGGGGAGGAAAGAGTGAGCTGTAAAATTTAAAATCCTAGTCCTGAAACAGCACCAAACACAGAGGCCTGCATGCCAGAGAAAAGTGTTTCAAATCTGCAAGTCAGCAAAGGCACTGGGCACCTAAATGTTCATTTTGGTCCCACCACTGTGGTGGCCACCAGTTGGGTTTATACTTCTTAGGGAGATTTTATACAAACATTAACACTATGATTAAATGTAAAAAGCAGTAATTACTAAAAGTACTAATTAGACAAGAAATGTAATTATAATGAAATAATAATTTTAAAAGCCAAAATAAGTTTAAAAAATTATGACTGTAACACACAAATATGGGATAAATCAGTTAACAGTTGGAATAACTCTAAATAAAGTAAATCAGGACGCTTACAGAAAGTTCTGGACCATGTGATAAACTGTAAGAGAGAAGAAATAATACTTTTCAAGTGGGGAAATGCGTGGTTAGTGGCAAGAAAACGTGTTGTAAATTCAAGTGCCTACAGAGGCCAGGCAGGCAGTGAAATGGGGGAGTCGATGGCAAGAAGGTGGGCACGAGCTCGGTGGACGCTGCCACCCACCTAACAACTCGGCCCTGAGGCTGCCAGATCATCCGCCTCAGGACATCACAGACACCTTGAATTTAGGTCTGAAATAAGCCAATTTTAAAGTGCTGGCAAGTAACTCTCCTCTCCAACCTGCCCCCCACAACCTCCACAGAGACCAAAGGAAACGCCTGGGGCCTGGAGAAGCACCGCGGGGTGGGCACCCATCAGCGCAGCTGAGACACCAGAGGGCTGCATGCCAGGGCGAGCGCGGGTAACAGCTGGCCCCAAGCCGGGGTGCCTCCCTGTGTTCAAGGACCCAAGAAGTCGGACTCAACCAAACAGGGTGACAAGTAAGGCTGCCCGAGCTACAAAGATGGTGCTGGAACGTCCCCAGGCCACACAAGAGGGTCTGCCTCCACAGAGTTTCAGCATAGCCTACGTGGGTCTGGGTTGGAGAAAGAGGGCAGGCAGAACACACGCCTGCATGGTGGAGAAACCCAAGTCTGGTTTTTAAAGCTCTGATGAGCCACGGGACCTCTCCCTGGGAGAAAAGCGTAAGAGATCCGAGCAGAAAAACCCTTGCAAGTTTGGGCTTCTGAGTGGCCCTTCAGCACCTAATGGATGGAGGGACTGACTCTGCCAACATCTCCAGCCACTGACGCTGAGCAACGGCCTAGCTGAAGTGGGGAACAAGCCCCACTAAAACCCCAAACACTAAAATTAATTCGAAAACGAGGAAAGAGGCCAGGCGCCGTGGCTCACGCCTGTGATCCCAGCACTTTGGGAGGCCGAGGCAGGCAGATCACCCAAGGTCAGGTGTTCGAGACCAGCCTGGCCAACATGGTGAAACCCCGTTTCTACTAAAAATACAAAAATTAGCCGGTCATGGTGGCAGGCGCCTGTAATCCCAGCTACTCGGGAGGCTGAGGCAGGAGAATCACTTGAACCCAAGAGGCAGAGTTTGCAGTGAGCCAAGATCGCACCACTGCACTCCAGCCTGGGGGACAAGGGCAAGACTTCGTCTCAAAAAAAAAAAAAGAAAAAAGAAAAGAGTCCAACAAAAACGACAAAACCAAGAAGACCACCAGGTAAAATTCCAGTCTAAGACAGCAGACCCAGGACACCTGTCCACGTTCCCGCCCTTCCAAAGTTGTTTCAAAATAAAAGAACCCTCAAAACACCAGCGAAATGTGTCCTTTCAACTGAGTCCAGAGAAAGAATCAACAAATACCAAGACCTGGGGAGGAATATGAACAATCTTCGGGAGAATTGAGGGCATTTCTCAAACTGCAGGCATTACCACTACAGCACCAGTTTCTGCCTGCCCTGATCCTGTTATTAATATTTTTCTTTAAATCACCTATGATTTACATAAATATTTTAAACGAAATTTGATATCACTACGGTAAATGGAAAACAAGTGTTGCTTTCTCATTAATAGGTGGTAACTATAAAAATAAACACACTGGGCCGGGCACGGTGGCTCACACCTGTAATCCCAGCACTTTGGGAGGCCAAGGTGAGCGGATCACCTGAGTTCAGGAGTTTGAGACCAGCCTGGCCAACATGGTGAAAACCTGTTTCTACTAAAAATACAAAAATTAGCCAGGTGTGGTGGCGGGCATCTATAATCCTAGCTACTACTTCGGAGGCTGAGGAATGAGAACCCCTTGAACCAGGGAGGCAGAGGTTGCAGTGAGCCGAGATTGCACCACTGCACTCCAGCTGAGGCGTCAGAGTGAGACTGTGTCTCAAAAATACACACACACACACACACACACACACACACAAATATAGGTTGGTACAAAAGTAATTGCCATTTTACCTTTAATGGCAAAAACCGCAATTACTTTTGCACCAACCTATAACAAAACAAAGTTATTAAAGACTAATATTACTTCCTGCTCTTTTTGTTACAATAGGAAAATAGCCTTTATTAGAGAGGTCTTTCAGACTAGCACCACATCAAGATTTTCTCTTTGATCCGATCAGGAATAGTAAGAACTGAAAAGGGCAGTTTGAATCACGGTGCGATGAAGGAGTAGATGGTGGGATCTCACCACGGGTCTGATTAGCCCTTTCTCTGCCTTGCTTGAGCTTCAGCAGAACTCGAAATGGCTGACGGTAAGGCTGGGAAGGACTCCGGAAAGGCCAAGACAAAGGCGGTTTCCCGCTCGCAGAGAGCCGGCTTGCAGTTCCCAGAGGGCTGTATTCATCAACACCTGAAATCTAGGACGACGGGTCACAGACATGTGGGTGCAACTGCCGCTGTGTACAGCGCAGCCATCCTGGAGTACCTCACCGCAGAGGGACTTGAACTGGCAGGAAATGCATCAAAAGACTTAAAGGTAAAGTGTATATTACCCCTCGTCACTTGCAACTTGCTATTCGTGCAGATGAAGAATTGGATTCTCATCAAGGCTACAATTGCTGGTGGTGGTGTCATTCCACACATCCACAAATCTCTGATTGGGAAGAAAGGACAACAGAAGACTGTCTAATGTATGCCTGGATTCCTTGTTATCTCAGGACTCTAAATAAAAGAACAGCTGTCCAGTGTTGGTGATGCCAGTGGACTATATTTCTGTGAAAAACACAATTTTGTCTTTTTGTAATTCTATTTGGGCAAGTTGGAAGTTTAATTAGCTTTCCAACCAAATTTCTGCATTTGAGTCTTAACCATATTTAAGTGATACTGTGGCTTCAAGGAAGCTATTGATTCTGAAGTACTGGGCTTTGATTGAGCTGACTGTTTTTAAAAAACTGTTTGGATTTTAATTGTAATGCAGAAGTTATAGTAACAAACATTTGGCTTTGTACAGACATTATTTCCACTGTGGTGGATAAGCTCAATAAAGGTCATATCCCCCAAGAAAAAAAAAAAACAAAAAGAAAAGAACTGAAAAGGGAGTCATGACCTGACTTCTATTTCAATGATGTTTACTGCTGGGCTGACACCCTGTCTAAAATCATCTCCAGTGGTGCAAATGCCACCGAACAAGCATGACAGCAGTGGGGCCTCAAACCCTTCCCCACCCACAGTCTACAAACAGCCTTTTCACCACCATCCCAGTTGGAAAGAAATTTATTTATTCCCCCAAAATAAAATCCTAGAAACTCTCCAAAAAGGGTGGGGTGGGGGACAATCTGCTTAAGGAGAACAATGAGGGGGTTGGAGGTCTGCAAAAAAGTAGAAGAGAGCTTGGGGTAACTTCAAACTTCCAAACCAGATCACAGCACAGGTGACGGGGAACGGACAAGGAGGGTAATAAGAAAGGCAGCTTCACTCAGGAGTAAAAGCCACAGAAAGCAATGAGCCACCCTTTGACGACTGCAGGGGGTTCTCACAGTCCTGCTTCCCCCACCACCACCTACTCCCCACCTCTGCAACCTATATGCAAACCAGCCTATTCATATTCCTTGCATACTAGAAGAGAACCTAGAGTCAGCCCTGCCATTTCAAGTTTGAGCCTCTTGCGGGAAAAGGCTGTACCCACAAACAAAGAGGAAACCCACACTAGGTACTTAGGAATCCAGTCATTCAGGACTGCACAAGAACGGCCAAGCAAGATCCAGAAGTTCACCACTCGTGTCCTTACACGAAAAAAATTTACTCCAGGAGGGATTCCAGGAAAAAAAAAAAAAAAAACAAACCAAAGATGCCAAGGCAAAAAATGATACAAGATTGAAGAAACAGCAGGACAGGTTTTCTGACCTAAGTTCTAACCCTGGCTCTACAATAAATACACAATCAGGCCAGGTGCGGTGGCTCACGCCTGTAATCCCAGCACTTTGGGAGGATGAGGCAGGCAGATCACTTGAGGTTGGGAGTTCGAGACCAGCCTGGCCAACATGGTGAAACCCCATCTCTATTAAAAATACAAAAATTAGCCAGGTGTGGTGGTGCACACCTGTAATCCCAGCTACTAGAAGGCTGAGACAGGAGAATCGCTTGAACCTGGGAGGCAGAGCTTGCAGTGAGCTGAGATCACGCCACTATACTCCAGCCTGAGCGACAAAGCAAGACTCTGTCTACAATAAAATAAAATAAAATATTCTTATCTTTTGATTCTATAATTCAACATTTATGATTATTTCTTTAAAATGGGGTTAAAGATGCAATCAATAACTTAGTTACAAAGATGTTCTAAGTGTTTCTAACGGGAAAATACTGCAAAAAAAACTTATTTTAGTACGATAAAATGTTATAATCGACCGGGTGCAGTGACTAATGCCTGTAATCCCAGCACTCTGGGAGGCTGAGTCGTGCGGATCACCTGAGGTCAGAAGTTCAAGACCAGCCTGGCCAACATGGTAAAACCCTGTCTCTACAAAAATACAAAAATTAGCTGGGCATGATGGCAGGTGCCTGTAATCCCAACTACTCGGGAGGCTGAGGCAGGAGAATCACTTGAACCCGGGAGGCAGCAGTTGCAGTAAGCCGAGATCACACCATTGCACTCCAGGCTGGACGACAGAGCAAGACCTTGTCTCAAAAAAAACAAAAAAAAAGTTATGGATAGGGCGTGGTGGCTCATGCCTATAATCCCAGCAACTTGGGAGGCCAAGAAAGGCAGATCACCTGAGGTTAGGAGTTCGAGACCAGCCTGGCCCAAATGGCGAAATCCCATCTTAAATAAAAAAAAAAAATTGAAAAAAAAAGTTATAATCATTCTAACTCACGTTTTTTAATATCTGAGATGTTGGAAGAACATCAAATGTGTATTTGAATGCCATTTCTGTATAAAATCAAATGTATAGGTATATGTATATGTATATACATGCGTCAGAAAAAAAAAGAATGCATAGATAAGCAGGTACACAGAAAAAGTCTAAAAGAATGACCACTAGACTACCAACAATGGTTACGTGGGCGTGGGAATCATTATGTGGGACTAATCCCTTCTACACTACATAAAATATTTGTATAATTTTTGAACTTTTTCAGCATGTTTCAGTTTTGTAATAAGGCAAAACAAAGATAATGGTAAAAGTTGGCTTTGAAGATTACTTAATGACATGGAGTGAATTCATTCAAGAAGAGTAAATGAAAAAAGCAGAATATGAAACTGTAGATAGGCTGACCTTTCCTTTAAAAATGTGTATTTATATGCACACATAAAGGAGAAAAAAATTTATACAAGAGCAATATAGAAATAATGATCAAATCTGGGCAGTATAATGAAATGGAAATTTATGTTTTTTTCCCTATATTTTATGTCCCCCAATAAATCTTAGAAACAGAGTTAATAAAGTCAAACAGATTTCTCTGTTGTACGGCTGCAAAGGATCTTTGAAGTGTTAATCTGCATCGTCAATGTCAAAAAACAATATGGCCAACAACATTCCCAACCTAACTTGGCTACAGAACCCTTTCCAAAGATTAGTGTCATGCTCTTCCCATTGTATCACGTCCACTGAAGGGACTAAATTCTGGGAAATGACTGAAACAATGGCAATGTAACTTAGAAAGCCTTAGGGAAAAATCTGGGGGGAAAATCATGATTTAAATAAGGATTACTTTATAATTCTCATTTACACTCATAATTTAAATGAGGGTTAAAACTTCAGGAGCTCCTCATAGTACCATTTCACAAAGCACACTTCAAAAATGCTAAATTATTGATGAGATATGCTTTAGCAAGTTTTGCTTATTAAAATGCTATAAAAATGCCAATTTTAAAATTGCTTGATGTAAGATAGGTTCCACCTATATTACTAAAACTGATATTGAGACAGGTTGAGAACGGAAAAAGTTGGAAAAGGAAGATGACTTGGTAAGGGAAGAGAAAAACAGAGGATACACAAATAAAAACAACTGTAGAGCACTAACTGCTACAAAAGATCCTAATCAGGACATAAAACATGTCTACCAAAGGTAAACTGGATCTTGGTTCTGATGTGGGGAGAGGCAGACTTGTGCACTGGCAGCCAGGAGAAGGAGCATGGTAGAACCCAGGAAGGAGGCTGCCATGGTCCCAAGGGGATGAGGGAAAAGCACACTGCCAGGACACAATGATGCAGTTTCCAATGACCAGGGCTCAAGCTCTACACTAACCTGAGCTACTAACATCACTCGCCTGAGACGATCCCAGTGGTTGGGAGACACACGGAGATAAACTTCTTTAAGGCTGAGAAGCAGTAGTGAGCAACACAGAACAGGCAGCCAGACCATCTGGGTTCAAATCCTAGACCTGCTCCTCAGCAGGAAAGTTACTTAAGTGTCTGTGCCTCAGTCTCCTCATCTGCAAATTGGGAAGAGTAACTGTGCCTACCTAACAGGGCTGTTATGAGAATTAAGTGAGTCAATATAGGTAAACTGCTTAGAACAGTGCCTAACACGTAGTATTTTATCATTAAAACCAATAATAACTCACACTTATTAGTCGTTGATTGAAAAGGTGTAAGAACCATATAGACATGTAGCACCCTTGTTTAAATAATGATTCTTTTTCCCAGATGTTTGTCCTAGCACTTAACAAGTCATATTGCCATTGCCATTTTCCACTAAAGGGACTAAATTTTCATTGTATGATACAGTAGAAAGTACAGGCTTTGGACGCAGGCAAATCGGAGTCAAATCTCAGCTCTTCCACATACTACTAGCTATGTGGTCTTCGACAAATCATTTTCTGAGCGTGAAAAGACTCGTTTGTGGAGGGGAAAAATAACAATACCTATCCTCATAGGGCTGCTGTGAATACGAAATGTAATAACTTAAGAAAAGCAATCTTTTCTCCCTTAAATTGCTGGTGGAGTTTAAATTGGTACTACCCTTTGGGATTGGAATTTGGCAGTACGTACTAAAAGTTATACGAGAATACACTTCATTTAACCTTCTTTCACTTCTATGAATATCTGAAAGTTAAGATGCTCTTGGCATTACTAAAATAAAGGAGGGGAGAAACAACCTAATTCTGCAGCATCCTAGGGGAATGCTTATGACAAAGGGAAAAAGCGGGGCCCAGCATGGTGGCTCACACCTGTAATCCCAGCACTTTGTGAGGCCGAGGTGGGTGGATCACCTGAGGTCAAGAGTTCAAGACCAGCCTGGCCAACACGGTGAAACCCCGTCTCTACTACAAGTATAAAAATAGGTCAGGCGTGGTGGTTCAAGCCTGTAATCCCAGCACTTTAGGAGGCCAAGGCAGGCAGATCACCAGAGGTCGGGAGTTTGAGACCAGCCTGACCAAAATGGAGAAACCCCGTCTCTACTAAAAACACAAAATTAGCCGGACGTGGTGGTGCATGCCTATAATCCCAGCTACTCAGGAGGCTGAGGCAGAAGAATCACTTGAACCCAGGAGGCGGAGGTTGCAGCAAGCCGAGATCACACCATTGCACTCCAGCATGGGCAACAAGAGCGAAACTCCATCTCAAAAAAAAAAAAAAAAGAAAAGAAAAAGAAAAAAGCGGAGCATATACATGCTCATTATGATTACATTTTAAAAGATTCTCTTGGGTGGAAAAAAGGCAAGAAAATAGTATTGAGATAAATTTATTTTTACCTATTATTTAGATATTCATTTTTGTACTGGAAAAACAGCAGAAACACCAAAATATCAATAAATGCCATTTTATTTCTTCCTAGTGCTTTCCTACATTGCACTGAACTCCTTTCCTGCATCACAGAATTGTCTCTGATGAACACGTACTCATTTTATAACAAAGTCAGTTATTTCAAAACAAGAACATAAGTGTATAGAAAAAGAAAAGACGAATAAATTAAATGAAATGCTAGGACCGTTTTTTTTCTATTTTCCAAACTTCCTATAGTGTGGTTAACGTTACTTTTACGATGAAAAGAAACATTTTCTAAAAGCATCCTCTCTTAAGCTTGTCCCTCCCTAGTTAATGCCTAGCTTTCCTTTTTAGCTAAATTTGTTTTTTGTTTTGTTTTTTGAGACAGTCTCGCACCCAGGCTGGAGTGCAGTGGAATGGCATGATCTCGGCTCACTGCAACCTCCGCCTCCTGGGTTCAACTGATTCTCCCTGCCTCAGCCTCCCGAGTAGCTGGGATTACAGGCGCCAACCACCACGCCCAGTTAATTTTGTATTTTTAGTAGAGATAGGGTTTCACCATGTTGGCCAGGCTGGTCTCGAACTCCTGGCCTCAGATGATCCACCCGCCTTGGCCTCCCAAAGTGCTGGGATTACAGGCGTGAGCCACTATGCCCAGCCGCTAAAATTTATGAAGAGTATATTCCTTGGAAGTTTCAATAATACAGCCCCCAAAAACTTAAGACTGGTGGGGAAGAGTGTGTCCCCAAGAGTAAACGAGCTGTTCAGGTTTGGGCAACCCAGGCCTGGTTACAGCAGAAAAGTATAAACACTAAAGCCTGCCTTAAAGAAGAGAGCCAAACAGTTCCTGGCCCACAAACAGAAAACCAACCAAAACAAGATGATCAAACAGGAATTTCCACTAAGGTACCAAAAGAGAAGGGCTGCTGCCACCAAAGGGAGGCTCCATAGCAGAATGCAGAACTTTCCAAGAGTGATTGCAAGGCAGTCCCCTGATTCCCACAGTCCTCTCAGCCAGGTCAGGGCTACAGACAGTGGAATGTGAGGGTTCCCTCCCGTGAAGACAGGACAGGAGGAGGGGGCTTTGTGAAGTGAATCCTTGAGGGGCTGTGAGTACAGCCACACCTTCATACCAAGCTGAGGTAGGGGCTCGATGGCCTATTTCATGTGCTAAATCTGTGACCAGCAAGGGTACAGTGGATCTCCAACCTGGGAAATCTAGAGAGCTGGAAAAGCCGTGCTGAGCACTGGGACCCACATGCACAGCCAGGGCAAGGAACACGCAGTCCCAGCCAGGCTGTGCGCGAGAGCCAGCAGAGGGTCTTAGGTTCAAACAACAGTGCCCCCAGGCAGGCCAAAAGGACTCCAGCAGGAGGAAACTATAGGGGGATCTAAGTTCCTAGGTGCTGAGGAGTCACCAAAATAAACTGGCCAAAATAAATCGACCAAAATAAAGATGCAAACCCCCAGGTCAAGGAGGCAAAAGGGATAGAAGTCGGGAGTCTCTGAAGAGCCCACTGAAGCACCTGCAGGACACAGGGTCAGCTTTAACTACGTGCGAGGCTCAGGGAGCCACAGAAGAACAATCTGAGAGCCTCACCTCTCCTTCCTCCTCCTATTCCACTCAATCCAGAAACTAGTGAAGTCAGACACAAGAAATCTGAGGGACAGAGAGGAGCCGAACGCACCAGAAGCCTGTCACACCGCTTTTTCGGACAGAGATGGTTGCCAACTACAAGTCTTAACTGGGAAAAAAAGGGGGGAAAGTCTAATCTTTGAATGAAGACTGAAGTGTTAATATATTGAACTGGACACTTTTAATTTTTAAATGGAGCCTACATTTCAAGACTTCTATCACCTAAGATCATCACCTTATGTGGCCTTTTACTTCCTATTGAATCCTGAGAACCTAGGAGACCGGCTGGCCCACAGGAGTGCTCAGTAAGTATCTGCTGAATCAGTTAATTAAAGCATAAAGGGTAAGTCACAAGGCCTGACAGCTTTTCATAAAAGCAAACAGCTCCCCAACTGAGTGTATTTTAAAGAGACAGTGAAGGTGGGGCATGGTGGCTCATGCCTGTAATCCCAAGACTTTGGGAGGCAGAGGAGGGCGGATCACCTGAGGTCAGGAGTTCAAGACCAGCCTGACCAACATGGAGAAACCCCGTCTCTACTAAAAATACAAAATTAGCCAGGCGTGGTGGTACACGCCTGTAATCCCAGCTACTTGGGGGGCTGAGGCAGGAGAATTGCTCAAACCCAGGAGGCAGAGGCTGCAGTGAGCCAAGATCACGCCATTGCACTCCAGCCTGGGCAACAAGAGCGAAACTCCACCTCAAAAAAAAAAAAAAAAAAAAAGAGACGATGAGAGGCAAAAATAAAGATTTATTTGCATCATCTCCCACACACTGAATGCATACTTAAGAAAGAATGTCAGTAGGAACACGGTTTGCTCCTTCATGAGAACACAAAAAAAAGAGCCTCAGGAGTCAATGTTGGTGTCCATTTTAGCAGTATGCAGGGGACAGGGTATTCAGGTTCCGAAGGCAGGATCCTAAGCTGGAACGAAGGTGGAGAGTGCAGGCCTCAAATGACCCCACCAGTCCTGAGGGCTCACCCAGCTCTACAGTGAGACAAATGTCCACACCACAGGCTGACACCAGTGGACCTTAGGCTCATCAAACTTCTCTAACTGCATCTGGCCCAAGGCTCCCTACCAAATGTTTTGGATCAAACAAGAGTTTCACTCAGAGTAGCTCAATGGTATAGCGGGACGGAAGCAGGCCACAATGAGCCCAGAACAGGGCCCCGCCATCGAAGAGTAGCAGACTAATTGCACAAGGCTAAAAAGTGAAGGGAGATGAGAACAGGGAAAAAATAAGGGAAGATCACCTTTTAAGAGCTGGAAAGAAGGTGGTCAGCAGTTGGGAAGGTACATGATAGAGTTGTTGGATGGGTTATACTTTTGCATTTTTAAGAATAGGCTCAGAAGAAGGATCCAGTTAATACTACTTAAACCTGAGTAGTTACTATGGCAAAATTCTAGGAGCTCCACACATACTAACTTTTCTGATCTTCCTTCCCATCAAGAAAGCATCTGAAGTACAGGTAGTCTCACTTCCAGGCCTGTGTGCTACACCTCTATACTCTGCCCTCTCACCAAATAAGGATGCAACCCCCAGGTCAACGCAGCAGCAGGTAAAGACTCCCAACTCAGGGAGGGGTGCCACTAAGGCACCCGCAGGAGAAAGCATCAGCTGTAACCACGTGCCAGGCTCATTCCTGCAGGAGAGAGAATGAAGGTAAAGAAAAAGCAAGAGTGGTGCTAGAAAAGACAGGGAAGAAAGAGTTCAGAATCGGTGGAGGGTGGGCCTCAGGAGAAGGCTGCTTCATTCTTCTGGATTGGAGGAAAGGAACAAAGCTGAGTGTGGACAGAAACAAGTCAGAGAGAGGGAGCAGGAAGCGGAAGGAGCACCCAGGTGATGGCCCCGATTTTTTGGATGGGTGAAGAGTGAGATGGTGGGTGAAGAGATGGGGAGAGACTGAGAATAGCCTTGAGCCGAAGACAAAATAGAGGTAGCATAGGGAGATGACTGAATCCCAGAAACTTAGCTGAGAAATGAATACCAGAAACTTAGCTGAGAAACGGTGCCAAGGGCCCAGACTTGACCCCATAAATCAATGCAAAGTTAGGGTTTTGCTCGATGAGCACCACAGAACAGACGTGCCAGGTCTCCGAGAGTCTGGATGAGACCATGGCTCCAGTAATGAACTACAGGTTCCAGACTGGATATGAAGAAAGAGATGCCACAAATGGGCTGATACACTGGAGACAAGGAGGGATCAGAGGCTGGTGAGCATAGCCATGGTGGTGAGCAAAGCCAGGGAAGCGGCTGCGGGACGCGTGATTCCGTGGAAGAAGGCACATCCATCCGCTGGACTAGGGGAAGAGACGCAACTCCTCCTACAGAAGCCCCCAGCTCTGCCTACTTTCTGCCTCCTCTTTCTCTATCCATCCCTTACATGCTGGAATGGGCTGAAGGTCTGTCCTCAGCTTCCAACTGTCCCCCCACCTCTGGAGTCCTCACTCACACCCACAACCTAACTCTCACCTACTCATGTCCAATCCAGTCCAGCTCTGGATTTCTTTCCCCAAGTGTCCCGAGTACCTCTGACCGGACTCTGCAAACCCCTCAACACTGCACAGGTCCAAAGCTGAACTCATCTTCTCCTGAAATGAGCTCCTGCTTCTCTGCATTCCCTCTCTAGTGACTGGGAACGTTACCTATCCACCCAGCTGCCCAGGCAGTAAAGCAGAGTCAGCTTCAACTCCTCCCTCGCCGCAGATCCAATCAGCTTTATTGACACAACCTACCAGAATACACATCTTTAGAATCCTTCTATCTTGAGAGCTTGTTTGGAGGTTCTAGCAGGGGAGCGCAGCTACTCGTATACCCTTGACCAAAGACCGGTCCTCCTCTATCGGGGATGGTCGTCCTCTTCGACCGAGCACGCAGCTTCGGGAGGGACGCACATGGAACGGTGAGGGAGGAAGGGGACACCCGCCTAGCCAGCCAGATCAGCCGAATCAACTCTGGCGATCAATGGGGTGACAGATGTCACAGCCAGATCGCCCTCACATCCAAGAATCCTTCTATCTTCTATCTTCTCTCATCAGCGCACCAGACTCCGTTCTCTCTGCCCTGCCTGTGGCTGCCCTCCTGCCTCCATCTCAATCTGTTTGTCCATTAAAATGTCCTGGGGTGGGGGGATGTGGAGACTTTAAAAATACACATTTCTTAAAACAAAAAATAACAGGTTTCTGACACTCATGCTAGCTCTTCTGAATCTGACCCTCTGGGGAGGAGACCCAGGAAGGTGTACATTCAGAAAACACCGTGATTGATTTTTTTGCAGCTGGGACAGGAGCAGCGTTTGACAACCACCGCTCCGTGACCAAGAGTAACCCCTCCTCTTCCCTCCTACAGCAATGAGAAGCATACCTGCCCTGGGCCCCGGATCCTCACCTCCTCACAACTCAGTCCTATCACTCATTCCTGTCTGTATCTTCAACCACACCCTTCCCACTGGGTTTTTCCCAACACCTTTTAAACAAGCTAAGCCTCCTCTCCACTTAAAGAAACTCCCCCAACCGGGCACAGTGGCTCACGCCTATAATCCCAGCACTCTGGGAGGCCGAGGCGGGCGGATCACGAGGTCAGGAGATCAAGACCAACCTGGCCAATATGGTGAAACCCTGTCTCTAGCAAAAATACAAAAATTAGCCGGGTGTGGCATCACACACCTATAGTCCCTGCTACTCAGGATGCTGAGGCAGAAGAATTGCTTGAACCCAGGAGGCAGAGGTTGCAGTGAGCTGAGATCACACCGCTGCACTCCAGCCTGGCGACAGAGCAAGACTCCGTCGCAAAAAAAAAAAAAAAAAAAAAGGAAACGAAACTCCCCCTTACACCTGCGGCCACCTCTAACCACAACTCACTCTCTTGATTCTCAGAACCGAGATCTTGAAAGCACTTTCCAAGCTCACTGTCTCCATTTATGTCCCACTCACTCCTCACTCATTCCTCAGCTAATTATAATCTCACTTCTCTCCCCAACTACTGGATGAGCTTTTCTGGAAAGGTTCTGGGGGGGCCTCTTTCTTTCCCACAGGTCGCGCTTCAGGCCCGTTTTGAAAATCTCTGCAGCGTGTAATGCCATCAGCCACTCTCCCCTGAAATTGTCTCCTCCCGGGTGTCCCCCTACTTCCTTGGCCATTCCTCAGTTTTCTTCCCTGGCACCTACTCTTCTCCCTCTTTAAAGTTTAAAATGTTCACAAGTTCTGTCCCTAGTTCTTGTCTCACCTTCCACTGTCCTCTGAAAGACTTCACCACACATCTCTTACGAACTGCTCACTCCAGCCATAACCACCCCTAATTCATTGCTTCCTGCCTCTCTGCCAAGCCCTGTCCAGGCTCTGTCCCTCCCAGAGGCCTTCTCCACACTATGATGCCTGCCAAACTCTCAAAAGTCAGCCCAAATATTGCTACATTGGGAAGTCTTCCTTAACTGTGCCTCCCCACAACCAGCCTACCCCCTGCAATAAACCCACAGCACCGAGGACAAACGTTCTTTTTTAAAAAGTTTTGCCCCAATAGACAGTGAACTCCTTGAGGGTGGGAACTATACCTGGAAAATATTAGGCATGCAATTAATGTTGACTGAGTCCATCATTACACAGTAAACATACTGTGAGGTAAATAGGAGCTTATTAATAAATGCAGTGAATGATACACATATTACTCAACGTAGAGCTGAGTGACAGCATTGGTCTACAAGTAAGGAACCTAAAATAAGTCATGATCACTAATCCTACGCACTTTTACCCGGTCATAATTGCAGACAGCAATATAGTTTCAAGCACTTGAAACAGGCATGGCAGGGTGTTTTCAACTGCATTGTGTCTGAAACTGTATTGCTGTCCCCTTTCTTCAAAATGAAGAGTTTTCAACAAACTCTGATATGGCTTGCTCCTTCACACCATCTGAGCCTCAGCTCAATGTCACCTTCCCGGCTACCCTCCGTGACCATGCATGCTAAAGTGGTCCTCCACCATAACTTCGGTCTTTGCAGTTACCCTCTCATTGTCTTCATGTCACTTATCACTATGTGAATCATACTGACTTGTTAGCCTGTTTGATGCTGGTCTCCTTGATCCTGCTTATTACTTTATCCTCTGTATATCAACAGTGTGTGGCTGATATGGGTACCCAACAGACACTTATTGAATGGATGAGAGAGAAAGGCAAGTTTAACACTAAAATACTATTATCTACTAACCACAAAACGTGGGAAACATGCAGGTGGTAGAAAATGGCAGGGATTTATCCCTGGAAAGGGACTGTTATTCACCACCCATGGGGGTAGGGCTAGGTACACGTGTCGTCCTTCTTTCAGATTCTTGCTCAGGATCAGAATTTTGATTTGCTAAAGGGTCCCTCAACTTATCTAAAGGAAATCATAGGCAGTGGCTCACGCCTGTAATCCCAGCACTTTTGGAGGCCGAGGCGGGAGGACCACTTGAGGTCAGGAGCTCAAGACCAGCCTGGTCAACATGGCAAAACCCCGTCTCTACTAAAAATACAAAAATAGCCAGGTGTGATGGTGGGCACCTGTAATCCCAGCTACTTGGGAGGCTGAGGCGGGAGAATCGCTTGAACTCGGGAGGCGGAGGTTGCAGTGAGCGGAGATCCACCACTGCACTCCAGCCTGGGCAACAGTGAGACTCCATCTCAATAAATAAATAAATAAATAAATAAATAAATAAAATAAAACAAAGGAAATCACTTCTCCCTCAGTGGGTAGCTTCTCCAGAGAAAAATGTTAAAGCTGACACACAGCCTTTTCTAATGACCAGTCCTGGAAAACTGTGCCTAAGCTCCGTCAGCACTGTAAGCACTGAGACCAGGACCTGTTCGTTGCTGCATTCCCAGCACCTAGCCCAGTTCATCGCCCAGAGGAGATGCCCAAAATGTTTGTAAAATGAGCATGTAAGACACAGCCTTCTGAGGAACGGCCATCCCAACAACTCTTACACTGCAGAAGCACTTAATTTTAGAAACAGGCCAAGACAGCTGCAGAGGGGCTCCAGACCTACGCCTCTCCCTGGGCAACAGTTTGGTTCCTAGAATTCAACACTCACCACCATGTGCCATAGATAACAAAATATTATCTTCCCCACAGTTGCCCTGTATCAAATTTGAATACACTTGGCCAATATAATCTCATGGCTAATACAGTACAGCAACCAATAAGATTTCTCTTGCCCTTTATTTTTTTATATGTACTTTGGCCAGCAAGGATAGATCAAAATGCTAAAGAACAATTGAAATTGAAGAATTCCACCATTAATTTCATAACCAGTAGTTCCTGGCTCACTGTGTGATCCCAGGAAAACCACATTGCCTTCTTGAACTGTCAGCTTCAGCTACAGTCCTAATGCTCTTTATCTAAAGGGTAGTTTGGGGAAGATTACTTAGTAGTTGTAACATACTCCGGGACCAATCCATGAAAGATGCCATAAATCAAATTAATTATGAAACAAAGGAAATCATAAATATTGAAACCACTTCAAAACCTGAGAAGTTGAGAAGTGAGGAAGATTTAAAATTATGCCTGTGGCGCTGATACTAACTCACTGTCAGACTATAAGACGAGACACACATTCTCAGAAGATTCATGACATTCCCAACAGATCTTTTTTTTTTTTTTTTTTTTTTGAGATGGAGTCTCGCTTTGTCGCCCAGGCCAAAGTGCAGTGGCGCAATCTCGGCTCGCTGCAAGCTCCGCCTCCCGGGTTCACGCCATTCTCCTGCCTCAGCCTCCCGAGTAGCTGGGAATACAGGCACCCGCCACCACGCCCAGCTAATTTTTTGTGTTTTTAGTAGAGAGACGGGGTTTCACCGTGTTAGCCAGGATGGTCTCGATCTCCTGACCTCGTGATCCGCCCACCTCGGCCTCCCAAAGTGCTGGGATTACAGGCGTGAGCCACCGCGCCCGGCCAACAGATCTTTAATATTTGGAAATGTCAGATGTTTCTGTCCTCCAGCAGCATTAACTTCACATGGAGTATGAACAGTGACAAGCAATTGCAAAATTAGAGCTGTTCTCCGTTGCTGTACCCGTGCCTAACTGTTAACACGCAGTCTACCTTACCGAAAGTCAATTCCACACACTCAGTGAGAAAAGCCGTTTAACTGGCTGTAAAAATACTCCGCCCCCTACCTGCTGACCACCGCTAACACGCCAGGAAAACAGCAACATCCAGCAGCACAGCTGCGCTCCCTCGCCACGACTTCCTAACTTCCCTCCACTTGAAAGCACTCTCATCAGTGTGTGTTTGTCTAAAAACTCTTCTTGGAGACTGAAGAAGAAACACATCCAAGTGAAACTGAGAGGTCAGCTTCTAAAGCGGAGGCTGAACTTTGCAAGTGGGGGCGGGGGGAGTTAGTTCGGTCCCCCAAGCCTAAAAGAATGGGGCATGGTAAGGGGGACGGCCCCTTCCTTCAGCGCGGCACACGCTCCGCAAAGGGCCTGGGGCCGGCCCACGAGAACACCAGGGCACCTGCCCACTTGCAGCGGCCCCAAGAGACTCCTGGGCAGAGCACCTGGGGATACCAGGTGGGGTCGGGGCGGGCGGCGGGGCTTTGTCCCCATTCGCCCCTCCAGGCCGAAATGGGGGCGGTTTCCGCTGACCCCCAAGACCGGGAACTAGCAGGGTTCGGACGCGGGTCTGGAGGGTCGGCCCCACCACCTCCGGCAAACCCGAGGGTCCCCGCTGCCCCAGCCTCCTCAAAGAGGTGCCTAGGGTGGCGTGTAGGGGGCAGCCAGGATGGCGGAGGCCGGTACTCACAGAGCCCACTGGAGCCGGTGCTGGTGAACATGGTCCCGCCGGGCTCGGAGCCCCAGAGGGCGCCGGGGGAGGGGAAGCTGAAGTGCGAGCCCCAGCGACCGCGCAGGCGCACTCTTGGCGGAGCGACGAATCCGGCGCCGCGAGGCCACTCGCCGCTGACGAACGGCGCACCCGGCGCATGCGCAGTCAGGGGCGTGCGCCCGCTGGGTCAGCGCCCTCCTTCCTGCCGGGGAAGGGAAGTGCGTCGGTAGGGGAGGGCTCACCTCTCCAGGTTGAAACGATGGCGGTCAGAACCGCCTGAGGTAAAAACGGGTGGCACTGGGGAAGCGGAGGCGTAGCTCCCGAGAGCCTCACACTTGTGCTCAGTGCCGCCTCACCCCTGGTGGATCCGCGATGGCCGCGGATTCCCCTGGATTGCCGGCGCTGGGCAGGAGCGCCACTTCTAATCTCTCCCGAGACTGGACGCCCGGCGCCTTCCACGCGCGTTGTGTCTTTCCGGGCGGTCCCTCGAAGCTGGCTACCCCGCGGGCTGTTGACTGCAGTGGGATCTGGTCACTCAGATGCGGATAGAGGGGTACGGGAGCCGGAGAGGTGGAACAGGTCCTTCCGGGTGCGGAGAGCTGGGCCGTCCAGCCGCCTCTTTGTTCCCGCGTGGGTCCCGCGCGGAATCCCCACCACCGGGGCCGACTGTCGTGGTCCCTGGAGTCAGCACCCTGCCCTCCCCGCCGTGGTGGCGGGTGGCTGGGGGGTCCCCGGCCCGGCGAGCCCGGCGGAGCGACCCTGCGCTTCTGCCCTGGCGAGCTTCCGGACTCAGGCCATTTAAATTTTTTTCCCCAGCAGAATGAAGTTACTCTTTGCCAAAGTCACGGTTTTTAAATGTGTGAGCCTGAAAACATATCATGCAGTCGTTTTAAAAAGTTTTTTTTTAAGTTGATCTCGTGAAAGTAGGGAGTAAAAGAGTGGTTATTCTTGTACAGAGGAGAGTTAGTGGGGAGGAAGATGGGGAGAGGTTGGTCAACAGACACAAAGTTATAGTTAGAAGGAATAAGTTTTGGTATTCTCTTGCACGTTTGGATGACTATACTCAACGATAATGTTAACTTCAAAATAGCTAGAAGAGAGGATTTTGAATATTCTCACCACAAAGAAATGACAAGTGTTTTGGTGATGGATGTGCTAATTACCCTGATTAGATGGTTGCACAATGTGTATATGTATGGAACCATCACACTGTACCCCAGAAATACATGCAATTATGTGAGAACGCATGTTATGGGGAAAATTGACCACACTACCCAGCTAAATGAAAGGGATAGGCTATGGAGTACTAAAAAAAAAAAAGCATTTTCAGTGCTCATAAGTGCCAGCCAGTGTGCTAAATCTGTGATTCGTAGATCAACACAGTCCCTACCCTCAAAGAGAGGTTCCAGTGGGCCAAAATGTTAACACTGATTATAGAAGGCAAAAGTATGACTTTTATTTGCTTCTTTAGGCTTTATTCGTAAAGTTCATTTTCACAGTCTTGTTTTGTTCGTTTGTTTTGAGACGGAGTCTCGCTCTCCCCAGCTGGAGTGCAGTGGCGCGATCTCGGCTCACTGATACCTCTGCCTCCCCGGTTCAAGCGATTCTCCTGCCTCAGCCTCCCAAGTAGCTGGGACTACAGGCACCTGACACCACCCTGGCTATTTTTTGTATTTTTAGTAGAGATGAGGTTTCACCATGTTGGTCAGGCTGGTCTCGAACTCCTGACCTCGTGATCCGCCCGCCTTGGCCTCCCAAAGTGTTGGGATTACAGGCGTGAGCCTCTGGGCCCAGCCCATTTTCACAGTCTTGAAGTACATTTTACATTTACCTTTAGGTTCGTTCGAGTTATTTTTCAGGAAAACGACAGTCAAAAGGTCCTTTATGTTTGCAGAAGCTGTTGATGGACTACACCCTGACCCATTAAGGGGATGCAAAGTCCAAAACTATTTTCATAATAATGCTAAGACATTAGTTTTATTTTCTACTCTCTCAAGTATATAGTGGAGTTTTCCATTGTACAATTGGACAACTGTACAGAGCTACGTAACTGGATTTTCCACTGTACAGAGCTACATAACTGGATTTTCCAGTTGACCGATGCATAATGTTATGAAATCTTATGTGGGTAAAAGATTAATTTGAACCATAAAATACACCAGTAAACTTTAGTGTAACAGTCCAAAATGTTCATTCATATGGTTTCAGATTCCTCACTGCAATTAACCTTTAAGAAACTACCACTTGCTAAGTTATCGTATAGTATCAAAAAATAATGTATCACCTGAAAGGCTATTAAAATGCTTCCTTTTCCAACCGTGGGGGTGTATCTAGGTGAAGCCAGGTTTTCCTCATATGCTTCAACCAAAGCAATGTATCCCAACAAACTGAAAGCAGAAGCATATATGAGGACCCAGCTGTTTTCTATTGAACCAGACATTAAAGACATTTGCCCGCCAGACACAGTGGCTTAGGCCTGTAATTCCAGCACTTTGGGAGGCTGAGGCAGACGGTTCACTTGAGGTCAAGAGTTTGAGACCAGCCTAGCCAACGTGGCGAAACCCTGTCTCTACAAAAAGTACAAAAAATAGCTGGGTGTGGTGGTGCACACCTGAAGTTCCAGCTTCTCAGGAAGCTGAAGCATGAGAATCGCTTGAACCCAAAGGCAGAGGTTGCAGTGAGCCAAGGTTGTGCCACTGCACTCCAACCTGGGGGACAGAGAGAGACCCCATCTCAAAATAAATAAATAAATACATACATACATACATACATACGTGCATGCATTTGCCAAAATGTTAAACCGTGCTATTCTTCCAATATTTTTTTGCTTGGGACAGTATAGTAATTTTGCATTAAAAAGTGTTAGATATGTTAATATGTAATGGGTATTTTTTTTAATGAACTTCATATATATCTTTTACATTTCTCAGTTTCAATTTCTACTATGGTAAATACTCATAGGTATAAACCCACATAAACTAAAGATCTGTAGTTCTTAATAATTTCTAAGAATAAAGGGATTCCAAAAAGTTTGAGAACCGACATTAAAAAGTGCTTTAAAGCTTAAAAAACATAAACCCTTCACTTACGTTCAATTCTATAAACATTCTTTGCAGCTAAATGCAAGATGGTATGGCATCCAGACTCTGCTCATAAGTATCTGCAGTGATCCATACCTTGATTGTACATCTACTCTGCATCCTGAGGACCTGAACATGCTAACTGGTGGCTGCAGATTTGTCTTCTAAGGAGCAAGTGTGGTCTGTGGACAGGCAGCTTCAGCCTCACCTGGGATTTTGTTTGCACTAGAAAGTGCCAAGCCCTACCCTAGACCTATTAAAGCAGAACTGGCGTTTAACAAGACACCCCAGGTAATTTGTGTGCACCTTAGAGTCTGAGATGCACTAGTGTAGTGATTCGCAGGGGGACAATTTTGACCTCCAGGGGACAATATCTGGAGACATTTTTGGGTGTCACAACGTGCTGGGGAGAGGGTGCTACTGGCATCTAATGGGCTGAGGCCAAGGGTGCTGCTAAACATCTGGCAATACCGGGCCAACCTCCCCCCTCCTCCTGCCCACAGTAAAGAATTACCCCGCCTGGATTGTCAGTAGTGCAGAGGTAGAGGAAACCCTACACCTGTGAAACTCATCTGACCTTTACTATGAATTCCTGGATCTCCTGGTGCATATCATTTCTGTTGCCCTGGCTGACATTTCCACCTTTTCTCTTTTCTAGATTTTATTACAAGAACTCAATCTGTTGGTCTCTAGGAATCACCTATTGCCTTGCTATGTTTTGTTGAACCTGTTTTTGAATCTGCTTTCTACATTGGGGAAATAGGTATACGTTTGTAAACCTTAAAAGCTCTGTATGCTATAAGGAAATCACCAGACACGTGGATAAGCTTTGCAGAGGTGAAGGGCTGTCTCCACCAGAGAGACCCAGAAGGAGTCAGGGTAAGCCTGACTCATCATGAGATCAGGTATCCCCAATCCACAGCGGACTTCCACAGTTCACCTTCCTAGGTAACCGCTCTGCCTTCCCAGGTAAAGTAGGAATAATATCAGAACTTACAGCATATTTTGAGGTCAAATTGTAGAATTTGGTGATTTCATTTTTATTATTACTCAACCTTTTATTTACAACCAAATTAATAAGGCTACTTACACATAACAATGTGTGGACATACACATTAAGAGAATCATTTGCTGCCTAGCACTCCTACCTAGGTACTTTAAGAACATCATTGAGTGGATACTCCCTCTGCTGGGTAAAATACTTTGCCACAATATCAGCTGAAATGATACCTCTTCCAGACTGTAATGGCAGAAGTAGTTATCCCCTCTTTCGTGCTGTCATCACACTTGATGCATGCCTACTTTATAATACTTATGCCATTGTCTCTGTTATTGGGTTTCTGTCTTCTACTGTGAAAGGGTGAGCCCATAAAAAACAGGGAATGTGTCTTTCAAAATGTTGTATCCTGCTCATTCTGATGTGAAGCCATTGTCCTCCTTCAATAAAATAAAACAGCATTTCTGAGGTCTTAGCATCAGGAAAATCTCCAGGTGGGTAAGGTTAAAGAAAAAATTATTCATGACACTTGTTCAGTGTGGTGCAATAGTCTCTTCTCACACTGCTATAAATACCCAAGACTGGGTAATTTTTTTATTGATTTATTTTTTAATTAATTTTTTTTTTTTTTTTGAGACGGAGTCTGGCTCTGTTGCCCAGGCTGGAGTGCAGTGGCGCAATCTCGGCTCACTGCAAGCTTCGCCTCCCAGGTTCACGCCATTCTCCTGCCTCAGCCTCCCAAGTAGCTGGGACTACAGGCGCCTGCCATCACGCTCGGCTAATTCTTTTTTGTATTTTTTAGTAGAGACGGGGTTTCACCATGTTAGCCAGGATGGTCTCGATCTCCTGACCTCGTGATCCACCCGCCTCAGCCTCCCAAAGTGCTGGGATTACAGGTGTGAGCCACCGCGCCCGGCCTATTTTTCATTTTTTTGAGATGGAGTCTCACTCTTGTTGCCCAGGCTGGAGTACACTGGCGCTATCTCGGCTCACTGCAACCTCCGCCTTCCGGGTTCAAGTGATTCTCCTGCCTCAGCCTCCCTAGTAACTGGGATTACAGGCGCCCGCCACCACATCTGGCTAATTTTGTATTTTTTGTAGAGACAGGGTTTCACTATTTTGACCAGGCTGGTCTCGAACTCCTGACCTCAGGTGATCCACCCGCCTCGGCCCCCCAAAGTGCTGGGATTACAGGTGTGAGCCACCACACCCGGCCAAGACTGAGTAATTTATAAAGGAAAGAGTTTTAATTGACTCACAGTTCCACATGGCTGCGGAGGCCTGAGGAAACTTACGACCATGGCAGAAAGGGAAGCAAACACGTCCTTCACAAGGTGTCAGGAGAGAGAAGTGCCGAGTGAAGGGGGAAGAGCCCCTTGTAAAACCATCAGATCTCATGAGAACTCACTATCATGGGAACAGCATGGTTGTTCCCATGCTCCAGTCACCTCCCACCAGGTCTCTCCCTAGACACCTCGGGATTACACTTCAAGATGAGATTTGGGTGAGGACACAGCCAAACCATATCAGATGGTAAAGCAGACTTTATTCCAGGGGGCCATGGTGATAGGTAGAGGGGCACTGCAGGGCTTTGCAGTGGGGAGAAATTGAACTCAGCACCAACTCTACCAAGGACAGGTGGGGATTTATAATCAAGGAGCAGGGTGGAAAGCAGCGCATGGAAAATTACTAAGAGGAAGCCCCAAGGATAAGGGGGTTTCTGTCTAAACAGACCTGATAGGATTCCTGCTGAAGGCAGGCCAGGGAGATCAGATAACAAGGGTGGTCAACCAAGAGTAGAGGCTTTTCACTAGACCCACTTAGCAGGATTCTTGCTCACACTGGGCTCTGCAAGGACAGAGAGAAAAGTCCAAGATTGGGCCTAGTCAAGCAGAGGACTCAGAGAAGCCTGACTGGAGTTTTGGTCAAAGGAGAGAGTCTTTTTCAGGCAGGAGGGAAGATGGTTGGCCAAGCATCCCGAACAACCACCTTCCCCTTGCTTTCACCTGCCTTTAGTACAGTGCTCCTTCTGAATAGCTGAGATAGACTGAAATTCTTCCTAAAAATTACTAAGTAGTGGAGAAGGCCGAAAACAACAAACAATCACAAACTTCCAAAGTATCGAGCTGTGTACAAACGGTATCTCCTGTCCCCCCAGCATAGAGGTGATATCCTGTTCCACTTTGTGGCTGAGAAATCCATCTCCGAATCTCCAGAGATTCTCGGCAGCAGCCTTCTGGGAAATCAGTAGATAATCACTAGGGTTGGTGGTCAATCCTTGGATAAAATAGGCTTCAGATGCACTTTGCACTGCTTCAAATCCACTTTCAACATATAATACATATAAACTAATACTAGAAAACAGGGCTGGGCACAGTGGCTAACACCTGTAATCCCACAATTTTGGAGGCTGAGGTAGGAGGATCCCTTGAGGCCAGGAGTTTGAGACCAGCCTGGGAAACCATAGGAAGGCCTCACCTCTACAGATAAAAAATTTCAAAAACTGGCCAGGCATGGTTGTGTGCACCTGTAGTCTCAGCTACTTGGGTGGCTGAGGCAGGAGGATTGCTTGAGCCCAGGAATTCAAAGCTGCAGTGAGCCATAATCACACCACTGCACTCCAACCTGGGCATAGAGTGAGACCCCCTTCTCTAAGAAAAAGATAAAAAAGAAAGAAAGTGGGTCTGGAATCTTTGAAAAGAGTAGTTAAATCTTTTCAATGATCCAGTAGTTTTCACTTTGGATGTTTACTCAGCAGGGAGTAGTTTGGAAATTCATAGGGTATTTTTGGTTGTCGACAATGAATTGGGAGATATCACATGAGGTCCAATAGTGGCAGACAATGCTGCACAAAAACCAGATTGTTCTCGATTCTAACCACCTTTGACTATCTTGCCACATGCTTATTATGTGGGTGAAAAGCCTGTTTGTATTCTTTCAGGTCTGGAGCCTATTCCATTTTACATGTTGCTCTGGTCTGAATGCTTGTGTCCCTCAGAATGCATATGTTGAAAGGGAACCCACAGTACAGTGGTGCTGGTAGGTGGGTCATCTGGAAGGTGATTAGGTCATGAGGACAGAGCTCTCATGAACAGGATCAGTGCCCTTATAAAAGAGGCCTGAGGGCACTTGTTCTGCGCTCCCACCATGTGAAGGCACAGCTGGAAACAGAGCCAGCCCTCACCAGACACCGACTTTGCTGGTGCCTTGATCTTGGACTTCCCAGCCTCCAGAACTGTGGGATATATACATATATATATTTAGACAGGGTCTCGCTCCGTCACCTAGGCTGGAATGCAGGGGCATGATCATGGTTCACTGCAGCCCGACCTGCTGGGCTCAAGCAATCCTCATGCCTCAGCCTCCCAAGTAGCTGGGACTACAGGGTGCATGCTCCCACACCTAGCTAATTATCTTATTTGTTGTAGAGACAGGGTCTCACTATTTTGCCCACGCTGGTCTCAAACTCCTGAGCTTAGTGATCCTCCTGCTGAGGCCCCCCAGAGTGCTGGGATTAAAGGCTGGGACTACAGGCGTGAGTCACCGTGCCCAGCTTTGCCCTCCTTTAAAATGGGAGCTGTGTTATTTATTATAGTATTTCCAGCTGCATATTTGGGTGAAAAGGATTTCAGTGCAGTGGAACAATTACTGCAAAGTAACAAAATGTAACAGAACATTTGAGACACTTTAAAAGAATTAGAACTTCATTAAACTTCATCACTCAGATTCTTAAAAATATTTCATATTATTGCCATCTGTTTCAATTTGGGTCTCTCCAAAAGCAGACTCTGAGACAAAAGTTTCAGATACAAGTAGGAGATTCTCCTGGGGGTTATAAGCCCCTGGGCACTTTCAGCCTGCTCTATGCATGGGCCAAGCACACCCCTGTATCCAGAGAAAGCCCTCAGGCAGAGAGACATGGGTGCTTATATGAGAATTGCCACTGAAGTGCTAGGTACTACTTCCAGGGTGGGCAAAGAGAATGCAGTTGGGACACCAGTAGCATCTCCTACAGGTGAAAAGAAGGCAGTAAGCCTGAATTTCCTAATCTCCCTATTCTCCTACCTCTAGTCCCAGGCAAGACATTTTTGTTACCATGTAAACATCAGAGTGTATTTACACAAACCTGGAGGGTGTAGCCTACCACACACCTAGGCTATATGATATAACCCATTGCTTCCAGGCCATAAACCTGTACAACATGGGCCTGTACTGAATGCTGTAGGCAATTGTAACACAATGGTAAGTATGTGTGTATCTAAACACAGAAAAGGTGCAGTAAAAATATGATATAAAAGATTAAAAATGGTCCACCTGCAGAGGGCAGGTGCCTTGCTATGTTTTGTTGAATCTGTTTTTGAATCTGCTTTCTACATTGGGGAAATAGCCCATCACCGTCCATCACCATGGATGGAGCTTGCAGGACTGGAAGTTGCTCTGGGTGAGTAGGCGAGTGATTGGTGAGTGAATGTGAAGGCTTAGGATGTTACTGTGCAGAAGTGTAGACTTTACAAACACTGGACACTTAGCCTGGCTGCCCTCCCCCTCCGCCACGCTCTGTGGTTTGCTGACACGCCTGTCACCGGGTGTGTGACCGGTTGCACCTTTCCCAGGTTGTGGGTGCAGCCTCAGCTTTTACAGAGGCTCCTTCTAGTGGAAAGAAGGAAATGAGGCTGCCTAATCTCCTTATCCTCTTACCCCTGGACCCCACCCTTCTCCTTCCCCTCTACCCCTCCCCCTAGCATGGCCAAGGGATTGCCAAAAGTGTTGTAAGACAAATTATGTTCCAGGAGAGTCTCAGAAAGTCTGCTGGCAGAGTCTGCCCTATATTGCTACAATGATATCATCTATTTGTAGAAGCTGGGGTTGGTTAAGATGTTAAAGTGAGATCATTGCGCTGATCTGCCAAATGTTTATATCCTTCTGCCTGCTAGGGATGGAGTATTTGTTTAGAAGGGAATTTATTCAGTAATGAGTACCCCCACCAGTGTCCAAAAAGACACAACATAATAACCTCTTGGGTTTTCTGAGCCAGCAGGTTTAGGAGGGTTTGCCCTGTGCAAACACAACAGGGAGACAGAGTGAGACTCAGGTGGACCCTGCACGAGGAAACTTGACTCCAAGGAGGGAGGAATGTGCCCAGGAATGGTGGAATCCTGACACTAATTTTAAATAGTTCTGATGTCCACGTGTCCATCTGGGTGGGTTTCCTTTAATAAACCACTCCCTTTGTGCGCCATCCATTCTTCCAACTAAAACCTGCCCACTGTTGGGTGCAGCCCTGATCCCTGGTACAGAGGATCTTCAGTTTTAGTCCCTTGCAGCTGCTCTGTGCAATGGCCTTAACCAAATCTGCTCCATCAGCCACAAAACCAAAACATCTGCTCAATATCCTCTTGATTCCTTTATTCATCTATTTGAAGTGAATTTTGCAAACACCTTTCAGCCTTTTCTACTCCAGACTAAATATTTCTGTAACTTTCCAACCCTTTGGTCATTCTAATGTTTTTGAATCCTCCCCAATTTTCCATATTATCTTTACATCATGGAGTTTAAATGGTATGTGAGACTCTACCCCTAAAATAGAGGTATAGCATTCATTGATCATGAACTTTTTGTGATGACAACTTACAGGGTCTGGCCCCTGACTGCAGACTTCTAATGGAAAGGAAAAGAGACTCTAACACAATCTGCTAATTAACCCACAGGTTGGATTGAGAAGGAAAAAAATCCACCTGAATTCTTAAGATAAAATGTATCATTTAAATAATTATTCTGGGTCTCTGCTTCTCCTGTTTGACAAGACAGCCGCATCTTCTTGAGCAGTGCCAGCTGTGTCCCTGAGACAACATGGTGAAGGTGAAGGCCAGAAAAAACAGATTTGGCCATATTGGGGGCCTGGTCACCAGGGATGCCAACTCTGGCAAAGTGGATATTGTCACTATCAATGACCTCAACTACATGGTCTCCATGTTCCAGTATGATTCCGCTCATGGCAAGTTCCACGGCACCATCAAGGCTGAGAACGGGAAGCCTGCCATCAATGACAATCCCATCACCATCTCGCAGGAGTGAGATCCCACCCAAATCAAGTGGGGTCATGCCAGCACTGATTATATTGTGGCGGCCACCAGCATCTTTGCCAGCATGGAGAAGGCTGGGGATCACCTAGATGGGGGAGCCAAAAGGGTCATCATCACTGCCCCCTCTGCTGATGGCCCCATGTGTGTGATGAGTGAAAGCTATGAGAAGTACTGCCTGCAGTAAGAGCTTGCTACTATTAATATCATCATTTTAGTAATCATACTCTGAATCTTGGCAAAAAAGAAAAGACGGTTCTGAAAATCAAGTCTGTCTGTTTCTGCCAGAATACTCATGAGACAGTTTGTTCCTAAAGCAGCAATTAGGAGTAAAGAACCAGAACAGTGTGATCATCCAAAAAGTCAGCTTCTGGCTTAGCTCCATCAGGATCCCAATTCTCTACGGAGTCGAGGTACTCTCCATGGCGTTCCCAGGGGGTGATAAAACAGAGGGGAAGAAGTCATTCTCCCACCTTCTTCCTTCCGCATACACCTATGGCCTGATCATCACTGCAGCACCCCTCACTGCCCTGAGGTCCAAATGGGGGTGCAGCACCCCTCACTGCCCTGAGGTCCAAATGGGAGCTGGCGCACTCAGATGCCCACAGGCGCCATCGAGGAGGGAAGCAGGCTGGTGCAAACGATCAACACATGAACTTCGCTTTCATGCTCGTCACCTAGTGATAGTCTCCACCTACACAACTAAAGGTGTGCCGTCTCCCAGATTCTAGAAACACAGCCTCCCTTGACTTTTTTTGAGACAGAGTCTCACTCTGTCACCCAGGCTGGTGTGCAGTGGCACGATCTCAGCTCACTGCAACCTCTGCCCCCTGGGTTCAAGCAATTGTCCTGCCTCACCCTCCCTAGTAGCTGGGATTACAGGCATGCGCTACTATGCCTGGCTAATTTTTGTATTTTGGGTAGAGACGGGGTTTCACCATGTTAGTCAGGCTGGTCTAAAACTCCTGACCTCAAGTGATCCGCCCACCTCAGCCTCCCAATGTGCTGGGATTACAGGCATGAGCCACTGTGCCCGGCCCAGGCTCACTTGATTTACCTTGCATTTTTCCACTTTTGACGGTGACACAGATACAGAGAACAGGTTTGTTCAACACTTTAACAATACAGACATGGTCATGACAGTCCCTAAGTGTTAGGAGCAACGGGGAAGAATGCAGGCTGTGCTAAACTGACGGGCACATAACTGCCCCTGGAGGTGAGCCACACCAGAGCCTTATGCTGGAACACAGGGAATGGAAGGCTGTAGAAAGGCAGCCCAGAGTGTGGACTGTGCTGAAGAACCTCCCAATTCTTCAGTGCTGGCTCCTGTGGATACATACATAGGGCAATCAAAACAATGCCATGGGAAGGCCTGCAGCAGACGGATAGGCACACATCCACTCTGTAAGCAACAATTCTTTTCTTTTTCTTTTCCTTTTTTTTTTTTTTTTTGTGACAGAGGCTCACTCTGTTGCCAGGCTGGAGTGGTGCAGTGGTGTAATCTCGTCTCACTGCAGCCTCCCACTCCCAGATTCAAGTAATTCTCCTATCTCAGCCTCCTGAGTAGCTGGGACTACAGGCATGTGCCACCACGCCCAGCTAATTTTTGTATTTTTAGTAGAGACGGGGTTTCACCATGTTGGCCAGGATGGTCTTGATCTTTTGACCTTGTGATCTGCCTGGCTCGGTCTCCAGAAGTGCTGGGATTACAGGCATGAGCCACCGCGCCCAGCCAGCAACAATTCTTTCTAACTTAACTCTGTGCAGAGTGTGCAGAGATTCTTTTTTTTTTTTTTTTTTTTTTTTGAGATGGAGTTTGGCTCTTGTCCAGGCTGGAGTGCAATGGCGTGATCTCAGCTCACTGCAACCTCTGCCTCCCGGGTTCAAGTGTTTCTCCTGCCTCAGCCTTCCGAGTAGCTGGTATTACAGGCGTGCGCCACCACGCCCACCTAATTTTTGTAATTTTAGTAGAGACAGGGTTCCACCATGTTGGTCAGGCTGATCTCGAACTCCTGACCTCAGGCAATCCACCCGCCTCAGCTTCTCAAAGTGCTGGGATTACAGGCGTGAGCCACGGCACCCAGCTGAGATTCTTAAAATGGTGTTCAAACTTTAGGGTGTGCAAGAACCTTCGGAGACACTTGTTTAAAGTGCAGTCCTGGGGCTCATTACCTGAGATTCTGAAGCGGAGGCCCAGGAGTCTACTTTAAAAAAATTTTTCTTTTTTTTTTTTTTTTTTTTGAGATGGAGTTTTGCTCTTGTTGCCCAGGCTGGAGTGCAATGGCGCGATCTTGGCTCACCACAACCTTTGCCTCCTGGGTTCAAGTGATTCTCCTGCCTCAGCCTCCCGACTAGCTGGGATTACAGGCATGCGCCACCATGCTCGGCTAATTTTGTATTTTTAGTAGAGACAGGGTTTCTCCATGTTGGTCAGGCTGGTCTTGAACTCCCGACCTCATGTGATCCACCCACCTCAGCCTCACAAAGTGCTAGGATTAGAGGCATGAGCCACCACACCCGGCTAAAAAAATTTTTTTAATAGGTAATAGGCTTTACTTTTAAAGCAGTTTTAGATTCACAGAAAAATTGAAGAGACAGTTTGAAGATTTTTCCATAAACCCCATACTAAGTTTCCCCTTTTATTAACATCTTACATTAGTATGGTATATTTGTGACAATTAAGGAATCAGTATTGATCTATTATTATTATTATTATTATTATTTTTAGAAAGAATGTTGCTCTGTGGCCCAGGCTGGTGTGAGGTGGCGTGATCTTGGCTCACTGCAACCTCCGCCTCCCGGGTTCAAGCGATTCTCCTGCCTCAGCCTCCTGAGTAGCTGGGATAACAGGTGTGTGCCACCATGCCCGGCTAATTTTTGTATTTTTAGTACAGAGAGGGTTCCACCATGTTGGTCAGGCTGGTCTCGAACTCTTGACCTCATGATCTGCCCACCTCGGCCTCCCAAAGTGCTGGGATTACAGGCGCGAGCCACTGCACCTGGCCACCAGCCTCCTATTCTATTCAAAGTCACTCCTCTGCTCACTGAGATAGATGCATATCTGAGTTGCCTCCTTTGGAAAGGCTCATCAGAAACTCTAAAGAACGTACCGTTTGTGTATCACCCATCTGTGACCTGGGAGCTCCGTCCCCTCTTTGAGTATTCCTGCCTTCGCTTCAAGTTGTCCCGCCTTTACAGATGGAACCAATGTACTTCTTACATATATCAGTTGATGCCTCATGTCTCCCTAAGTGTATAAAACTAAGCTGTGCCTTGACCACCTTGGGCACATGTCGTTAGGACTCCCTGAGGCTGTGTCACAGGGGCTTCCTCAACGTTGGCAAAATAAACTTTCTAAGTTAACTGAGACCTGTCTCAGATTTTATGGGTTCACATTATGGTAACCACGAGGGGATTCTGAGTGGAGGTGCCCCTGACCTTTGACAAATCTATTGGTTCTTGGTAGCAGCATGAGCTAACTTTATGGCTCAAGCCAATAGGACAATTTGCTGAGGTTTGAGAGCACCCCCTCCAGAGAATCCCTGATCTCTTAAAATTTGGTCAAGATCTAAAGTTTATTTTGCTGTACAACTCCTCTTTTTTTTTTTTTTTATTTTTAGTTTTACTTGCTTCTAATAGGAAGGCAAGTTTTTCTGCTTCCATGATGATAGAAGGCAGGTAACTCCTTTATGTAGTTTGAGCTCGCTTCCAACAGGGAAGATGAGTTTTTTTTTTTCCTGCTCCTAGGATGGCAGAGAGTAGTCTACAGCCTGAGACCCATCACTAGGTAAGAAACTGGTTTGAGGCCGGGCACGGTGGCTCAAGCCTGGAATCCTAGCACTTTGGGAGGCCGACATGGGCGGATCACGAGGTCAGGAGTTCGAGACCATCCTGGCCAACATGGTGAAACCCTGTCTCTACTAAAAATACAAAAAAATTAGCAGGGCGTGGTGGTGGGCGCCTGTAGTCCTAGCTACTCGGGAGGCTGAGGCAGGAGAATGGCATGAACCCGGGAGGCAGAGCTTGCAGTGAGCCGAGATGGTGCCACTGCACTCCAGCCTGGGGGACAGAGCCAGACTGTCTCAAAAAAAAAAAAAAAAAAAGAAAAAAAGAAACTGGTTTGAGATTGTCTTGCAATTTCCTTTTAAAAGACTAAAGTTAGCACTTAACAACCAGCTGGTGTTAATTTCTGCTTTCACAAAGAACACTCAGAAATTATATAATTTGTGTGATCAATGTTAGTTTAGCAGCATTTTGTCCTAGCTGAAATATGGTAATAAGATTAAAAAAATTTTTGTAAAGGAACTCAATGGTTAAAAGTCAGCTTAATTAAAAGGCTAACATCCAACATGTGTGTGTGTGCATGTGTGCATGTTTGTATTTAAAAGGCCTTCATGTTTTTGGGTTTTTTTGTTTGTTTTTGTCTCCTAAGACATTGTCTTTTTTTTGAGCAAAAGTTTTTTTTTTCTTTTTCTTCTTATTTGACTGAATTTTGTTTTCATCTGATTTTTTTTTTTTTAACTAAAATAGTTATTGTATCAGAGGCTGCTCTTGGGTTTTTAAGGAACAGTGTAGTTTAATTTTTTTTTGAAACGGAGTCTCACTCTTTCCTAGACTGGAGTGCAGTGGCATGATCTCGGCTCATTGCAACCTCTACCTCCTGGGTTCAAGCGATTCTTCTGCCCAGCCTCCTGAGTAGCTGGGACTACAGGCGCGCACCACCACGCCCAGCTAATTTTTGTATTTTTAGTAGAGATGACGTTTCACCATATTGGCCAGGCTGTTCTCAAACTCCTGACTTTGTGATCCACCCGCCTCGGCTTCCCAAAGTGCTGGGATTATAGGCGTGAGCCACCGTGCCCGGCCCTAATTTTTATGTTTAACTTGGGTCAAAGAAAAATAAAAGTGCCTCTCTCTAGCATCACCAGACTTTTTCTCTTTGTACTTTATGATGTAAATTTTGCTATTTGCTTTTCACCTGAGTTGTTTCCTTTAATGTGCAAATTTAAGGTTATTTAGCTAACAACTGCCTAGGGCTGTGAAAGAGGTTATCAAGAATTTGAAAGTCTAAGGTAGGAAAGAAAGCGGTGGGGGGGGGGGGGGACTTTATAAATCTATAAAATGTACTTCCATCGGCATGCCTAATATGTTTTTATATGTATTTATGTGTTGTGTACAGAATGTTTCACTACTAAAAATATATAAGAGAGCTCTAATTAATTGGCTTTTAAAAAAGCGCTTGAATTAGATACTAAAAAAGAAAAAACTAGTCAAATTGTTTTTCAGGTTTATGTAACTTAAGTAAAATCTTTAATAAATACGCTAGCTTTAAAATTATTGGTAAAGTAATATTAGAAATGTCTTAAGAATTGCCCAGCATACATTTTTGTTTGCATTTATTAATCAAGCAATTTTATACTTATCCCTGCCAAATTTGGCATAGGGGTTACAAAACTATAAACCCCGCCCAAAACAGAATGATCTTTGCTTGTGTAATTTTTAATGAAGAAGACATTGATATGAGTTTAATGAAAATAGCTTTATCTTGAATTTAGTAAGATTACCATAACTTCTAATCCTGTGGCTTTAGGCAGTCTGATCTGCAGACAATAAGGAGGGTTGTTTTGGGGAAAGGACTGTTACCCTCTTTGTTTCAAAGCTAAACTATAAACTAAGTTCCTCCCAAAGTTAGTTCGGCCTACGCCCAGGAATGAACAAGGACAGCTTGGAGGTTAAGAGCAATATGGAATCAGTGAGGTCAAATCTTTTCACTGTCTCAGTTATAATTTTGCAATGGCGATTTCATAACTTTAAATCATGACTATCACAGTTTTCATAAATAATCTAGGTAAACAAATAAAACACTTAGATAAATGTAATGGAATAAATACTTGTAGATAAACTGATCATAATTTATAATATAAAGTTATATTAAATTAAATAATAGCTATTTCATTATTTGGGTATTTTCCAATAAATATATATTGTGGGAAAACATTCTTGCTAAATAAAAAAGTGTGTCCTTTAAAAAAAAAAAAAGTGAACAAGTTTTGTCTAATTCAAAGCTTATTTAAAGGTTATATATAAAACAAGGTGAAAGGCACCAGGAATAAAAAGAGATGTAAAGAAAGTTATAAAAATAAGGAGGTTTTCTTTTTTGAGGTAAAAAAGCTTAAAGAGAAATAATTTTATATAAGAAAGAATCTTGTATGGTAAATTTAGTCCTAAAATAAAATAACTGGTTATCTAAAAAGGAGGGATGTTGAGAACAAATCAGAAAGTCTGATCATGTCATTAACAGTCAGTGTAAGTCACAATAAGAGGATTTATATTAAAAAGAAAAACAAAAACTTTTATATAATCAAGTTATCATGTTATTATTAAGTTTTGGTTTGCTTAGGAAAAAAACAGAGATAAAATTTTTTTTTAATTAAGGTTATTACATGCATGTATCTTCCTGTATGTACATTGTTACATTGAGTTTCAAGGCTGTAACTCCTGGGTCTAAAAAGGACACCAAGTCCTGCTAAATCTTAAACATTGACAGCAATAAAAGCCTCATCTTCAGGCCCCATAGAAGATGCCAATCAAAACAAATTGCATTCCTGAGACACAGGGCAAGAAATTAAAGCTATTCAACTCCTCAGGGCCCAGGGACTATCACAGAAGAGGTGGGCGCCTAAGATTGTAAGGGCTGATTTTGAAAGATAAAATAAGTTCTGTTTCTCTATAAATTAATTATTAATGTCAAGGGCACACTAATGCAAAACCAGTACATGGACTCCTGTGTCAGATTAGCAAGGTTTTCTTGAAGCATTAACCAACTTCTTAATAAAGTTTATAAAAGGCTTACAGAAGTTATATTTTATAATCAAGGTTAAATCTTGTAGATTGCTTACAAAATTCGAAAAACAAATGTAATTTGCTTCATGCTGTTTTTATTAGAGCTTCTCCTTTAGAAAATTAAATCTCCTCACCGGGCTTGGTGGCTCACGCCTGTAATCCCAGCACTTTGGGAGGCCGAGGCGGGTGGATCACAAGGTCAGGAGATCGAGACCATCCTGGCTAACATGGTGAAACCCCATCTCTACTAAAAATACAAAAACTAGCTGGGCATGGTGGCATGCGCCTGTAGTCCCAACTCAGGAGGCTGAGGCAGGAGAATGGCGTGAACCCAGGAGGTGGAGCTTGCAGTGAGCTGAGGTTATGCCACTGCACTCCAGCCTGGGTGACAGAGCGAGACTCTGTCTCAAAAAAAAAAAAAAAAGAAAAAGAAAAGAAAATTAGATCTCCTCTCTCAAAGAATGAAGGTTTTTGCTTTTTCTGAAATGCTTGAATTATCACTTTGGTTAAATAAATGACCTCACAATGACCTGTAATCCTATTTTGTAATACCAAGTGTTTTAAACCCTTTATATTTGACAAACTTTCCAAAATCAAATTATAAATTATGTCTTTTTCTAACCTAATTAATCCTTTAAGAAATGAGTTTCCCTAAGTCCAAAAATGACAAAATTTGGCTTATTTTGGTATAAAAATTATACAGGAAGTGTCAAATATGAAATGGTGTTTGGTTTTCTTTGGGCTGTATTTGTATAAATATGTTACTGGTATGTGTTCCAAAATTATGGGAAACTCCTGTATTTCTGATATAACTTAGTGTACATTATCAGTAATAGTCATAAGTGTTGTTAAAATTATTGTGTGTCACAGAGGTAACACATTTCCTTGTCAATTGTGTCTTTTAACTGTGGCTGCCTTAAAACTTTTTTCATCCACAGACAATTCTCTTGTTTATCTTGTTTTAAACCCCTTTAAAAGGTGGGTTTATAATCAGTTATAGGACTCTAACAGGTGCACTTAAATGCAGTTTTGCTGATAACTTTGGAAACTGTGACATTGGAATAAAGGAATAAACTTTCAGAACTCTCATGGAGAGCTGAAATGTTTATGACTATCAAACAGAACAGGAGTTAACTGAATTAACTGAACCAATAGAAAACTAATCTTTTTGACCTTTTTGCTTAAAACATTGCTAATACTTTGTTTTGTTTTTTAGAATTATGAAAACTAAAGCTATTTACAGCTTTTAACAATTGAGTAAAGTATACTGTTACCAGAATTGGGAGCATATTTGTTTCTCTCTACCTGGTTTCTCCAGAATTTGGAAACTATTTGTGAGTATTCTTAATTTATGGCAGTATAGTTATTTGCATAAGTGCCATAAGAATCTGTTTTCTTTTGCAATAGGACACAATTGGAGAAATTGGTTATTTTACTAAGGCTTTGACTGGGATGGTGTGCTTTCCTTTAAGGAATCGACTTGTGGAGCTAATAAAGCCCTTGGAAAAACTGGCCTCATATTTTGTGTACACAGTCCCTGTACAGGTTTTCTGACCTGTGTAAGTACAGAATTCACTTTCTGACAGGCACAGAAGCCCCAGGTTTATGTTGGGACCTCAAGAGAAGGGGAAATTCACCCAACTCATAGATATTTGATGGCACAAATCTATGGCTGGGCTTCGCTTTTAAAATGTCTTATCTGCTATTCCTCCTATGGAACAAAGTTCCATCAAAGCCAATTTGAAAGCCTATGTAAAAGATAATTATTCTTGCTGCACTGTATACAAATAATTAGGCCAAGTATAATAAAGCAAGCCAGTCCCACCATGTTTTGTCTTTAGTAAAAATGGGAAACTGGAGAGAGAATAATTATGTTTCAAAACTACAGTAGACCTGTTGTTAGATTCTAGTCTGCCTAATGTTTTTTTCAATTTGTATTATTTTCTACAGTTTAGACTGAATTCTAATTTTTCTTGGCTACAAGTCCATAAAATAATGTTTTCAATTTCTTTTCCTTCTTTTTTTCCATTTTTCCTAATTTAGAGTCACTGAAAACTAAGCTGTGTTTTCTTAAAACCCTGCAAACTGAAGCCAGACAACTTGAACTTCAGAAGAAAATAACAGCAACCTATTTACGTACATAAGCCACTTTCATACCTGCCTACTAATGTATGGACTTCAGAGTAATGTGGCTTATATCGATTTTTCTAGGATTGTTCTTTTGTTTGTTGTTGTTTTTTCTCCCTTCCTCCCTGCTATTTTCTCTTCACAGAATGTGAGACTTCACAACCTACTAAAAATGAGCTTTTGGGACTTACCCATCTAGGAATAAACCATCATAGCTATGAGAAATCAGATGAAGCCTGAGACCAGAGACTCATTTTTTTGCAAAATGCTTTCTCCGACAGATTTTACAAAAGAAAAGTGGTGGGGGGCAGGCACAGTGGCTCACACCTGTAATCCCAGCACTTTGGGAGGCCGAGGTGGGTGGATTACCTGAGGTCAGGAGTTTAAGACCAACCTGACCAACATGGTGAAACCCCGTCTCTATGAAAAATACAAAAATTAGCCAGGCATGGTGGTGGGCACCTGTAGTCCCAGCTACTCGGGAGGCTGAGACAAGAGAATTGCTTGAACCCAAGAGGCGGAGGTTGCAGTGAGCTGAGATCACGCCACTTCAGTCCAGCCTGGGCGATGGAACAAGACTCCATCTCAAAAAAAAAAAAAAAAAGGTCAGAAATGTGAAAGGAAAATCTCTTGGGCCCCTAAAATCACTAAGGAAAACTCAAGCTGGAAACTGCTTAGGGCAAACCTGCCTCCCATTCTATTCAAAGCCACTCCTCTGCTCACTGAGATAGATGCATATCTGATTTGCCTCCTTTGGAAAGGCTCATCAGAAACTCTAAAGAATGTAACCCTTTGTGTCTCACCTGTCTGTTACCTGAGTCTTCCTGCCTTTGCTTTAAGTTGCCCCGCCTTTCCAGACCAAACCAATGTACTTCTTACATATATTGATTGATGTCTCATGTCTCCCTAAATGTATAAAACTAAGCTGTCCTCCGACCACCTTGGGTACATGTCCTCAGGACTTCCTGAGGCTGCGTCATGGGTGTGTCCTCAACCTTGGCAAGATAAACTTTCTAAATTAACTGAGGCCTGTCTCAGATGTTCCAGGTTCACATGAGTAACTCCTCTGCATGTCTTCGGCATTCAACAGACACACACTGAATAGGAATTCCCTGCCTCCCTCCTGCGGGGCATGAAGCCAGATGCTAGGATTGCAGAGCTTTCATGGGTGGATGTGCATGGGACAAGTGTGAACACAGTTAGCAGGACAGAGCGGGAGAAGTATCCACCAATGGTTTGACCTGCCCTTAGTCACTTCTCCTGGAAATGACGGAGAGAAGCGTGTTAAGAATTGGGAGAGGGCTGGCCCCAGTGGCTCACGCCTGTAATCCCAGCACTTTGGGAGGCCAAGGTGGGTGGACTCTTTGAGCCCAGGAGTTTGAGACAAGCCTGGGCAACATGGTGAAACCCCCATTTCTACAAAAAATAAAAAAATCAGCTGGGCATGGTGGTGTGTGCCTGTGGTCCCAGCTACTCTGGAGGCTGAGGTGGGAGGATCACTTGAGCCCAGGTGGTGGAGAATGCAGTGAGCCATGATCACACCACTGCACTCCAGCCTGGGTGACTGGGTGACTGAGCAAGACCCTGTCTCTAAAAAAAATTGGGATAGGATATGAGCTCAGAGAGCTCAGAGCTGGGCTCCACAGGACATGGGAATGGGGTGGAGTCAAAAGGACCTGTGGAAGTTTTGGAATTGAAGAGGAAAAAAATGTTTTATCCTCTGAGGCTGACCAAAAGGAAATTGGCTGCAGAAATGTTTGTAGATTGTGGTGGGGGTAGGACGATGTTTGAGGTCACCTATAACAGCTTCAATTTTCTGGATGAAACGAAAGACCAGCTCATTCTTCCTAGAATGAGGGGTCTGGGGCTAAACCCAGGACCTGGCAAGGGCATTAGAGGTTTGAGATAGTGGCTAGGTGGCTGTCTTAGCCCATTTTGTGCTGCTATAAAACAGGATACCTGAGACTGGGTAATTTATAAAGATCAGAAATGCATTTCTCATTGTTAGGGAGGCTGGGAGGCCCAAGACAGAGGCACTGGCTTCTGGTGAGGGCTTTCTTGCTGTGTCCTCACTTGGCAGAAGAGTGGGAGAGAGTGAACCCCTTCCCACAAGCCCTTTGCATAGAGGCATCAATCCATTCATGGGGGTGGAGCCCACGTGACCTAAACACTTCCCAAAATGCCCCACCTCCCGACACTGTTGCATTGGGGATTAAGTTTCCAGCCCATGAATACGGGGGTACACATTCAGACCATAGCAGGATTACATCAGTTAGGGTTCCATCAGGGGACCAGCAGAAACACCAGTAATATGAAAAGAGAGAACTAAATACAAAGACTTGTTAACTACATATAATATTCACCAGGTAACTGAAGGTGTAAGGAATAAGTCTGAGATATCACAGAGGAAGCAGCTACCACCTCTCAGGCTGGGCAAACGGAGGGAAGCAGGTCCAATGATTAAAACCTTGAAACTTGGCCAAGTGTGGTGGCTCAGCCTGTAATCCCAGCACTCTGGGAGGCCGAGGTGGGGGATGATGGATCACTTGAGGTCAGGAGTTCGAGACCAGCCTGGCCAACATGGTGATACCTAATCTCTACTAAAAATACAAAAATTAGCAGGATGTGGCGGTGCATGCCTCTAATCCCAGCTACCTGGGAGGCTGAGGCAGGAGAATCGCTTGAATCTGGGAGGTGGAGGTTGCAGTGAGCCAAGATCATGCCACTGCACTCCAGCATGGGCAAAAAAAGTGAGACTCTGTCTCAAACAAAAACAAAAACAAAACCTTGAAACTTAGAGGAGTGGTCCCAGGGGACTGGGACCAGACCTCTGAGAAGGACGCGCTGGCCAGCTGGTGGCGGGCTGGGAGTGGTGAAACTGGCTCTGCTGGTGTTGCAAGCACTGGCATCTGGATTCAGCTGCTGCTGCAGAAAGCAGCTGCATTTGCTGGGTGGAGTGTCCCTGGGGTATTGCTCAAAGGGGCCCCAAGCAGCAAGGAGGTCACGAGCCCCTCCTTCTTCCTCAGCTTCCTGTAGCACCCCAAAATGGTAGAACCCAACTTGTGGTTTGCAGAGTCTCAGCCCAACATCACAAAGCCAAGCAGAGAAGCCTGGGTTTGGAGTGAGAGGCAATAACTTAGTAACTGTCATGGGGAACGCACAAAGCCATCCCTCACTGTATGAGTGACATTTAGGGACTGTGCAGGCACATGAGTCTGTATATTGGCTGAATTTCTTTCCTTTGCCTTCTGCAAATCATTTCGTATTCTCCTAGGCCCTTGCCATATTGGAGAAATATCAGAAAATCCTTAATGGGTCTCCTGGTTCAAAAGGAACTGACCAACGATTACAAGTGTCTATCAACAGATGAATAAATAAGCAAAATGCAGCAGAAACATACAATGGAATATTGGCCTTGAAAAGGAAGGAAATCCTGACCTGTGCTCTAACATGGAAGAACCTGGAAGATCATCTGCTAAGGGAAATACGCCAGTCTCAGAAGGACAAATACCGAGTGATTCCACTTATATGAGGTGCCCAGAATAGGCAGATGCCTGGAGAGGGGAAGGAGAGTGGTGGTTGCCAGGCCTGAAGGAGGAGGGAATGGGCAGTTGTTGTTCGGTGGGTCCAGAGCTTCAGTTCTGCAGGATGGAAAATGTTCCGCGGATGGTGGTGGTGGTGGCTGCACAACAGTGTGAATGCATTGAATGCGTGTGACTGCACACTGAGAAATGGCTAAGGCGGGACGTTTTACCTGATGTGGATTTGCCCACAGTCACATATTTTTAGAAAGGAACTAGGCTGGCTGCAGTTGCTCATGCCTGTAATCCCAGCACTTCGGGAGGCCAAGGCAGGTGGATCACTTGAGGTCCGGAGACAAGCCTGGCCAACATGGTGAAACCCTGTCTCTACTAAAAATACAAAAAATTAGTCGGGCATGGTGGTGCGTGCCTGTAGTTCCAGCTACTCAGGAGGCTGAGGCAGGAGAATCACTTGAACTTGGGAGGCAGAGATTGCAGTGAGCCAAGATTGCGCCACTGCACTCCAGCCTGGGTGACAGAGTGAGACTCCATCTCAAAAAAAAAAAAAAAAAAGAAAGAAGGAAAGAAAGAAAGAAGTAAGAGAAAAAGAAAAGAAAGAAAGAAAGAAAAAGAAAGAAAGAAAGAAAGAAAGAAAAAGAAAAAAGAAGAGAAGAGAAAAGAAAAGGAAAGAAAGGCAAGAAAAGGCCGGGCGCGGTGGCTCACGCCTGTAATCCCAGCACTTTGGGAGGCCGAGGCGGGCGGATCACGAGGTCAGGAGATCGAGACCATCCTGGTTAACACGGTGAAACCCCGTCTCTACTAAAAATACAAAAAACTAGCCGGGCGCGGTGGCGGGCGCCTGTAGTCCCAGCTACTCTGGGGCCTGAGGCAGGAGAATGGCGTGAACCCGGGAGGCAGAGCTTGCAGTGAGCCGAGATCGCGCCACTGCAGTCCGGCCTGGGTGAAAGAGCGAGAGTCTCAAAAAAAAAAAAAAAAAAAAAAAAGAAAGAAAGAAAAGGGAAGGGGGAAAGGGAAAGGGAAAAGGAAAGGAAAGAAAAGAAACTAGACAGAGGTTAGAGCTGGAGGACATGGGTGGGCGCCCTGAGCCTGATGTGTCACATGCCTTCATCCTCCCACCTTGGGTGAGCAGCATTTTCCAGGCTTTGCTTAGTGAGTTCTGATGTGCAACTGTCTTCGTCGGCCCTGCTGCACACCCACTACAGGTGTATATGAACAGGGACGGTCTGCCCCTCTGGTGGTCCCGGGAATAAAGAATTGATTCCAGCAGATGATAATATAACAGCTAATATGGAGTGTGTTCAGCATGCCAGGCACGTGTGTGATCCGCAGCACACCTGTGTTGTAGAGCCTGTTATCACCTCCATTTTACGATGAGAAACCTGAAGCTCAGAGGGGTTGTGTCCAGCCTCCGGTCACCCACCTGCCAAGTGCAGAAGCCGAGGTAGAACCGGGCTCTCCGTCCGGGATCTCGTGCCCTTCACCGCGGGACTCTACCTCCCCCTAGTGGACCATCTAGCCTTGCATGGTCTCACATCCAGTTTCTACACAGGTGGGATACCCAGCTGTCTCCACTCATGAGAGGTAACTTCGCATTCGCTGTTTGCTGTTCCACAAGCATGCCCCTTTCTCTTGCCCTAGCTCCACGCTGGCTGTGTTCCAACAAGTGGCAGCAGTGCTGAGTTTTGCTGCACACCCAGCGAGGCACCCCAGACTCTCACCTGCCAGGAGCACCCCTGCGGGCTTCAGAGGCTTGTGGCAGGATTACCAGGTGTTCCTTACCATGGTCCGTCAATTCCCGCAGAAGCAACCCTGGGAGATTTAAGAATCTTCTTAAGCTTCTGTGGCTGTGGAGATCCTTGGAATGGTAAAGAGACTTCCGGATTTCTTTCTATAGCCCAGCTATGTAAAGTACTTTGTGGAGTCAACTACCCTCCAGGTTTCTCCCTTGATCGGAGGGGTCTGCGTGGGATTCTGAATGGGGGAGGCATCCATTGAGAAGAGCCTTTTCCACACCATGCAGGCACCGTGGATGCCTCTGGGATTCTGGCAGGTGAATCTGGGTATCCTGGGTGATACTGATGGCTTTTGTTTTTTGATGCAGGATCCATCTGAGGTACACATATTGCGTTTAATTGTTATGTTTCCTTTTAAATTTTAACTTCTCTTTTCTTTTCTTTTTTTTTTAGATGGAGTTTCACTCTTGTCACCCAGGCTGGAGTGCAATGGCGTGATCTCGGCTCACCGCAACCTCTGCCTCCCGGATTCAAGTGATGCTCCTGCCTCAGCCTCCTGAGTAGCTGGGACTACAGGCACCCACCACACCCAGCTAGTTTTTGTATTATTAGTAGAGACAGGGTTTCACCATGTTGGCGAAGCTGGTCTTGAACTCCTGCCCTCAGGTGATCCTCCAGTCTCTCAGGGTTACATGTGTAGGTTTATTTTTTATTTTTTATGTTTTAATTTTTTTTGAGAGAGATTCGGGCTCTGTCGCCCAGGCTGCAGTGCAGTGGTGTGATCTCAGCTCACTGCAACCTCCACCTCCCAGGTTCAAGTGATTCTCCTGCCTCAGCCTCCTGAGTAGCTGGGACTTACAGGCACGTGCCACCATGCCCAGCTAATTTTTCGTATTTTTAATAGAGACATGATTTCACCATGTTAGCCAGGATGGTCTCGATCTCCTGACCTCGTTATCCATCTGCCTTGGGCTCCCAAAGTGCTGGGATTACAGGCGTGAGCCACTGCACCCAGCCTGTAGGTTTATTGTATAGGTAAACTTGTGTCATGGGATTTTGTTGTACAGATTCTTTTGTCACCCAGGTATTAATTACTCATTAATTATTTTTCTTTAGCCTCTTTTAATCTAGAATAGTACCCCCTTACTACTACCTTCTTGGGTTTTTTTGGTCACATGGAACTTTTGGGGTTCAGGTGAGTTTACTAGATTGTCCCCCGCTCCATGCTGAATTCGTATAATAGTTGCTTCATGTTTGGATTCAGATCAAATATACTTTGTAGGTGATGGTTTGTACTTCTCACTGCCTCATATCAGGAGGAACATAAAACCTGACCTGGGAATCACACAGTCAATAAATGCGTCTTAACAATATATTACGTTGTGTGGTGCGCTGAGTCCCCTGCTATACAATGAACACACAATGGGAGCCATTGATATGATTGGGACATGCAGAGATAATGAAAACCAAAGGGCAGGTTTGTGGGTTGGCAATAGGTGCACTTAACAGAAAATTCAACTCACAATAGTCCATCCAAATACAAGTCAGGAGGCAGGCAGCCCAGAGCTGATGCAACAGCTCCACCTAATTCAGGATCTTGCTCTCTTTCACTCTGCCATCACTGGGGTGTGGCCTTGGGTCTCATGAATCCAAGATGGCTTCTGCCCCCCAGACATTGGGACCCCTTCCAGGCAGGGAGGAGGAAAGGGGCATGCCAACTGCCCTGATCTCCTTTTAAGAAGCTTTCCTGGGGTGGCACCCAATGATTCTACTCACACCTCATTGGTTGGAACTGAGTCACATGCTGAACCCAACATGCACGATTGGGAAATGCAGTTGTCAGGAGCCTTGCGATCCTGAGCAAAAACATGGTTCTTTTAGAAAGGAAGAAGGAGAGAATGGATATTAGGTAGGCAATTGGGAGTCTTTGCCCTGAAGAATAAGGCAGGCTGGGGTTTGTTTTGTTTCTTGATGTGTGATTTTATTGTTTGTTATTCTTAGAAAAATCTCTTTTTTGTTTGTTTGTTTTGACAAGACTTAAACTTGGAGGTAGAATTTATCAAAGAGGACAGCTCTGTCTCTTGGCTATCTGTTCTTGGCAATTTGTTTGACCTCCTGCATTCTCTTGACCAAAAGTTCAGCATGTTCTGCTCTGCAACCTCTTATTTTCCTAAATATGCTGTTTTTTCAGAGCAATAGACGTACATTTGTGTTGCTGGACACATGGAATAACAAGACTGAATCTTGGGTGCTTTACTCCCAGGTCTCTTACTTTCTTTGTTTAGGGGCTTTCTCACAAAACACTGGTGTTCATGATCTTCTTAAGGAAGATGGAAATGTTTGTGGATTCTGCTATCTGTTCTGAGCCCCAGGATAGAGGCCCAGTAGCATCAGTCAGTCCAGGAATATTCTTCTTTCCTTTTTAGCTGATAGTTAAATTGAGAACACTCAGATTGGCATCCGTAGTGCAATCCAGAACAGACTTGAATTTTCTTTAAAAATTTTTTTAAGATAAAAGGTCTCACTCTGTCACCCAAGATAGAGTGCAGTAGTGTGATCACAGCTCATTGCAGCCTTGAACTCCTGGGTTCAAGCAATCCTCTTACCTCAGTTTCCCTAGTAGCTGGGATCACAGGCAAGAGCCACCACACCCAGCAGACTTGTGCCTCCTTTCTCCAGTTCTCCTTGGTCTCTAACAAGAATGCCCCTTACGCAATGGCACATGGGCACGGCCATGGTCAGGACATCTTGCTTCTTGGGGGAGACTTGCTTGTTGTTCCCCTCACTGTCTTGGACCACATAACCCTTCTGTTCTTTTCACCCAGAGCATCAGAATACACTTCTCAAAATTGGTCCAAAGTTCGTGTTCATCATCCACTTCAATGAGCTCCTGGCAGCCTGTGGCTGGGAAGATCAGCTTCATCTTGAAGCAGCTGATCACCTCCAAGTCCCCACGAAAAAGAAAAGACAGATTTTTGATGGCTAGTGAGACAGCTACACAGATTATATCAGGGTTTAAAAGTTCCCACAAGCCATTAAAAAATGGATTATTCCTGAGATCCTTTCCAAGATGGCCAAATAGGAACAGCTCCGGTCTGGAGCTCCCAGTGTGATTGACGCAGAAGATGGGTGATTTCTGCATTTCCAACTGAGGTACCTGGTTCATCTCACTGGGACTGGTTGGACAGTGGGTACAGCCCACGGAGGGCGAGCTGAAGCAGGGCGGTGTGTCGCCTCACCCAGGAAGCGCAAGCGGTCGGGGAATTTCCCTTTCCTAGCCAAGGGAAGCTGTGACAGACTGTACCTGGAAAAACGAGACACTCCCACCCAAATACTGTGCATTTCCCAAGGTCTTAGCAACCGGCAGACAAGGAGATTCTCTCCCGTGCCTGGCTGGGCGGGTCCCACGTCCATGGAGCCTTGCTCACTGCTAGAGCGGCAGTCTGAGATTGAACAGCGAGGTTGCAGCCTGGCTCGGGGAGGGCGTCTGCCATTGCTGAGGCTTGAGTAGGTAAACAAAGCGACCGGGAAGCTCAAACTGGGTGCAGCCCACCACAGCTCAATAAGGCCTACTGCCTCTAGACTCCACCTCTGTGGTCAGGGCTTAGCTGAACAAAAGGCAGTAGACAACTTCTGTAGACTTAAACATCCCTGTCTGACAGCTCTGAAGAGAGCAGTGGTTCTCCCCAACACAGCGTTTGAGAACGGACAGACTGCCTCCTCAAGTGGGTCCCTGACCCCCGTGTATCCTGACTCGGAGACACCTCCCAGTAGGAGCCGACAGGTGGGTGCCCCTCTGGGACGAAGCTTCCAGAAGAAGGATCAGGCAGCAATATTTGCTGTTCTGAAATATTTGCTGTTCTGCAGCCTCCACTGGTGATACCCAGGCAAACAGGGTCTGGAGTGGACCTCCAGCAAACTCCAATAGACCTGTAGCTGAGGGACCTGACTGTTAGAAGAAAAACTAACAAACAGAAAGCAATAGCATCAACATTAACAAAAAAGACATCCACACCAAAACCCCATGTGTAGGTCACCAACACCAAAGACCAAAGGTAGATAAAACCACAAAGATAGGGAGAAACCAGAGCAGAAAAGCTGAAAATTCTAAAAATCGGAGTGCCTCTTCTCCTCCAAAGGATTGCAGATCCTCGCTAGCAATGGAACAAAGCCAGATGGAGAATGACTTTGACGACTTGACAGAAGTAGGCTTTAGAAGGTTGGTAATAACAAACTTCTCTGAGCTAAAGGAGTATGTTTGAACCCATCGCAAGGAGGCTAAAAACCTTGAAAAAAGGTTAGGTGAATGACTAACTAGAATAAACAGTGTAGAGAAGACCTTAAATGACCTGATGGAGCTGAAAACCATGGCACGAGAACTTCATGACGCATGCACAAGCTTCAATAGCTGATTCGATCAAGTGGAAGAAAGGGTAACAGGGATTGAAGATCAAATTAATGAAATACAGCGAGAAGACAAGGTTAGAGAAAAAAGAGTAAAAAGAAATGAACAAAGCCTCCAAGAAACATGGGACTATGTGAAAAGACCAAATCTACATTTGACTGGTGTACCTAAAAGTGATGGGGAGAATGGAACCAAGTTGGAAAACACTCTTCAGGATATTACCCAGCAGAACTTCCCCAAGCTAGCAAAGCAAGCCAACATTCAAATTCAGGAAATACAGAGAACACCACAAAGATACTCCTCGAGAAGAGCAACCCCAAGACACATAATTGTCAGATTCACCAAGGTTCAAATGAAGGAAAAAATGTTAAGGGCAGCCAGAGAGAAAGGTTGAGTTACCCACAAAGGAAGTCCATCAGACTAATAGCGGATCTCTCAGCAGAAACCCTACAAGCCAGAAGAGAATGGGGGCCACTATTCAACATTCTTAAAGAAAAGAATTTTCAACCCAGAATGTCATATCTCACAAAACTAAGCCTCATAAGTGAAGGAGAAACCAAATCCTTTACAGACAAGCAAATGCTGAGAGATTTTGTCACCACCAGGCCTGCCTTAACAAGAGCTCCTGAAGGAAGCACTAAACATGGAAAGAAACAACCAGTACCAGCCACTGCAAAAACATGCCAAATTGGGGTCAGGTGTGGTGGCTCATGCCTGTAATCCCAGCACTTTGGGAGGCCAAGGCAGGTGGATCATGAGGTCAGGAGATCGAGACCATCCTGGCTAACACAGTGAAACCCCATCTCTACTAAAAAATACAAAAAAATTAGCCGGGCGTGGTGGCGGGTGCCTGTAGTCCCAGCTACTCGGGAGGCTGAGGCAGGAGAATGGTGTGAACCCAGGAGGCGGAGCTTGCAGTGAGCCGAGATTGTGCCACTGCTCCCCAGCCTAGGCAACAGAGTGAGACTCCATCTCAAAAAAAAAAAAAAAAAAAAAAAAAAAAAAGCCAAATTGTAAAGACCATCAATGCTGTGAAGAAACTGCATCAATTAATGGGCAAAATAACCAGCTAACATCATAATGACGGGATCAAATTCACACATAACAATATTAACCTTAAATGTAAATGGGCTAAATGCCCCAATTAAAAGACACAGACTGGCAAATTGGATAGAGTCAAGACCCATCAGTGTGCTGTATTCAGGAGACCCATCTCACGTGCAAAGATGCACATAGGCTCAAAAGAAAGGGATAGAGGAAGATCTACCAAGGAAATGGAAAGCAAAAAAAAAAAAAAACAACCAAAAAAAACAGGGGTTGCAATCCTAGTCTCTGATAAAACAGACTTTAAACCAACAAAGATCAAAAGAGACAAAGAAGGCCATTACATAATGGTAAAGGGATCAATTCAACAAGAAGAGCTAACTTTCCTAAATATGTATGCACCAAATACAGGAGCACCCAGATGCATAAAGCAAGTCCTTAGAGACCTACAAAGAGACTTAGACTCCCACACAATAATATTGGGAGACTTTAACACCCCACTGTCAATATTAGACAGATCAACGAGAGAGAAGGTTAACAAGGATATCCAGGACTTGAACTCAGCTCTGCACCAAGCAGACTAATAGATATCTACAGAACTCTCCACCCCAAATCAACAGAATATATATTCTTCTCAGCACCACATCACACTTATTCCAAAATTGACCACATAATTGGAAGTAAAGCACTCCTCAGCAAATGTAAAGAAACAGAAATCACAACAAACTGTCTCTCAGACCACAGTGTGATCAAATTAGAACTCAGGATTAAGAAACTCACTCAAACCAGGGGCGGTGGCTCATGCCTATAATCCCAGCACTTTGGGAGGCCAAGGCGAGTGGATCATGAGGTCAGGAGATCGAGACCATCCTGGCTAACATGGTGAAACCCCATCTCTACTAAAAATACAAAAAAAAAAATTAGCTGGGCGTGGTGGCAGGCACCTGTAGTCCCAGCTACTTGAGAGCCTGAAGCAGGAGAACGGCGTGAACCCGGGAAGCAGAGCTTGCAGTGAGCTGAGATCGCGCCACTGCACTCCAGCCTGGGGGACAGTGTCTCTGTCTAAAAAAAAAGGAAACTCACTCAAAACCACACAACTACGTGGAAACTAAACAACTTGCTCCTGAATGACTACTGGGTAAATAACGAAATGAAGGCAGAAATAAAGGTGTTCTTTGAAACCAATGAGAACAAAGACACAGCATACCAGAATCTCTGGGACACATTTAAAGCAGTATGTAGAGGGAAATTTATAGCACTAAATGCCCACAAGAGAAAGCAGGAAAGATCTAAAATCGACACCCTAACATCACAGTTAAAATAACTAGAGAAGCAAGAGCAAACAAACTCAAAAGCTAGCAGAAGGCAAGAAATAACTAAGATCAGAGCAGAACTGAAAGAGATGGAAACACAAAAACTTTTCAAAAAATCAATGAATCCACGAGCTGGTTTTTTGAAAAGATCAACAAAATTGATAGACTGCTAGCAAGACTAATAAAGAAGATAAGAGAGAAGAATCAAACAGACGCAATAAAAAATGATAAAAGGGTTATCACCACTGATCCCACAGAAATACAAACTACCATCAGAGAATACTATAAACACCTCTATGCAAATAAACTAGAAAATCTAGAAGAAATGGATAAATTCCTCGACACATACAGGCTCCCAAGACTAAACCAGGAAGAAGTTGAATCCCTGAGTAGACCAATAACAGGCTCTCAAATTGAGGCAATAATTAATAGCCTACCAACCAAAAAAAGTCCAGGACCAGACGGATTCACAGCTGAATTCTACCAGAGGTACAAAGAGGAGCTGGTACTATTCCTTCTGAAACTATTCCAATCAATAGAAAAAGAGGGAATCCTCCCTAATTCATTTTATGAGGCCAACATCATCCTGATACCAAAGTCTGGCAGAGACACAACAAAAAAAGAGAATTTTAGACCAATATCCCTGATGTACATCGATGCAAAAATCCTCAGTAAAATGCTGGCAAACCGAATCCAGCAGCACATCAAAAAGCTTATCCACCACGATCAGGTTGGCTTCATCCCTGGGATGCAAGGCTGGTTCAACATATGCAAATCAATAAGCATAATCCATCACATAAACAGAACCAACAACAAAAACCACATGATTATCTCGATAGATGCAGAAAAGGCCTTCAACAAAATTCAACAGCCCTTCATGCTAAAAACTCTCAATAAACTAGGTATTGATAGGACGTATCTCCAAATAATAAGAGCTATTTATGACAAACCCACAGCCAATATCATATTGAATGGGCAAAAACTGGAAGCATTCCCTTTGAAAACTAGCACAAGACAAGGATGCCCTCTCTCACCACTCCTATTCACCATAGTGTTGGAAGTTCTGGCCAGAGCAATCAGGCAAAAAGAAGAAATAAGGGGTATTCAATTAGGAAAAGAGGGAGTCAAATTGTACCTGTTTGCAGATGACATGATTGTGTATTTAGAAAACCTCATCATCTCAGCCCAAAATCTCCTTAAGCTGATAAGCAACTTCAGCGAAGTCTCAGGATACAATCAATCAACTGGCAGAGACACAACAAAGAAAGAGAATTTTTTTTCTCTTTTTTTCACAAAAAAAAGAGGTTTTGTTTTTTAAACAAAATCAATGTGCAAAAATTACAAGCAATCCTATACACCACTAATAGACAAACGGAGAGCCAAATCATGAGTCAACTCCCACTCACAATTGCTAAAAAGAGTAAAATACCTAGGAATCCAACTTACAAGGGATGTGAAGGACCTCTTCAAGGAGAACTACAAACCACTGCTCAACGAAATAAAAGAGGACACAAACAAATGGAAGAACATTCCATGCTCATGGATAGGAAGAATCAATATCATGAAAATGGCCATACTGCCCAAGGTAATTTATAGATTCAGTGCTATCCCCATCAAGCTACCAACAACTTTCTTCACAGAATTGGAAAAAACTACTTTAAAGTTCATATGGAACCAAAAAAGAGCCCACATTGCCAAGACAATCCTAAGCAAAAAGAACAAAGCTGGAGGCATCACGCTATCTGACTTCAAACTATACTACAAGACTACAGTAACCAAAACAGCATGGTACTGGTACCAAAACAGAGAGACCAGTGGAACAGAACAGAGGCCTCAGAAATAACACCACACATCTACAACCATCTGATCTTTGACAAACATGACAAAAACAAGAAATAGGGAAAGGATTCCCTATTTAATAAATGGTGCTGGGAAAACTGGCTAGCCATATGTAGAAAGCTGAAACTGGATCCCTTCCTTACACCTTACACAAAAATTAATTCAAGATGGATTAAAGACTTAAATGTTAGACTTAAAACCATAAAAACCCTAGAAGAAAACCTAGGTAACACTATTTAGGCCATAGGCATGGGCAAGGACTTCATGACTAAAACACCAAAAGCAATGGCAACAAAAGCCAACATTGACAAATGGGATCTAAATAAACTAAAGAGCTTCTGCACAGCAAAAGAAACTACCATCAGAGTGAACAGGCAACCTACAGAATGGGAGAAAATTTTTTACAATCTACCTATTACATATCCAGAATCTACAAAGAACTTAAACAAATTTACAAGAAAAAATCAACCCCATCAAAAAGTGGGCAAAGGATATGAACAGACACTTCTCAAAAGAAGACGTTTATGCAGCCAACAGATGCATGAAAAAATGCTCATCATCACTGGCCATCAGAGAAATGCAAATCAAATCCACAATGAGATACCATCTCACACCAATTAGAATGATGATCATTAAAAAGTCAGGAAACAGCAGGTGCTGGAGAGGATGTGGAGAAATAGGAATGCTTTTACACTGTTGGTGGGACTGTAAACCAGTTCAACCATTGTGGAAGACAGTGTGGCGATTCCTCAAGGATCTAGAACTAGAAATACCATTTGATCCAGCCATCCCATTACTGGGCATACACCCAAAGGATTATAAATCATGCTACTATAAAGACACATGCACACGTATGTTTATTGCAGCACTATTCACAATAGCAAAGACTTGGAACCAACCCAAATGTCTATCAATGATAGACTGGATTAAGAAAATGTGGCACATATACACCATGGAATACTATGCGGCCATAAAAGAGGATGAGTTCATGTCCTTTGCAGGGACATGGATGAAGCTGGAAACCATCATTCTGAGCAAACTATCACAAGGACAGAAAACCAAACACCACATGTTCTCACTCATAGGTGGGAATTGAACAATGAGATCACTTGGACACAGGGCAGGGAACATCACACACCAGGGCCTGTCAGAAGGTGGGGGGCAGAGGGAGGGATAGCATTAGGAGAAATACCTAATGTAAATGACAAGTTGATGGGTGCAGCAAACCAATATGGCACGTGTATACCTACATATCAAACCTGCACGTTGTGCACATGTACCCTAGAACTTAAAGTATAATAAAAAAAATGGATTAGTCCCTAGCCATGGTAACAAGCAGCCACCAGAACCAGTTTCCCATCTGTTCAATCCATCCGTGAGGACTTGGTTACCTTTCACAAGCTAACCAATCATCTTCTGATGTGACTGGCTCACTTAAACACATCCGTGGGAGCCAACCAATCAACAATAGCTCAGGCAGCAACCACCCTTCCAGGGAGGCTGCCACCCAACTTATGCCTCTGGAAGGCCTCCAACTCCTGAGCTCCACACCCTCCAAAACCCTATATAAGTTAATACTCTGCTCAGAGAGATGGAGCGTAACCAGCATAGCTCTCCCTTCCTGTGGGAAACAATACATTCAGCTTTGTTTCCTTATTTCAGGTATTAAGTGGTTATTCTGTTACAATCAAACCAAAATCATATTCTTTAACTTGTTTGTATCTTCCTTGAATGAGTCATTTCCCCAGCAAAGCCTTCAACCATCTCCATGCATAGCCTCCATGGATTAGGCCCCAATGCACACAGAGACCTCACCCTTGCAAGCTAATGGGGAAAGAGACAAAACAGGCCCAGAAGTCCTGCTGTTGGGCAACCACCCAGGTGCAGGGTTATCCCCAGAAGTGAACAACCAAGAAGGTCTGGGGAAGCTAAGAAATTCAGGCTTGATTTAATACCCAAAGCATGCAAGCTAGAAGGGGCAAAGTGAGAGGTCATTCCAGTCAGTAGTTACAGTTGTTACAATGCTCGACGACAGTGTTGCAGTCATGGGTGTTCTGTTTTGAGGAAGTTCTCTCAGTCTTTGCTAAAGGAAAATTAAGTCCCTATTTAGGGCAGGGGTGACAAACTGAAGTCCATGGGCCAATGTCATCCAGGCTGGAGTACAGTGGCGTGATCTCAGCTCACTGCAACCTCTGCCTCCTGGGTTCAAGCGATTCTCCTGCCTCAGCCTCCTGAGTAGCTGGGACTACAAGTACGTGCCACCACACCTGGCTAATTTTTGTATTTTTAGTAGAGATGGGGTTTCACCATGATGGCCAGGCTGGTCTTGCACACCTAACCTTAAGTGATCTGCCTGCCTCGGCCTCCCATGGTTTTATATTTTTTTAATGGATACACTCTTACAAATAGCATTTTTTTATTGTGGTAAACTATACATAACATAAAATTTACCATTTTGACCATTTCAAAGTGTACCGTTTAGTGGCATTAAGTACATTCATAATGTTGTGCAACCATCACCACTATTTCCAGAACTTTTTCATCATCCCAAACTAAGACTCTGTACCCATTAAACAATAATTCCTTCTCTACCTGGCCCTTGCTAACCACTATTCTACTTTCTGTCTCTACAATTTGCCTATTCTAGGAACCTCATATAAGTGGAATTACCCAGTATTTGTTCTTTTGTGTCTGGCTTTTTTCACTTTGCTTAGTCAAACATTTTGCTTAATGTTTTCAAGGTTCATCCATATGGTGGCGTGTGCCAGAATTTCTTTACTTTTTTTTGAGACAGGGTCTCACTCTGTCTCCCAGGCTGGAGTGTGGTGGTGCAATGTGGGCTCACTGCAAACTCCGCCTCCCAGGTTCAAACGATTTTCCCTCCTCAGCCTCCTGAGTAGCTGGGATTACAGGTGTGCACCACCACAGCCCAGTTAATTTTTGTATTTTTAGTAGAGATGGGGTTTCACTCTATTGGTCAGGCTGGTCTCAAACTCCCAACATCAGGTGATCCATCCACCTCAGCCTCCCCAAGTGCTGGGATTACAGGTGTGAGCCACTGCACCTGGCAGAATTTCCTTTCCTTCCTTTTTAAGGCTGAATACTATTCCATAGTATGCCTCTACCGCTTTTTGCTCTTCTCATCCATCTGTTGATGGACACTTAGAGTGTTTGCACCTCCGGCTATTGTAAATAGTGCTGTAACGAACATGGGAGCACAAGAATACGCAGGTAACCATTCTAAATGCTCACAGAAATGCTGACAGAACATTCTTCTCTTGCCTCTTGGCATTCAGAGCCTAAAATATTTACTGTCTACAGAAAACGTTTATTGGCTCTTCATTAAGGGATGGGTTTAGGACAGCTCCAAACAGAAGCCCATTCATGGGCTGGTGAATGGGGAGGAGAGAGGAAAAGCTGTTACTTGGTGGGACCGAATGTTTGGGACCTATGTTGGATTGTTAGGGCTGCCATAACAAAGGACCACAGACTGAGTGGTTTCAACAACAGAAATTTGTTTCCTCACAGTTCTGGAGGCCGAAGTCTGCGATCAGGTACTGGCAGGGCTGGTTTCCTCCGAGGCCTTTCTCCTTGCCTGACCAAGGCTGTCTTCTCCCTGTGTCTTCACAAGCTTTGTCTGTGTGTGTGTCTGTGTCAAAATCTCTTCTTATTAGGACACCAGTCATATTGGATCATGGCTCACCCCAATGTCCTCATTTAACCTTAATTACCTCTTTAATGACCCTGTCTCCAAAAACAGTCACATTCTGAAGTACTGAGGGTTAGAGCATCAACATACGATTTTTTTTTTTTTTTGAGACAGGGTCTCTCTGTGTCGCCCAGGCTGGAGTGCAGTGGCATGATCTTGGCTCACTGCAGCCTCCAACTTTTGGAGTCAAGCAATCCTCCACCTCAGCCTCCCAAGTAGCTGGGACCACAGGCATATGCCACCATGCCTGGCTAATTTATAAAGTTTTTTTGTAGAGATGGGGTCATGCTGCCCAGGCTGTTCTCTCACTCCTAAGCTCAAGTGATCCTCCCGCCTCAGCCTCCCAAAGTGCTGGGATTACAGGCGGGAGCCACCATACCTGACAACATATGAATTTTAAGGAGATACAATTCAGCCATAAGAAGGTCTGTACTCCACATAGGAAATGCCACGCCTTCAACAGCACTTTTTTTTTTTTTTTTTTTTTTGAGACGGAGTCTCCCTCTGTCGCCCAGGCTGGAGTGCAGTGGCGCAATCTCGGCTCACTGCAAGCTCCACCTCCCGGGTTCAGGCCATTCTCCTGCCTCAGCCTCCCGAGTAGCTGGGACTACAGGCACCCACCACCACGCCTGGCTAATTTTTGTATTTTTAGTAGAGACAGGGTTTCGCCATGTTAGCCAGGATGGTCTCGATCTCCTGACCTCATGATCCACCCACCTCAGCCTCCTAAAGTGCTGGGATTACAGGCGTGAGCCACCGCGCCCGGCCACTTTTTTTTTTTTAATTAAAAAATGTTTTTGAGATGGGGTCTCACTCTGTTACCCAGGCTGGAGTATAGTGGTGCAATCATAGCTCACTGCAGCCTCGAACTCCTCCCACCTCAGCCTCCCAAAGTAGTCACCACACCTGGCTCATTTTTAAATTTTTTTGTAGATACAGGGTCTTGCTATGTTGCCCAGGCTGGTCTTGAACTCTTGGCCTCAAGTGATCCTCTCACCTCAGCCTCCTAAGCTACGGGGATTATAGGCATGAGCCACGATGTCTGGCCTCACAACAAGTTTTTGCCTGAATTGGTGGTGATGGTGTTGGAAGTGAGGAAAGATACACAGATGCACACATGCGCTCATAAACATCAGCTCCAAAACGGGGCAGGCCTGAGTCTTCAAGGAAAGAGAATTCACTTTCACAGGGCTGGCTTCGGACAAGCGCTAAAGCCTTCCTAATTGTATTTCTTCCACTGAGCAGTTAATTACAGAATTTCCTAGATTTTTTTCTTATGACAATAAAGTGAAAAAAAATCCAGTATAATTTTAGCAGCAATTAACCTGAATTCACACAGAAGTGCCTTGGCCCTGCTGGGTGCAGGCTGCAGCACGGGTGGCCAGTCCAGGTTTTCTGCTTGGAATTCTGCTCCCACCTCCCTCCGCTCTGCTGCCGAACGTCACCACCACCCTCAGACCTGTCCATGGTTATCTCTTCTCTATTTCAAAGCAGTGACGACCAGAGGACACTTTGAAGGAATATGACCCGATACACTTTGGGGTCAAGAAATGACCCTGTCCCTCACTGGAGGCAGTTTGCACCAAACTCATGTTACATTTTTCTTTCTTCTCTCTGGCTCAGAGGCAGAAAAATGCTAGAGTTCCTGACCTATGACATAAAAACAAGATCAGAAAAAAAAAAAACAAAAAAAACACCAGGTCACAGATCTCCACACTTGCAACTCCCCCTCCCACAATAGAACAAGAGTAGAAATTTTTAGAACAAAAACTTTGTGTGGACTGACCTTGTTTTACTTTAGGACACTGGAACACATTCTAGTCAGATGAAATTGGAAGCAACATAGATAAAAGAGCAAAGTATGGGAACAATAATAAGAAAATCCTTTTGAAATACCATAGAACCAGCAAAATATTTCTAGTGCCTCAAAATTGATTTGGAGAATGTAGAATGATTTGTATAAAGTAGAGGCTCTTGATGTAAAAGAAGAGGCTACTTACTTCCAAGCTAGATCTAAGGACAGTGGATTAGGCATTAAAAATAAAAGAATCAGGCTACCAATATGTAATTTCAAACCCTTAATGCTGTTAGGAGGATAATGCTTTTTCTACGTATGTATGTGTAATGCACTCCTTTCTTTAATATCCTATCTCTATTGTTTCCTATATCTGTTGTTTTTAGTAGCACTTCTCATTGTTTTTGAGTATATTTTCTTTTCTTCTTTTTTTTTTTTTTTTTTTTTGTGACAGGGTCTCACTTGCAGCTCACTGCAGCCTCAACCTCCCAGGATCAATTGATCCTCCTATCTCAGCCTCCTGAGTAGCCAGGATTACAGGCATGTGCTACCATGCTTGGCTAATTTAAAATATTTTTTCGTAGGGACAGGGTCTCACTATGTTGCCCAGGCTGGTCTGGAACTTTTGAGCTCAAGCAATCCTCCTGCCTTGGCCTCCCAAAATGCTGGGATTACAGGTGTCAGCCAATATGCTTGGCCTCATTTTGCTTTTTCAATGGTGTTTTGGTTTGTTTGTTTGTTTGCTAAGAGACAGGGTCTCACTATGTTGTCCAGGCTGGAGTGCAGTGGCTATTCACAGGTGTGATTCCACTACTAATTAGAATGGGAGTTTTGACCTTCTCTGGTTCTAACCTGAGCCAGTTCACTCCTTGATATAGTTTGTCTGTGTCCCCATCCAAATCTCATTTTGAATTGTAGCGCCTGTGATTCCCATGTGTTGTGGTAGGGACCCAGTGGGAGGTAATTGAATCATGGGGGTGGGTTTTTCCCATGCTGTTCTCATGATAGTGAATAAGTCTCACGAGATCTGATGGTTTTATAAAGGGCAGTTCCCCTGCACAAGCTGTCTCGCCTGCCACCATGTAAAACATGATTTTACGCCTCATTCGCCTTCCATCATGATTGTGAGGCCTCCCCAGCCATGTGGAACTGTGAGTCCATTAAACCTCTCTCCTTTATAAATTACCCAGTCTCAGGTGTCTTTATTAGCAGTGTGAGAATGTACTAATACACCCCTCCTTCAACATCCTGGTGGCCCCCTGCTCCTGAAAAGTCACCATATTAATGCTGAACTTGGTGTGTACAGTCCATCAGCACAGCACACTACAGCTCAGAACTCCTGGGACCAAGCAATCCTGCTCCCTCAACCTCCCGAATAGGCACACACCACCACACATGGGTAATGGTGTTTATGGTTGAGCAGAATTTTAAAATGTATTACTTTTCCTCCTTTGTGGTATGAGCTATTTATGTCTTTTTAAAGACACGCTTTCATTCGTTGAGGTCACAAAAATATCTGCCTCTATATTTCCTTCAAAAAGTTGTTTTTTGTTTTGCCCTTTACAGTTAGGTTTTTCATCCAAGGGGGCCCTGTTTTGAGTGTCAGGGAAGGTGAGGATCTAATGGTAATGTTTGTTGCTATGTGGATAAGCACTTGCTCGTCTCCTTCTGAGACAGCTTCTTTACTTGACTTCAGGAACGTCTCCCATCTGACTCCAGGTTTTGCCCCCACCTGACCTGTTGCTACTTCTTGACTTCCATTGATGGCTTTTCTTCTCTTTGCACTGTCTGAGTGATGGAGTGTCCTGGGAGTGCCCTTCCTCTCTTATCTGTCCAGATCCTCTCAACCTTCTCTCTCTAGGTACCCTCGTCCCAGCCCATGGCTGGAAGCCACAGCTGTATGCTGAGCACACCATGTTCATGTCTTTCCCCTTCTTTCCCCTATCCCTTTGGGTCTCCTCATGGCTCACTGCTTCCCACCACTCAGTCCTCCGCTCCAGTGTTGCCTTCTTGGCGAGGCCTTCCCTGACCACATCATGTAAAATAGCAGCACCTGTCCCTCTCTACACACTGACTTGCTTTATTCTATAGCAAAGTATCGTAGTCACCTCCTGATCTTATATTAGAAATCGATTCTAAATTATGTGTCCTGCACTAGAGCTCATGCTTCACAGACTTTGAATTGATTCCTGATGAATCTAAATGGCTAAGAACAGTGCCTGGCATATTACAGATGCTCAATAAATGTTTATAACGAAAGAGGCAACGATAACGTTCATTTAATACAGTGCTTTATAGCATATGGAGTTCTTTTACATGTAATCATATTCCTTCTAGCATCAATTTACTCCTCAGAGGCATGAATTTGCCTACATTTGTGAATGTCAGAGCAATGACATCTCCTTTGGAAGCTTTTAGAAATTTCTGCCTCAGAACCTTTGATTTTCTTCCCAGTTCTGTGCATTATTAGATCTGTGGCGGTCACTTGAGGAGATTGAACTATAATGTCTCTATGATGACTTCGAGCCATGCCATCTGTCACTCGATGTTTCACATAAAAGGAATGTAGTTCTGATAACATGACAAGCAATTGAGATTAATACAAAGGACAAAGGTGTTTGCGTGCTAAGCCTCAAGAAATCCAGCGCTATTTAGATCAGTGATTCTCAATTGTTTCTTTTCAGCAAAAATACACGCCCATGGGCCCAGGCTGATTTTCATACCACCATAAACATTTTTTTCCAGAAGCAAAATACTACAAAACATTTTCATTCAACAGCACTGTCAGCAGCTAACTCCTCGAATCACAGCCCACATTTACACATGGGGTCATCTAGCATCAAGGTGCCTCCAGGAGACAGACAACAATATCCAGACCTCTCTCCACCTTGTATTGCCGAGTCAGTAAAATCTGTGAAGCCAAGTCAATTGAAACACACATTTGGAAAGTATGAGAAGCCAGAGAAATCCATTCATTTACTAAATCTACTGAGGGCTTCTGAGCTTAATACATGAAAATTTGGTCAGTTGTGTTCAAATGATTGGTTTATATTCTGACTCATTCTACAGCAAAAATGGAATGAATCTGTGCATCTCTCTCTCTGGGAACACAAAAGACAACTTGAGGGGAATATGAAAATCGATTTCTACTTCTCTGGGAACCCAGTGGGCTGGTCATGTCATTGAAAGCTTCCGCACTGTGGGTCAGGCTCTGTTGTGTAGAGACAGCTCCTAATCTCAAAGTACACATTCAAGAAAATGTGGGAGAGATTCTGAGCACTTTCCAGGGGGCAGTGAAGCTCAAAGGCGTGTTAACAGAGTTGTAGGAGGCAGAGGTGATGCATCAGTAAAGCAGGGAGCGCTGAACGTCAGAGTCTCTTCTCAGAGACAGGACTAACTGCCCTCGGGGAAATTGCTTGTTAAGGCAGCTTGGCTGATGGACGCTGATGAACAGTGAAATAACAACGGCATCTGGAGGGGCTTGCCTGGGGCCCACAGGAGCATAGCACAGACCATATACAAAATCAACTCCAAGTGGACTAAAGACAAACCGGAGACCTGAAACTGCAAAACTACTAGAAGAAAGCAGGGGAAAAGCTCCATGATACTGGTCTGGGCATTTCTTTGGATATGACTCCAAGGGCACAGGCAACAAAAGCAAAAATAGACAAATGGGATTAGATCAAACTAAAAATCTGCACAGCAAAGGACACAATCAATAGACTGAGACAGCCTACAGCACGGGAGAAAGTATTTGCAAATCATAGATCTGATAAGAATAATATCTCTAAAATATATAAGGAATTAAACAACTCAATAGAAAGAAAACAGACCAGGCATGGTGGCTCACGCCTGCAATCCCAGCACTTTGGGAGGCCAAGGCGGGTGGATCACTTGAGTTCGAGACCAGCCTGGCCAACATGGTGAAACCCTGTCTCTACTAAAAATACAAAAAGTAGCCAGGCATGGTGGTGGGCGCCTGTAATCCCAGCTACTTGGGAGGCAGAGGCAGGAGAATCGCTTGAACCCGAGAGACGGAGGTTGCAGTGAGCCGAGATTGCGCCACTGCACTCCAGCCTGGGCAATAGCGTGAGACTCGTCTCAAAAAGAAAAAAAAAATAGAAAGAAAACAAATCACCCAATTTAAAAGTAGTCAAAGGACCTAAATAGATACTTCTGAAAATAAGACATGTAAGTATCCAAATGGTATATAAGAAAATGCTCAGTATCACTAATCATCAGGGAAATTAAAATTAAAACCACAGCAGGGTATCGTCTCAAACCTGTTAGGATGGTTATTATAAAAAAGACAAAAGATAACAAGTGTTGTTGAGAATGTGGAGAACAGGGAATCCTTGTTTGTGGGAATGTAAATTAGTACAACCATTACGGAAAACAGTATGGAGGTCCCCTCAAAAAAATAAAAAATAGATTCAGCAATCCCACTTCTGGGTATATCTGCAGGACATGAAATCAGTATGTCAAAGAGATATTTGCATTCCCATCTTTATTGCATCACTATTCACAGTAGTTGAGATATGGAATCAAACTAAGTATCCATCAACAGATAAATGAGACTGGGTGCAGTGGCTCACACCTGCAATCCCAGCACTTGGGAAGATGAGGCAGGAGGATGGCTTGAGCCAGAAGATCGAGGCCAGCCTGAGCAATGTAGTGAGACCCCATCTCTACAGAAAAATTCAAAACTTAGCCAGGTGTGGTGGTGCACATTTGTAGTCCCAGCTACTTGGGAGGCTGAGGTGGGAGGATCCTCTTAAGCCCAGGAGGTTGAGCCTGCAATGAGCTGTGATAGTGCCACTGCACTCCAGCCTGGGCAGCAGAGTGAGGCCCTCTCTCTCAAAAACACACACACACACACACACACACACACACACACACAACACAAAGATAACTGATAAAACATGGTATATATACACAATGGAATACTATTCAGCCTTTAAAAAGAAGGAAATTCTGTCATTTATGACAACATGGATGAACCTGGAGGACATTGTGTTAGGTCAGGTCCCTAATTCCTGAGCTACAAATCAGTAGTGATCTGTGTTGCCTGTTAGGAATTGGGCCACACAGTAGGAGGTGAGCCGTGGGCAAGCCAGTGAAGCTTCATCTGTATTTACAGCTGCTCCCCATCACTCTCATTACTTGCCTAAGCCCCGCCTCCTGTCAGATCAGCGGCAGCATTCGATTCTCACAGGAGCACAAACCCTACTGGGAACTGCGCACACAAGTGATCTAGGTTGTGCACTCTTTATGAGAATCCAGTGCCTGATCATCTCTCACTGTCTTCCAACACCCCAAGATGGGACCATCTAGTTGCATGAAAAAAAGCTCAGGGCTCCCACTGATTCTACATTATGGTGAGTTGTATAATTATTTCATTGTATATTATGATATAGTAATAATAGAAATAAAGTGCACAATAAATGTAAAGTGCTCGAATCATTCCCAAACCACCCTGCCTGCCCCGTCTGTGGAAGAATTATCTTCCACAAAACCAGTCCCTGGTGCCAAAAAGGTTGGGGACCACTGTGTTCAGTGAAATAAGCCAGGCACAGAAAAACACATGCCACATAATCTCACTTACATGGAATCTAAAGAAGTCACAACTTACAGAAACAGAGAATAAAACTGTGATTACCAGAGGCTGGGCTTGGGGATATTGGGGAAATGTTGGCCAAACGACACATACTATCAGCTAAACAGGAGGAATAAGTTCAATACATCTCTTTTTTATTTTTCAGAGACAGGGTCTTGCTCTGTCATCCAGACTGGAGTGCAGTGGCACAAACTTGGCTCACTGCAGACTTGAACTCCTGAGTTCAAGCAATCTTCTTGCCTCAGCTAGGACTATAGGCATGTGCCACTATGCCTGGCTAATTTTTTTTTTTTTTTTTTTTTTTGTGGAGACGACTTCTGGCTATGTTGCCCTGACTGGTCTTGAACTCCTGGCCTCAATCAATCCTCCTGCCTAGGCCTCCCAAAGTGCAAGGATTACAAGCATAAGCCACCACGCCTGGCCTTGAGATCTATTATACATTGTGATGACCACAGTTGAGAATAATATATTGTTTACCAAAACTGGCTAAGAGAATGGATTTGAAATGTTCTCATTATAAAAAAAGATAAGTGTATGAAGTAAAGCATATTTTATTTAAATAGCTTGATTTAGCCATTCCACAATATATACATATATCAAAACACCATGTTATGCATCATAAATATATATGATGTTTTACTTGCTAATTTTTAAAAAAGAGTAGCCCCAGTGTTAGATATCCAAGAGCAGCAGTCGTGTCCTGTGCTCTACAGACCCAGGGTTCAGACACAGGACAGGCGTCACTTATTGAGTCATTGGCAATTTCATCAGAATCTAAGAGGTATGGTGTGTGTCAGTCAGGAGAGGCTTACTACTGTAACATATAATACCCAAATCTCATTGGCTTGTCCAAAAGAGCCACAGTCCAATATGGACTGGTGGGTGGGGACGGAGGACTCTGCTTCTGAGAAGCACTTGACGCCCGGCTGTGGTGGGGCATGGTGAGCAGGCAGCCTCCACCCAGCAGCTTTGTTAGGGCCTGCCTCAAACACAGGGGGTCACCCCACCTGGGGTCATGCCCTTCTTGGAGCAGCTCACATCTGGTGAGTGAGATGTGGGTATAAAGACCCAGTCATTGCAGGCCAAGGCAATACACCTCCAATGGGCAATATTCACTCCAAAGCTCCTCACTGGGTTGGCCAAGACTTTGTTGGGTCTGCATTGCATTTCAACGTCTTCACCTCTACCTATTCTTTTTTTTTTTTTCTGAGACAGAGTCTCGCTCTGTCACCCAGGCTGGAGTGCTGTGATGCGAGCTCGACTCACTGTGACCTCTGCCTCCTGGGTTCAAGCGATTCTCCTGCCTCAGCCTCCTGAGTAGCTGGAACTACAGGCGCCCGCCACCACACCCGGCTAATTTTTTGTATTTTTAGTAGAGACAGGGTTTCACCGTGTTAGCCAGGATGGCCTCGATCCCCTGACCTCATGATCCACCTGCCTCAGCTTCCCAAAGTGCTGGGATTACAGGTGTGAGCCACCATGTCCGGCCCACCTCTACCTATTGTTTTTTTTTTTTTTTCTTTTTTCTTTTTTCTGAGACGGAGTCTTGCTCAGTCGCCCAGGCTGGAGTGCACTGGCACGATCTTGGCTCACTGCAAGCTCCACCTCCCAGGTTCACAGCCATTCTCCTGCCTCAGCCTCTGGAGTAGCTGGGACTGCAGGGGTCTGCCACCACGCCCGGCTAATTTTTTGTATTTTCGGTAGAGATGGGGTTTCACCGTGTTAGCCAGGATGGCCTCGATCTCTTGACCTTATGATCTGCCCGTCTCGGCCTCCCAAAGTGCTGGGATTACAGGCGTGAGCCACCACGCCCGGCCTGTACCTATTCTTAATTTCTCCCACTGTCCTTTATTATTTTTTAGAAGCAGAGTCTCACTCTGTAACCTAGCTGGAATGCAGTGGTGCAATCAGCTCACTGCAACCTCGAACTCCTGGCTTCAAGCAACCCTCTCGCCTCAGCCTCTTGAATAGCTAAGACTATGGGTTTTTTTTTGCTGTTTGTTTGTTTGTTTTTTGTAGAGAAAGGGTCTCGCACTATTGCCCATGCTGGTCACAAACTCCCGGGCTCAAGTGATCCTCCCGCTTTGGCTTCTCAAAGTGCCAAGGAACCACTTTTCTTTAAGGATGTTGACCCCTGATATCTTTTCTTTTTCTTTTTTTTTTTTTTTGAGACAGGGTCTCACTCTGTCACCCAGGCTAGAGTGCAGTGGTGTGATCTCGGCTCACTGCAACCTCCGCCCCCAGAGTTCAAGCAATTCTTTTGCCTAAGCCACCACAGTAGCTGGGATTACACGTGTGCACCACCACACCGAGCTAATTTTTGTATTTTTAGTAAAGCCTGCTGGCCAGGCTGGTCTTGAACTCCTGATCTCAAGTGATCTGCCCACCTCAGCCTCCCAAATTGCTGGTATTACAGGTGTGAGCCACCACTCCTGGCCCCTGATAAGTATCTTACACTCCAAATTCCATCGCAGCGTCTGCTTTCAGAGCACCTACCCTATGATGACTTTGCAAAACCCTAAGCCTAGAGTATTTGGCTAAAGAGGATGTGGCCCCTTCCTGAAACTGACTTCAAGAGTAACTGAGATATCTGCAATGGCCCTGTCCTTACCCTCTGGTATCAGTGGCCTCAGCTTCAATTAGATTCCTTTTGGCATTTTGTTGTTGTTGTTGTTGTTGTTGTGTTGTTTTGTTTTTGAGATCAAGTCTCACTCTGTCACCCAGGCTGGAGTGCAGTGGCGTGACCTCGGCTCACTGCAACCTCTGCCTCCTGGGTTCAAGCGATTCTCTTGCCTCAGCCTCCTGAGTACCTGGGACTACAAGCGTGTGCGACCACACCCTGCTAATTTTTGTATTTTTAGTAGAGACAGGGTTACACTGTGTTGGCCAGCCTGGTCTCGAACTGCTGACCTCAGGTGATCCACTTGTCTTGGCCTCCCAAAGTGCTGGGATTACAGGCATGAGCCACCACACCCAGCCCAATTAGATTGCTTTTGATCCCCACATTTCTCCTTTGTTGGGGTGGAACTGCTCATGATTGCAACTGTCCTCTTTAATAGTGAGAATTTTGAGCGGGTCCCTTTTTGCATGGCCCCCCTTTTTCCTGCTATTCAGTGTGGAGTTGCTTTTGAGGAAACTGGATTTTATAAAAAAGAAGTGATGGGTTTAAATGATTATATTCTTCCTACAAAGTTATTTTGAAGCTCATTTCTTCAGAGACCTTCTCCTCCATGGCCTTACCCTCACTTAAGCACAGACAGCCTTCAATCTAAAACTCTTGCCCTAACCTTTCTCTTGAAAAGCAGTTTTCCTTGTTATTCAAGGTCCATCCAACTTTATCATCCTCTACATGAGTTTGCAAATTCTGTGTTCCAGCCAAGTTGATCTCTTTGATCTTTCAACTTAGGCCCTTTTCCAAAACCATGCCTGAACCTATGCCTCATGCTTCCTCTCTGCCTGAGTCTACTCCCCTAGCTTTTCATTCTCATTTCAAATCTCTCCTCTCCAAAGAGACTTTCTAGACTTCGCTGATCTTTTTGCCCCCTGCACACCTGTATTTAGGAGTCATGTGCTACCTTGAACCTTCTGTTACTCTCTTATATAAATGTCCCTTCCCCCCATCTCAACTATATACATACTCTTTGTATCTTCCAGAGTCTTACGCTCAATATATGTTTGTTGATTTTATTTTTCCTGACCCTGATTTCACCCAGAATGGCAGGCAGTTCCATTATCTCTTCCTATATACCAAGCCACCCACAGTCCTGTGGGTTGGCTGGGCTCAGTTGGGAAGTTCTCCCTTGGGGTCTGTCATGCAGTCGCAATGAAATGTCAACTGGGGCTTCAGTCCTCTGAAGACTTGGCGGGGCTGAATACCCATGGGTGCTCACTCTCATGATGTGCATTGAAGTTGGCTATTGGCTGGAAGCTCCGCTGGGTCTGTGCCTCACAGCACTCCCACTCAACCTCACCTTGCAGCTTTCACAGCCTGATATCTGGGCTCACAGAGGGAGCATTCCAAGGGCAAGGGATCCAAGATTCCCAGGCAGAAGCTGCAAGGCATATTGTGACCTGTCCTCAGAAGTCCCAGAGTGTCACTTCCAGCACATTCTCTTGGACAAAGCAAGTCAAGTGTTTCACTTGAAATTTTATAAAGTTTAGGAAGCAAGTAAGAAAGCATGCAGAGTCACTTGAAATAATTTTCATAGAGCTGTTCAGTTGAGATTGGTGTGTATTGCTGTGTGTATATATCTTATCTCTGAAAGTAAAAAAAAATTTTTTTAAGACTGTTATAATAGTTTTTTTCTTGCACATGATTTTTTCCTGATGTTTTAAATTTTAAAAAATTAAACAAAAAATTGTTTGCAGAATATGTCTTTTTGTTTGTTTTCATCTTCTCAGGAGCTATCACTGTGCCTGAGCTGGGTCTCAGGGAAGATTTGGGATAGGGGAGCTGATGTCAAGCAGCCCCTTGCATCCCTGCCTCTTTATGGAGCCTGATTCCCCTCCCTGTAGCCAGTTCACATGTTCCTTCATCAACAAAGGCTTCAAGAATGGCCACTGGTGTGTTCCACATATGGCTTTAACTGGCAAGGGTATCTGGATGGACAAAGTAGTCATGGGCCCTCTCCTTGGGGCCCTTGAGTCTGGCGAGGCCCTGTGCACTTCCCACTTTGCTGGCTAGAATTCCCCACCTGGAACTGGCAGTTAGCGGTTCTATATGTCTCCTGGGCCCCTTTAGAGTCCTATACACCTGTTTGGTAAGGTGAGTCAACTCTAGCCAGTCCATTTATGTGGATATTGTGATTTAACAGGTCTTTTTAACTTCTAGTTTAAAAGAAAGCATTTGAACAGTAGCCATCAAGATATAACACTGTCATGCCGGAGAATAATGCCAGTGATGTGACCGTTCAGCCCAGGGAAAGAAAGTCTTAGAAGCCACCAAGACAACGCTGCACCTGCAGGGGACCACTTGCTCTGTCCACCTTGGGTAGGTCTTGCTGCTCTGGTCTCCTCACTCTGCTGAGTCACATGGCTACTCCCATACTTAATCTCACTGCAAATATGGCCATGTGTCAAGAATAAAATAGACATGGCCCGGTGCAGTGACTCATGCCTGTAACCTCAGAACTTTCAGAGGCTGAGGTGGGAGGATTGCTTGAGCCCAGGAGTTTGAGACAAGCTTGGGCAAAGTGGTAAGACTCCAGCTCTACAGAAATAAGCAAATAGATCAATACAATACAATACAATACAATACAATACAATACAATACAATACAATACAATACAATACAATACACATGAGCACAACTAGGTTCCAGGCAATACAATATAGCACAAGGAATTGATCATTGGCCTCAGCAGTTGAGCCAAATGAATAGTTAGCAGCTGATTTTAGACATGTCCCATAGTGCTATGCACTTCACTTACTGTCAAAGGAAGACATGAATAAGATAGGAATTAAAATAGACTTTCAAATATTTCCTTGTAAGTGGCTTTAGTTCCCAGAGGAGATTATTCCATAACATCGTCTTTTCTCTTTCAACAAGAATTTCTTCACATTGGTTGCCAACACCCATTATGCTGCATAGAAGTATTAATCATCCATGTGGAATTTTATATTTTCAAAGCCTCTTAAAAAAATCAACCCTCTCCTCTGCCTTCCCCCACGGTGCTCACAGACCATGGCCCTGAGGGCATGCACAGACGAGTCTGTTTTTGTTTGTTACTGGCTTGCCAGGCCAGGTTGCTAAATGTACTTGATTCATCAAATACTTGTGAGCTCAGGGAAATCTAAACAAATTTATTTAATTCAGGCCCAGACACAGAGGTGGGTCAGTGTGTCCCCATTTATTGCATGGTGTGCTGAAGTCCCCAGAAGAGATCAAAAGCAGACACAGGGTGAGGCCACAACATGGCAGGCATTATGTCAGCGCTCTTGATCTCTAAGTCATTACTTAGGAATATATGCAACATAGTAATGATGGTTTCAGACACTCTCAATGCATAGTCTGACTCAACATCTCACTTTGATGGAAAGAACCTCAGTCGACAATGAATGGACAAGACCCGAACGTGTATGGTGTCATGAAACCAGGCATGTGGAAGCAGGTTTCCAAAACAGGTTGGAGACTGGCTCTTCCTAAAGTCTTGCCCATCTGTCAGTTGTATCATTGTCCACATGGTTACTCAGCCCTGAAGCCTCAGAGTCAATCTCTCTTTCTCCCACCTCATCTGCCCCCCTCTCCGTACCGCCATATTTAATACATCAGCTAAGCTTGTTGGTTCCAGGAACACAATACCTATATTCTCAAACCTACCATTTCTCTCTGTACACACCAGCCTCACTCCAGCCCAAGCCAACTCACTCTCCCACCTAAAGAACTGCAATGATCTCCTGGCTTACTAATACATTTAACCAAAGAAGAAAAAAAGAATTAAAAATGTCTACCAGACAAAAAAGACAATAGCAAAATCAACAACAATTATTAAACAGGAAAAATGTCACAACAGACATGCTCAAGGTTAGACTCCTTAGTATAAAAAAAGCTAATAAAGATGATTAGAAAAATTAATATTCAAAGAGAAAATGGGCCAATTTTGAATAGTTCATAATAAAGTATAAAGCATTTCATTGTTTTCTGTTTATTTGTTTGCTTTTTGAGACTGAGTCTCGCTCTGTCACCCAGGCTGGAGTGCAGTGGTGCAAGCTCAGCTCACTGCAACCTCCACCTCCTGGGTTCAAGCAATTCTCCTGCCTCAGCCTCCCGAGAGGCTGGGATTACAGGCTCCTGCCACCACACCTGGCTAATTTTTGTATTTTTAGTAGAGACGGGGTTTTGCCGTGTTGGCCAGGCTGATCTTGAACTCCTGACCTCAGGTGATCCACCTGCCTCGGCCTCCCAAAGTGCGGGGATTATAGGTGTGAGCCACTGTGCCCAGCCAAGCCTTTCTAAACAAATGAAAGGATACTCAGTCTCACTCTAATAACAAAAATACAAATTCAAAGTTGAATGAGATGCAGTTGACACTTAGAAAATTGGAAAAATTCAAAAAGTGTAAAAATGCCTGGATGGTGATGAGGGGGCCTGGTACCATTGGTTCATTCTCTTTGGAGGGCAATTTAAAAAGCACCAACCAAATTTTAACAGGCATATGCTCTTTGACTTGGCAGTTCTACATTTAGGAATGTGTCTTACAGATATATTTGCACATGAACATGAAGATGCAAATGCACGTTGCAGCAACAAAAGAAACCAGCCAAATGCCCATTGGTAGGGGCTGGGTAAGTTAATTCTGGTACGTCCATAGAGTAGACAATCCAACAGTGAAAAGAATGAAACAATATTACTTGGCATGGATAAGATAAATTTTCTAGAGGTATCATTAAATTATAAAAAGCAAGATGCAGAAGATACAAGATGCTATCGTATACAAATGTGGGTAGGGATGTACACACATACATTACATCTATCGCTTGCATATGCATAGATTGTTTCTGGGAAGATATGTAAGAAATTTAACAGTGGTTGTCTCTGGAAAGGTGATGTGAGAATTTGGAGTAAAGGAGAAGAAATCTACTTTTTCCTGTATTTCCTTTTATGATGTTTTAATTTGTACCATATTTAAGAATGACCTATTTTTACAAAACTGTTAAGACAAAGAGAAAAGAACTGGTAGGCCAGGCGCAGTGGCTGAACGCCTGTAATTCCAGCACCATGGGAGGCTGAGGCGGGTGGATCACTTGAGGTCAGGAGTTCAAGACCAGCCTGGCCAACATGGTGAAACCTTCTCTCTATTAAAAGTACAAAAATTAGTCAGGTGTAGTGGGGTGCACCTGTAATCCCAGCTACTCAGGAGGCTGAGGCAGGAGAATCACTTGAACCCAGGAAGCGGAGTTTGCAGTGAGCCAAGATCACACCACTGCACTCCAGCCTGGGCCAGAGAGTGGGACTCCATCTCAAAAAAGAAAAGAAAAGAAAGGAACTGATTATATGCAGTCATTTTAAAGGAAAATATTAGTAATACTTTTCTAGAAAATGTGAGGTTTTACTTAGATTGTAAAAATTCCACTTCTATTACATCTTTTCCTTTTCAGAATTATTGTGTATAAACTAATACTTCAAGTCTAGCCAACATGGAGAAACCCTGTCTCTACTAAAAATACCAAAATTAGCCGGGTGTGGTGGTGGGCACCTGTAATCCCAGCTACCCGGGAGACTGAAGCAAGAGAACTGCGTGAACCCGGGAGGTGGAGGTTGCAGTGAGCCAATATCACGTCACTGCACTCCAGCCTGGGCGACAGAGCGAGACTCCATCTCTTACTAAACAAATACATATATACCAATACTGCAGACAAAATAATAGCTAACATTTGGTGGGTGTTTATTCTGAATAAACACTGTGCAAAGTGCTTCAAAATAACAGTACTAGCCCAGGCACAGTGGCTGATGCCTGTAATTTCAGTACCTTGGGAGGCTGAGGCAAGAGGATCACTTGAGCCCAAGAGTTTGAAGCCAACCTGGGTAACATAGTGAGACCTTGTCTCTTAAAAAAAATTCAAAATTAGCCAGTCATGGTGGTACACGTCTATAGTCTTAGCTACTCAGGAGGCTGAAGCAGGCAGGTTGCTCCAGCCCAGGAATTCAGGTTGCAGTGAGTTATTATCGAGCTACTGCACTCCAGCTTGGGCAACAGAGCGAGAGAGACCTTGTTTCTAAATAATAATAATAGTAATAACAACAGTACTGCCCTCATCTCTTCATTAAAGATGAAGAAACGAAAGGTCAGAATTTAATGGGCTTACCTTAAGGCCACACAGCTAGTAAGTTATAGAGCCAGGATGCACATCTAAGCACTCTGACATCAGAGCCCACATGCTTACCCACCGTATGGGTTATTTATGGTGTTATTAATGAGTCATTTGTTTCTTGCAAAACAATACTTAAGGGCATATAATTTCCAATTCAAAACAGGTACGTAGCAGAAATAGAATCTAACCTTAACTATAGAAAATAAAAGTGCAAATGTTGTAAAATCCATAAGTCCCATATATAAAGTTGTAATAATATTTCTGATTTTATGGCCAATGATTCAGAGAAATTAAAAAATTATTTTAAGATATTTAGGCCAAGCATCGTGGCTCACGCCTGTAATTCCAGCACTTTGGGAGGCCAAGGTGGATGGACACCTGAGGTCAGGAGTTTGAGACCAGCCTGGCCAACATGGTGAAACCCCGTCTCTACTAAAAATACAAAAATTAGCTGGGTGTGGTAGCATATGCCTGTAGTCTCAGCTACTCGGAAGGCTGAATCAGGAGAATCACTTGAACCCAGAAGGCAGAGATTGCAGTGAGCCGAGATCGTGTCACCGCACTCCAGCCTGGGTGACAGAACGAGACTCCATCTCAAAAAAAACCAAAAATTATTTTAAGATATTTGAATAACAATTGGCAACTATGACTACTGTGTTATATACAGTGCATGCTATTTTTTGTGTTTATATTCTTGATCTTCATGAAATATTAATACATAAAATGTCTCAGGTTGCTGTTATGGGTTGAATTGTGCCCTCCCATTCATATGTTGAACCCCCAATACCTCAGAATGTCACCTTATTTGTAAATACTCTTTACAGAGGCAAATTAAAGTGAGGTCATTAGAGTGGGCCCTAATCCACTATGACTGGTGTCCTTATAAAAAGGAGACATTTGGACACAGAGACAGACATGCATAGAGGGAAGACGATGTGAAGAGACATAGAGAGAAGATGGCCAAGGGGAGAGAGACCTGGAACAGATTTTCCCCTCCCAGCCCTAGCCAATACCTGCCCCCGCACCTGTGACTGTGGCCTTATTTGGAACCAGGGTCTTTGCAGATGTCATCAAGCTAAGATGAGGTCATACTTATTAGAGTTAGGGTGGGCCATGAATCCAAGATGGCAGGTGTCCTTATGAAAAGAGGGATCAGGACACAGGAAGAATACCATGGGAAGACAGACGCAGAGGCGGGAGGGACGCGTCTAGAAGCCAAGGAACAGAAGGACTGATGGCAACACCAGAAGCAAGAGAAAGGCCTGGAACGGCTTCTCCCCTCGAGCCTTCAGAGGGAGCCTGGCCTGCCGTACACCTTCCTGCGGGACTCCAAGCCTGTAGAACTGGGAGAGAATACATTTCTGTGGTTTGAAACCACCCAGTATGTGCAGTGGATTCCCTAGAATTTGATTGGCGTGGGAGTGACTTGCTAAGGGGGTGCCCACTATTGAAGCCACCAAGGGACTAGGGAGGTGGACAGAGCAGCCGCGGGAGCCTCAAAAGGGGCGAGCTAGGCCAAGTCCCACAGCCGGCAACATAGAGTGGGCGTCCCAGGCGAGGGCGCTGGGCTTCCTGCCCCAGCACCCCATTGGTCAGGTCACAGGTTTTAGACTACCCCCCAGTGCTAGATGGTGGTTCTCCACAGAAAAGCAGCAGACGTCACTTTTGAAAATCAAAGAAATCCCGAAGGGAATCTACAAAAACAGTAGAAAGGGATCCGAGGGAACAGAGGCAAAGCCATAATATCACCCAATACATCCGATTGTCTGGTCAGTGAAATTTGGAGCCAAGAACACTGGCTGCTGGTTTCCTGTCCCGTGGTTAACTTATTGGTGTAATTTTGAAAGCATAACTTTGCGTCTCGGGCCTCAGTGAACTCTTCTGGTAAAAGGAGATAATAATAATAGTTTCGCAATTTTTTTTTTTTTTGAGACGGAGTCTCACTCTGTCGCTCAGGCTGGAGTGCAGTGGCTCGATCTTGGCTCACTGCAACCTCTACCTCTGGGGCTCAAAGTGATTCTCCTGCCTCAGCCTCCTGAGTAGCTGGGACTACAGGTGCTGGCCACTATGCCTGGCTAATTTTTGTATTTTTAGTAGAGAGAGTTTTGCCATATTGGTCAGATTGATCTCAAACTCCTGACCTCAAGTTATTTTCCCCCTTCAGCCTCCCAAAAGTGCTGGGATTACAGGCATAAGCCACTGCACCCGGCCTGCATTTTTCTTCTTCTTCTTCTTTTTTTTTTAAAGAAAACGTTCACTTTTCTGGGCTGATATTCAGCTTGTATTTATGGCTATAGCTAAACATTGATTGTCGAACTATATAAATAGTCCTGTACTGAGTGGTAAACAGCCACCACCCTGGGGGCCCCAGATATTTTCCACTGCTTTGGTTCCTTCCCTGGAATTTCCTTGGACTTTCCTATAATCCAGTAACTAGAGTGCCTGGCACAGCTGGGGGTGCTTTTCAATGCTATGGCCAGTGCTCTTTCTAATTGGTCAGTTGCTAAAGATTTTGACTGTCGTCCCCAGGTTAAGCACCTGTTATGTACCTAGTCGTGATGGAACTGTGAGCAACAGGAAAAAAAAAAAAACATTTCCTGCCTTCAAGAGGCTTATAACTTAATTGAGGAGGAAACAAATACAGATTAAATAACTAGGAATAATTATGTGCTACACTCTGCTGTCCTGACATGTAAAAAGTGAACGTTTTCTGGAAGAACAATTATAAAAACATTACACAAGGGTATGGTACTTACCTCCCCCTTTCCCAAATGGTTGGGTTCACCCATGACCCTTAGGTTTTGGTAAGGCTCCAGGATATCCAAATTTAAAAATCAGGCTGGGAGCGGTGGCTCATGCCTGTAATCCCAGCACTTTGGGAGGCTGAGGCAGATAAATCACGAGGTCAGGAGTTTAAGACCAGCCTGGCCAACATGGCGAAACCCCTTCTCTACTAAAAATACAAAAATTAGCTGGGTATGGTGGTGTGTGCCTGTAGTCCCAGCTACTCAGGAGGCTGAGGCAGGAGAATCGCTTGAACACAGGAGGCAGACGTTGCAGTGAGCTGAGATCACACCATTGCACTCCAGCCTGGACAACAGAGCGAGACTCTGTCTCAAAAAAAAAAAAAAAGAAAAAAGAAAAAGAAAAATTCATCAGTCAGTTGTTTTGTTCTGCAAGACTCCCCACTTTTACCATCTTTTTCACAAATTAATGAGCTCTTTTGATAATATGCCAGGAACTTGTAAAATTCTGTACTGTCTATTTTCTGTAACAGGATCTGTGGCATGTTAGTTTTCAGCAAAAAGAGACTTTTTCAAAGGAAAAATCAATGAACCAATGTGAAGGCACTCACGATTTTCTTAGGTGTGTTCCAAGCCACATTGGTGGAAAAAGGGAAGAGACGTTGGTGTGAGACAGGCAATCTTCCCCAAGGAAGGCTTTGAAAAGTCAATTCAGTTCCGCTTTGGGGTTAGAGCTTGACCACAGACAAGAAGACGATGACATTTTAATGAAACCACACTGATTGACCATCTGGGTTGCAGTTGGCCCAAACTGCTTACCTCAGTTTCAATTTTCTGAGATACAAAATATGACCCAAACCTACCAAAGATGATCGCCTAATTGATGGTGTTCTCAAAACATACTGAGATCCATGGATGACAATTGCCGCTACAGAATAATTAATTAGAGCCTAAGACTAGATTTAGGATAATAAATAATAGCTATTGGGAGAGAGATTCCTATTTTTCTTTTCCTGATTTTTTTTTCTTTCTTTTTTTTTTTTTTTTTTTTTTGTGAGACATGGTCTCACGCTGTTGCCCAGGCTGGAATGCAGTGGCACAATCATGGCTCACTGCCACCTCGACCTCCTGGGCTCAAGTGATCCTCCCACCTCAGCCTTCTCATTAGTTGGGATTACAAGTGTGTGCCACCACACCCAGCTAATTGGTTAGTTGTTTCGTAGAGACAGGGGTCTTACTATGTTGCCTAGGCTAGTCTTAAACTCCTGGCCTCAAGTGGTTCTCCAGCCTCCGTCTCCCAAAGTATTGGGATTACAGGCATGAGCCACAGTGCCTGGCCTCTTCCTGGTATTTTAAATGGACTTTTGAATTGTTTTATGTACAAAAGATTTGTTTTCACCTATATTTAATTATGAGTTATCCAATGAGTAGCAATATAAGTGCTTGAAATACAGCAGCTCATTTTTTTTCTACAGAAACTGTAGAGTTTACAACTCTTTGACATTGCTCTCATGGGGAGGTGGGGTCTAGAGCCTCTCTCCTTATATCTCAGTGGGATGTGTATTAGTTTCCTAGGCCTACCTCAGCAAGTGACCACAAACTAGGGGTGGCTTTACACAATGAAAACATATCTTCTCATAGTTCTGGAAGTCCAAAGTCAGGTTAAGAGCAGGATTGGTTCCTTCTGGAGGCTCTGGGGGAAAATCTCATTCCCCACCCCTTCGCTTATAGACTCCTCACTCTAATCTCTGCCTGTGATCTCTGTCTCTGATCTCTGATCTGTCTTCACATGGCGTCCTCCCTGTGTCTTTGTCTGTGTGTCCAAATTTCCTTCTCTTATAAGGCCATCAGTCATACCGGGTTAGGGGGTGGATTCATCTGAGTGCATTCATCTTCACTTGATTGCACCTACAAAGGCTATTTCCAAAGAAATCACATTCACAGGGACCAGGGGTTAGGACTTCAACATGTCTTTGTAGGGGACATAATTCATCCCTTAACAACCTGAGACTGCTTCAACCCGTAGAATGAGCAAAAGTGGCACTGGGTGACTCCCGAGGGCAGGTCAAAAAGGTGATGCCTCTTTGTCCTTGCCCACTGCCACCTTCTCACTCAGAGACTCGAGCGGCCACACATGGAGTTCAGCCAGTGAGAGAGGCCACCTGGTTGCCTGGGGTCAGCAGTCCAGGCCCTCGAGTCCTGCCAGGCCTGGGTGACACATGGGCGTGAAGGAGCCTTCAGGTGATTCCAGCCCTGCCTTCAGGTCGCCCCGCATTTGAGTCTTCCCAGTCAAGGTTCCAGATGTTGTGGAGCAGAGACAAGTTACTCTCACTGTCTGAATTCCTGGCCCCCAGTATCTGAGCATAAATAAAGTGGTGTTGTTTTAAGCCACAAATCCTGGGGTAATTTGTTACACAACAATTGTAACAGAAAAAGTAGGACTAGAGGCTCCAAAAAATCATCTTCAGCAGTGTTCAAACAATTTTTCTTATCTATTCCTTAAAATAATTTAGGAAAACTATGAACCTCTTCACATATTTTTATGTTGACATCTAATTTTTTTCATCCTACGTTGGCCATTTCTGGAGTATTATAAATATTGATGGTTTGATGCTTAAGCTGTTTATGTAACTTTTTCAGATATACCCACTGGAATGCAATTGCTGTATCAATTTAAAACTCACATCATCCATTTAAAAAATATAGATCATCATTAACATTTGGACAGTTCATGTTGTTTCTTTTTTCCTTTTGAATTCTTATTTCCTTCCACCTCCCACTTAGAAGTTTATCCTAAAGTTTTTTATGCTTGGATGTGTTTTATTGCTTACTCTTTCTTGATAGTTTGCAATAAAAATATGTATATGAATTTAACTTTCCATGAGTATAAAATTAAAAGTGTTAAACATTTCCCTTGGATGAAGCTGCTGTTATAATTATTCTTAGTCCAACATTGATTAAACTTACAAAAATATATTACAAACCTTGATAAATGATAATTGTTTGTTTGTTTGTTTTTGAGATGGAGTTTTGCTCTTGTTCCCTGGGCTGGAGCACAGTTGCATGATCTCAGCTCACCGCAACCTCCGCCTCCCAGGTTCAAGCGATTCTCCTGCCTCAGCCTCCTGAGTAGCTGGGATTACAGGCACCCACCACCACGCCTGGCTAATTTTTTTGTATGTTTAGTAGAAATGGGGTTTCACCATGTTGCCCAGGCTGGTCTCGAACTCATGACCTTGGGTGATCCACCTGCCTCAGCCGCCCAAAGTGCTGGGATTACAGGTGTGAGCCACCACACCTGGCCGATAAATGATAATTTTTAAAAGCATAATTTGATTGAAAATGTAGCACAAAACTGAAACAGCCTAGGTGTCCATCAATAGGAGAATGGATAAAAGAATTGTGGTATATTCATACAGTAGAATTCTACTCAGTGTTAGAAAGGAACAAATTACTTCTACATGAAACAACACAGATGAATCTTAGAAACATTATTCTGATCAAAAGCATCCAGATACAAGAGAGTACATATGGTATGATTCCATGTATATGAAGTTCAAAAACAGGTGAACTAATAATCTAAGGGGTAAGAACATCAGATAGTGGTTGCCTCTGGGGAGGAGTAGGAGCCAGGAGTAATTCAAAAATGGCATCAGAGGCTGGGCGCCGAGGCTCCAACCTGTAATCCCAGCACTTTGGGAGCCTGAAGCAGGTGGATCACCTGAAGTCAGGAGTTTGAGACCTGCCTGGCCAAGATGGTGAAATCCCGTCTCTATTAAAAATACAAAAATTAGCCAGGTTATCGGGGGAACCAGCTCCCAATATTTCAAGAGAAAGAGTACAAAGGGAGAAATTTTACAGCTGGGCCTCCAGGGGTGTCATCACATATTGGTAGGACCGTGATGGTGACCCAGAGCTGCAAAATCAGCAAGTTTTTATTAGGGATTTTAAAAGGGGAGGGGTGTACGAACAGGAAGTAGGTCACAAGGATCACATGTTTCAAAAGCCCATAAAGATCACAAGGCGAAGGCAAAATTAGAATTACTGATGAGGGTCTGTGTCCCACTGTGCATGCATTGTCTTGATAAACATCTTAACAGGAAACAGGGTTCAAGAGCGGACAACTGGTCTGACTAGAATTCACCGGGCTGGAATTTCCCAATCTAGTAAGCCTCAGGGCACTGCAGGAGACCAGTATTTCAGTCCTTAGCTCAATCGCATAAGACAGACGCTCCCAGAGCAGCCGTTCATAGACCTACCCCCAGGAATGCAGTCCTTCCCCAGGGTCTCAATGATTAATATTCCCTGCTAGGAAAAGAATTCAGCGATATCTCTCCTACTTGTACATCGTCTATAAGCTTTCTGCAAGAAGAAAAATATGGCTCTATTCTGCCCGACCCTGCAGGCAGTCAGACCTTATGGTTATCTTTCCTTGTTCCCTGAAAATCGCTGTTATCCTGTTCTTTTTCAGGGTGCACTGATTTCATATTGTTCAAACACACATGTTTCACAAACAATTTGTACAGTTAATGCAATCATCACAGGGTCCTGAGGTGACATACATCCTCAGCTTATGAAGATGACGGGGTTAAGAGATTAAAGTAAGACAGGCATAAGAAATTATAAGAGTATTAATTTGGGGAACTAACAAATGTCCATGAAATCTTCACAATTTATGTTCAGAGATTGCAGTAAAGACAGGTGTAAGAAATTATAAAAGTATTAATTTTGGGAACTAATAAATGTCCATGAAATCTTCACAATTTATGTTCTTCTGCCGTGGCTTCAGCCGGTCCCTCCGTTCGGGGTCCCTGACTTCCTGCAACACAGGTGTGGTGGCACCTGCCTGTAATCCCAGCTACTTGGGAGGCTAAGGCAGGAGAATCTCTTGAACCTGGGGGACAGAGGTTGCAGTGAGCCAAGATCATGCCATTACACTCCAGCCTGGGCAACAAGAGTGAAACTCCGTCTCCAAGAAAAAAAGGGGGATCAGGGAACTTTTTGGGTGATGGTAATGTGCTGCGTGTCACCTCTGCACCCAGAATTTGGGTTACACAGATGACTGAAGTTGTCTAAATGGCCCACTTAAGATGTGAACATTTCACCATTTATATATAACCTTTAAATAAACTTCAGATATTCTCCCACTGAATATGACTATTACTCAGGCCATAGTAAATGCTGGTCTTCCAATAATTTTTCTTTAGTAGAAAAGGAGGGCTGGAAAGAGAGAGAAATTGTTTCAAAGGAAAACTATAACACCTATTACTAGATTCCAGCCCTGGGTTTTGTTTTTGCGTACAGATTGAATCATGAGTTATTTCTGGCTGCAAGAATCCAGGTTATAATTTTCTTCATGTTTTTAGTTGGCACCCTAATGGAATAGATTCCTTCTTCTGTTCTGACACACACGTTCTCTTTTAATTGTCAAATTGTTAACATTACTTATCTCTCATAGTTTTACTTCATGCAAGAACACCAGAATCATGGTCTTCTGAAGACTAGAGATGATTTGACAAAGCCTGTGCGTCTCCTGTACTTGGAATCCCACTTGGCCTGATCTGTTTTTCACTGCAAATACCCAGCTACTAAAACCGTACAGGCACCCTCCCTCTGGGCCCGGGGACTATCATGGAAGAGGTGGGTGCATGAGATTGTAAGGGCTGGTTTTGAGGGACAGAATTAGTTCAGACCCTCCAAATCAAGGATGGGTACACAGATGTCTAAACAGCTGGTGAAATAAGGGACTTTACCTCCTGGATTTTTATGGTGTGGCACCTTTTCACTCGTCCCAACCATGAAGAATTTTCTGCTTCACATAGAATTAAAATAAAATTATTACTGAGAGGATATAAGGATACCTCATGACAAAACCTCCCGGGAATAATACTCCTACTTATGAGATTTATGAAGATAGATATGTATTTAAAAAATTTTTTTTCAGCAGGGCTCAGTGGCTCACGCCTATAATCCCAGCACTTTGGGAGGCCGAGGTGGGTGGATCACCTGAGGCCAGGGACCAGCCTGCCAATATGGTGAAACCCCATCTCTACTAAAATTACAAAAAATTAGCCGGGCCTGGTGGCATGCGCCTGTAGTCCCAGCTACTCCGGAGGCTGAGTATCGCTTGAACCCAGGAGGCGGAGGTTGCAGGGAGCCAAGATCGCACCACTTCACTCCAGCCTGGGCGACAGAGCGAGACTCCATCTCAAAAAATAAAAAATAAAAAATTTCAGCCACCTTAGGACAAATTACTAAAAGACCCCAAAAAGCATTGTGACACAACAAAGTCTCTAAATTCCTTAGCCTAAAAGGTTTTAACAATGCTTATGTGTTGAATAGCTAACTGCTACGAGTCCATAACAAAAACCAAGATTACAGTAGCTCAATGCATGGAAGTTAAAGACAGATAAAGTCAATTTTGTAACCTCACTTTTGGCTTTTTGTTTGTTGGCTTTTGTATTACTTTAAAATTGTTAAGAGGTAATGAATGCCTGTCCACGTCCTTTCCTATATGGCCTAGAACGTATAATTGGCTATAAGTCTCCTGGCTCTAAGTCCATTGGCCATGGATGAGGGCATCACACAGAAGAACAGGATGGACTTGGGTCAGGCAGCCATGCCACCCCAGCAACTCTATGGGACAAAATAAAAGCTTGGTGGCCATTAATGTTGCCTCTGGCAAATCTTGGCCAGAAGGGGGAGAATGCAAACCAAAAATAAAATTCTAAGCCCCCACCCATCTGAATGGACACCTCATTTCGGCAAAGATATTCCAAAGTTAACCTGAAAAATGAGTTCAGGCCACGATGGGAAGAGGGAATCGGACATGCCTCATTATTCCCTCCTCCCTTTTGGAATTACTGACAGAACAGACTCTTTAAGTCTGATAAGAAATATTTATAATCTACCGTCTCTGAAGCCTGATACCTGGAGGCTTCACCTGCATGTTAAAACTTTGGTCTCCAGGCCGGGCGCGGTGGCTCACGCCTGTAATCCCAGCACTTTGGGAGGCCGAGGCGGGTGGATCACGAGGTCAGGAGATGGAGACCATCCAGGCTAACACGGTGAAGCCCCGTCTCTACTAAAAGTACAAAAAATTAGCCCGGCGTGGTGGCGGGCGCCTGTAGTCCCAGCTACTCGGGAGGCTGAGGCAGGAGAATGGCGTGAACCCAGGAGGCGGAGCTTGCAGCGAACCAAGATCGCGCCACTGCACTCCAGCCTGGGCGACAGAATGAGCCTCCGTCTCAAAAAAAAAAAGAGAAAGAAAATGCATCTCTTACTGAGATGAGTGGGAATTTCTCAACCAGTTCATGTATCCAGAGAATATTAATTCTTGGTAGACTTAACACTAGGTTTAGCACCAATTACATGCCGATTATTTTTTAAATGTAAGCACCGAGAAAACATACAGACATTAATTAAGTAGATGGGGAAGGAAGCATTTTGCCATAGCCTTGACCTTCAATTCTTTGAACCCCTTCTGAGTTATGTCCCCCACCACACAAATATTTATCATCTAAAATAATTTGTAATGATTTATCAGCTGAAACTTTGGTCTTCCTTTAATTTGGTTGTATGCAAAGAAAAAGCAACTACCTGACGTAATGATTTTTTTCAACCACATCAATAGAATCATCCCTCTTTTAACACCAATTAGCATTTCAAAAATCCCTTTATTTAATGCCCCGGAAGTTATTTCACCCCTGCAATGCACCATAGGACGGTTCAGGATGGTGAGAGGCTCCCGTTCTTCAGTAAGTGGAGAAGGGACTGAGAGCGAAGAGCTGGGAAAGGAGACCCTGACCTCAGAAAGGAAGCTGAGATCCTGGGAAGTGATTCCCTCTACACTTAGCCCATGTGTTTGAGCCACAGCTTACCCATGTGTCCCTCAAAGACAGATAACCCAATTTGAAGAATGCTGCTTTCAAGGGTCCTTTCTGGCCAGGTGTGGTGGCTCTTACCTGTAATCTTAGCACTTTGGGAGGTCGAGGTGGGAGGATCACTTGAGCCCACAGGAGTTCAAGACCAGCCTGGGCAACATAGTGAGACCTCGTCTCTATAAAAAACAAAAAAGAATCCTTTCAGTATGTGTAGGGCAAGACTATAAGGCCAAAGACTGAGTCAGATTCCTTCACTCCTGTGTGTATACAGAAACCCTGCATTTTAACATGACACCTTCCTGGATACTGCATCCCCCAAAAAAGGCATGGTGTTTATCTTTAGAAACAATGCTATAACTGTAGGTTCTCTTGCTGGTCAAGGACTTGTTGGACAATATATGCCAAAAGCAAACGTATGAAGCCATGATCCTTCAAAATCCCCTGTACTCACTCTGTAATTGGACTCCAGGGTTTAGGAAATTAGGGGACATATATGGGGCTGGCCCCTGGACCATTCCCAGCCCAGCCATAGCAGACCACTATGATCCAGCTGGAGAGGGGCAGTGCCAAGCCTCATGCCTGCAGGGTGAGACTGTGCAGGTCAGAGGGCCAATGTGCAGAGCCCCTCGGTCGTCACATCCCCAGGGGCAGGTCAAGTCTGGGAAAGACCTGAAGTCAGGCAGGCTATGGGGACAGGAAGGCTGCAGAAGGGGTGGCCACTGTGTCCTGGAGTGCTCTGAGCAGCGTGCCCTGGCCTGCAGGGGACCTTCAGGGCAGCTGTCTAGCCCAATGACTATGAGGAGTTTGGGTACCTGTGAGCTGCCTGCAGAGCCCGGCAGGGTTCAACGGGGCTTTTGATCTGTAGCACTAGGGAGTGTCTGGCATATAGGAAGGGCTCAACCACTAATGTCGTCTGGCTGAATACACGAGTGAATGGTTGAATGAGGGAATGCAAGGCTCGCCTTGCTGATGCTGGAGCAGTTTTCACTGTGACGGACTCCCAGAGACTCTGGATGTCCCTCCTCACCTGTGATGCTGATGCGATCATGCCTTTGGATCTACCCTTCCGACTCAACTGGCGCCTTTCTACGGTGTCTGCTTCAGGCTCACTTTCAGGCTTTGCACTGTATTCCAGGCGGCTTTGTGCTTTCATTATGTGCCTGGCTCCTGCAGCTTTGCTGACACAGGTATCTTGAGCACTGTGGTGACCCTGCCAGGCCTCCCTTCCCAGCACAGAGCCCATTCCTGGCAACATAATGTGCAATGTGGCCCATGGAGACGGGCTTCCCTGGTCAGCAGCCTTTCCACTGGTTCCCAAGCCTCTGGACAATTGTTCATTCTCAGGTGCTAACTTCTGCTTGTCCTGCAACTTCTGGAACATAGCACTGACCCCAGGCCACTTTCATTCATCCATTAATTTTTTCCACTTAATACAAATTTACGAGCTGAGGTCTGACAGATATTGAGCCATGTGTGAACTTTGGGTTGCTGTGTAGTTGCACAAACTGAACTGCTCGAAACAACACAGATGTATCTTCTCACAGCCTGTATGTGTCCGAAGTCTGGGAACAGCATATGTGAGTTCTTGCTTAAGATCTCACCAGGCTGCAATCCAGGTGTTGGCCAGGACTACAGGCCCTCAGAGGCATGACTGGAGGAAGATCTTTTTCCAAGCTTCCTCAGGTTGTTGAAAGACTTCATCTTCCCAAGGAGTCCCACTTCCACAGGAAGGAGGTTTTCTTGCTGGCTGTTGGTCGGGTGTTGCTCTCAGCTCCTGCAGCCCTCTGGCAGTCCCTTGCCACTGGCCTCCTCCATGTGCCACTCATAGCATGGCAGCTGCTGCTTTTTCTTTTATTTGTTTTATTTTTTATGCTTAGAGACAGGATCTCACTCTGTTGCCCATGCTGGAGTACAGTGGCCCAATCATAATTCAGTGTAGCCTCAAATCCCTGGGCTCAAGCAATCCCCCTGCTGCAGCCTCCCGAGTAGCTGGGAGTACAGGCACGTGCCACCATGCCATGCTACTTTGCTTCTTTTTTTTTTTTGAGACTGAGTCTCGCTCTATTGCCCAGGCTGGAGTGCAGTGGCATGATCTCGGCTCACTGCAACCTCCACCTCCCAGGTTCAAGCAGTTCTCATGCCTCAGCCTCCCAAGTAGGTGGGATCACAGGCATCCACCACCATGCCTGGCTAATTTTTGCATTTTTAGTAGAGACAGGGTTTTACCATGTTGGCCAGGCTGGTCTCGCACTCCTGACCTCAGGTGATCCGCCTGCCTCGGCCTCCCAAAGTGCTGGGATTACAGTAGGCCACCACACCCGGCCTACTTTGCTTCTTCTAAACCAGCAGTGGAAAGAGTATCTAGCACGTGCTAGCAAGTCAAAAACATTATATATTTATTTGGCGATACACACACCCTGTACATATAAACTCACAGGAATGACATCCCTTCACCTTTGCCATAATCTATCAGAAGGAAGTCTCAAGTCCCACTCATGCCCATGTGGAGAGGACTATACAGGGCACAAACATGAGTGCCACCCGATGGTCTGTTGGCCACAAAGTCTAAGTGCAGAAAGTCTTGAACACCAAAATAAAGAGTTTGGACGTTTTACTACAGTCAGTGAAGCTACTTTTGAGCAATGGAGGATGAAAATGGAGGATGGACTAACATCAGTGTGTAGGAAAGACGGGTATTGGGAGAAGACAGAGGTGGGTGGAGAGAAAGGCACCCCGATGAAAGAGAAAGAGGATCTGGCCAGCACTGGTGGTGTGGGAAGGAGGCATAGATCTGGGGACACCACAGAAGTAGAATCAAATGCACTCACCGATACTTGGCCAAGGCAAGTTGCTGATACAGCAACCGTAGGTCCCGGATTTTCTGGAATGGACACATTTCCAAGCATTCTTATCAGAGTATATGTCTCACATTGGAGCTTAGCTAATGTGCCCTCAGCGTTGCAGTACGCTGAGGGGCATTGTCCCCTGTGTCTCAGCCAGAGGGGTGGAATCTGCTTTCTCCCTTATTTTGGAGCCTGTTTTCCCCCTTATTTTGGAGCCTGTTTTCCACTGCCTGGCCTCTTCTCCAGTCTCATTTTTTAAAATCTTAGACTGATGCCCATGAAGGATTTTTATACCTTGGTGACCTCCAACCATGGCCAAGCCTGCTTTCTACATTCACACAAAAACCTTCATGCATCTACAAACACACACACATGCCCTTTTGCACACACATTATCCTCTGTAACACATCATCTTACTTGCTTGATTTTCCAAGCATGGTTCTGGTTGAAATGGCCTGGGCTTCCCATTTATCACCATGGCCCGGTCCTCAGCTGGGTGCCATTGTTGCCTCTTCCCTGCCCCTTGCCTAAGCCCAGGGGGCTCATCACAGCTCCTCCAGCTCCGTGCTCAGGAGCTGTTGGTGCCTGGCGAGCTCTAAGGCTTGAAAATTATGTGCTGGCCCTGACCCCATGATGAGAATTAGAGCTGACAGTTTTCTGGAAAACAAAAAAAATCTGTTACTTTTCCTGTTATATCTTCTCCCCATAGAATCTTCCCAGGGAATTTCTAAGTTGGTTAAAACCCACCTGACTGAATTCCATATTCTTCACAGCACTGATTTTTCTCCTTCCTTACTCAGACTTCCACCTCACTGCTTTGGTGATAAGGCCAAAGGGACAAGTAGCAATGAAAAAAAAATCGAATAAACTTTAAAAAATGAGTAAATACAGTTCATAGCTCTTCCTTCTTATTAAACAACATGGTACCCTTCATTTCTCTTTGCCCCAATCACCCTTTTAATTCAGCCAGAAGTGCTCCTCTGCCTTTTGGCTGTGAAAGCTTTTACTTCTTCTGGTGCTATTCTTTTCATTCTGCTGTCTGAGTTTTCCAGCACTGTCTTCTGAGAGGGCATTATAGGAAGTGGGGGTGGCAGCAGGTCAGTGTGTCACATGTCACATTCCAAGCCTCCTCTGGCTTGACAGCCAGGAGACCTACAGTTATTACTGAACTTCATATGATCAAACTGAGCAAACTGGCAAAAAATATGTGCAGTTTCTTGGGGGATATTTTAGACATTACGGCTTAGCCAAACTTGTTCCATCTTCCCTGGAAAGTGTTACAGAAGATAAAACAACAGTAAATATGGATTTTTCCAAGCTATTATTTGTTATATCAGTCTGTGACTTTTAGGTTACCTTCCTACTCCTCTTGTTAACATTTCAATTAATTGTGTTAATCAACTCAGTAAAGATTTGGTTTGTAATGATGGATATGTATCACCTACCTCCTAGGGACCAGCTTTAGTTTTCAATCTAATATTTATTTATTTAGGAACTGGCTGTTTTGAGCATTTGTGTATTTTGTCTGTGGCTCATTTCTCTAAGGCTAGATTCTTTTAAAACACTGAAGTACAAATGAGGACAGTTATATAATCAAACGATGGTTTGATAACAGGCACAATGGGCATTAGCCACAAAATGTGCATTTGAAGATCAGACAGCAAGACAGAGAGAAAATAGACTGGAACCAAAAAAGGAACACAGCCTCAGGGACCAGTGGGGCTGTAACAAATGTAACAGTGACATCCATGTCACTGGCATCCCTGACCTTTGACCAGTGGGAGCTGGAGAGCACATACTACTCCTTCTGAAGGGCTTTCTGAGATCCAGTGGTCTACACCACCTGTCTGAACACCTGACCTTTGACCAGTGGGAGCTGGAGAGCACCTACTACTCCTTCTGAAGGACTTTCTGAGATCCAGTGGTCTACACCACCTGTCTGAACACATCCCAGGAGACCAAGCATTCAGTTGTGCTTCTTAGGAAGCTGCAGCCAGCTGGCTGGGCCTCTGTGCCTGCTCTCCCTCCTCCCTGCTTCAGACTCCTCTCCCTTCAAACTGCTTCCTGGAGACCACACTCCCCATTGACCTGTTACTGCATCAGATTTGATTCTGTTTTCTAGCAAGCCCATCTCTTTTTATGCTTCTGAATCCTGTTATTTATCCTCATTATGTCTTCTCATTTTTCCCCTCATGATTGGCATCTCTTTGTACATTTTCTGTCTTTTAAGCCTTTTTCTATTTGTCTTCTATACCACCATTTTGTCTTTTAATCTTTTAGTTAAACCTTTTTCAGCTCCAGAAAGTTTGTGTGTATGTGTGTGTGCGTGTGCCATAGTCAAATTCTGTTATGAGCTCTTATATTTTAGTTGAAGTTTTTGTCTGTCTTCTCTAACAATTTTATTTCCCTAAAACCTATCTATTGTGGGTATTCTTTTTTTGATGTTTTTCTGAGATGGAGTCTCTCTCTGTCACCAAGACTGGAGTGCAGTGGCAGTGGCACAATCTTGGCTCACTGCAGCCTCCGCCTCCTGGGTTCCAGTGATTCTCCTGCCTCAACCTCCCCAGTGCCTGGGATTATAGGCATGCACCACCATGCCTAGCTAATTTTTCTATTTTTAGTAGAGACGAGGTTTCACCATGCTGGCCAGGCTGGTCTTGAACTCCTGACCTCAGGTGATCTGCAAACCTTGGCCTCCCAAAATGCTAGGATTACAGGCGTGAGCCACCATGCCCAGCCTATTATGGGTATTCTGATTATGTTTTCTCTGTTGCTACTGTGTCACCTTAAGTTATTTGTATTCGTTTCCTATGGCTGCTGTAAAAGATTACAACTTTGTGACTTCAAATGACACAAATTCATTGTCTCATGATTCTGGAGATCAGAAGTCCTAAAATCAAGATGTCAGCAGAATTGCATTCCTCCTGGAGGCTCTCGGGGAGAATCCATTTCCATGCTCTCTTCAGCTTCTTTCTAGAGGCTACCTGCCTTCCTCGGCATGCAGTCCCTTCCTCCATCTTCAAAGCACTCACTCCAACCTCTGCTTCTGTTGTCATATTTCCCTCTTTGACTCTGACCTTCCTAGTCTTCTCTTATAGGAACCCTGTGATTACACTTAGGGCCTACCTGGATTATTTAGAACAATCTCTTATCTCAAGATTTAAAGTTATATCTGCAAAGTGCCTTTTGTCATAGAAGGTAATACATTCATGGGTTCCAGGGATTAGGATGTGGACATTGTTGGGGTGGTATTATCAGTCTACCCCAGTACTTAAATGGAGGCCATCCTGTGAATGATGAAAGCAAGACAGTGTCTGCCCTGTTGACCTGCAGTGTGACAGGTGACATAAAATCAGTTCTCTATTGTGATGCTGTGTCATCTTCTGAGCTATGTGGGCTCATGTCCTCAGCCTCATCAGGAAAGCTGCATCAATCTCCTTCCTTCCCTTCTTCTCTAGCTCATTGGAATTCATGGATACCAGTAGGCTCTCCCCAAGATGCCTGTAAGGGATCAGAATTATTCTTCTTCTTGGCGGGGTGGGGGATCTATGATGGTTAATTTTATGTCAACTTGCCTTGGCCATGGTACCCAAACACTTGGTTAAATGCCAGTCTAGATGTGATATGCATGTATTTTTTAGATGGCATTAGCATTTAAATCAGTAGACTCTAAGTAAAGCAGCTTATCCACCATAATCTGGGTGGGCCTCATCTAATCACTGAAAGGCCTTAAGAAAAACATTGAGGGAATTCTGCCTCCAGGCTGTCTTCAGACCAGAGCGGCAACACCAGGTCTTCCCTGGGTCTCCAGCCTGCCCTGCACATTTCAGGCTCGCCAGCCCCTGACAATTGCATGAGCCAATTCCTTAGTGAACCATCCTATTGATTCTGTTTTTCTGGAGAACGCTGACTAATATGGGGTTTATGGATCTCCACAGACCAAACTCTCTCCAAGAAGGCTTCTCTGATCTTACCCCAGGGCTTTGCTGCTGGCCAGCCTCACCCCTCCGATCCGGCAGGGGGAAGGTCCTGGCCAACTCTAACAGAATGGTGGCAGAGCCCAAGGCCCCCTTCTGTATTCCAGATTCTTCTGGAGTTGATTGGAGTTCAGAAGAAACAGAACATCTGGATATTGAAGATGCCTTTTCCCCAAAGTTTCTCTTAAGATTCTTTTTATTTTGAATTGACTTTATTTTTTAGAGCAGTTTTAGGTTTACTTGCGACAAAGACACAGAGATTTCCCCTATGCTCCCTGCCCCCTACACATGCATAGCCTTCCCTGTTTTTAACATTCCCCTACCAGAGTGGTACATTTGCCATAATTGATGAGCCTACATTGACACATCGTCATCGCCCAAAGCCCGTAGTTGACATCAGGATTCACTCTCGGTGCTGTGGATTCTATGGGTGTGGAAAAACGTACAATGGCATGCATCCGCCATTATAGTGTCACACAGAGTAGTTTCACTGCCCTAAAAATCCTCTGTGCTCCCCTTCCTCTCTCAAACCTCTGGAAACTAGAATTGATTCTTGAACAACATGGGTTTGAACAGCATGGGCCCAATGATATGCATTTTTTTTCAATAAAAGTTGCACTAAGTATGCCTGCCTTCCCTTCCACCTCCTCTACCTTGCCACCTCTGCTACTCCTGAGACAGCAAGAGAAGTCCTCCCCTTCCTCCTCCTCCTCAGCCCACTCAGTGTGAAGATGTCAAAGATGAAGACCCTTATGATGACCCACTTTCACTTAATGAATACTAAGTATATAGTCTCTTCCTTGTGATTATCTTAGTAACATTTCTTTTCTCTAGCTTTCTTTATTGTAATATAGTATATAACATACAAAATATGTGTTAATTGACTATGTTATCAGTAAGTCTTCTGGCCAACAGTAAGCTACCCATAGTTAAGTTTGGGGGAGTCAAAAGTTATACATGGATTTTCTACTGCATGGAAGGTTGGCACTCCTAACTTTGTTGTTGTTCAAGGATCAACTATATTGATCTCTTTTTGTATCCATTGTTTGTCAGTTCCAAAATTTCATATAGTTGGAATTAGACAGTGTATAATCTTTTCAGATTTGTTTCTTTCACTCAGTAATATACATTTATGTTTCCTCCATGTCTTTTCATGGTTTGATAGCTCATTTCTTTTCAGCATTTAATAGTATGCCATTGCCTGGATGTACCACAGTTTACTTACCCATTTACTTACTGAAGTACAGCTTCTTTGCTTGCACGTTTTGTCATTATAAATAAAACTGCTATAAATATCCATGTGCAGGTGTCTGTGTGAACATAAGTTTCAACTCCTCTGGGTAAATATCGTATAGTGCAATTGCTGGATTGTATGGTAAAGAGTATGTTTAGTTTTTTAAGAAACTGCCAAACTGCCTTCCAAAATAGGTGTACAATTTTGCATTCCCACCAGCAATGCCACAATGCCTGAGAGATCCTGTTGCTCCACATCTTTGCCAGTATTTGGTGTTGCAGTGTTCCGGATTAAGGCTAACCTAATAGGTGTGCAGTGGTATCTCAGTGTTCTTTCAATTTGCATTTCCCTGATGAAACATGTTGTGGAAATCTTTTTTTTTGAGATGGAGTCTCACTCTGTCGCCAGGCTGGAGTGCAGTGGCACCATCTCGGCTCACTGCAACCTCCACCTCCCAGGTTCAAGTGATTCTTATGTCTCAGCCTCCCAAGTAGCTGGGACTGCAGGCACGTGCCACCATGCCCAGCTATTGTTTTTTTCTTTTTTGTATTTTCACTAGAGATAGGGTTTCACCATGTTGACCAGGCTGGTCTTGAACTCATGACCTCAGGTGATCCGCCTGCCTCGGCCTCCCAAGTGCTGAGATTACAGGTGTCAGCCACCGCAGCTGGTGGGAACATCTTTACGTATGCTTATTTACCATCTGTATATGTTCTGTGGTGAGATGTGTGTTAAGGTCTTTGGCCCATTGTTTATTCATGTTGTTTTCTTACAGTTGAGTTTTAAGAGTTCTTTGTGTATTTTTGATCACAGTCCTTTATCAGAGATGCCTTTTGCAAACATTTTCTCCCAGTCTCTGGCTTATCTTTTCATTCTCTTGACAATGTTTCACACAGAGCAGAAATTTTTAATTTTAGTGAAGTCCAGCTTATCAATTCTTTCTTTCATGAATTGTGTCTTTAGTGTTGTATCTAAAAAGCCATCACAAACATCACAAACCCAAGGTCACCTGGGTTTTCTCCTATGTTACATTCTAAGTTTTATATATTCTAGGATTTTGCTTTACGTTAAGGTCTGTGGTCCATTTTGAGTTCATTGTTGTGAAGGGTCTAAGGTCTGTGTCTAGATTCATTTTTTGGCATATGGATGTCCAGTCATTCCAGCACCATTTGTTTAAAAAGACTCTTTCCTCCATTGTATTGTCTTTGATCCTTTTTCGAAGATCAGCTGACCAATTTTATGTGGGTCTATTTCTGGACTCTCTATTCTGTTCTGGGAATTTATTTGTCTATTATTTTGTCAATACCACACTGTCTTGGTTACTGGAGCTTTATGGTAAGTCTTGTCAGGTGATGTCAGTCCTCCAACTTTGTTCCTCTCCTTCAATATTTTGTTGGCTATTCTGGGACTTTTGCCTCTCCATATAAACTTTAGAACCAGGTTCAAGCGATTCTCCTGCCTCAGCCTCCTGAGTAGCTGGGATTAGAAGCAACGCACCATCACGCCCAGCTAATTTTTGTATTTTTAGTAGCGACGGGGTTTCACCATGTTGGTCAGGCTGGTCTCGAACTCCTGACCTCGTGATCCGCCCACCTTGGCCTCCCAAAGTGCTGGGATTACAGGCATGAGCCACCGCGCCCGGCCTAATTTTTGTATTTTTAGTAAAGACGGGGTTTCACCATATTGACAAGACTGGTCTCGAACTCCTGACCTCAGGTGATCCACCTGCCTCGGGCTCCCAAAGTGCTGGCATGAGCCGCCACGCCTGGCCCATATTTTGTTATATGTATACTTGAGTATTTAATTTATTGGTGCTAATATAAATGGTTTTATGTTTTTAATTTTAAGTTTCTCTGGATTCTTTTTGAGTCCAGTTTTATAATCCAGAGTTTTGTTCTCTTTACAGAATTTTATCATGCCCTGCTTTGATAACTTTGCATCTTATATCTTCACCCAGTGAAATGACAAACACATAAAATAAGTATGAGCCATGGATACATCCCAGAAACTGTTTCTTTGGTTTAGGATACAATGAATTTTTTATCTTAGTCTCTCATTTTTCTAAGATCCCATTTTTAAAAATAGGAAATTAAATTTACTTTTGTTCCAATTCTGCTTTAGGAAACTTGGTGTCCCTTTCATCATGGGTCTCAATTTTAACCAGAGGGGTCTCTCCCTCCATTTACTTCTTGAAATCGATGTTCTTCTTCAGGGTTACTCATAGTGTGACCTGCCAGATCTCCTGCCCCTGCACCTGCCCAGCCACCTCCTAATGGACTAATATGCGCCCCACTACAAGCTCAGCAATTTGAACTTCCCATGCTTAGCTTTGGGGCCAGTTCTGGCTTTAGCTGCAGGGATATTTAAAAGTTTAGTTCAATAGATGAAGTGAGTCCTCACCAAATCTGTTGTGTTGCTGTTTTTTCTTGAACCACAGTTCTAGTTCTAGTTCTAGTGACTGAATTCCTCACTGCCACTAAGTACACAGTTCCAAAGTCTTCTAGACTTACTTCTGGAGCCTGACAAGTGACTGTTCCTTTAGCCAGTACTGGGGCTTCCAGACATCATTGCTTCTGTTTTTTTTTGTTTGTTTGTTTTCAGTTTTTTTTTAAATTTCAATGGTTTTGGGAGTACAGGTGGTTTTTGGTTACATAGATGAGTTCTTTAGTGGTGAATTCTGAGATTTTAATGCACCCATCACCTGAGCAGTCTTTTATCCCTCACCTCGCTGCCAACCTCTTTCCTTGCATCCCCAAAGTCCATCACATCACTCTATATGTTTTTGCATCCTCATAGCTTAGCTCCCACTTTTGAGTGAGAACATACGATATTTGGTTTTCCATTCCTGAGTCACTTCACTTAGAATAATGGCCTCCAGCACCATCCAGGTTGCTGCATAAAGACATTTCATTCCTTTTTATGGCTGAGTAGTATTCCGTGGTGTATATATAGCACATTTTCTTTTTCTTACTTGTTGGTGGACACTTAGGTTGGTTCCATATCTTTGCAATTGGAAATTGTGCTGCTATAAACATGTGTGTGCATATGTCTTTTTCACATAATGACTTATATTCCTTTGGGTAGATTCCTGGTAGTGGGATTGCTGGATCAAATGGTAGTTCTCCTTTTAGTTCTTTAATGGTAGATCTACTTTTAGTTTTTCTTTTTTGTTTTGTTTTTTGTTTTGAGACAGTCTCGCTCTGTCGCCAGGCTGGAGTGCAATGGCGCGATCTCGGCTCACTGCAACCTCCGCCTCCCAGGTTCAAGTGATTCTCCTGCCTCAGCCTCCCGAGTAGCTGGGACTACAGGCGTGCACCACCATGCCCAGTTAATTTTTGTATTTTTAGTAGAGACAGGGTTTCACCATGTTGGCCAGGATGGTCTCGATCTGTTGACCTCGTGATCTGCCTGCCTTGGCCTCCCAAAGTGCTGAGATTACAGGCGTGAGCCACTGTGCCCGGCCTACTTTTAGTTTTTAGTGCTTGTCTGTTTGGATCATCACACATTACTTGCTCCCTGCTGCCAGGCCTCAGTCTGCGCTACACCCATATACTACTTATTTTCTAGACTTCCAAAGTGCTGGGCACCACCCAGTCCTCTGCCAGGCACGGTCCTCTCTGCAGGTGATCCGCTGCCTGTGTGGGGGTCTCCTCCCTCCAAGCAACCATTTTCACCCACAGGCATGTCTCAACTCCAGGTGCAGACCCCTCCCTGACTGTCCTGTTCCATCAACTCCGGTTCTGTTAAAAGGATGTGAACTTTACAGACTTCCCAGCAAGGCAGCTCCTTGGAGGCAGAGACCTCATTTGGAATACGCTCAACTATATTAAAATGTGATTTTGCTCAACCATATGAAACACTCAGTTGTTAGGACAAAAAAAAAAAAAAACCCTGCTTTTCACATTCCCATTTTACCTCTACAATGTATCATTTCATCAAACACCAATTCACAAATGGAACTTACATAGCTCGTTAACTACAGTGTTTTATTCTCTTATGAAAATATGTCAGAAAGATTTGAGAGTCTGGGACTGTGGTGAAGCCCCCATCAGCCCGGGCATATGGTGGGGGAGGTCAGGAACATTTTCTTCCAGCTCTCTTCAGACAGCAGCCAGACAGTTTTCAGCGCCTTTTTTTTTTTACCGTTTTGGTGACTCATTTCCTCACTTGAGACACAGAAATATGAATGCAGTGTCAACCAACCATAAAGGAGTGTTACGAGAGTTCTGGTCATGGAGTAATCATAATTGTATTTGGTATATGATTTGACCGTATTTATTCATAATATAATACTCTAGGGTTTGAACATCTTATTTTTGGTTCTGCTGTGAACTATATAGAACGTGATGGAAAATCACTCCCTGCACATTACCCTGGGCTGCAGTGTCCATAAAAGGCGATATGCTGGCTCAAGAAATTGAAATTGAATGATTTCATAACCAACCTGTGAGCCTCGCTTCCTCCTTCACATATGAAAGCACGTTGGCACAGAGGGGAGAAAATTTTTTTTTCATATGTTTCCACCTCACAGCTCCTTTTCTAGGTCTCCTAGTTGGAAAGACATTGATTTCTACGTGGGAAGACTTTTGCACCTGCAAGAATCCTTCACGGTCATATAGTGTCACCTCTCTCCCAAGGCAGAAATCCCATCTGCAATATTGATCAATGACCTGTCAAGGATGAATTAATTGAGTGCCTACTATGTGCTAGCTAGGCATTGTGCTGAGCCTCACACAATGGCAGACCCTGAGATAAGAATTCAAGTGCCAGGAATTTGAGAAAGGGTCCCGGAAAACACTGGAAATAGTGGACATGAGACAGAGAAGACAAGAAAGCCAATAAAGGATGCACATTATCAAGCAAATTACCACCATGGGCAGATAGAGCTCGATCCCACTAGAGAATTCTGAAAACCAAGACTCAGAATTCATCCAACCAAGGGGCCAGGGATCTGGGGTATTAATCCACCAATTCTCCATCTGTCATGGGTTCAGGCTGCTTTCAGGGGAATGAAATTTCCAGCATGTCTGGCTTCTCCATGCATGGGCACAGTGTGTTTTCAAGGTCAGAAAAAAAAAGGCTTTGAGTGGAGATTTTCAGGGGTCAGCTATAAGTAGAAGTGAATGCCAGTGGGAGGTGGGGCCACTGATACCATCTGCTACATTCAGGAAGACAGAGAATTAAGCTCTTCTCCCTACTTTTGATCTGAAGGAGCAAACGGGGACATTTGCTCCTTGAATCCAGTGGAATCCAAGGGGAAAGCCCTGGAGCAATGGAGGTGATGAGTTTGAACGAAGATGTACAAAACCTGAGTTAACTGAGCGTGCAGATGAGCAGAGAGAAGAAAAATGGCTCTAGATGACATCAGGCCATGACTAGTCATCAGTTGCCACATGAGGTTTTCAGGAATGACATGGAAATACCAGCTTTCCACAGCTGTCTGGCTCTCCCCAGGGAAATGGGAAACCCTGGTACAGAGTCGAACCTTGGGCAAAAGGGTTGGAAGGAAGCAGGTGATCTGGGCAGAGCTGCCAGCTCTTCCTCCTTCCCTGGGGAGAACTAGTTGAAAATGAGTGTAGGGAGCCTGGCAGGAGAGCCAGCAAGGCAGGCTAACCCCAGAGGTGTGTAAGTGCAAAGGCTTCACGGCCATGCTTTCAGCAGACCTGGCACTGTTCAGTGCTGTCACCCAAGCCAGCCGAGGCTGGCCTAAGCCCACTTGCTTGTGGGGAGGGGGAGCTCATGCCCCGCTGGCTATAGGTTTTTTGGGTTATGAAACTAGGCAGGGCTAAGCCTGGAAAAAGTCCGAAATCATTAGTGGAGTCTGCGGTGTGCTAGGGCAGGTGGAGGCAACTTTCCTCAGTAAGGCAGTTCGCGGCCAGTGCTGCGGTTGGTTGGGATGTTCTTTGGGCAGACTGAAGTCTACCTACCTTGAACTTTCCCTTCATTCTACTGCTGCCCTTTGGAATGCCCTGATGATTCCCAGGAAAGTTTTGAGAATACAGCACCTGGCCCATGCTGCTGATAAAGATTCCCTTTTGGATAGGTGTTTGTGGTTTGTGATGATGTAACTAATGATTTTGTTTCCCTGGTTTCAAGCTAGACTGTTCTAGTCCATATATTTCCAGGAAAACAACTCTGCCGTGGATACACGTAGGGTGTGTAGTGTGTTCCTGCCACGCTCCTCATCCCTGCCCTTTGACTTCCCATCTCGGGTTCACAATGCCAGGCACTGGCTCCAGCAGAAATGTCTTTCTCCTTTTCCTTGGCTCTTCCGTTCCATACCCACCACCAGGCTTTCCCTGTGTTGTAATGTCCACGCTTCTTAAAGGATTTTAAATGGACTCAACGTTTATTCGGATTATCTCTCATTGAAATACCCATATTTTACCACACTGTGAACCTGTCATATCAATAAAGAAGAGCTTTCAGCTGGTCGTGGTGACTCACCCCTATAATCTCAGAACTTTGGGAGGCTGAGGCGGGAGGATTGCTTGAGGCCAGGAGTTCAAGATCAGCCTGGGAAATGTGGCAAAACCCTGTCTCTACAAAATAAAAACTAAAATAGCATGTGCTTGTATTTCCAGCTACTTGGGAGGCTGAGGCAGGAGGATCGCTTGAGTCCAGAAGGTAGAGGCTACAGTGGGCTATGATCACACCACTGCACTCTGGCCTGGGTGAGAGGGCCAGACCTTGTTGAAGAAGAAGAAAGAGGAGGAGGAGGACTTTCATTCATTTTATGTTAACTGAAACTTAAAGCATAGGAAAGGTTTAGAATGAAATGCTCTGCATGTTAGGTGACAAAGCACGATAACAAAACACAAAGCTGGCATTCTACCCAAAAGCAAAAGGAAAACAACCTTTTGCTTGTTTAGCCAAAACAGCAACTTTAAGAATGAATAACATGATGCTCATGTATTGGCAAGTCTGCCCCCTTGTACTTTGGTGAATTTGTATAAATGATATTCTTACATTGCAATCAGGATTTGAAACACTGCTTTTTCTCAGATGGAAACAAGCCTTTTATTGTTCACTCTGCTCTGAAGCACCACCCCAGTGTTAAAGCACAACCACCGAGTGGAGATAATTAGATGAACCTAGAAGTTCTAGCAGGGAATTGAAAAGTTTGGCCAAAAGAGCTTGTACCTTTGAAGTGAAACATTTTCTATTTCATTTTAGTTGCATGTTTATGAGGTCCTGAGAAATTAAAAATCATGTGTTCTGGTTACAGCTGGCACCCGCACCAAAGGGAGAGAAACAGCAAGCCACACCCAAAAGAGGAAAAGAACAAGAATGAGAATTCCACAAAAAAGAAGCTCATGAAGAAGAATAAGATTATTTTTCTTGCCTATAATAAAGGAGTTAGAACGGGGCTTTCCCAGCATGGAGAATAATAGCCCTTTCTTTTTCACTTGTGGTTGTCCCCAGCTCTCATTCATTTCACTAGTGTTCTAATAATGTGAGATATCTCAGTAATGAATTTTTAATCGTAACTTTCATTCATAATATAGTTTAAAAACTTACATCTGGATAATTTACACATATATTCTCCAAGATAAATAGATATAGATATCTGTTTTGATAAAACACTTTATTTTTCTAAGTATTATGGCTCCTGAATCTGCTATGTGTATTTAATGTGAATATATTTCTTTTCTAAATGATTAATATCTTTTCCCATTTTCATCGGGAACTCCATTGCATTAATTTCTACCCTACTAAAAAAGAAACCCCTTTTAAAGTTAGGTGAAGGGTATTTTTTCCCATTCTTTTAATACTTCTTACTAACGGACATAAAAGTAGGTTATGTCCTACTTCTAGAAGAGGGCCTGTGTGAGACAAGGAACACATGAAAGGGAGTTGTCACTTAAAAAAAATTATTCTCTATTTTCTGAAGTCATCTATATACATTATTTTGTTTCCTTTGGAGTAGAGAAACGTGAATTCATGATGAAATCTAAAGCCTAGAGGAAAGGTAATGACAAATTAAAAGGAAAAACAAGCTATTCAAAAAAATAAACAGAGCAAACAACGGTGGGTTTAGAAGTGAGGTCAAAAGAGGAGAATATGAAACATCTCTTGATAATAGTCTTTTAATTTCCAAATTAAGGTCTAAATTTTTCAAACGTGCTTTGTGAATTTTCATTGATAGGTTGAAGAGAAAAGGACCAGAAATATCAGCAAATCATTCTTGTGTCATAATTTTTCTCATTTTTTTGAGTAAGGCAAGATTTTTCTTCCACCTTCACAACACTGCCAAATACATCTTATTTAGATTTTCTAAAGCAGGAGTTTAGACTGATGTTTGCATGACTGAAGCCTGGCATGGAATCATCACAGAGGTTACAAGAATGTTAATTGCATCTATTAACCCCAACTGCCTCTCAGGCATTACTTTCTTAATTCTTCCAAAAAATTCTTTAAGGCATGTACTTTACAAATAAGAATGGTGAGCCTTAAACAATGCTAAAAGTGGAACTAGAGATGGAAGCAGAGGTCTGCCGGTCTCTAAAGCTAAAGTACCAAATAACTCCCATGTTGAAGTCAACAAGCTGATAGAGATAGAAGGATGGAGAAAAGGATGGAAGAAGTATGGTTTAAAATAAGGCTCTTTCTCAGAGGTGTGAGTGAATGGGCTTGAGAGTTAAAACTGGAAGTAGTTGTTAGGGTGGGAATCAAAGTAAAACTTGGGTTCAGATTTAATTTAAGGCTGGCATTAGAATTACGATTTTATTGAAGGTTTGGGGTAGGGATCACCTCTATATTTGCGATTAAAATAGAGGTTCATTCAGAGTGGAGTCTGCATTAAGTACTGAGAGGGGTTGGAGTAAGGCAGTTGTATTAGTCCATTCTTACACTGCTCATAAGGATATACCTGAGACTACTGGGTAATTTATAAAGAAAGAGAGGTTTGGCCGGGCGCGGTGGCTCACGCCTGTAATTCCAGCACTTCGGGAGGCCAAGGCCGGCGGATCACGAGGTCGGGAGATCGAGATCATCCTGGCTAACACGGTGGAACCCCGTCTCTACTAAAAAATACGAAAAATTAGCCGGGCGTGGTGGCGGGCGCCTGTAGTCCCAGCTACTCGGGAGGCTGAAGCAGGAGAATGGCGTGAACCCGGGAGGCAGAGCTTGCAGTGAGCCGAGATGGCGCCACTGCTCTCCAGCCTAGGGGGACAGAGAGAGACTCGTCTCAAAAAAAAAAAAAAAAAAAAAAAAAGAGAGAGAGAGGTTTAATGGACTCACAGTTCCACGTGGTTTGGGAGGCCTCACAATCATGGCGGAAGGCAGAAGGCAGAAGGCAGAAGTCTTACGTGGCAGCAGGCAAGAGAGAAAATGAGAACCAAGAGAGGGGGGTTTCCCCTTATCAAACCATCAGCTCTCATAAGACTTATTCACTACCATAAGAACAGTACGGGGGAACCACCCCCATGATTCAATTACCTCTCATCGGGTCCCTCCCACAGCACATGGGAATTATGGGAGAGAGTTGGGTGGGGACACAGCCAAACCATATCAGCAGTGTTAACTAAACTTCCCTGAGGATAAGAATCACCCGGGCAACTGCTAAAACAACACATACTTCGTCCTTCTCAGACCTGCTGAATCTGCTGTCTTCCAGGGAAAATGATACCATTCACAGTTGTGCTAAGGTGAGTCTCATCATCAGGAAAGCAGGGGCATGCTGCGCATTGTTCACAATTTTGTCTTACCATGAGAATCATCTGAAGAGCATAAATACTGATGCTTGAACCCACCCCTCAATTAAATCAGAATCTGAAGAGGGCCATTATTATGTTTAAAACACTCCCCAGGTGATTCCAATGGGATACAAGAGTTGAAATCCCAGAGAGATGGTCAGACATGAAAAGAGATACTTCTTTCTTCTGGGTTCATACAGCTCTTCAACTCTTTCTCACGGCAATTTTTGCATATGGCTTGATTTACAAATACTGGTATACCTGTTTTTACAATAGCATTGTAGCCTTCAAGGGCAGAGACAAGATATAACTCCATCACTCATAATGCTTAGCACTGCGATACTGAATAAATATCTATTTGCTCTGTGCATATAGGCATTCAAAGGAAATCCCTGGCAGCTCTGCTCCAGGTCAAGAAATATACCAAGGACACTGCATGCAGATTCACCCAATGAAAGGGACTTCCTCTCCATTTGTTTTATGAATTATCAAGAATCACCCAATGCAAAGCATTTTGTTCATTAATTGGAGTCTGGGGAGCCTTGGCCCTCCAGGTCATTGTCCTATCAACAAGCCATTCCTGGTATCAGCCCTTTCTGGGCAGCTACTGTCCTTAACCTCCCCTAATTCTAGAATGCTCCTTAGTGACTTGCTTGATCAAGATCATGTGGTTTTGAGACCTCGAATGCTAGGTCATAATAAGGGAGGAGAACATCTCTCATATTGTCTTATGCCCAATTTCTGCCTCCAAAGAAAGAAAAAGTAAAAACTAAAAGGCAGAAATGGAATCCACAAGCAGACAGCCCGGCGACACACCCTGGGCCTGGTAGTTAAAGATGGACCCCTGACCTAATCGGTTATGCTATCTACAGATTACAGACATTGTATAGAAAAGCACTGTGAAAATCCCTATCCTGCTTTGTTCTGATCTAATTACCGGTGCATGCAGCCCCCAGTCACGTACCCCCTGCTTGCTCAATTGTCACGACCCTCTCATGCGCACCCCCTTAGAGTTGTAAACCCTTAAAAGGGACAGGAATTGCTTACTCGGAGAGCTCAGCTCTTGAGACAGGAGTCTTGCTGATGCCCCCGGCCGAATAAACCCCTTCCTTCTTTAACTCAGTGTCTGAGGAGTTTTGTCTGCGGCTCGTCCTGCTACAATAAGAATTCTTGCAGCTGCCATCTGGAGTTCTGGGAACACTCACGGCCTTGAGCTGCCAGTTGGAAGTCCAACTACCCTGAGATCACCCTGCTCAAGAAACACATGAAGAGTCCCTGAAATTGCGTGAAGAATGAGATGCCTGGCCACCTCCCAGAGCACCTTCTAGAAGGTTGAGTGTCAAAAGATCTAAAGCCACCTTTAATCTGCTAAAACACATCATTTCAAAAATATCAAGATGATGCCTGACGTATAATACAAAGGAAAATAAAAGTTAAGTAATTTATAATAATACATATTTCAATATTTTGATGCCTCAGGCAAAACACAAAGTAGTAGTCATAAAGAATTCTGGCTGGGCGAATATTTTTTAAAAAATTTTTGCATTTATTTTCTTTTAAAATATTTTGTATTTTAATAGCTTTTCGGGTATATCGCGCCTGTAATCCTAGCTCTTTGGGAGGCTGAGGCGGGCTGCCACCTGAAGTCAGGGATTCGAGACCAGCCTCGCCAAAATGGTGAAACCCTGTTTCTACGAAAAATACAAAAATTAGCAGGGCGTGGTAGCACACACCTGTAATCCCAGCTACTCGGGAGGCTGAGGCAGGAGAATTGCTTTAATCTAGGAGGCGGAGGTTGCAGTAAGCCGAGATGGCACCACTGCACTCCAGCCTAGGCAAAAGAGTGAGACTCCTTTTAAAAAAAAAAGGCTTGGGAGGCTGAGGCGGGTGGATCACTTAAGGTCAGGAGTTCGAGACCAGCCTGGCCAACATGGTGAAACCTTGTCTCTACTAAAAATACAAAAATTGGCCAGGCATAGTGGCTCACGCCTGTAATCCCAGCACTTGAGAGGCCGAGGTGGGCAGATCATGAGATCAGGAGATCAAGACCAACTTGGCTAACACGGTGAAACCCCGTCTCTACTAAAAATACAAAAAATTAGCCAGGCATGGTGGCGGACGCCTGTAGTCCCAGCTACTCAGGAAGTTGAGGCAGGAGAATTGCTTGAACCTGGGAGGCGGAGGTTGCAGTGAGCTGAGATCGTGCCACTGCACTCCAGCCTTGGTGACAGAGTGAGACTCCATCTCAAAAAAATAAATAAATAAAAAAGAACGGGTGTATATTTACAATTTCTAGAAATACAAAGCTACAAATGCAGGCTCAAATGGGAGTGTTTTGCTAGCAACCCAAATGCCATGGATGACACTGCCTTTGGTGACTTTAGAAGATGAAGGCCACAGTTTTGTATAGTTCATAACAAAATAAAATAGAATATTTCCTGATTTTACATGTTAGGTACATTTCTGAAAATTTCAGTCTATATTAAAACAGTGTAAACAAATGCCCTGTGTTTAGGAGTTCTGGACGTGGGTAAGATGGAGAAAGCATATCCTATCCTGTCTTACTCACTGAATGCATTTATAAAATCTGCATGGAATAGCTGTTGGAGGACTCTAAAAAGTAAATAGTAGCAGATGGATTGGTTAAAAAGGCCAGAATTTAGGAATCCCCCTTTCAGTTGCTATAGCCAGAACTAGAGAGCTTTTTTTTTTCTTTTTTTTTTTTCTTTTGTGGGTTTTTTAATTAGAATGTTGAAGGGATAACAGATGTAAAGGCCAAGATAAACAATAAGATGGACAAATTGACACTGCAATTAAATATTGAAATTTATAATGATAATTGAATTAGTTAACCTGATAGCATTTTTAAAAAACTTGTGAGCACAATACTTGCATTATGATAGTTATTCTTTACTTAGCATTATGAAATAAGCTTTTGCTTCTTGATGCCCTAACACTTAAAAAAGCCTAAGTATAAAAAACAAAAATGGAATATGTAGAAAACTTTTCTAATCTCAAGAAGATGATTAAATATCAATTAGATTGAGCTCTAGGTTTTTTTTTTTTCTTTTATTATTATACTTTATGTTTTAGGGTACATGTGCACATTGTGCAGGTTAGTTACATATGTATACATGTGCCATGCTGGTGTGCTGCACCCACTAATTCGTCATCTAGCATTAGGTATATCTCCCAATGCTATCCCTCCCCGCTCCCCCCACCCCACAACAGTCCCCAGAGTGTGATGTTCCCCTTTCTGTGTCCATGTGATCTCATTGTTTAATTCCCACCTATGAGTGAGAATATGCGGTGTTTGGTTTTTTGTTCTTGCGGTAGTTTACTGAGAATGATGGATTTCCAATTTCATCCATGTCCCTACAAAGGACATGAACTCATCATTTTTTATGGCTGCATAGTATTCTGTGGTGTATATGTGCCACATTTTCTTAATCCAGTCTATCATTGTTGGACATTTGGGTTGGTTCCAAGTCTTTGCTATCGTGAATAGTGCCGCAATAAACATACGTGTGCATGTGTCTTTATAGCAGCATGATTTACAGTCCTTTGGGTATATACCCAGTAATGGGATGGCTGGGTCAAATGGTATTTCTAGTTCTAGATCCCTGAGGAATCGCCACACTGACTTCCACAATGGTTGAACTAGTTTACAGTCCCACCAACAGTGTAAAAGTGTTCCTATTTCTCCACATCCCTCCAGCACCTGTTGTTTCCTGACTTTTTAATGATTGCCATTCTAACTGGTGTGAGATGGTATCTCATTGTGGTTTTGATTTGCATTTCTCTGATGGCCAGTGATGATGAGCATTTTTTCATGTGTTTTTTGGCTGCATAAATGTCTTCTTTTGAGAAGTGTCTGTTCATGTCCTTTGCCCACTTTTTGATGGGTTTGTTTGTTTTTTTCTTGTAAATTTGTTTGAGTTCAAGACTAGAGAGCTTTTCTTGGAGCTCAAACCAGAGGAGAGTTTCCTGGTTTTGTTCCTTCCAGTATTGCCCTTTCCAGTATTCCCCAGACCTGGCCCCAGGGCAGTACTAAACCCAGAAGTGGGCCCCACTCATGGAGAGAAAGAGCTTCAGGGAAAGCACTCTAGTTCTGGCTATAACAACTGAGAAGGGGATTCCTAACAGTCAGAGAGTTTAGGGTAAAATATGATTTTTCTTTTCTATTCTATAACTTGCTTTATTTTTCATGGGCACAAGATCTTTAATAACATACAATAAATACCTTTGGCACATTTGCTACAAATATTTCCCCAATGTTTCACTGCCCATCTGACATCGTTTGACATTGTTGAGTAGGCAAATGTTGCACTATAATTTCTTCCACTGATAAGACAGCTTGTTTTGCCCTTTCACAGAGTTTGTTTGATTTTTAAAAAATATTTTTGTATTTTAATAGCTTTTGGGTATAAGTGGTTTTTGGTTACATGGATAAATTGTATAGTGATGAAGTTTGAAATTTTAGTGCACCATCACCTGAGTAGTATACACTGTACCCAATATGTAGTTTTTTATCCTCACTCCCCACCCCTAGTCTCCATGGTTCCTTATATCACTATGTTTGCCTTTGCAGACCCATAGCTTCGCTCCCACTTTCCAGTGAGAATATAGGAAAAAAAAAAAAAAGAAAAAAGAAAAAAAAAAGAATATAGGGTATTTGGTTTTCCATTCCTGAGTTACTTCACTTAGAATAATGGCCTCCAGCTCCATCCAAAAAAGGAGAATTGTTAACAGAGAGTTTGGAGTAAATTGCCATTTTTCTTTTTTTTTTCCCCCTTCTTTTCTTTATTCTCTGGATTCCAAGCCTTCAGGCAATTATGGTCATTTGATTTTCAACAAAGATGCAAAGCCAAGTCAATGGAGAAAGGATAGTTTTAGTAATTGGTGTTGGGAACTTTGGTCATCCATATGCAAAAAAAAAAAAAACACACAAAAAAAACTTTATGATTTGTACCAAAATTAACTCAAAATAAATTATAGATCTAAATGTAAAACACAAAATGGTGAAAATCTTAGATGTGTTACACAAAGACTTATTTTCCATGACATCAAAAACACAAAGTAATTTTTTTTTCTTTGAGATGGAGTCTCGCTCTGTCACCCAGGCTGGGGTATAATGACACGATCTTGGCTCACTGCAAGCTCCATCTCCCTGGTTGAAGCAATTGTCCCGCCTTAGCCTCTCGAGTAGCTGGGATTACAGGCGTGTGCCACCACGCCTGGCTAATTTTTGTACTTTTTAGTAGAGATGGGTTTCACTATGTTGGCCAGACCTGTCTCGAACTCCTGACTTCAGGTGATCTGCCCGCCTCGGCCTTCCAAGGTGCTGGAATTACAGGCGTGAGCCACCGTGCCCAGCTGGAAAAAGTAAATTAGACTTCATCAAAATTAAAAAAATTTGCTCTGCAAAAGGCACCATTTCTTTTTTCTTTTTTCTTTTTGTTTGAGACAGGGTCTCTGTCACCTAGGCTGGAGTGCAGTGGCATCAAAATTAAAAAATTTTTGCTCTGCCGGGCGCGGTGGCTCGCGCCTGTAATCCCAGCACTTTGGGAGGCCGAATCGGGCGGATCACGAGGTCAGGAGATCGAGACCATCCTGGCTAACACGGTGAAACCCTGTCTCTACTAAAAATACAAAAAATTAGCCGGGGGTAGTGGCGGGCGCCTGTAGTCCCAGCTACTTGGGTGGCTGAGGCAGGAGAATGGCGTGAACCCAGGAGGTGGAGCTTGCCGTGAACCAAGATCGCGCCACTGCACTCCAGCCTGGGCGACAGAGCGAAACTCCGTCTCAAAAAAAATTTTTTTTTTTTTCTCTACAAAAGGCACCATTTCTTTTTTCTTTTTGTTTGAGACAAGGTCTCTTTCACCCAGACTGGAGTGCAGTGGTGTGACATTGGCTCACTGCAGCCTCAACCTCCTGGGCTCAGGTTATTCTCTCACCTCTGCCACTGAAGTAGCTGGGACTACAGGCACATGCCACTACACCTGGTTAATTTTTGTATTTTTCGTAGAGGTGAGGTCTCACTTTGTCCCAGGCTGGTCTCTAACTCCTGGGTTCAGGCGATCCTCCCACCTCGGCCTCCCGAAGTGCTGGGATTATAGGTGTGAGCCACATGCCCAGCAAGACACTATTAAGAGAATGAAACGAGGCTAAAGACTTAGAGCAAATAATTTTCAAATTGCATATCCAACAAAGGACTTATATTCAGAATATTAAAAAAAAAAACTCTTCCAAACCGAGGAGTAAGAAAACAAATAACCCAATTTGAAAATGCATAAAAGACTTAACACTCCACTAGAGAGGATATGCAGATGGAAAATAAGCAAGTGAAAAGATGTTCAACAGCATTAGCCATTAAGGAAATGCAAGGGAAAGGCACAATGAGATACCACTACACACCTATTGGGATGGATAAATTTAAAAATACTGTCACTCCTGTGCTGGCAAATATGTGGATCAATTAGAACCCTCATATGTTGCTGGTGGGAATGCAAAATGGTATAGTCACTCCAGAAAATAGTCTAGCAGATTTTTATAAAATTAAACACGCAATTACCATCTGACCCAGCAGTCCCACTCTTAGGCATTTACTCTAGAAAAGTAAATATTTTGGCTCATAAAACCGATATATGTACATTTTACTGTAGCTGTATTCATAATAGGCAAAACCTGGAAATAATCCAAATGCCCTTCAAGGGATGAATGGATAAACCAACTGTGGTACGTCCACGCAATGAACTGTAACTCAGAAATAATAGAAATGAAGCATTCATTCTTGCAATAACTTGTGTGAAACTCAGAGGCATTATGCTGAGTAAAAGAAGCTGCTTTGAAAAGGCTACATACTGTATGATTTCAATATATACAATATTCTCAAAAAGACAAGACCATCGTAAGGGATGGCAGATCAGTCATTGCCAGGTTTGGGGTTTGGGGTCACAGGAGGATGACTGCAGATAGATAAGCAGAGGTGGCGTTTGGTGGTAAGGTAACTGTCCTGTAGCCTAGCTGTGTAAGTAATTACACATACACACATATCTATACATGTGTGAAAACTGAACCCAAAAATGTCATTCTATTGTTAATTTAAAAAATAAGATTGAAAGATACCTTGTGTTTGTATGTAAAACAGGGTTAGAGTCTAGGCTTAGGTAATTTTTTATTTATTTACATTTTTAGATAATTTTTAAACTGTTTTTTTTTTTTTTTTTTTTTTTTTTTTTTTTTTTTTTTTTTTTTTTTACTTACAGGAATGACCAGTGAGAAATTTAAAAGTTGGATAGAATTAAGGGATTGTTGTACTTTCCTGTCTCATTGCAGCATGTGTAGCCAGGGCTGCAGGTAGCATGCATGGGCAGCTGTATTTCAATTGTAAAAGTTCACCTTCTCTGGGCAGACAAATCATAAAAAGGCATCCCCTTTGGATGGAAGATTTCCAACATGGAGCCCTTCACCAAAATGGACGCAACTTTCTTCTTGGCAAGTGGAACTTTCAGCCCCACTCACTCCCTTGCTGAGTGCCTTTGTGTGGTACAAAAATTAACAACTACGTGGAGGGGAGCCCTAAATCTAGCAACCCTGGCTCCTGACTTCAAAATGCCAGCAGCAGCCCCAATCCTTATGTCAAAACAAACAAATAAATTTGACACTCCACGATTTCCCCATATGTCCTTAAGATCTCCCCTTGAGGCCGGGCGCAGTGGCTCATGCCTGTAATCCCAGCACTTTGGGAGGCCAAGGCGGGCAGATCATCTGAGGTCAGGAGTTCGAGAACAACCTGGCCAACATGGTGAAAACCCATTTCTACAAAAAATACAAAAATTAGCCGGGCATGTTGGTGGGCGCCTGTAGTCCCAGCTACTCAGGAGGCTGAGGCAAGAGAATTACTTGAACCCAGGAGGCGGAGGTTGCAGTGAGCCAAGATTACGCCATTGCACTCCAGCCTGGGTGACAAGAGCGAAACTCTATCTCAAAAAAAGAAAAAAAAAAAAGATCTCCGCTTGAGAACAGTATCTTGGTCCAGAGGGTTTTGTACACAACTCGTTAAGTTAGAAAGCTGTTCCTTGAATTAACTCATTTTAAGCTTTTTTTTGTAGATAACTTGTGCTTTATGTGTAAAACACCAAGCCCAGGGCCTGGCATATAGTGTGCTTTTGATATATGGAATTTGTAAAAGCTATAGCAGGAGCAAACTGAGATTTCCTATAGGCAAATGCCATCACCTTAATGAATAAACAGAATTTTAGGCCAATAGAAGATATCGTTTTGAGTAGGAAAAGAGGAGTGGGGAAGGAACCACTGGACTCTCCCACAAATCACATTCCTCACCTTCCATAGTGGTGGTCCTACCACCTTGGGAAATCTTTTTCTCCTCTCTTCCAGAAGCTGCTATTGTATATCATCTTCAAAGGTCAACTAATCTTTGATAATTGCAGATAATTAAGAGTTGGATATATTAGGTCCAATGGTTGATTTTGATTATTCATTTTTAATGCTGAAAAATGAAAGTATTTCTCTATTTAATAAGTTCATTGCTATGGCAACCCCAACGAAGTAATCACAACCTTGTAAATCAATAATAATAAGGTGTATGTAAAATACACATTTATATAATTATATTTGTTCCATATAATTATATATAATTATACCTTAGATTTAAGTATTCCTTTTATTTGATAATGTGTGTTTTATGGAAAACTACATACTTTATTCGTGAGATGGGAACGCTCCCTGGATGGCTGAATGGGAGTGAGAGGAAATATTCTACCCTAGGATCCCCTAAAGTGCCTTCAGATGTGTTTTATAGCATTCATTATGCTTTAAGAAAGGTTCACTAGACACGAATAGCAATAGAAACTGTGTTGCACATTTCCCTCCTGCATTTTTACACCACAGAAATGTGGATCTGTCTTAAAAGTGATAGCATGATAATCATTATTGACAGAGAGACCATGATAATGGTCATTGCCTGTGAACATATGACCTTGGTTGTTATTCATAGTTGAATAACTGGACAACGGACATCCCTGGTATTTAATCAATAAACCATTTAAGATCCACACGTGGGAAGAGTATGAGTCCTGGTGTTGTCAGAAAACATTCCATTGATACCTTCTGATAATATCAGGAAAGTGTCAGCAATGGATGAGGAAAACCCAATTTGTTACATTTTCCTTTTAGGGATCATACTCTTGATGAAGAGTCCAAGAACTCTGCCCCGTCCTAGGCCCCAAAGATTTTCCCTTTTTTCTGCCTTCTTTTTCCCTTCTTTTTAGAGATAGGATCTCAGTGCTGTCACCTAGGCTGGAATATAGTGGCACAACCATAGCTTACTGTAACCTCCAACTCTTGGGCTCAAGTGACCCACCTGTCTCAGCCTTCTGAGTAGCTCAGACTGCAGGTGCACATCACCACACCCAACAATTTTTTTTTTTTTTTTTTTTTTTTAGAAACAGGGTCTTGCTATATTACCCAGTCTGGTCTCGAACTCCTGGCCTCAAGCAATCCTCCTGCCTTGGCCTCCCAAAGTGCTGGGATTACAGGCATGAGCCTGTAATCGTCAAATAGTTTCAGTAAAAATAAATCGAGAATACTGCCTTCATTTAAAAACCTGAGAATTGTTCCTTCCTCTTTTATTCTTCTGAAGAGAGTGTATAGAATTAGTGTTAATTCTTCTTTAAACATTAGGAGAATTGTCCAGGAAAACCATTAGCGCCTGCAGATTTCCCTTTTGGAAATTTTAAAATTGTAAATTAAGCTTCCTTTATGCATAGGACCATTCAAATGATGTTTTTCATATTGGAAGAATTGTAGGTTTTTTTTGTTTTGTTTTGTTTTGTTTTTTTTTGAGACGGAATCTCATTCTGTCACCCAGGCTGGAGTGCAGTGGCGCCATCTCGGCTCACTGCAACCTCTGCCTCCCAGATTCAAGCAGTTCTCCTGCCTCAGCCTCCCAAGTAGCTGGGATTACAGGCATATGCCACCATGCCCGGCTAATTTTTTTTGTATTTTTAGTAGAGACAAGGTTTCACCATATTGGCCAGGCTGGTCATGAACTCCTGACCTTGTGATCTACCCACCTCAACCTCCTGAAGTGCTGGGATTACAGGCATGAGCCACCGTGCCTGGCATGTCATTTTTTTTTGTTTTGTTTTTTGTTTTTTTTTTTTCCAAGAAATTGGTCCATGTATTTTAATTTGTCAAATGTATGTATGTAGAGTTATTAATAGTGTTTCCTTGTTATCTTTTTATGTCTGCAGGGTCTGTAGTGATGTCTTCTCTTTCCTTCCTGATATTGATAATTTGTATCTTGTCTCTTTTTTCTTTGTCTGTCTTGCTAAAGGTTTGTCAATTTTATTGATCTTTTCAAAGAACCATCTTTTTGTTTCGTTAATTTTTCTCTATTGTTTTTCTATTTTCAGTGTTGTTGATTTCTGCACTTTATTTCTTTCCTTCTACTTGCTTTGAGTTTATTTTGCTCTTTAAAACAATTTTTTTTTCTTTTTTTTTTTTTTTAGACAGGGTCTGGCTCTGTCACTCAGGCTGAAGTACAGTGGCCTGATATTGGCTCGTGGCAACCTTGACTGCATGGGCTCAAGTGATCCTCCCACCTCAGCCTCCTGAGTAGCTGGGACCACAGGCGTGTGCCACCATGCCTGGCTAATTTTTGTAGTTTTTGTAGAGACAGAGTTTTGTCATGTTACTCAGCTGGTCTTGAACTCCTGAGTTCAAGCGACCTATGGCCTCCCAAAGTGCTCAGATTACAGGTATGCTGCACCCAGCCTATATTTTTCTCTTTTTTATTTCTAGCTCTTAAGGTGGAATTTTAAATTACTGATTTTAGGGTTTTTTTCTCTATAAAAATATATGCACTTAGTACAGTACTTATATATTTCCCTCTTAGAATTGCTTTGTCCTACAAGTTTTGATATGTTATATTTTCTTTTTTTTTTTTTTTTTTTTTTGAGATGGAGTCTTGCTCTGTAGCCCAGGCCGGACTGCAGTGGTGCGATCTCGGCTCACTGTAAGCTCCGCCTCGCGGGTTCACGCCATTCTCCTGCCTCAGCCTCCTGAGTAGCTGGGACTACAGGTGCATGCCACCACACCCGGCTGATTTTTTGTATTTTAGTAGAGATGAGGTTTCACCGTGTTAGCCAAGATGGTCTCGATCTCCTGACCTCGTGATCCGCCCGTCTCGGCCTCTCAAAGGGCTGGGATTACAGGCGTGAGCCACCGCGCCCGGCGATATGTTATATTTTCATTTTCATTCAATTTAATGTATTTTTTTTTTCAGTTTCTCCTGAGACCTCATCTCTGGCCCCTGAACTATCTAGAAGTGTGTTGTTTAGTTTCCAAGTGACTAATTTCTAGTTTGATTCCACTGTAATCTGGGAACACACTACGTATGATTTTAATCAATCTTTCTTTCTTTCTTTCTTTCTTTCTTTCTTTCTTTCTTTCTTTCTTTCTTTCTTTCTCTCTTTCTTTCCCTCCCTCCCTCCCTCTTTCTTTCTTTCTCTCTCCCTTTCTTTCTTTCTCTCTCTCTTTCCCTCCCTCCCTCTCTCCCTCTTTCTTTCTCCCTTCCCTCCCCTTCTCTTCCCTTTCTTCCCTCCCTTCCCTTCCCCTCCCTTCCTTCGTTCTTCCTTCCTTTCTCCCTTCCCTTTCCTCCCTTCCTCCCTTCCTCCTTTTCCTCTTTCTCCCTTCCTCCCCTCCTCCCCTCCTCCCTTCCTCGCTTCCTCGCTTCCTCCCCTCCTCCCCTCCTCCCTTCCTGCCTTCCTCCCTTCCTCCCTTGCTTCCTTCCTTCCTTCCTTCTTCAGACTCTCACTCTGTTACCCAGGCTGGAGTGCAACCTCCTGGGCTCGATTCTCCCACCTCAGCTCCCTTAGTAGCTGGGACTACAGACATGCGCCGCCACACTTGGCTACTTTTGTACTTTTTGGAGAGGTGGGGTCTCCCTATGTTGCCCAAGCTGGTCTCGCACTCCTAGGCTCAAGCGATCCATCTGCCTTGACCTCCCAAAGTGCTAGGATTACAGGCACGAGCCACCATGCCCGGCCTTAATTCTTTTACCTTTCTTGGGTTTGTTTTGGATGATCTTCTTTTTCCAGTATCTTAACACGGAAGATTATGTTGCTAATTTGAGATCTTTTTCATTTTTAGAAAAATTCAATGGCTTTTGATTAAAATTCAGTTTGCACATCTGTCATCGTGATCAATTTTGAGTCATTTTCATTATTCTAAAAAGACATCTTACACCTCTTATTTGTCGCCCTCAATCTTTCCACGCTATTCACTCTCCTAGGCAATTGCTGATCTACTTTCTGTCTCTATCTCTTTGCCTACTGTGGACATTTCATAAAAATAGAATTATATGATATGTGGTCTTCTGTGACTGGCTTCTTTCACTTAGCATACTGTTTTCAAGGCTCATACATGTTGTAGCAGGTTTTAATACTTCATTCCTTTTTATGGCTGAATAACATTCAATTGTATGGTTAAAATACATTTTGTTTGTCTGTTTACCAGTTGATGGACATTTAGGTTGCTTCCTTTTTTTGATATTATGACTAATGCCGCTATAAACATTTGTACACAAGTTTGTGTGTGAATATATGTTTTCAACTCTCTTGGATATATAATTAGGAGAGGATGTGCTTGATCATATGGCAACTCTATGTTCAATCATTTGAGGAGTTGCCAAACGGTTTTCCAAGGCAGGTGCACCATTTTATATACCCATCAGCAGTGTATGGGGGTTTTAATTTCTCCACATCCTCACCAATACTTATTATCTCTCTTAAATTATGGCTATACTAATGAGTATGAATGGTTTTACTTTTTTTTTTTTTTTTTTTTTTGAGACATCATCCAAGCTGGAGTGCAGTGGCATGATCACAGCTTGTTGCAGCCTCAGCCTTCTGGGCTCAAGTCATCCTCCTGCCTCAGCCTGGAACCACATGCATACCCCACCACACTCGGCTAATTAAAAAAAATTTTTTTTGTAGAAACTGGGGTCTTGCTATGTTGCCTGGGCTGGTTGTGAACTCCTAGTGTCAAGTGATCCTTCTGCCTCGCCCTCCCAAAATGCTGGGATTACAAGCCTGCCACTGTGCCTAGCTATGAATAGTTTTTCACGTCTTTCAGTTGTATTTTCCTAATGGCTAATAATGTTGAGCATGTGCTTATTGGCTATTTGTATATCTTCTTTGAGCATGTCTAATTAGGTTCTTTGTCCACTTTTAATTGAGTCATTTATCTTTGAATTGTAGGTGTTCTTTATGTATCTTAAATACAAGTCTCATCAGTTATATGATTTGTAAAAATTTTATCCTATTTGATGAGATATCTTTTCATGTTATTAATAGTGTCCTTTGAAGCACCAATGTTTTTCATTTTGAGGAAATCCAATTTATATAATTTTTCTTTGGTTGCTTGAGCTCTCTTGGTGTTGTGTTTGAGAAACCATTGTCTAACCCAAGGTTGTGAAGATTTATGCCTATATTTTCTTCTAAGAGTTTTATAGTTTTAGCTGTTATATTTAGGTCTGATTTATTTTGAGTTAATTTTTACACATGGTATAAGGTAAGGTTCCAACATTATTCTTTTTCATGAAGATATCAAGGTGTCCCAGGACAATTTTTTGAAAGAACTATTTTTCCGCATTAATTTTATCTGCACACTTGTCAAAAATCAATTGACCATAAATTCATGGGCTTATTTCTAGAGTTTTAATTCTACTCCACTGATTTATATGTCTATCCTTATGCCAACACCACAGTCTTGATTACTGAAGCTGTATAGTTATTTTTGAAATCAGAAAATGTGAATCGCCAGCTTTGCTGTTTTCAAGATTAGTTTGGCTATTCTGGGGCCCTTGGATTTCCATATGAATTTTAGGGTCAGTTTGTCAATTTCCACAAAAAATGTAGTTGAAATTTTGATAGGCATTGTGTTGAATCTCTACTGCTACCTGTTTTTGCATTGGCCATAAACTCAGAATGGTTTACGTTTTGAAATTATTGAAAAAAAGTCAAAAGAAGAATAATATTTCATGTCAAGTGAAAATTATACAAAGTTCAAATTTCCATGCGTATAGAGTTTCACTGGAACACAGCCATGCTTGTCAATTTTTGTATTACCTATGGCGGCTTCAGCACCACAGTGACAGAGAGGAGCAGTTGCAACAGAGACGTTTTGGCCAGCAAAGCCTACAATATTTACTAACTGGTCCTTTCCAGAAAGTTTGCTGACCCTTGCTCTAGACAATGGCAAAGACTGAATAATCATTGCCTGAAAGTCCAAGCAAAATCAAACCCTAGGACTATAATCTTGGGCTGGAATTTTTCCTCCTATTCAAGGGGTTCTTGTTGTGCTATGTTTAGACCTGATGGAACTTGGTTTTTAAATTTTTTTCTAGTGTGATATGTAAATGTAGAAAGAGAGTGGCTGGACATGCATGTGGCAAGAAGAAGGAAGATGAAGAGGGAAAAGATAAACTCTGTGGGCATTAATAGAACAGTATAGAGTTCAAATATCAGAGGTGAAGGGAGCTTAACAATCTTTTCATTTTTACAGGTGAGGAAAGTGTGATTCAGGAAGTCTTCTCAGAAATTACATAACATCTGATTCTCGTCTTGCAGTTTTTGACAACCTTGCCTATCTTTAGACAGTTATATGACATATACACTCATACTCCAATAGATAATGAGGCAGGAGAACCGGGTCTTGAAGCAGGGAACCTAAGGCTGATTCAGGCTGACTTCCTAGAACTAAATCAAAAGGAAAACCCCAACGTTCCACACCTAAGTAACGAAAGGACCTGAGGCTACCCCTTTTGCAAAACCCCCCACCCTTTTTTTCTGCGTGGCAGATGGAAAATTGTACGTATCTCTGATTGGTTGCTTTTTGCAACCAATCAGACGTTTGCATAGAAGGGTAACTTTGTAACTTCACTTCAGCCTCTGATTGGTTGCTTTCGACAACCAATCAGACTGATGATGGGCCGCTAGTTTATTTACATAGGTGTACACCAAGTAACCAATGGGAAACCTCTGGAGGGTATTTAAACCCCAGAAAATTCTGTAAAGGGGCTCTTGAGAATCTATGCTCAGGCCGCTCCCACCCTTTGGAGTGTACTTTTGTTTTCAATAAATCTGCTTTTGTTGCTTCGTTCTTTCCTTGCTTTGTTTGTGCATTTTGTCCAATTCTTTGTTCAAAACGCCAAGAACCTGGACACCCTGCACTGGTAACAGATAATATTTTATTATTTTCTAGAGTGAGTTCCCATCAGTTTGTCGTCTCTGTTCAGAGAATATTCCCATGCCCTACTCAGGACACTCAACTTGAAGCCTATCAAGAAAATCGGAGCTTTGCTAAGAGCAGACTGTCTACGGAAACTCTTATTTTCTGGCATTGACAGTAGAATTCTCTTTTGCGTGTGCTAAAAACTGTGATTATGCGGCGTTGACAATGCACCTGACAGTTGGATATCACCTTATTTTAAAGCCCGCAGGCCCCTGAGTCTTCAGTTCACTCATGTACTATCAAAGACATGTGAAAAGGCAAAGAGTGATCAAAGAACAGAGATCAAAGTTGGGGCATTAAAAGTTATATTATTATTTTCATCGGTTAAACTCTATTCCTTCTTTGTATGAATGAAAGGGAGATCTGTGATTGGATTTCCACTGATTGCCACCCGCTAATCCGTGTCACACGGACAACATCAGCTGCAGCAGCTGAGGGTTGTTGGTGTAGATCTGAGCTGAGACTCAGCACGTTGAGAGGATGGGAGAAATTCAGCAGCTGCCAAAGGAGGGGCTGAGAAGGAGAAACGTTTCCATCAGGCTAATGAAACCTGTCAGCAACAGCAGGGGATCCAGAGCCCGTCCTCCCAGAATGCAAGAGGAGCGGAAGAGCAGCCAAGAAGAAAGGAGGGAGGAGGGGAGGAGGAAGAAACAAAGAATTCATAATTATACCAATTATAGCAGGAGTAGGAGGAGTTTGGCAGGAGGGGTGGTCATGAAACAAAAGAAAACAATTAAAGTATGGTTCAACAATTGGCAAAGTGCTGACTTTGTTCTCTGAACATTTCTCCTAGGGAGCAGCTTCTGCTGGGGCGGTGGTAGAGGTCGATGTGCCTAAGCCTTAGGGTCCCTCTTCACCCTGGGAGGAGCACTGGCAATGGGTTCAGATGGTCTGAAGTGTTTACAAATTCTGCGGAAGGAAAATATCATAACTGCCGTCAGTTAAGCCTACTGTGTCTTTCCACCTCGGCTTCCCTCATGGAGAGTTTTGGGGTTAGCTAAAGGGAAGCTGAGTTAGGAAGGCACCATATTAACTGCATTTTACAAAGATGTTTTGGGACATTTCAATAAAAGCACATGAGAAACCATAAAGTCCTATTTTTTTTTCTTTTCTTTTGATACAGAGTCTCGCTCTGTCGCCCAGGCTGGAGTGGAGTGGCGCAATCTTGGCTCACTGCAACCTCCACCTCCTGCTTCAGCCTCCCAAGTAGCTGGGATTACAGGTGCCCGCCACCACGCCCAGCTAATTTTTTGTATTTTTAGTACAGACAGGGTTTCACCACGTTGGTCAGGCTGTCTCAAACTCCATCCTCAGGTGATCCATCCGCCTCGGCCTCCAAAAGTGCTGGGATTACAGGCATTAGCCACTACGCCCAGCTGATAAAGTCCTATTTAGACATACACAAAGATAGCTTATTTTACAATCCTTATATTTATTTATTAAAGAAGGGAGAGAAAAATTAGGTAAAAATTAGTGAGATATGAAACAAAACAGTTAAGATGAGTGATTAAGTCAATAGGAGTTATTCCGACACTGAGAAGGAAAGTATAACACAAAACTTCCAGATCATACCAAAACCAATCGTGCATTAGGAGGAAGGGATATTCTGTTAGGAGAAACAAATGATTCTATATTTAGATTATTTGAAATCTGAGTAATAAAGAGTTGTGAATTATATGAACTCACATAGAATTAAGCCTGGCGTGGTGGCTTATGCCTGTAATCCCAGCACTTTGGCAGGCCAAGGTGGGAGGATTGCTTGAGCTTAGGAGTTTGAGATCAGCCTGGGCAACACAGCAAGACCCTGTTTCTACAAAAAATAAAAAATTAGTCATGTGTGGTGGCATGTGCCTGTAGTCCCATCTAACCAGGAGGCTGAGGAGGGAGGATGTCTTGAGTGCAGGAGGCTGAGGCTGCAGTGAGCCATGATCATGCTACTGCACTGCAGCCTGGGCAACAGCACGAGGCCCTGTCTTAAAAAAAATAAAGAAAAATAATTTAAAATCTATGTGGGTTAAACATGAAATATTGACTTTGGTAAGGAGAACATAAAACTCTAAAAATATTTTTTTTTGTTAAGACACAGGGTCTTGCTCTGTTGCTGATATGGTTTGGCTGTGTCCCCATCCAAATCTCATCTTGAATTGTAGTTACCATAATCCCCACGTGTTGTGGGAGGGACCTGTGGAGGTAATTGAATCATGGGGGTGGTTTCCCTCATGCTGTTCTCGTGATAGTGAGTGAGTGCTCATGAGATCTGATGGTTTTATAAGGGACTTCCTCCTTTGCTCGGCTCTCATTCTTCTCCTTGCTGCCGCCACATGAAGAAGGATGTGTTTGCTTTTCCTTCTGCCATGACCGTAAATTTCCTGAGGCCTCCCCAGCCATGCTGAACTATGAGTCAATTAAACCTCTTTCCTTTATAAATTACCCAGTCTTGGGTATGTCTTTATTAGCGGCGTGAGAATGGACTAATACAGTTGCCCAGGTTGGAGAGCAGTGTCCAGTTCATTACTCACCATAGTCTCAAACTCCTGGGCTCAGGGGATCTTCACATCTCACCCTCCAAAGTAGCTGGGACCACTGGCATGCACCACCATGCCTAGCTAATTTTTTGTTGCTCCGGCTGGTCTCAAACTCCTGGCCTCTAGCAATCCTTCTGCCTTGGCTTCCTAAAGTGCTGGGATTACAGGTGTGAGCCATTGTGCCCGGCCTCCATAAAACTCTTAATTTTCCAATACAATGAGGACATTGATGACAAACTAGGTAATGAATATTGTCAACTTGAGGACTCAGACACAGAAAAACTGAAAGTATCCTAAAATATTACGGCTCATACATAAATTTATTTACTAACAATTTTCCTGAAATTTGACAAAATCCAAGAAAGTTACGAGATGTTACCAACAACTAGTTGCTTTGATAGAAGTAGAAAGAAGCATTTCTAAACTATCAATCATTTTCAAATGTCAATTACCAACGCTTAAGATAATTTTCTTTCTATTCTTGCCAAACAAAATATTACAAAATCACTGTCTTTTTAAGAGGCTATCAGAGTGTCTGCAGACAAAAATTATAAGAAAAAAAGCCTTTTAGAGATGCATGAGAAAATTTGTTTATAAAAATACTATTTTTTAGGATTATGTGATGTTTGTGGTATTAAGTAGCTTAAAAATTATAATTTACATGATTTTTCTTATACTAAATATCTCCTTTTGTACTCTAGTTGATATTTAAAACTCTGTATTTTTTCAAGAGGACCCCTAGAAATTGCATATGATTCAGACCACTTGACACAGGATTTGCCCATTCTTGTAAATTTCTAGGTGTCCTGCCTTAGGAACAGCCCCTCTTCACACTCAAGTGACTTTCATGCTCCCAGCTTTTCTGCTATTCCCTTCTTGGAGATGTATATATATTTATATATATAGTTTTATAATTTTTCTTTTTTTTTTTTTTTTTGAGACGGAGTCTCGCTCTGTCGCCCAGGCTGGAGTGCAGTGGTGCGATCTCGGCTCACTGCAAGCTCCGCCTCCCAGGTTCACGCCATTCTCCTGCCTCAGCTTCCCGAGTAGCTGGGACTACAGGCGCCCACCACTACGCCCAGCTAATTTTTTTTTTTTTTTTTTTTCAGTAAAGACGGGGTTTTACCATGTTAGCCAGGATGGTCTCGATCTCCTGACCTTGTGATCCGCCCGTCTCGGCCTCCCAAAGTGCTGGGGTTACAGGCGTGAGCCACCGTGCCCGGCCTAGTTTTATAATTTTTAATTGTGGCCAATACACATACAATTTGCAACCTTAACTATTTTTTTTTAGTGTGTAGTTAGTGGCATTAAGTACATTCACACTATTTTGGAACCGTCACCACCATCCATCCACACAACTATTTTCATCTTGTAAAACCGAAGCTCTGTACCCATTAAACAACAAGTCTCCATTCTCCTCTCCCTCCAGCCCCTGGAAACCACCATGCTGCTTTCTGTCTCTATGAATTCGACTATTCTAGGCATCCTGTAAAGTGGAATTACATAGTATTTGTCTTTTTATGACTGTTCAATTTTTTTTCTGATTCTTATTTCTTGAACTGTTGAAGATAGCCCCCATCTATTGAAACTTTATATTTTTATTTTTATTACCGTGTTTTCTGGAAAAAATTGTGTGAGTTTTGTTAAATAAATATTTTCCAAAGGAAACTGGTTTTGACTCCTGTTTCACCCAGTCAACTTAGGAAGACATTTGTTTTAAAATCATGTGGAATTTTTGCCCAATTTCTGCTGTATTGGCTCAATGAAAAGATGTATCTACAGTGGAAATAATTGAGAAGAAAGCTTTAGTTACTTCCTCAGACATAGCCTTCTTATCTGTGATGGGGTTTTTTTTGAAACAGAGTCCTGCTCTGTTGCCCAGGCTGGAGTGCAGTGGTGTGATCTTGGCTCACTGCAACCTCTGCCTCTGGGGTTCAAGTGATTCTTGTGCCTGAGCCTCCCAAGTAGCTGGGACCACAGGTGTCTGCCCCCACACCCAGCTAATTTTTGTATTTTTAGTAGAGACAGGGTTTCGCCATGTTGGCCAGGCTGGTCTCTAACTCCTGACCTCAGGTGATCCGCCCACCTTGGCATCTCAAAGTGCTGGGATTATAAGTGTGAGCTACCATGCCAGGCCCTGTGATGATTAATTTTATGCGTCGACTTGACTGGGCCACAGGATGCCAGGAAGCTAGTTAAACATGTTTCTGGGTGTGGTTGTGAGGGTCTCTCTGGAAGAGATGAGTATGTGAATGAGTGAACTGAGGAGAGCAGGTAGCCCGGTGTGGGTCAGTCTCTTGGCCTGACTCTCTGAGTTGGAACATTTGTCTTCCACCCTCAGTGCTACTGTTTCTCAGACCTTCAGACCTGGGTTCAAATCTATACCATTGGCTCTCCTACTTGCAGGCCTTTGAACTACCTCATCAGCTTTTCTGGGTCTCCAGCTTACAGATGGCAGATCATGGGACTGCCTAACAAATTCCATTCTCTCTCTCTATAGATATTTATATATATTTCTGTTTCTCTGTAGAAACTTGACTAATACAACACCCAAGTCCCATTTTAGCCATTTCCAAGAGATTTCAAGTTACTCAGGGACATATCTCGATTGGTGTTTGTGCACCTCACCTGTGACATGAACTTTAACTTATCTTACAAGAATATTGTAGGAACTCATTTCATAAGGTAAAAATCATTTACATAACAGTGCTTTATAAACTAAGCTATTATTTTTATCATTATGCATTCACTGTTATTATGTCTGATCATTATGTGATTGTATGTACTACAGCAATAAGAAGAGATTGTTGATATTTAATGGCATTGAAGATAATTTTCACTCAACATCAGTCACCAAATCTTTTATGAAATGATGACATGGCTGGGCGCCGTGGCTCACGCCTGTAATTCCAGCACTTTGAGAGGCCGAGGCGGGCGGATCACTTGAGGTCAGGAGTTCGAGACCAGCCTGGCCAACATGGTGAAACTCTGTCTCTACTAAAAATACAAAAATTAGCTGAGTGTGGTGGTGGGCGCCTGTAATCCCAGCTACTCAGAAGGCTGAGGCAGGAGAATTGCTTGAACCCTGAAGGCAGAGGCTGCAGTGAGCCAAGATTGTGCCACTGCACTCCAGCCTGGATGACAGAGTGAGACTCTGTCTCAAAATAAATAAATACATACATACATACATACATAAAAATAAAACAAAAAAGAAATGATAACATGGCAGGCTTAGGGTTTGTAGTATACATTGCTACTGTGAGTATTAACGGTGTTCTGGATTATACATTATAGATAGAGAAATGAAACGAGCCACACTGTTCACTCTTTTGCAGTCATTTTCTTCACCCCACTAAGAAACCCCATGCCTATTAGCAGATATTTCCTACGTTTCCCGCCCTCCAGCCTCTGACAACTACAAACCTACTCTCTGTCTTTATGGATTTGTTTAATCTGGACATTTATGTAAATACAGTCGTACAATAAGTGGCTTTTTGTGTTTGGCTGCTTTCACTTAATGTTTTTAAAGTTCATACATGTTATGGCATAAATCAATACACACCCCTTTTTATAGCTGAATAATATTCCATTGCATGAGTCCACCCCCTTTTTTTTTTTTTTTTTTTTTTTGGAGATAGAGTCTCACTCTGTTGCCCAGGCTGGAGTGTGATGGCGTAATCTCGGCTCACTGCAACCTCTGCTTCCCAGGTTCAAGTGATTCTCCTGCCTCAGCCTCCTGAGTAGCTGGGATTACAGTTGCACACTACCACGCCTGGCTAATTTTTTGTATTTTTAGTAGAAACAGGGTTTCACCATGTTAGCCAGGCTGGTCTCGAACTCCTGACCTCAGGTGATCTGCCTGCCTCGGCCTCCCAAAGTGCTGGGATTACAGGCATGAGTCACTGCACCCGGCCATTCTCACTTTCTTGATAGTATCCTTTGTAGCACAAAAGTTTTAATTCTAATGATGCCCCATTTATCTATTTTCTTTTGTTTCATGTGCTTTTGGTGTCATGTCTAAGAAAACATTGCTTAATCCAAGGTCGCAGAGTTATATACTTCTGTTTTCTTCTAAGTGTTTCATGGTTTTAGCTATTTGATTTATTTTGAATTAATTTTTGTATATGGGGTGAGGTAATGCTCAATTTAACTGTTTTTGTATGTTTGTTTTCTGGAGACAGGTCTCACTCTGTCACCCAGGCTGGAGTACAGTGGCACGATCTTAGCTCATTGCAACCTTAACCTCCTGGGCTCAAGTGATCCTCTCATCTGATCCTCCCAAGTGGCTGGGACTACAGACATATGCTACCATGCCTGACTAATTTATTTTTATTTTTTGTAGAGATGAGGTCTCACTACACTGCCCAGGCTGGCCTCGAACTCCTGGGCTCAAGCAATCCTCTCATCTTGCCTCCCAAAGTGCTGGGATTACAGGCATGAGCCACCATGGCCAGCCTCAATTTAATTCTTTTTCCACATGGATATCAAGTTGTCTCAGCACCATTTGTTGAAAAAGACTATTCTTTCCCCACTGAATGGTCTTAGCACTGTTGCCCAAAACGTACCGGTTTATTCCTGGACTATGAATTATATATTCTATTTATCTGTATTTCTATCCTTATGTGAATACTACACAGTTTAGTTTATTGTAGCTTTGTACCAAGTTGTGACATAGGGAAGGAAGTTTGAGTCCCCTAATGGCAAACTGCAGCCTCGACCCCCTGGACTCAAGTGATCCTCCCACATCAGTCCCCCAAGTAGCTGGGACTGCAGGCATGTGCCACCACGCCCAGCTAATTTTTTTTGTCTTTTTTTTGTAGAAACAGAGTTTTGCCATGTTGCCCAGACTGGTCTTGAACTCCTGAGCTCAAGCCATTCACCTGCTTTGGCCTCTGAAATTACTGGGATTACAGGTGTGAGCCACCACGCCTGGCTGAGTCCTCCAATTGTGCTTTTATTTTTTTTAATTTTTAATTTTTTTTTTTTGAGACAGAGTCTCGCTCTGTTGCCCAGGCTGGAGTGCAGAGTGGCACTATCTCAGCTCACTGCAAGCTCCGCCTCCCGGGTTCATGCCATTCTCCTGCCTCAGCCTCCAGAGCAGCTGGGACTACAGGCACCCACCACTACGCCCAGCTAACTTTTTGTATTTTTAGCAGAGATGGGGTTTCACCATGTTAGCCAGGATGGTCTCGATCTCCTGACCTCTGATCCGCCCACCTCGGCCTCCCAAAGTGCTGGGATTACAGGCGTGAGCCACTGCACCCGGCGCAAATTTTTATTTTTTAAAAATGAAGACAAGTTCTCACTATGTTGCTTGGGCTGGTCTCAAACTCCTGGCCTCAGATGATCCTCCTGCCTCAGCCTCCCAAGTGCTGGGATTACAGGTGCAAACCACTGTGCCTGGCCAACTTTATTCTTATTTTCAGGACGGTGTTGGGTATTTTGAGTTCCTTGCATCTCCATATGAATTTTAGGATCAGCTCATCAGCAGCAAAAAAAGACAACTGGGATTTTAATAGGGATTATGTTGAATTTATATGTCAATTTGGGGAGTATTGTCATCTTAATAATATTAAGTCTTGCAATCCAATATTACAGTGTGTCTTTTACTTATTTAGGTTTTATTTAATTTCTTTCAACTATGTTTTGTGGTTTTCAGTGTACAATGTTGAATTTATTTTGTTAAATTTAGTCCCAAGTATTTTATTCTTTTTGATGCTATTGTAAACAGCTGTTTTTCTAATTCCATTTTTTAGATTATTCTTTGCTAGTGTATAAAAATAAAGTTGATTTTTGCATATTAGTCTTGTATCTTACAACCTTGCTGAACTTGTTTATTAGCTTTAGTAGTCTTTTTGTGGATTCCTTAGGCTTTTCTATAAACAAGACCATGTTAGGTCTTTGTGGAAAGTTTTGCAATATTAATGCAATCACTACCTGTTAAAGGTCTATTCAGATTTTCTATTTCTCCTACATACCAAGTTGACAGTTTGCATCTTTCTAGGAATTTTCACTAAGGTGCCTTCTTTAAAAGTCATTTTGTGACCTCTCTTTGATAGCAAAAAATTTTTTCTGAAAATATCTTTATTTTGCCTTCATTCTTGAGAGGTAGTTTTACTCAGCATAACATTCTTGCTTGGCAGGTATTATCTGTCTGCACATTGGTGTTGTGCACTATTTTCTTTTTCTTTTTTCTTTTCTTTTCTTTTTTTTTTTTTTTGAGACAGTCTTGCTCTGTTGCCCAGGCTGGAGGGCAGTGGTGCAATTTTGGCTCACGGCAACCTCTGCCTCCCAGGTTCAAGCAATTGTCGTGCCTCAGCCTTCTGAGTACCTGGGATTACAGGCATCTGCCACCACGCCCGGCTAATTTTTGTATTTTTAGTAGAGACGGGGTTTCATCATGTTGGCCAGGCTGGTCTCGAACTCCTGACCCTCAGGTGATCCACCCACCTCAGCCTCCCAAAGTGCTGGGATTACAGGCATGAGCCACTGCGCCTGGCCTATTCCATTGTTTTCTAGCTTTCACTGATGTTGAGCTGTCTGTCATTTATCTTTGTGAGCAGTCTGTCTTTATATTCATGATCTTCTCTTTGGTTCTGCAGATTCATTATGATGCATCTAGGTATGTATGGATTTCCTCTTATTTCTCTCTCTTACTATTTCATGTTAGATTTTTTTCACTTTTCCTCCATTTCTTTCAACTCCTTCCTCATATCTTCCATCTGATTCTCTGTCCTGCATTCTGGATTGTTGCAGACTGGGTTCTCCATAAACAGATGCTGAGATGAAGTTTGGGGTGCAACTTTGGGGTGATGTTTATTAGGAATCAACACCTGTGAAGGGAAAGAGGAGGATCCAGGTGTGTGCAGAGAGAGAAGTTGAACAGTGATGCAGGCTTGACAAAACACTTGCCCACCAACCAGAGAGCTTTGGAATCAATATCGTCTATCAGAGTTTTCCCACATCAGCCTGAAACCGCCACAACTTCCAGCTCCTACTTTATTCCTTCACTCAGTGTGAGCTTCCCTGGCAAGTATGTGATTACTGGTGAGGTGCTTTCTGCAGCAGAAGCAGAGGCAGATCCTGATGGAGCTGGCAGTCGAGGCTGTCCTTTTTACTTCCTGGGCAACAAGCTTTTCCTTGCAGGGGGACCTAGGTGGTGAACTTCTGCATCTACCCATGCATTATTCCTTCTGATCTGTCTTTTATTTTTACTAGTTCTTTCTTTAGCTGCCCCACTCTGATTTTAACCTGTTTGTTGAATTTTCTCAATTAAATATTTTATTTTGTCAAGAACTATTTACATATACATGTAACTTAATGGTGATTATTCTAAAAATGAAGTAGGGAGCACACACTGAGCTGTGTACGGCAATATTGGCACTCTTAGGTGGAAGGTCCCAGGAGCGAACAAGCTAAACAGAGTCTCTGGGTCATGATGGGCTTCAGCTTCACTGAGAGCGTACAAAAGCCCTCTGGGGAGTCACTGGGCAGGGCCATGCATTCTGGGAAGCACTGGACTTAGCACAGTCAGGACACCTGCCCAGGCTGTGTTCTAGCATGTTTGGCTAAGATGTTGCAGGATTGTCTTGAACTTTCCCCACCCCAGTTCTGAAATCAACTCTTTGTTTGGGAAGCCTTGGCTCCTTTTATTGGAGATTGCTACTTGGAAAGCAAGTTCTAAGTGCTAGATGTACTCATTACTATGAAAGTGACTGCTCATAGGACATTTTAGTGGATGGAACTAGAAAATACATGTATGTACACACACACATACACACACAGTAGTGTGCTGATGAATGTTCAACAGTAGGCTCTCTGGGGGAAAAAAAAGTCCCTGATTTGTAGCATTTACCAATTTCCTTGGTGATAATACTCCCATCCTTGTCAATCTAAAAGTCAGTTTAATATCAGCCTGCTGCAGAATTCTTATTTTATTTAATTAATTTATTTTTTTTTTGAGAGGAGTGTCACTCTGTCACCCAGGTTGGAATGCAGTGGGGCGATCTTGGCTCACTGCAAGTTCGGCCCCCCGGGTTCACACCATTCTCCTGTCTCAGCCTCCCGAGTAGCTGGGACTGCAGGCGCACACCGCCACGCCCGGCTAACTTTTCATATTTTTTTAGTAGAGATGGGGTTTCACCGTGTTAGCCAGGATGGTCTCGATCTCTTGACCTCGTGACCTGCCCACCTCAGCCTCCCAAAATGCTGGGGTTACAGGCGTTAGCCACTGCGCCTGGCCAGCCTGCTGCAAAATTCTTGAAAACTGAGCTGGTACAGGCCAGTGGCATACCACTGATGTGATATGTATGGACCTATCTCTCTCTCTTTCTGTCTCTCTCTGTCATCTATCTATTAAAACTCATGAGTTTATACTGATATCCCCAGAGCCAATCCAACACCACAGGGTTTATTCTTTCCTTCTTCCTTCCATATTTTTAAATCCTTTCTCTGACAGTGAGAAACCCACTTCCCATTACGAAGAATATATTACTTATTTTCTCAATCTTGAAATATACAGAAATTCATTTCAGAATGTCTAGTCCATACATCTGCAAATCCATCAAACAAACAAACAAAAACAGCCAGTTTACCAGAGTTCAATACTGTTTAGAGTTCTTTAGGTTAAAGATCTAATGGCATATAGTTCATATGCTTTGTTCAAAGTTACTGGGGTTTGTTCTTTAAAAAATGTTTTGACTTCAGTGTGGTTACATTATGATTATATAGGTCTGTCCATGTGTTTATTTGTATTCCATTTTAGAGTTTTCTTTTTTTTTTCTTGAGACGGAGTCTTTGTCTGTCGCCAGGCTGGAGTGCAGTGGCGCGATCTGGGTTCACTGCAAGCTCCGCCTTCTGGGTTAAAGCGATTCTCCTGCTTCAGCCTCTCAAGTAGCTGGGATTACAGGTGTGTGCCACCATGCCCAGCTAATTTTTGTATTTTTAGTAGAGGCAGGGTTTCACCATGTTGGCCAAGATGGTCTTGAACTCCTGACCTCAGGTGATCCACCCGCCTCGGCCTCCCAAAGTGCTAGGATTACAGGCGTGAGCCACCGCGCCCGGCCGAGTTTTCTTTATTCTTGTTAATTTTATGTTCTGCCTTATTATTTTTTTGAATATGTAAAACATTAACATCAAAAAGAACGGTACAGAAAATTGTATTCAGAGAAATATCACTCAACCTGTGTTCCCCATTCCTCCTCTTCTTTCTGCTTTGTTCCCACCTAACGTTTGAAGGTGACAAACTTAGTAATCTCTAGCTATCCTTCCTGTGTGGGTTGGGGGAGTTTGGTAGAAATAAGCAGATACTAGCATACTTTCCCTTATTTTTTACCTAAAGACAGCATAGTTCAGTTGCTTTTTTCTTTTTTTTTTTTTTTTGCTTTTTAAAACAACATATCCTGACAATCATTTCACATATATTAATAGGTATCTTTCTCATTCATTTTCTCAGTTGAATAATATCTTTGTGTGCATGTACCACATTGGCTCTATCTCCAATATTTGGGTATTTAGATATTTTCCAATATTTTGCCATTATAAATAATGCTTCAATGAATAACTTGGTGCATAATATTTTCCTTTTTTTAAGGTGTATTTTCACAGAAAATTCCTAGTAGTGGGATTGCTGGCACAAACGGCAAATGCATACATTGTGTTGTCAGATATTGCCATATTCTACTGCATAGCAGTTGTGTCACCTTGCATCTCTACCAGCAATGTGTGACAGTGCCTGTTTCCCAATAGCCTTTCCACATAAAGTGTGATACCTTATAATTTTTCCAATTTGGTGAGAAATTGTATATCAGTGTAGTTTTCATTTGCATTTCTTACATCATAAATGAGGTCAAACACCTTTTCATATGTTTACCAGCCATTTTATATCTTTTCTGTGAATTGTTTGGTCATGAGTTTTGCCCGTTTTCCTATTGTTTGGCCGCCTTCCTGCTTAAATTTTGAGTCAGCTGGAGAATCTTCAAGAGCCTGCAGTGAAGTCAAACTGTCTGCTACTCCAGGCGTGGTCTGTAGGTGAGCAGCATCTGATTTAGGAGCTTGACATCACCTGGAATTTGTTAGCCCTGTAGGCTCTTGGGCACCACAGCTGACCATCTCAATCAGAATTGCATTTTAACAAGATCCACAGGTGACTTATACACATAATAAAATGCGACATGCCCTCGTCTCAGCTATCTCTTAAAGACCTCATATTCCATTTCCTCTAAGAATGTCTCCTAAGTAAAACAGAAGTGAAAGAGGGGATTACATTCTTCCAGTAACATGAACCCTAAGTGGTATCTGGAAACATGTGTTAGATTAATTGTAATACCTTTCCCAGATGCTCTGTCTTGAAGAGATGTGTTTTCTACTTATGTTACCTAGCGGAATAAACAAGAGCCTACTTCTAAGCATGAGTTGATTAATTTCAAAAAACAAATTTGTAAAAAAAAAAAAAGTTTTTAGGTTGGTGCAAAAGTAATTGCAGTTTTTGCCACTGAAATAAAAGATGCAATTACTTTTGCACCAACCTAATAAATGAAGTATAAAGGTAGTGAATGTTCATTAAAAAAATTCAGTCAGGCCGGGCACGGTGGCTTACACCTATAATCCCAGAACTTTGGGAGGTCAAGGTAGGAGGATCACTTGAGCTCAGAAGTTTGATACCAGCCTGGGCAACATAGTGAGACCCTGTATCAACAAATAGTAAAAAAAATTAGGTGGGCGTGGTGGCATGCACCTGTCCTCTGAGCTACTTGGCAGGGTGAGGTGGGAGGATTGCTTGAGCCCAGGAGTTCAAGGCTGCAGCGAGCTATGATGGCACCACTGCTCTCCTTCCTGGACAACAGAGCAATAATCTGTCTCAAAATAAATAAATAAATAAAATTCAATCAGTGCAAGGATAAAATAAAGAACGAAAGTCCCCTTTCACACTTCCCTGTGACAGTGCACAGGAGTGCCTCCTTTTTATGGGTCACTTGTTATTTTTGCTAAAAACAGATATACTCTTTCAAGATATATCCAGAAAAGATTTTAAACTAATTATATGTTATTAAGACACATACAAATCCTAAAGCAAACTTAACAAGGAAATGATGTAGTAAGAGGTTATCATTAAACATGAGTAATGCTTGAATTATAAATTTGGGTGTAGTACAGTCATTTACATGCAAATTTCAGAACTGGCTGCAATTATATTTCATCTCCACTACCTACTAGTATAATTTTCAACAGAAAGAAAAGCTTTCTTCCTATAGTTTGGAAAAACAAAGATGAGGTTACTCCATCAAGCTAATGTAGGTGGATGTATCTTCTACCGTACCTGAGACACCATCCACCCAGTCCAGCCAGAGGTCAGCCTCATCCCAGGTAGCCAGGTAGCACCCTCTTTTGGGCTGATGCTCTGCCCCTCTGTAGGTATGACTGCTCTCCAGGAAATAGTGATGCCAAAAGAATTCACACAATTCCAGGCCCACTCTGGTGGAAATTTTAAAAATAGCCTTTGGCCAGCATGTTGGTTTCCCAGGACTGCTGTAAAAGTTCCACAAACTTAAAACAACAGAATTTCTTCTGTCACTGTTCTAGAGGCTAGAATTCTGAAGTCAAGGTGTCAGCAGGCCATGCTCCCTCTGATGACTTTAGGGAAGAATCCTTCCTTGCCTCTTCCAGTTTCTGGTGGTTCCCAGTGATCCTTGCTGTTCTGTGGCTTGCAGGTGTGCAGTATTCTCCTTCCTACCTTTGTTGTCACATAGTATTTTTCCTTTGTGTATGTATTTGTGTCTCTTCTTATAAAGACACCATTCAGGCTGGGCGTGGTGGCTCACGCCTGTAATCCCAGCACCTTGGGAGGCTGAGATGGGCGGATCACCTGAGGTCAGGAGTTCGACCTGACCTCAGCCTGGCCAACATGGCAAAACCCCTTCTCTACTAAAAATACAAAAAATTAGCCAGGTGTGGTGACAGGTGCCTGTAATCCCAGCCTCCTGGGAGGCAGAGGCTGCAGTGAGCTGAGACTGCACCACAGCACTCCAGCCTGGGCAACAGAGTGAGGCTCTGTCAAAACAAACAAACAAACAAACAAACAAACAACCATTCATACTGAATTAGGGCCCACCTATTCCAGTAGGACCTCACCTTAAGTTGGTTACATGTGCAAAGACCTATTTCCAATAAGGCCACATTCACAGGTACTGGGTTTGGAACTTCAATATATCTTTTGGGGGACTACAATTCAACCCAGAACAGTAGGGACCAAGTTTCTGCTGAAACTTTAACACTAGGAATGTCCCATTTGTTATCAACAGCACTTCACCAGGAAGAAGAGGCTCCACTCTGGGTTGCTGGGTCCATCTTCCTGGGCTTAGTTCACGTTTCCATGCCGCCTTGTCTGTCAGAACCTGTGCTTGGTTAGACATTGCCAGTGACTACTGTTGGCACATTGTCTGTTGTTCTCTGCTTCCTAAATGAAAATCTGCCAATTCTAGAATATACTGAATCAGCAAGTAAGTACAGAATTTAGGAGTGGTAGAGATATGGATAAAATTGGTAGGTTTGGGGAATTCTTCACTTTCCAGATATACATATATTTAAATAAAATTTATGGTAGGTCATTGTCTTGGACTGAGCTCCTGAACTAGGCCCCAACAGACCAGACTAAAATGAAGCCACTGTGTTAGGTGCCACGTAACTAAACAGAGATTTTAAAAAACAGGAAAATCCCCAAAAGGGCCAGTTTTCCAAAAACCAGGAGATTCACAGCAACCAGTCAAACGGGGCCCAGTCAGCCTGAGCCAGCTAAGGCAGCCCCCTCTGCTTTAACCCATAAAGGAGAGTAACCTGAAGTTACCCGATGTGCTTTCGGCACTATGCTTTTCCCTTGTTCCTGCTTAAGTTACCTTAACAAAACCCAGCTGTTCTTCCATTCCCACAAGAGCTCCCGTCTATTTTGTAGTCAGAATGCTGCCTGGTTCATGCATTGCTAATAGAAGCCAATTAGATCTTTAAAACCATTTGTTGAAATTTTGTTCTTTAGACTACACACACACACACACACACACACACACACACACACTCTACTGTAATCATATAGCTCTTAAAAAAAGAAAAGAAAAAAGAATATAAAACCCTACAACCTTAGGTGCTTTTGTTGTTGTTTTTAATTTAAAAAGACAAAATTGTTCGCCTTGTATAGAAGTAGATACAGCTTAGAGAGCCAAGGTAACAAGAGGGGAAAAGTTTGTGTTGTCTGGTACTTTTGAGGGAGTCAGAAGCCTAAAGGGAGGCTCTAACTCATGATTCTCAGAAGACAACTGTTGTCAACAGTTCAAATGAGAACTGAACGGCCACACTCCTGCAGCTGAAAGGAGTCAATGCGAGCTGAGTTGCTCTCACCGAACAGAGTGCGTTCCCCGGGGAGGCAGGGAAAGGCCGGCTTGCACCTGCTCTGTCACCCAGCTCCACTCTTAGGACAGAAGAGGTCTGGAAAATGTCTGGGCCATTCCCTCATTTCACGGAGGAGGAAATGGGTTAGTGTGTAATTGTTTTTATCATCACCCTTGTTTTATCTTTCAATCTGCCAGGCTCACTCAATGCTACATCCTGCAGTCCCCACCCACTGGAGAAACAATCCGATCCTGCAAGTAATTATTGAGTGCGGACGGCATACCTCACCTCCAGACCTGCCCATTAAACCCAGAACGGAGGTGTTTTGCTCTCTGCGCTAGATCGGTATTTTCCCCTACCACTTTAAGATTACGCTTCAGGCCAGTGTTAGGCTTTCTGGTGGGGTGGGACGCAACAGGCGGCCTCCTCCACCGCAGCGATGGCGGCTATGAAACCTCTGGGTATTTGGGCGGGAGGCGCGGCAGGTATTCTCCCAAAACTGGGTTTTCAAGACCACCACTCTCTGCGGAGGCCGACCCGGCAGGTAAGGAACTGTCCATCGGAAGGCAACGGGCGTGGCGTGAGCAGCCCGACCAATCAGCAGAGCCGCCGTTCAGTCAGGCTCCCCGCCCGGGGTACCCGCCCAGTCCCCAACCACTGAGCATGCGCCGCGGGCCTGGCGCAAATCCCCGCCTGGCGCGCCCTCTCCGCGGCCCTGTGAGGGTTAGGCTGCGCCGGGCTTCCTCAGAGAGACAGAAACGGAGCCGGGGCGGGAGCGGGCCCTTAGGGACAGGAAAGCGGTTAGGGTATTGGGGGGAAAGTCCCTCACAGGGTGGCTGTCGCTAGCGGCCGCCAGCTCTGCGTCACGGTGGGCTCGCAAGCCGGCGCATCGCAGTTTCCCTGGTACCCCGCCTGGCGGTCCGGCGCGGAGGGGCGGCAGACCGGCTAAATCGGCCCCAGTGAGGGCCGCCGTGTCACCTGAGCCCCTTCCAGGCCGTTGTCCTCAGGTTACAGGCGACATAACCGAGGCTCCGAAGTATTGCCCACGTCCAAGGTGACGCAGCTGGCCGTCCCGGCGGGCCGGAGTCTGGGAGTCTCCCACGCCTGGCCCGGCCCAACCGTCATCGTCCCGCCGCGAGCTCCGTGCCTCCGGGGACTGAACGGTGGGGAGGCCGAGGCGCCACACGAGCGCGCGGCGCCCCGCGCCAGGTTCCGAGCAGGGACGCTCCGTCCAGGTCCGCCTGGCCGGCCGCGGGTTCCGATCGGTGCCACATAAATAAAGGCTACTTTCCTGAGACCTCTGTCCCCGCAGAGGCCCCGGGCGCAGAGGGGGGGCGTGGTGCACCGAGCTCCGACCCTGCCGGTGACTTCGGGGTCCCCTCGAGCGCAGCCGGGCTCCCTGGGCAGGAAACCCTGCTCCGAAACCGCGCATCGTCCAGCCTCGGCTGTGCGCCCTCTTGGTGGCGTGCGCAGTCCCCTCCTCCGGTCTTCGGACGTGCGGCCCGGGGCGGAGGCGGCCCCGACCCCCCACCTTCCCCAGTGAGGGTCCCGCGCGGCACGCCGCCCCTGCCAGTCCGGCCGCCTAGCTCCAGCGCCGGGCCGCGCCGACCTGCCTGGCCCGCCGTCCCGCCGCGGCGGCCCCTCCTCCGCCGTCCGGGCGCCCCGCCCCGCCCGCGCCGCGCCGGACACCCCGCCCCGAGGAGGCGGCCCGGCGAGTGGTCGCCGAGGGAGGCTGGTGGCATGGGGGAGCCGCCGCCGCCACACGCACGGTCGCCCGGAGCGAGCCCGGGCGCTGCTGCGATCGCGGGGGGCCGCGGACGCCGAGGGGGGCGCCTTGGGGCGTGACACGGTGCAGAGGGCGCGGCCTGGGCTGCGGCGGCCGGACTCGCGGCGAGCAGCGGGGGGAGCAGGCGGCGGCGGCGCCGGGAGCGGCGGGCGGAGCGGGCCGGGCGCCGAGGGCGCACCTGGCGGCCGCGCGGCCGGGCCGGGCCGCGGGAGCAGGCGGAGGCGGAGGCGGCGGGGGCAGGAGGATGTCGCAGCCGCCGCTGCTCCCCGCCTCGGCGGAGACTCGGAAGTTCACCCGGGCGCTGAGTAAGCCGGGCACGGCGGCCGAGCTGCGGCAGAGCGTGTCTGAGGTGGTGCGCGGCTCCGTGCTCCTGGTGAGTGCGGGACGACCGCGGGCCGGGGGAGGATGGCGGGGGCGCAGGCAGCTGCGGGCCCCGGGCCGGGCGCCTCTTAGTCGGCAGGGCTGAGGCAGAGCGGCCGACCCTGCTGGGTCCGCGGAATCAAGAGGTGGGGCCGGCGGGAGGGAGTTGGACAGGGGAGAAGAGAAGGTCCTGGAGGGGCTGCAACTCCCAGACCCCTCCCCGCCACCCAAGATCCTGTCCCCATCGCTGTCCCCTTCCTCCTGGGAAATTTCCGCAGAGTGATGTCGCCCTGTCACTCTTTTCACCCCGCTCTCTCCCAATTTACCTGCTTTCTGTCAACTGGGAAATTACACTCTCCCCCCTCCCCCGCATCCCTCCCCCGTATCCCTCCCCCGGCCTCCCTCTCCTTCCATGTTTTGGAGGGGCGCAGGGGAATTGAGGTGGGGGCTTCCTCATCCAGTCTGCGCTCAGGGTGGGAGATGCCCCTGCTAACCCTTTGAGTTGGCTGAACTCCAGGAGGGAAGGACTTCGGCATCCTCTCCTGCGCCCCCCACCTCCAAGCCGGTATCCTGAAGTTTGGCCGCCTTTTAGGAAGGCTTGGGGGGCATGATGGGAACCCTCGCTAATTTAGTATTGGTGCAAATTCCTGTGACGTTTGGGGGTTCTAAGTAAGCAAAGCCATCAGCCCAAAACGAATCTTCCCGTGGCAGAACGTCTTTAGAGAATAGGCCTCTGGGTGTGAGGAAGATGAAGTTTTCGATTAACTTTTTCACAGCCAGCGCCGGTCCTGCTGTATTTGGAAACGCACTACAACCCGATTCACCTGGATGGTGCGGGAGTGGAGCGACGTTTGAGCAGGAGCGAGCTCTGCAGGGCAGCTGGAAACTTTTAGCAGCTCCTTGCGTTGCCGCCGGCATTTGTTTTCTTGAAACGGGCTTGTTTGTGGGTGGGTGTGACTTGTGTTTGTTGGAACAGTGCAAGAAGATGGGCCTTGGAAGTGGTTGTCTGGGCCCTGTGGGGGATTGTCGGGGCAGAGTGCCGGGCCCCTTAACACAGGGGCGGATGCATCATTTTGGTGGCAGATCGATGCCCTTCCTGGGCAGACACAGAATTGCGTGAATGACGTTTGTGGAGATTGGAGATGAAGCTTCGCTGATTTCTATATCCAGTTTGCTCAGTTTGAATTTTCTCTCGATTGCTAGCTCTGCCAACTCCAAATTTCTCCAACTCCAGTTTGATCCATAGTAAACAAGGATTTAATTTTTCTATTTTAGGGAAGTCGATTAGGTAAGGAGTAGAGCAGGAGTTGGGAATAGACCAGAACCTGGCCATCTCTTCCATAACCAGCTAACTTCTGTGTGGCTTCCTGCATCTTCCTGAGTTTTGCCAGTGCATGTTAAGGATAAAGCCTGCAACTTCTTTGGCATCTTTTCTGTTCTCACACAGAAGTTGGTTCCTTTATCTGGGGCCTGCCGTGGTCATCAGGGATTTGAGGCAGAAGAAGAGTAAATAAAGTGTACCAGTGTGCCATGATTTCCAAAGTGCTGCAGGTACTGGTTTAATAAGCCGTGTAGATGGAGCCCAGGAGTGCTGGTGCAGACACAACACTGCTGATGTGCAGTAGTCCCCGAATATCTGCCCTTCCCATCGGAGGATGGCCTACTAATGGTGACCTAGGAGTGTCCATTCCCACGTGTGACAGGCTGCCAACTGTGTTATCTCATGATACTTTAGTAGTACATCCGTTTTCCCTGGACACCCTTAAGCATGAAGAGCCAGATGCCCGGCTGTTGTCTTAACTCTTAGTCTCGTCTGTCTGTGGTCACTTGTCTGATGAAACCTGTGATGGAACAGATACAAAATGCAGGGAAGCAGGTGGGCCTGCTCTGGCATGTGAGGGCCCCTGGCTGAATGGGAAATAGGAAATGCATTGTGATGGTTCTGAATTGCAGAAGGAAGAATCTGGGAGGGCTTACAGATACTGAAAATTACCCACACACCTCATCCCCCCACCTCCTTCCTGGTACTCTGCCACTGCTTACTTCCTCTAGTGGCTCCAGTGTCTGCCAGGGAGCCACAGCAGGTGCACCTGCCACATAAGTTCTGGCCGGGCTTTGTTGTATGAAGGTCTAAGAGGTGAGGTAAGGTAACCCTGGACTTCTCAGGAGGCAGAGCAGCAACCACGCCAGGTTCAGAATCCCATGGTCTGTGCATCTGTCCTTAGATGGAAATAATTACTCTGTGTCTGATAACTTGGGTCAGCACTAATACAATGCCCACAACATAAATGCTCAATAAATATTCTTATCTAGCTAATAAAGCAGTTCTGCAGATGGATTTAAAAAAAATTAAACTATGTGTGGGTTTAGTAGCTCTTCCCACACTTCAAGTATTGATGAGTGGATGGTCATGAGATCAGAAACAACAAAATGAAATAGTTCAGTGGATGATAAAGGCTGCCATTAAAAACAAGCTTTAAAATGTAAACATAATGTGGGCTTATCCATTTTTCATTGTTCAATAGCTTCATTTTTCATGTGTTCAGGTTCATGGACTTTCATGAATGATTTTGTATTAATTTGTTTGAAAAGCTTGAAAATAAGCATACAAAAAGTAGAGAGAATAGTATAATGAACCTTCATATTTCATCATCCAGATTGAATAATTATTGAGATTTTGCCAAACCTGCTTCATATGTCTCTTCTTCCTATTATTTTTCATGTGTGATTGTGAGTCCCAGGCCTTATATCATTTCACCTCTATATAACTAGTATATGTTACTTAAAAATAGGGTCTATTCTTACATAACTGTGTCATAATAAAATTAACAACTTGTTAGTATGCTCTTCACATTTCCCAGATTATATTAAAAAATATTTGATTGTTAGTTTGTTCTAATAAGGACCTAAAAAAGCTTTGTAGGCCTTGTCAAACATGGTTAGCTCTTTCATGAGCCTTAGAATTCTTTTTTTTTTTTTCTGAGATGGAGTCTTGTTCTGTCACCCAGGCTGGAGTGCAGTGGCGTGATCTCGGCTCACTGCAACCTCCGCCTCCCAGATTCAGGTGATTCTCTGGCCTCAGCCTCCGGAGTAGCTGGGATTACAGGTGTGTTCTACCATGCCCAGCTGATTTTTGTGTTTTTAGTAGAGATGAGGTTTCATCATGTTGGCTAGGCTGGTCTCAAACTCCTGAGCTCAGGTGATCTGCCTGCCTCGGCCTCCCAAAGTGCTGGGATTACAGGCGTGAACCACCACACCCAGACAGAATTCTTTATAATGGAGAGAACCCTCCATGGGGTCAGGACTTCTGGGTTTTAATCTTAGAGGTTTAGTAGTTTAGAGCATGGGTTGTAAACCTGGTTTTATGCCTCACCAGCTGTACAATCTTAGGTATATAACTTAACCTTGTTGGGGCTCAGTTTCTTCATCTGTAGATTGGAGATAATAATTATGCTTTCCTTGTATTGTTGTTGGAAGGATTAATTGAGCTATGTGGGTGAAGCTCTTAGGCAGTGGCTGGCGTATATTCTACCAGCTACTTAAGTCCCCTTGGACTGTTGCTTAATGTCTCTGAACTTCAAGGTTCCTGCTCTGTTAAATAAGAGGCATACTCGGTTTTTCTAGAGTCCCTTATTCCACCAATGGGCTTCTATTTGAAGCTGTTTTTTTTTATTTATTTATTTATTTATTTATTTATTTATTATTATTATTTTTTTGAGATGGAGTCTTGCTCTTTTCACCCAGGCTGGAGTGCAGTGGCATGATCTTGGCTCACTGCAACCTCCGCTTCCCGGGTTCAAGTGGTTCTCCTGCCTCAGCCTCCTGAGTAGCTGAGATTATAGGCGCCCACCACCACACCCGGCTAATTTTTTGTATTTTTAGTAGAGACGGGGTTTTGCCAATTTGGCCAGGCTGGTTTTGAACTCCTCACCTCAGGTGATCCGCCCACCTCGGCCTCCCAAAGTGCTAGGATTACAGGGGTGAGCCACTGCGCCCGGCCTTATTTATTATTCTTTTAGAGACCATCTTAATCTGTCACCCAGGCTGGAGTGTAGTGGCATGATCATGGCTTGCTGCAGCCTTTGAACTCCCGGGTACAAGCAATCCTCTTACCTCAGCCTCCAGAGTAGCTGGGATTACAGGCATGCACCACCACGCCTAGCTAATTTTTGTATTTTTTTTTAGAGATGGGGTTTTGCCCTGTTGCCTAGGCTGGTCTTGAACTGGGCTCAAGCAATCCCAAACTCCTGGGATTACAGGTGCGAGCCAGCATACCCAGCCCTAAGCTGCTTTTATAAAAGTAGTGGAGGTGCTACTAGGAACATTTTTAACTGTAGGAAAAGTAATTTATAATGTTTGGTAATGAAGGAAGAATCCTCACAATTTCAGAATTAGCTTTCCATAATTTAGAATAGTCAGGAAGGTAGCATGTTCAAAACGTACGCGAACTCAGAAGAAAAGCTAGAAAGAATTCCCTGAGCAGGGTTGAGTTATGATTACTTTTAGAGCTCCTGAAAGGATTTTACCTCAGGTCTTTCAGATGTATTAAAGATGGCATCATAATGACCTAGATCTAAGAGGATGTATTAATACCACTCAAAGCCTACAAGTGTCCTTTCTCTGAAAGATTTGTGTGAATATCAGGTCACATCCCTTTGCATGGGCATGCTGACTGTCCTGCACTTGGGTATTAATATACAAGTCTTCTGGCTGCCCGGCTTCCTTACTGATCTTATCTCACTATGTTCAACTTCAAACTCTTCTTCGATGTCAAGCACTTGCCAGTGATGCCACTCCTCACCCCTTTGAATTCCAACAATACAAATGAAACCAAGTCAGGTCGTTGCTAAATTTCGCTTGGTATTACTGAAGGAGGGCAGACAGAAGGTATGGGATGGTAGTGTCCCTGAGTCTGCCTGAGGCTTCCCTCACTGCCCCGTTTATTCAGCTCAAGATTCCAGTGCTGTCGGAGGTAACGTGAGACCCCGGTAATGGTGTTCTTTGAAATTCTCAAGTAAGGTAAAATCTCGTTTTTGGCTATAATTTAAAATCAGATGTCAGTAAGCTGATAACTGAACTGGCCAGGGCTTCTCTGCACTGTTTTTCTCCACCCTCCAGTGGAGAAAACAGAAATGTCCCAAAATATCGGAAGCAGGGTGGAGGCCCATCTTGGACTATATCATTAACAGCAGGTTCCATTCCTTTGGCTTCTAGTCCTTTTGATTATTAGTACACTGTCAGGAGGACATTAGTGAGGCCTTGAGTTTGAACAGGGAGGGAAGGAACTGTGAAATCACTGTCCACATTTACTGAGGGCCGACCCTGGGGCAGGGCTCCCTGCTGGGTGCTAAGAACATGATACCATGTCAGAGTAGGCCCTTGCCCGTGTAGGGTTTATGATCTAAACAGGTGGACGGGTCAGTCACCTACTCTAAGGTGACTAACAGTACTAAGGCACACCATGGAAAGAGTCAAACGTGGTTCAGTGACCAGAGGAAGATGAAAGCACAGAACCAGTGTATTCGGGAAAGAATTTATTAAGAATTAAACTGGACCTGGAAGATGCAGAGATAAGGAAGACTTTTATCCTTTTTTTCTAGGAAAGAATAAGAAATTGAGCAAATGCTTAGTATGCTCAGGTAGGACCAAGAAGGAGCAGAGCGGCTTGGGCAAAGAAGAGCAAGTTTTTGGAGGAAGGGAGAGAGGTTTTGAGAAATTACAGTTGCCAACTTTGGGAACAATTTCATTGATTGGCTGAGAACACATCCTGAAATAGATTTTTTTTCCTTTGTCTTTTTGAAACTATTTCAGGAAAGAAGTTCAAACCAGCCATGAACATATGCTTCCTAGAGAGACCTTCCCTAAGTGTAATCCTGAGAGTAAATAATGTGACTGTTTTCTGTCAGGCAGGCCCAAGAATGGGATGGGAGGTGTGACGTGGAAGGGAAAATCCAGTAACAGGCCTGTGTGTGTGTAGGCACTTAGGTATCATGAGAGCAGTAGTCGGATATGGTGAGTTACCATTCAGTAAATGGTGTTACAAATAATAATGTTGGAGCCCTACCTTACAGAACATACTGAAATAAATTATAGTGAAATATAAGAGTTATTTGTAAAATAAAAGAAACCACATAAAACATGGGGAAATAATCATGTAAGACTGGAGAGGGATATTTATGTATTTATTTATTTATCTGAGATGGAGTCTCACTCTGTCACCCAGGCTGGAGTGCAGTGGTGCAATCTTGGCTCACTGCAACCTCTGCCTTCCGGGCTCAAGTGATTCTCCTGCTTCAGCCTCCCAGGTAGCTGGAATTACAGGCGTGTGCCACCACACCCGGCTAATTTTTGTAATTTTAGTAGAGACGGGGTTTCACCATGTTGGCCAGGCTGGTCTTGAACTCCTGACCTCAAATGATTCACCCACTTCGGCATCCCAAAGTGCAGGGATTACAGGCATGAGCCACCACGCCCGGCCTGGAGAGGGATTTTTGAAGTATGAAATTTCAGGAAGAAACCAGTTGGACCTGGGCTTTGGAGGTGAGCCTTGGCTTTGCCACTGATTGGCTGAGGACTTCGAGCAACATACGTTGCCCGAGTCTCAGTTTGCTCATCTGAGTATTGGGATTGGTAGGTATTATCTTACAGAGTTTTTTAAAAGTAAAGATTAAGTAAGATAATGCATGTGAAGTAGTTAATAGTGAGTGCTTAGCAAATGCAAGCTCTTATTATGTTACTAAAGGAGAAGATTGATTATCTTGACTAAATATTTCTGGAGCCAGCATTTATTGACCACCTATGATGCCCTAGAATGCATCTGAAGGCTTCACACACAGGTTACGTTACCTCGAGGTCACAGGTGTAGGTATGGGGGCTGAGTCTTGAAGCTTGGCACTGTAACTTCACACCCTGAGCTCCTAGCCACTCTGCCTGTTGCCTCCCCATGTTAACACTAAATGTCTGTCTCTGTAAGTACCATACAAAAGTCAAACAGTAAGCTTAGAAACAATATTTGCCCTGTAGCTATTTGTCTATAGAGATCTCTTGGTCATAGTGTTAAGTTAAACTTTTTGCTTGGAGGGCTACCCCATTCTGCAACTCCACGGCCGCATTCACATGGACATAAGCTGTACTGTACAGTATGGAATGTAGGTTTGATAAGAATGAGGTTTTAAAAGTGTACCTGTCATAAAATTATTTTTCTTTAGCATAAATCTCTTATATACATTCGTTGACTGGCTATCGGCCTGACCTATCTGTGTTTAGTCTTTAACATAAACCAGAATGCAGAATGTTAACAGTGGTTCTCTGGATGTGGGGTGATGGGAAGTTCACTTTTTTTTCTTCCGATTTTCTGTCCTTCCCAGATTTCTACAGTTGACATGTATTACTTTTATCACTTTGGTCAATATTGACAGGAAAATGATTTGAGAATGTGCTGTGATAATTGGAGCCCTCAGAGCGAAGCCACTTACTCCTGAGAGATAGTTCTTTTTCTTCCTGTTGTATATTTGAGCTTCTGCAATTTTAAAAAGTTGCTCAGAACTTAGCAAGTGGTGGAGAGAGGAGGGCTGGGAGTTTCTGAGATGCCGGAGGCTATCTGTCACAGGCTCTGCCCTTGGCTATTCCCTGGCCTGGGGCTTCTTGGCTCTACTGACCCAGCTCTTATCTTTACTTCTACACTGGCTGGTCTGCCTCTGCTTCCTCACCATCCACAGCTCCCTATCCCTGTGACCTGCTCATGTCCTTAGTGTGGGGCGGCCTCTCAGGGCTCACCCCATACGACTAAGCACCCTCTTCCGTTCTGTGGAACAGGATTCTCCTGCATCTCCTCCTCCTTCTCTGATGTCTGTTCCTTTATCTTCTTCACTCTTTTTGTTGTAGTCACCACAAAGGGGCATTCCTAAAGGGTCTCTTCTCCACCACTGGTTTATAGAATTTAATTGTTTCCCTTCACTCCGAAGGGGGGCACCACCTCTTTGCAATTTCCACAGTTTTATCTCAGTTCTGATTCTCCCCGCTTCTACCGCATGTTGTGCCCCGCCCTAGACCTGCTTTTCTGTTTTCCTGCCTGACTCTTCTACTTGGCTGTCCTACCAGCTCCTTAAGTTCAGCATCTATGAAACATAAATTGCCACTTTTCATCCCAAGTTAGGTTGTCCTTTTTACATTCTTGTTTTAGTGGGGAGTGTCATTTCATCACCAACTATGAAATCTGTAACTCCTCCTGTGTCTCTTCTGTTTATCTCCTTTGCCTTCCTCATTCAAGAACCACTACATTCGTTACTTTCTGTCATGAATCAGTCGTTATGGGCCAAGGACTCCCAGATCTCAGTGGCTTAGAACAGAAAGGTTTATTTCTTCCACACGCTACCTCTCCATTGAGTGTGGGCTGGGAGCCTAGTTCCATATTGTCCTGGGACCTCAGTTGATGGGACAGCCCCCATCTTGAATGTGGCAGGTCTGTGTGGCAAAAGCAAATCACATGGCAGCACCGAACTCCAGGAGCAGGGAAGTACAGTCCTTTCTATGTGTCTGCAAGGAGGACTCACATCTTTGGTGAGCAGCACTGATGCCTGCTGCAACCTGGCATCCCCTTTCCTGTCTCCTTTCTTTCCTGGTCTGTGCAGTAGTAGGGTGTATTAGTCCATTTTTGCACTGCAATAAAGGCATACCTGAGATTGGGTAATTTATAAAGAAAAGAGGTTTAATTGGCTTATGGTTCTGCAGGCTGTACAGGTTTCTGCTTCTGGAGAGGCCTCAGGAAACTTACAATCATGGCAGAAGGTGAAGGGGAAACAGGCACATCTCCACATGGCTGGCAAGAAAAGGGAAGAGCAAAGGGAGAGGTGCTACACACTTTTAAACAACCAGATCTCATGAGAACTCTATCATGAGAACAGTAAGGGGGAAGTCTGCCCCCATGATTCAGTCGCCTTCCACCAGGCCCCTCCTCCAACACTGGGGATTTGGGTGGGGACACAGAGCCAAACCATATCATAGGGGATAGGATCCTTCTTATCTGGTTTCTTTGCTACCGTAATTAATCCATCCTTATAGGTTCAATTCTAAACCCTGAAGACATTAGTATTTCCCATTGCCCTTGGGATACAAACTATTTCCCTTGGACCATAAGGCTCTCTCCTTATCAGACACCACCCTCCCATGTATGCCAGCCTCTCTCATACTCCAGGAGGTAAAAAGCTCTCACTTCTGCCTGGAATAATCATGACCCCTGGCCACCCCTCTCAGTTGCCAGGCCACTCTCTCTGGCCTTTGAAACTGTACTCGCATGTCCTGGCCTATCCACCCAAACTAAAGCATGCACTGCCTGTTCCTTTCCTTTGACCACTTATCACAATTTATTTATTTATTTATTTTTGTACATTTGCTTAATGTCTTTTTCCCTCCCTGGACTGTTGGTTCACCGTGGTTTTCGCAGGGCCTGGTGCATAGCAGGGGCTCAGTCATATTTTTTGGATGAATGAACAAACCCTGAAGATGCTACATCTGACTCTATATCTTCATTTTATCCTTTTCGTATTTCCTATTACCTCTAATTTCTCTTCCCTGCACCCATTTCTATTTATTTCATCCCAGTTTACCTCCTGCTGCCAGATTAATTTTCCTAATGCACAGGCTCTATCATATCATGAGTTTCTCATTGCTACATATGACTAATTTGCCAATATTTTTGCACATCAGAATGTGTATCACTTTGAGGCTGGTTCTGTGTTTGTTTTAGTTTAGGAAAAGCTGTTCAGATTGTCTGTAAATCCGTATGGGGATCTTTGCATAGGATTTTAAAGCAGCCACACATCTTGTACAAAATGTATAAGATTAATTTTCTATGTTAGGACCATTTGTTTTCACCAATTCCATAGAGCTCCAATGTGTAAAAGAAGACACTGATCTAACTCTTGTGTTAAATATTTAGTAACTCATTTATCTGGAAGAAAGCAAAACAAAACAAAAATACAAGGAATAAAAATCACTGGGAGTGCTTTTCATTCACTGAATAATGAGTTTTGCAAGGAGCACGTGGATGGTGACATTATATCTTTTACATCTTTATTTTCTGTTTCTTTTTTGACTCCTTATCAGTGAATTTATCTTATTTTATACTTTTACTTTCTATTTCTTTCTTGACTCTTTGTTGGTGAATTGGTAGCAAGAGACTTACTGTCTGATCAGAACTTTGAATCTTCCTGCCTCTCTTTCTTTGAGGTTGACAGGGATAAAGATAATTAAGATAGCGCTTGGGTGTGATGACACTGGAAGACAGGCTGGGTCAGGGCCTGTAGTAGAGACTTCCCCCCTCTATTGAATGTTAATCTGAAAGTGAATCTGAAAGCAGATGGTCATGAACTACCCAGGGTCTCCATTAAGCCCATGAAGTTTATTTTAAAACTCTTAAAATAGATTGAGATTCAAATTGAGATTCATGTCTATTTTTTAAACATTGTGTCTTAACAAAGTAGATGTTCAGTCATACAGTTAGGCAAATGTTCTAAGGAAAGATGTTTACCATGCTAAGTTAAAAAAAAAAAAAAGTTATAAATAGTGCCATTGTCTGGGTGCAGTGGCTAACACCTGTAATCACAGCACTTTGGGAGGCTGAGGTGGGGCAATGCTTGAGCCCAGGAGTTTCAGACCAGCCTGGGCAACAAAGTGAGAACCCATCTCTAAAAAAAAGAAAAAAAGGAAAGAAAAAATTAGCTGGGCTTGGTGGCACACACCTGTAGTCCCTAGCTACTCAGGAGGCTGAGATGGCAGGATTGCTTAAGTCCAGGAAGTCATGGCTGCAGTGAGCTCTGATTGAGCCACTGCACTCTAGCCTGGGTGAAAGTGAGACTGTCTCAAAAAAAAAAAAAAAAAAAGTACTACAGCTGACCTTTGAACAACATGGGTTTGAACTCCACAGGTCCACTTATATGCAGATTAAAAAAATAAGTGTATTGTAAACATTTTTGGAGATGTGCAACAATTTGAAAAAACTCACAGATGAACTGCATAGCCGTTGAAGAAATTAAGAAAAAGGTATGTCATTAATATATAAAATAATGTGTAGATACTAGTCTATTTTATCATTTACTACTGTAAATGATACACAAATCTATTATAAAAAGTTAAAATTTATCAAAACTTACCCACACAAACACAGACCATACATGGTGCCATTTACAGTCCAGAGAAACAAATGTAAAGATGCAACATTAAATCATAACTACATAAAATTAACTACAGTACATATTGTACTACTGTAATGATTTCATAGCCACCTCCTGTAGCTTTTGTGGTGAGTGTTGTGTTGTGAATATCCACTTAAAACACCGTGTGACACCAATCATCCCTATGTGAGCAGTTCCTCTTTCCAGTGCTGACCCAAAAAGAAGAAGAGGAGGCAAAATTTAACGTAAGTAGAGAGTTTATTTGGGCCAAGCTTGCTGCAACTCAGGAGCAAAGGTTCAAATTGCCCTGAATATACACTCTGATTAACAGGAGTTACAAGTGGATTTTTAAAGGAAAAGAAGAGGCAGTTTCTGAGTTGTTTACCAAGAATTCACATGAAAACAACATGGGCTATTGATTGGCTCATCTGTTGTTCTTTGTATCACACATTCTGGGAACATGAAGATAATGGGGGAGGCAGCTAGTCAGGAACCAAATGACTTTAAACAGTTGCCGCTGGGCACGGAGTGGGGCGACCCGAAGTCTCATATTCATGTCTCTTCTCTGGGCCTGCATAGTTCACATAGCTCAGACTGCTCCGAGCTGTTTTTCTTTTCTCTCTAGTAAATTGCTTATTGCGGTAAAAAGTGATCTCTTGCCTTCTTGTATATGATGTTCAGTGTAATACCATAGACATTGAATAACACCATTGGACCCTTACAAAGTGTCAGCCCTTACAAAGATCCTGGAAGCGCTCCTAGGAAACAGAGAGAAGTCATGACATTACAAGAAATAGTTGAATTACTTGATATGTTTTGTAGACTGTGTTCTGCAGCTGCAGTTGCCTGCCATTTTAAGATAAATGAATCCAGTTTAAGGACCATTGTGAAAAAAGAAAAGGAAATTTGTGAGCTGTTGAGCTGTAGCTGCGTCAGCAGGCATAAAAACCTTGCACTTCTTGCAAAACACCTTTTTATCTTGTAGTGAAAATGCAGCTTTTATGTGGGCACAGGATTGCTATAGAAAGGAATACCTATAGACCGATGAGTTGAGAAAAGGTGAAGTCATTATATGACAACTTAAAGCAAAAGGAATGTGAAGGATCTGAAGCTGGAGAATCTAATGCCAGCAAAGGATGGTTTGATAATTCTAGAAAGAGTTTTGGCTTTAAAAATATCAAGATAACAGGAGAAGCAGTTCTGTCAACCAAGAGGCAGCATACAAGCTCCCAGATGTCGTTAAGAAAGTCATTGAGGAGAAAGGATATCTGCCCGAACAGGGTTTTAATACAGATTAAAGTCCCTATTCTGGAAAAAATGCCACAAAGGACATTTTTTAGTAAGGAAGAAAAGTGAACACCAGGATTGAAGGCAGGAAGGGTTAGGCCAACTCTACTGTTTTGTGCAAATGCAATCAGGTTTATGATCAGGACTGCCCTTTTCTATAAAGCTGCCAACCCCCTAGCCTTAAAGGGAAAAGATCAATGCCAGCTGCCAGTCTGTTCATTGTATAAGAAGACCTGGTCAAGGAGAACCCTTTTTCTGGATTGGTTTTGTTACCAGCCATGGGTTCTTGGGCCCTCAATGCAATAGAAATCGACCCGAGGCCGAAAGAAAAGCCTTCATTGGAGCTTATGCCTGAGCATAAGGGAGGAAGCATGAAAGAGAGAGAGAGAGAGGAGAGAGAGAGAGAGGAGAGAGAGAAAAGAAGAAGAAGAGAGGAGAGAAAGAAGAGAGAGAAGAGAGAGAGAGAGAGAATGAATGAGAATGAGAGAATTCCTTAGCTGACTCTCTGAGCCTGTAGGGATTTTCTATTAGGCAAAGCATGGGAATTGACATCAGGGGTAGGATATGCAGGGTGGGCTGGGCAAAGCACGTGGTAGGGTATGCGGGTCAGAATATCTGGTTGCGATGGTTATCTTGAGTGATGGGCCACATGGTGGTCTGGCCGGTGGCAACAAGGCTATAAATCAGTTGGTCAGCATTCCTTCCTGAGGTGAGACACTCTGCAACCTTGGTTCCATATTTTGGATCTCCTATGGCCAATTCCTGGAATTCTTTTTTCTTTTTTTGAGACAGGGTCTGTCACCCAGGCTGGAGTGCAGTGGTGTGATTTTGGCTCACTGAAGCCTTGACCTCCCGGGCTCAAGCAATCCTCCCATCTTCAGCCTTGCAAGTAGCTGGGACTATAAGTGTGTGCCATGATGCCTGGCTCAATTTTGTATTTTTTGTAGAGATGGAGTTTTGCCATGTTGCCCAGGCTAGTCTCAAATTCGAGTTCAAGTGATCTTCCTGCCTCGGCGTCCCAAGTGCCAGGATTACATATGTGTACCACCATGCCTGGCCCCTGGAATTCTTTAAGTAAAAGGCATGGTTAAACATTCTGAGAACACAGAAGAACAATTTAGAATGGGTGTTTTCTTTATCTGACTAAAGCCTCAGGGTTAGTGGGTATAGATAGCATCAGCGAGGTAGTGGTATGGGGTTTTGTGATCACTGGGGATGCATGAAAGAATGCTCTGGTTGGGGTGAGCTGATGCTAAACCCCATCTTTAGTTTCCCTCAGTTTCATCAGTGCTTTGTCCCCGAAGTCAGGAAGTACCTTGCAAACAAGAGAGTGCCTTTTAAAGTTCTTTTGATATTATACAATGCTCCTGGCCACCCAGAACACATGAGTTCAACACCAAAGACAATGAAGTGGTCTACTTGTTCCCAAACACAATGTCCTACTTCACCCTCTAAATCAGGGGCCATAAGGACCTTTAAGGCTCAATGCACACTGTACTTTATGGAAGGGACCGTAGCGCTGTGGAAGACAACCCAAATAGAACATCATGAAAGTCTGGAAGGAGTGTATCATTGAAGGATACCGTCATTGTTATACAAAAAGCAGTGAAAGCCATCAAGTCTGAAACATTTCTGCTGGAGAAAACTGTGTCCAGATGTTGTGCATGACTTCACAGGATTTATGACAGAGCCAATCAAGGAAACCGTGAAAGAGATTGTGGATATAGCAAAAAAGGTGGGGCTGGGGTGAAGGGTTTCAAGATAAAGACCTTGGAGAAATTCAAGCGCTAATAGACACCACACCAGAGCAATTAACAGAAGAGGTCTCATGGAAACTAGTGCTTCAGAACTAATGCCCCATGATGAGGAAGAAGACGTAGAAGAAGAGGCACTGCCAGAAAAGAAGTTGACGTCAGACAGTCTGGCAGAAGCATGCTAATTATTCAAGAGTGCTTTTGACTTCTTTTATGGCATGGATCCCTTTAAGATACGGGCACTGAAACTAAAGCGAATGGTGGAAGGATTGGTACTATATAGAAACATTTTTAGAGAAATTAAAAAACTAAAAAGCGAGCCAGAAATTATGTATTTCAGTACAGTTACACCTAGTGTTCCTGCTTCTCTTGCCTCCTGTCCCACACCCTCCACCTCTACTGCCTCTGCTACCCCTGAGACAGCAAGACCAGTCCCTCCTCATCCTCTTCCTTAGCCTACTCACTATGAAGACGATGAAGACCTTTATGATGATCCACTTCCATTTAACAAGTAGTAAGTATATTTTCTCTTCCTTATGATTAATAATGTTTTCTCTAGCATACTTGATTGTAAGAATAGAGTGTAATAGCAGGGCACAGTGACTCACGCCTGTAATTGCAGCACTTTGGAAGGCCAAGGTAGATGGATGGATTGAGACCAGGAGTTCAAGGCCAGCCTGGGCAACATGGCAAAAAAAAAAAAAAAAAAAAAAAAAAGCCAGGCATGGTGGCAAGCACCTGTAGTTCCAGCTACTTGGAAGGCTGAAGTGGGAGGATGGCTTGAGCCTGGGAGGTTGAGGCTGCAGTGAGCTGTGTTCACACCACTGCACTCCAGCCTGAGCAAAAGAGCAAGACCCTGTGTCAAAAAACAAAAAAACCAGTATAATATATATCACATACAAATTGTGTGTTGTTTATCAGTAAGGCTTCCAGTCAACTGTAGGCTATTAGCCAGTTTCTGGGGAGTCAAAAGTTATAGGTGGATTTTTGACTGTGCAGGGGGTTGGTAGCTCTAGCTCCTGCGTTGTTCAAGAGTTAACTGTAATATACAGAACTATTTACTTTTTTATGAAAAAAATAAGCAATATTTTGTTCACGGAAAAAAGTTTATGATCTTACAGATTCTAAAGTAAGCCATTCTCTTTTGTTTCAAGAATAAGTTAAATATCAAATGTTTATTCCCTCAGTTCTAAACATAGAAATGCAGTTGTATAACCAAGTTTCTGTTACTAGGGGGATAGTTCTTGCCATGGATGGCAGTAGGATATAGTGCATGAGAACTTGGGTTCAGGAGGCTTCAGCCCCAGCTCTTCATCTACTAGTTCTGCCTTCTCAGTTTCTTCACCCAGAGAGTGGACATTTTAATAGCACTTACCCCATAGATCTTTGTACTTAAGCGAGCAATTGCATATAAAGCACTTAGAATGGGGCCTGGCACACAGTAAATACTCACTAAGTGCAAGCTGTGGTTATTTATGGGGGCAAGCTAAAGAAATACCATATAACCCTTTAAAGTGCTGCTTGCGGAGAATTTATAACACAGGAAAATTACAATGTTGAGCAAAAAAAACGCAGTAAGCAGAAATGCGTGTGGTCACAATTGTGTGAAAACATGTTTAAGAAAAATATTGGAAGGAAACACATGAAAAGATAGGAATATGATTTGTTTTTTATATATTCTAGGATTTCCCAGCTGTTTAAGTGAATAGGTAATAATCTATTAAGAAAAAGCAAATACATTGAATATTGGAAGGAAAGTTTGTACTACATGTAAGATGTTCAAATCGGTATGCTTGAAAATTACACTTGTATATCTTAGTGCTTGTACACATGGGCATTGTGATGTAAAATATGTTCCTGAAGTGAGGGCACACACATGCATGTTGGAAGCAAAAATATTGTCAACAGTTAAGAGCCCTGCATTAAATGCTCATAGAGGCGGGATGCCCCTGTGAAACAATGCAACTTTGCATTTGACTGTTTATAAAGTTCTTTAAAGAAAAAAAAAGTCTATCTTTGGCCTCTGGAAAATCTGGTCAGATAGACAGGGATAGTTTTATTATTTCTGTTTCTTGATGAGGAATTAAAGACCAGAGAAATCAAGTGACTTGCTTAATTAAGGTCACCTGGCTAACCTTAACCCTTTTCCTGGCAAGATGGCAGAGATTGTCTAAAAGTGTCAAAACATTTTAAGATATCATTTTGAAGTTGGAGTTTCTTGAAAACTTTTAAGCGATTAACTTGAATCATTAAACATATTTTTTGGAAAGTACCACTAATTCTCTAGGTTTATAGAAATGCGTGACATGAAAGTGAAATATTCTTTTGGAGATGAAAGTCATCTTTGGTGGTCATCTGGTCCAGCTTCCTAATTTTGCAGATGAGGAAGATGAGATCAGCCATGGATAAACCTTTGTGGTCTACAGCTAGTTATAAAGACAAGAACAAAATCGAGTTTGCCAACTCCTGGTCCAGTGAATTTTCCAGTGACTATAGAAAATAATTACATTACTTTGTTTACACTTGTGTGTTGTCAAGTGTCATTGGTAATCAGATAATAGGAGACTATGAAACATCTATTTGCACCATGGATCTCCTCCGTGCTTGTATATTTCATTAGTCCCAAGCTAGTTTGTTGGTGAAATTGATATTCATGTTTCTACAAGCCAAGAAAGGAGTTCTGCATTTCTGTTTAAGGGGTATTAGGATGAAAGGGAGAAAGAAATAAAAAGCAAAACTTAGAAAATTAATCTAAAAAAGGTCTCAGTAGTAACTTATTCATGAAGGAAGAACTAATTTAGTAGTCAATGTTATTGAAGGGACAGAATATCACAGTTTTACACGTACATTGGTTAAAATTATGATGTGGCTTGAGAAAAAACCTCCCTAGGCCTATTAACCTAAAATTTGTTAGTGTAGAATAAGCTCTGTTAATCTAGGTCATTTTACATTTCAGGCTGCTTTGCGTTGGCTAAAATAAATATTCAGCTGTAAATGACAATTTGGTTCAAACTGTATTATTATAGAAAGAGTTGCATTTCTAAGATTGTTTAGAGGACTTATTTAATCTGTCACTCTAACATATTGCTGTTTTCTTAAGTAGAAAGCAGAGTTCCTATGGTGATAGCAGAGGTGCCATAATATTTATAGTATAGTAGGTTCATCTGTAAACTATTATACTAGCTAGAATTTACAGGATATTTAATCTCTTAGGTTAACTTTTTCCTTCCCAGGCTTTTACTGTGTTCATTTTGCCATTTTTATTTTCCTTCGCTATTCTTATAAGAATCTTCTATGTTATTTTTTTCCTAAAAGATCGAAAGTAACTGCTGTTAAATGATTTTTTTTTTTTAAACTGAAGGATGTATGTGCTTAACTAATTTCTGTGGAGTTCGTGAAAAACTGATTGAGGTATTAGGGTTTTTTGTTTGTTTGTTTGTTTTGAGATGGAGTCTCGCTTTGTCGCCCAGGCTGGAGTGCAGGGCGCGATCTGGGCTCACTGCAGGCTCCGCCTCCTGGGTTCAAGTGATTCTGCTTCAGCCTCCCCAGTACCTGGGATTACAGGCGCCCACCACTGTGCCCAGCTAATTTTCTGTATTTTTAGTAGAGATGGGGTTATCTCCATGTTGGCCAGGCTGGTTTCAAACTTCTGACCTCAGGTGATCTGCCACCTGGGGCTCCCAAAGTGCTGGTATTACAAGCATGAGCCACTGCGCCCGGCCAGGGTATTAGGTTTTTAAAGAGACTTTCTTAGTTCTCCACTGAAAACTCAGAGAGGCGGAGATTCCTGACAGTGTTGGTTTCTCCTCGAAGTTACTAAACACATTGGTGTTGAGATTTCCTTCATGTGTAAGAGGTGGCATGAGAGAAAAGGGATCACCAATAGCAGATGAGGGTTTCTTGAATTGAGGATAGTCACAGTTGGTGATTCCATATCCTGGTCTAGAGTATCAATGCTGGGGCAGGAGGTGGGGGGTTGAAGATTATGGGCTGTGGAGAACCACATGTGGGGTACTGGGGATCGGTTCTTTCTGTAGGCTTAGGGAACTCTATTTGATGGGGGAGAGTTTCAGAATAGCTCCCAGAATTTGGGGGAACTACAGATGTTTTTTCCATGGCTTCAGTTGTTAGACATTTAAAAAAAAAAAAAAAAGCTTCTGTCCTTACAATGTGGAATCTTGGCATCTTGGATATCCTCCACCCTGGGCAATGGGCCCCGAAGCAGCCCTACCTCTCCATCTCTTGGGCAACTCAGTGGGAGAATCAGCATATTCCAGTGAGCATTGCATTTCATGTCAGGAAAATGGTATTTTACCCATACTACTTACTCCTTTATGGTCTTGGCCTGGTGCCTATGGGTGGCACCTGCACAATGGAGAAGTCACTGACCAGCCTGGAGTTGATTTAAGCTGCAGAGTTGATTCCTTTCTGACCAAATCATTTGGTTTTGAGTCTGGCCTGGTGCAGACCTGGAGCTCACTTCCATCTGCAGTGACCTTTGGGAGAGGAGGGGCAGAGGCCAGATGGAATCCAGTCTTCTCTGCTGCAGGCTTCCCTTGTGATCTTTTTCCACATTCTCAGGCCAGGGCATCTTTCCCTGGAATTTGGAGAGGATTCAGTGTCCTCTTTTAGTTGAGGATCTTAGCAGATCTTGAGTCATTTTTGAGTTCTTGATGATGATGTTAGCAGAGAAAAATGCAGTGCTGTTAGAAGTTTTTAAAGCTCTCATACCTTAGTATTGAGTAGGTCTCAGGTTGTCACTCATGATTCATTGACTCAACAAACACTAAAGAAAGGTAAACATTTGGTGAAGACACTATCCTTGTCCTCAAGGAGCATGGAATCTGGAGTGGACAAAGGAACACAGATGGGACCCAGGGAGCTTTGGTGTTGAGGTCCTCTTTTAGGGTCCTCTGCCGCTTGGCTATTTTGCTCCTGGAAGGAAGAAGGAAGGTTGTGACCGGTGCAGATGGAGTTTGTAGGAAGGTGTCAAGACTGAAGTCAGCCTTCTGGGTAGTAGAAACATACTGGGACCTACTTATCTATTACACTCCTTTTGCAAGATTCAGAAACCGGATGTTTAATATGGCTGTTATTCATGGGAGTAGTGATAGGATATTTCTCTTGTAAAGATTCTGGGTAGTGGCAGAAGAAATTACCATGAATGAGATACATGCAGTGAGAATTGTGGGTCAGGACTCCAAGGAACAGGCTAGAGAGATGGGATGGGAGGCTTTTTAGTTTTATGGTAATGTAGCTATTGACAACCTAAGGACTCCTAAAATTAGCATTTTGTAGCTATATGCAGGTAATTTCCTTTTAAGCTAACTAGGGAAAACAGGGCATTTAAGAGATTTATTTCTCTTGGAATTTAGAATACGCTCCATAGGTGCAAAGATCCCCAAAATATGCAAGGAGTTGGATCTTGACGATGTCCTTAATTAACTCCAGAAGCCATGTTAAGCTTGTTAAATAATATAGTATATTAACATATTAAATTTATATTAAGTAACATAGTATGCTATTATAGTTCTTTGTCTATCATAGTTGATATAGAATTGAAAATGAAACCAGTTTTCCTTAGAATTGAAAATGAAACCAGTTTTTGTGGAGTTCTAGATTAAAAATAATCTGAAATGATTGTGTGTACTGGGCATGAAAAGAAAATTCAGTCTTTTTTTAAGCTCCATAGAACACAAATTTGCATGGCACCATTCCTTGGGTTTTAGTGATTGTAAAAGATGCTGAATACTTAGCTTGGGGGCTTTTGGAAACAAGGTGACATTCTGCTGATTTGCAGTGGGGCTAATGATCATTGTTTCTAGAAAAACACCACTTTTTGAGTGCCAAGAAACATGCTAAAGTACTAAAGTTGGTTCTTAGATAAAGATGTGTACACTTGTGTTAGCCTTGATCTTTGTTTAGTTTTATCTTTTTTACTTATGCCATTCAGGACGTGTGTGGGTCATGTTAATCTCCTGGGTAAAGAAATGAGCAAGTATTTATTTGATTGGCAAACAAATAAGCATGCACATGTATTTTATAGATGCTTGAAAACTGTTTCCCACATATATCTGAACTGATAAATTTTAAATTTCGTACATGCATCAATTAAGTGAACACATTTGTTGAGTCCAAACACATTTGTTGAGTGCCAAGCACTGTGCTAGGTGCTTTGAGGAATCAGGATGAGTGAGACAGATCCTGTCCCATCTTGCCGACTGACTAATAGGAGAGAGAAGATTGCAAAATGAGCTTCATGTATACCTAATAGAAGATTGTATCATTGGAGAGTTATAAGTAAAGCGTTAAAGAGGTCTCAGGAGAGAGATTACCTCCAGTGGAGGGAATCAGAAAAAGGGTAATGAAGGAAATGTGAGAGATACAAATTATTCTAGATAGAGGGACCCGTAGGAGCACAGGCCTTGAGGAAGGAAATCATGGCGTGTACTTGGGAAACAGTGAGTAGTTGCGTCTGGTGTCATGTATGGAGGGTTAGAGGTACACAGATTCTGGTCACCCAGGGAGTGAGGAAGGCAGACAAGGCCAGGCTGTGGAGTGTTGACTTGATGCTTTGTTGTGGGTTTTCGAGCTGGAAGGCCTCAAGATTAGAACTTTGCTGTGGGAATACAGTGACTGTGTTGTCAGAGCTTAGTTGCTGGGGATTGGGTGGGATTAGAAAGCTGGGGGTTGAGGTGTTACTCAGGAGACTTTTGCCATAATTTAGGCAGCAGGTAATGAGGGCAGAAAGTAATGTGTAAGTTATGTGTAAGAAGTATTTTGGGACTAAGCTGATGTGTATTTGAACCTGATTAGATTAGGACATTTATTTATTCAATGAATTTTGATTAATAATCCTCCTTCCTCTCTCCACACAGTGAGCTTGGAGCTCCCTGGCCAGGTGAGGTCAAGAAGCAAGAGGCATTAACTATAGCCTTAGGTTTCAGCCGTGCGTGACTGTGCTGGGAGTGTGGTGATGCAGAAACCTGAGAACATCCAGCCCGTTACACAGGCCTTGAGAAGAGTGTAGAATTTATCTGGTCCTTCGCTTTCAGATAATTTCAGATAAACCATTGCAGACAGATGAGAATCTCATCTCCCCTTATAAACCACCAGCAGAGGAATGGATTAGCAGTGAGCTATTAGGGGGCCTTCATTTTTTAGAGAGTGTTTAGGGTAGAACAGACAGCTTTAAAAACCATTTATCTTGTCCTCTTTAAAATACTCAGTCATAATCAGTGTGCTTAATCATGAGGCCCCCGACCAGCTGTCTTCTCCACCACTGTCTTCAAAGCTGACATTTTGACTTCATATCAGTTTTCAGGAATGTCCTTTCCATGCTTCCCTTTGAAGGGAAAAATGAAAGAAGCCTTTAAAAATAGTAAGCTCATAAATAGTTATTTAGAGAGGGGATATAAAGTTAGGTAATTTATTTTGTTATGCCTTTTTGCACGTTTACTTTTTCCAGGTGAGAGAAAATAAATGTGCAATGGGGGCCCCGGTTCATTTTTAGATGTGAACTTCTTTCATATTTCCAAATAAAAGCTCAGTCACTGCATGGATTGATAAATTATAGATGGAAAACTGTTCTCAGTTTTCCTCCTCTTAGATTTCTTTGCTTCATGTGACCATAGATCTCTCTCTTCTCTTTGAAACTCCACCTTCCTTTGATATCCAAATACTGTCACCGCCACCTGTTATTTATCAATATAGTGACAACAGTTATAATGATAAGTCTTTCTTTGCACCCTTCTCTCTGTTTCATTATTTTCTCTTTCAGCTTCCTATTGTGGCCATCCCATAGAAAATGGGGACTTGCTGTTCTCCTTTCACTTTCAGAGAGTTGAGCTACTGCCTCTGTTCCAGTGACTCATTCCTAAGTCTTGATTTACATCTTTGACCAGGACATCTGTGAGGGTCAGGAGAAAGCTAGCTGGTGAAGAGAGAAGATGAGAGAAAAAGGTGGAGGATAAAGGAGAGTTTACCTCAAATGGAAGAAGATCTACAGGTCTTAGTAGAAGGCTTCAGAATAGAGAAGCATAGTAGGAGGTGAGGCTATGAAAGTGTTGAGCCTCCATTTCATGTTGGAAGGGAGGGAGTGCTCCTCAGCGTGAAACCTGCGGACAGGTTGGTGTGTCAACTGTTTATAACTGACCTGTGACAAGATGAGTTGTGCTTGAAGATGAATGGAAAAAAAAAAAAGTTGAGAATTCGTGTTTAGAAACTTTTAACAAATCGACAGGGTAACTTTAAATCTGTTGAATCTAGCAAAAATTTGGGGCTTATATTTTGTATGGGTTTGTTTTTTATTTCATTTATTAGTAATTGTCAAGATTATTTGTATTTTATAAAAGTATTGGTCCCCAGTGGCTTGGAGGAGAAAGAGGACCCTCACCACACATGGTTTGAGAGGTCCTGTTGTAGGTATGTGAAGATGGTAGTTGGAGGATGTTCCAGTTGAAGTGGTTGGTTTGGGCCCCAGAAACCAAGGGGTGTCAGGTTGGGAGGCATATGGATGCTCACCCGAGGCAAAGGGAGCCCTGATGACATGGTGTCCGGTGACTTGTGGGAGTCGCAGGGTGGAGGAAGGTGTTTGGACACCTGGGTACCCACACCCAGGTGAGGCCTAGCCCCAGCATTTGGTAGGAATGTGTGTATTCTCTGCTCGGTGAGGCCTTCTAGGCTGGGAAGGGTTCCCCACAGTCTGGGTAGGGCCGTAGGGCTGTCACCAGCAGTGTCATTTTGGCTCACTAGCCATGAATAGAGCACGACATCTTTCAGTATGACCCAGGCTTGCTTTTCATCGTTCGTTTGTCCCTGTTCTTTTCTACCTTGCCTCTGTCTAGACTTACTGCACAAGCCTTCCTGTTGGTTCTTTTCTTTTGTTTCTTAAATCCTTCTCTAATATTCTGACATAGAGAGTGATTCTTTCTGTTGCTGGCTTTCCTGGACCTCTTGTATTCTGAGTCGTGAACCTTCACATGGGTCTTTTCCTAATTCGGTCCCTTATCTGACAGTGGCTGGTTTGTCTTTCTTCAAAAGATGGTGTCATGATGGATGCCCAGCAAATGGTAACACCCGCAGAGTAGTAGAGAGTAGATTCGGGGACCCTGGGCTGGCAGCTCCATAATTCTTTCTCCCTTTTCTGCCAAAGAGACAGGATATTAAACCACTGAACTGGCGCGGTCCTGGGCTGCCTGCCAATGGAATATTTGGGGAGAGAATGGTGCAGCTTTTGTTTCTCTTGCCTTCTGTGGAGCCCTGGGGTGGATTCTGAAGGGATGTTTTCCCTCGCAGGAGTAACCCATTTGGTATTGAGAAAGCAGGAAAGCAAGTTTTCCTGTTACGAGCAGTGAACAAAAAGCAGAAAAGCAGGCAGCGGATGGCGATATCCTGTTGTAGAAGGCTTGCGGGAGCGAATGCAGACAAGTGCCCCTCATTCTTTCCGTGTCTTTAAGAAAAGCCAGGAGATGAGAAGGAAATTGGTTACTTTGCAGGCCACATCCAAATGGTTTTCCTCTTATTTATGGTGCTTATCAAGGAGGTCATAAGTGTATGTTTTGTGATTTAAAAACTTGTCAGACCAGAGATCTATAACACATGACAAATTAGAAAAACGAAATAGATTGGTGGGTTTTTTGGTTGGTTGGTTTCCCATGAGGTCATTCGAAGTTTGCTTGGGAGGGGGCAATGAACTGTAAAAGTAAATGTAAACTTTATACAAGTTTTATTTATTTTTAAGTTTAAAATCACTTAAAGATGGCACAATTCCTACTGAGTTAGATTTATAAGAAGTTGGCTTGTCAGATGCTCTTAGGGGACCTTTCTTTGGTACATTTTACAATGAACTAGGGATGGGCATGGTGGCTCATGCCTGCAATTCCAGCATTTTCAGAGACCAAGGTGGGAGGACCACTTGGGCTCAGGAGTTCGAGACCAGCCTAAGCAACATAGCGAGAGCCCGTCTCTACAAAACATAAAAAAATTAGCCAGGCATGGTGGCATGTGACTGTGATTCCAGCTAATTGGGAGGTTGAGGTGGGAGGATCACTTGAGCTTAGGAGTTAGAGGCTGCGGTGAGCTGTGATGGCGCCATTGTACTTCAGTCTGGGCAGCAGAGTGAGACCGTGTCTCAAAAAAAAAACAAAACCAAAAACAAAAAACAAAAAGCTTTTTCCTCTCTTATTACATGAGCAATACATGTTTATTATAGGAAAATTAGAAAACATTTACAGACAACCAAACAGTACCGGAATGGGATAGAAAGGCATGGAGGTGGAAAATGAGAGTGATGTGGTGAGAAGGAAAAGGAAGGTCGCCTGGGAGCAGTGGGGGTGGGGAGAGGGCCAGGGAAACCTCACTGGGATACTCAGGCCCCCAGTGAGCTCCCCTTCCTGTGAGGCTGCCTCACTTTGATACTACACCTTCTGTTGTGACTTTATACCCTTTGACGCTGGCTTCCCCAGTCTGCCATGGGTCTAGACCTGATCATTCCAGATTTGCTTGGCACTAGAAAACTGTAATGGCAAGTTGCAAGACCAGTTAATTCAGTGCATCTCCCATCTTGTTAGTCAAGGCGAGGGAGTGCTAGGCAAGGAGGGTCTCTAAGACAGGCAGATTTCTATCAGTGAGGGAGTGTTGTGTGTGTGACTCTTTGAGAATCTTGGCTATAAGGGAGATAATATTTTTTAAAAGATGCAGAAAAGTAAAATAAAATGTTTTTTTGGGGGAGGAGAAAGTGTACAGCAGTCCTTGACATCCTTCATTGTCTTTTTGACCCTCCTGTTCCCCTCAGTGTCTTGCCATATTGACAAATGCTTAGGTGTTCTATGGAATGAAACAGCTTGGGCTCACTGTTTTATCTCAGTAAACATTTATAGAGCAGCTGTCAGTAGAGTATACTTTCAGTCAGCTTTAGCTTATAAAGATGAGAGATCCTTAAAAGGCAAGGGATTAAACTGCCTTGGGCTTTTTTGTATCTGTGAAAACATATTTACTGTCAAATCCACTAGTTATTTTATTACAGGTAATGTAGGATTAACATGTAAAGGGAAAGTGAAGGCTCAGACTGGATAATCTGTTGATTTTGGTAACTTATTTATTTAACATGCATTCACTGAGTATTGTTACACACCAGCCACTCTGCCAGACCCTGAGGATAGAGCTGTAAATGGGACAGACTCAGCCCCTGACCTTGCAGACCTTACAGTCTGGTCAGGACCTAAGTAGCTGATCAGACAGTTCCAGTATAGTGGGATCAGGGACCCAAAGATACCCTAGACAGGATACTGCAGATGTGTGGGGTGCCCTGTGATGATATGAGAAAGGTACCTGCTCTAGACCCAAGGAGTGACATCTTATAAAGACAGATATTATAAGATACCATGTCTGTTATTGTTATGTTGGTAAGGACGTGGAGAGATTTGAACCGTCATACATTGCTGGTGTTAAATGGTGCAGGCACTTGGAAAACAGTTTGGCGTTTCTTCAGAAAGTTAAATATAGAGTTATTTGACCTAGTTCTATGACCCAGCAGTTCCACTCCTAGTTATATATCCAAAAGAATTGAAAATATGTTCACATAAAAATGTGTACTTGTGTGTTCTTAGTAGTATTATGGATAATAGCCAAAAAGTAGAAATAATCGGGCCAGGCGCAGTGGCTCACGCCTGTAATCCCAGCACTTTGGGAGGCCGAGGCAGGTGGATCATGAGGTCAGGAGATCGAGACCATCCTGGCTAACACGGTGAAACCCCGTCTCTACTAAAAAAATACAAAAAAATTTAGCTGGGTGCGGTGACGGGTGCCTGTAGTCCCAGCTACTCAGGAGGCTGAGGCAGGAGAATGGCGTGAACCCTGGAGGCGGAGTTTGCAGTGAGCCGAGATCATGCCACTGCAGTCCAGCCTGGGAGACAGAGTAAGACTCCATCTCAAAAAAAAAAAAAAAAAAAAAAAAAAAAAGTAGAAACAATCAAATGTCTGTAACTGATGTGTAGTATATCCACCCAATAGAATATTATTCAGCCATTCAAAGGAGTGGAGTACTGACACATGCCACAGTATGGATGAATCTTGATAACATTATGTGAAGTGGAAGAAGCCAGACGTAAAAGGCCACATATTGTTGCATTCCATTTATACGCGATGTCCAGAATAGCATAGAGACAGAAAGTAGATGAGTGGTTGCCAGGGACTGGAGGGAGGGGCATGGAGAGTGACTGCTGATGGTGTGAGCTTTCTTTTGGAGTGGTGAAAATTAGATTGTTATGATGATTGCATGACTTTGTGGATATATAGTAAAATGACTGAATTGTATGCTTTGGATGAGTTTTGTGGTATGTGAATTATATCACAAAACTTTATTAAAAACACAAGTTTGTATTTTGTCCTGAGGTTGGTTGAGAGCCTCTGAAGGATTTTAAACAGGACAGTGATGTGGTTGCATTTGTATTTTGGGAAGATCATTCTGGCTGCAGTGAAGAGTTGGCTTGGAAGGGACTGTTAGAATAATACAGATGAGGAACATTGGGAAATAGCTGCGGGAATGATAGGAAGTAGACAGGTCCAAAATCTAAAACTCAGTGGGGTTGGGTAATTGATTAGATGTAGGAGGGAGGGGAGAGGAATCAAGGATGATGCCTGTATGCCCAGCTGATCCATGGGTGGAAGAACAAGCAGGTGAGGGAAGAAAGATGACCTCGGCATGCCACAGCTGGACCCGTGGAGATGTCCCTGGAACAGGCCCATTGAGGTGTTGAGTAGGCAGCTGATACAGAGCTCAGGAACCCAGCATCTCAGGGGGCTTGCTAAAAATGCAAATTCTTGGACTCGACTGCAGACATTTGAGCCAGGATCTCTGGTCATGGTGTATTTACCATGGCCCGCCTTGAAGCCACAGTCGTGGGTGTGATTTCTAGTGGTGAGTGTGTAGAGGAGATGAGGAGTGGGTCCCTCACCATTTACAGGACGGGTAGTGGAGAGAGGACCTCACAGGAGACTGGGCCAAGGCCAGAGAGATAAGAAGCCTCCAGGAGGTCAGGTGTCAGGGAAGCCAAGGGAAGTGTGTTTCCAAAGCCAGGAGGCTTCCTGGGGTGCCACAACCTTCTGAGAGGTGAAGTGGGGTGTACATGCAGAGTTTGCACTGGATTCACCAGTGAAGTGATGGCTTTGGTAAGGGCCATGGGTGCTGCAGAGATGTCCCCAAAGCAGGGCTCGTGTGTGGCTGCTACATGTGCCCTATGAGTGCTTTAGGGGGTGGAGTCCTTGCAGTGCTTGAAGGGCAGCATGACCCAGCCTGCCTTCCTTGGCTCTGTTACCTTCTACAGTGTGGCCTTATTTGAGCATACCAGGTGCTTCCAGGCCTCCACTGGGTGAGGGTGGATGGGGGGAACCCTTGGTAAATGGCCCTGGCTCTATGGGGCACATAGAGCAGGATGAGGGAAGAGGTGCAGCATTAGGGCAGGGGGTCCTGGGACCTGCTGACACAAGCAGATGTCTCATCTGGTTCTTCACTGTGCTCTGTGGCCCCTGGCACTGTTTGTATCAAGATATCAAGTACTCTTGGCCAGGTGCAGTGGCTCATGCCCATAATCCCAGCACTTGGGGAGGCCGAGGTGGGCGGATCACTTGAGGTCAGGAGTTCAAGACCAGGCTGGCCAACATGGTGAAACACCTCTACTAAAAATACAAAAATTGGCTGGGTGTGGTGACGCATGCCTGTAATCCTAGCTATTCAGGAGGCCGAGGCAGGAGAATCACTTGAACCTGGGTGGCGGAGGTTGCAGTGAGCTGAGATGGTGCTGCTGCACTCCAGCCTGGGTGACAGAGTGAGACTCCATCTCAAAAAAAAAAAAAAAAGATATCAAGTACTGTTAGTACACTGTGGGTCAGAATCACCCCACCCAGGCCTGGGTGTTTTTGAAGTTGGGACATTTCATATTTTTCTTGGTTTGTTGGTCATGTACAGTTTGAGAGAGATATTGTATAAATACCCTTCCCCCTCTGTTTTGGCCGTCTTTTGCCTTTTGAAATATTGTCTAATAAAAGTTATGTAATTATTCTAGGATTGTAAATCTAGGTCTCAATCAGTATACAATCAGTTTTCAACATAACAGAATTACAGTGTATTATTACAGTGTATTATCAGTATAAGAAAAATAAATGGGAATGACAGTATGTTCAAACTCAGTTAAATGTGTGTCAATTAGTTTACTGTCCAAGGCGAGTGCCTGCTGATCTCTGTGTTGTAAGCTGGTGTGGCACTCCTGGATTGCTTATCTATGCTTTTGAAATTGCTTTTCTTTAAGGAAGGGATTGTTATTGTTTCAAACAGCTTTGAAGCTGTTCCACTTGTAAATTTATAATTTGTATTTTTAATCTTTATAAGTTGCATTTGCTTTTTCTTTTTTAAAGCAGCAAATCAGTGTTATGGAAACCTTTAGGTGTTAAATATTATTCTTTTATTTGGGAAATATTGCACAACAGCAAGATGTGGAAATCCTCCAAATGCAAGGTTGTCCCTGAGTCAGTGGCTTAGTAAAGAAATCAGAGGCGCAATGAAGATCTGGTCCTCAGCTCACCCAGGACTTACCGTGCCTTAGTGGCAGGGTAATTGTCTCAAAATTAAGATTTAAGAATACCATTTTCCCCCTATTCAGTGGTTACCTGTTTTGTGCTGTAAGATTTCAGGCCCAATATGTCAACTCGTAACATTTTGAGACTACTACTTATTTTTTCTTGTCTGTATGCTAGGAATTAGATGTGTTAATTTGGACTCTTGGTTGCAAGTGACAGAAACTCATTCCAAGTAATTAAAGGAAAAAAGGGATATATGTTGTAAGGACACAGTATGTCTCCAAGAACTAAAGGGTGGGGGTCCAGCTGAGTGTATTGAGGGGGTCCCAGCCTTCAAGATCCTCTCTTATCTCGGCTGCTCTCTAGAGTTTTTGGGTCCTCTGCCTGGAGATTGACTTTCTTTGCTTCTAGTCTACATGGTAGGAATTCGCTGTCTGAGAGACCAGCTACTTGGCAAGAAACTGGTCCTTCTCTCAGGCTGCTCTAATCCCCCAGGGAGGTGATCCACATTGGGTCCGATACCAAGTCATGGGGTCATCTGTAGGAATGTGGCTTCTCGGATCCCCGCTGCTGTACGCATGGCTCCTCAGGGCCACTGTCTTTCCTCAGGGCGAGGAGCTGCTCCTTGGCCTCCAGGGAAGGCCTGTCCTGGGGGGCCTTGCATCAGACCTGGCATGAATGACCCTGATTGCCACTGGGGGAAGGGAAAGAGGACATCTCAGAAAAACAACACGTTACAGGGAAAGGGAGGTGCCGGGCAGCCACCCCAGCAGGTGTACTCTCCATTAAATTTATTTTAGCTGAGAAAATAGAATTGGTGGGGGAGGAGTTTGTTGCCCCCAAACATAAATCCATCCAGAAATGACTTCTAGGTTGCTCATTTCTTTGCTCTGGGTGACTGGGAGCTGGTTTTTTAGCCAAGTCTGGGCCACACCTAGTTGAATCATTACAGACATAATATCTTTTTTCCCCTCAGTTAATGTATAAACTAATATTACTTATCTTTTTTAAAGATATTAATGTATCTTTATAATACTTTTGCATATTTAGTATGTAACCTTACTTTGATAATGTTTTCCAGTAAGATTTGTTGCTTTAAAAGACAAACTCTCAAACAACTTTATCAGTACCATTTAATGTGCCCAAACAATGTCAAACAAGCAATGATTGGATAGCCAGGGAAGCTGAATTGCCTGTTATTAGTTTGTATGGTGAAACATCTCACAATTGCACTTTCAAAAGTATTTTTTACATATATATTCTAAAAATGATCAAAACATTTGGCACTCCGTTTACAGGAAAAAAATATATATTTCCAGGGAAACTCTCTATGTTCACTAAACTGGAAAGACCTTGTGGAATTTAAATTTGTCATCTTCAAAGGCTTTGGTATAGAATACAGTAACCAGACCAGGTTCTGTTTCATTCAGCTACAAAGGCACTTTTGTTGTTACCATTCCACGTCCCTGTGATGCTTAGTGCAGCTGATATTTGGTCCTGACAGTGCTTTTGGAAAGCTTGGCTGATTTCTGAAAAAAATCCCAGATTCTTTGGCCTAGGAATTTATCATAGGCCTCAGATCCTGGGTCTAGTCACTGCAGACAGCTAGTATATGTTAAAAGCTGTCTTAGCCTGTATCTAGTGTCTGTCTTCATTTAAGGCTGGAGAAAGGCTGTACAGGCTTATTAGGCACAGCTGTTAGGAACCTAGAGAACAGTTGACAACTGTGTGCAATATTATGGTAATAGTATAACTTATTAATAATATCAATGTAGTCAATATTATCAATGTAATTGAGTAATACAGCTTAGGCCACAAAGAACTGCATATAGTTTTCCATTAAAATCCCAATCCACATTCCATATGCCTCTCTTCCTGCTCTGCCCTGCACAACTGACCCTGTGCGCCTGGCTGCTCCTCTCTTCTAATTTCTCCCATTGCGGTCCCCTCCACAGTTAAGCACCGGCTCGCTTTCTCTTAGGTGCGATGCCCCCTTCCCCGCACTGGAGGCTGCCCAGCCAACGCAGACGTTCCCACTTCCTGTTCACACAGAATCGCCTCTTCCTTTCTCATTTCTCACAGGGAGTCCTCTTTTCCTGCTACCGCATGGGGACACAGATTTTGTTTTTGAAAGTTTGTAGAAAGTTCCTTTAGTGCTAATCTCCAATGGGACCCTACCCTACACAGAGGGCAAGTTATTTTCTTCCCATTCTGTTTTTTGGAACTTTTATTTAATTTCAGACTTATATGAAAAGTCAAGGATAGTATAAGGAAGTCCTGGTGTACCCTTTAACTAGATACCCCGGTTGTTTCAAATTATTATTTTTTGCTAATCCATAGTAGTAGAGTAATGGGCCATTCATTCATATGTTCATTCAAGAAAATTTCATAGCAGAACCTTTGTGCAAAAAAAGTGGATGAGGCAATTCTTTCCCTGCTTCATTTCTACTATTAGCAATTCATGACTGATTTAGCTCTTTGGTTTGTGAAATGGATGACTGAAAACCTCTCCTAAGTTAGGAAAGTAAGTGAAGAAGGCACTTTAAAACTGAGGTGCCATCTTTTTTGTCTTCTCTGTGGGATATTCATTTAAAATTTTTCTCGTAGTAAAGGCAAGCACAGATGGAAGGTGGTATAAGGTTCAGCCTCATCCCTTAACTTCAGCCTGATGGTGCTTGTGATAGTGCTTGATTTGCTGGTGATACTGGCGTAGTTAAGAATCTCCCAGCTTAGGAGAGAGAACTTAACATGGCAAAGGTAAAAAGAGGAGCAGGTTTCATCAGACTATTGTGCTTTATGCTTGAGGCAGGGCAGTAGCAATGGAAGAACTTAGATGTGATTCTGGGCTTATGCCTTCCCTCTTGCTTGCCCTCAAACCCTGTCCAACCAACAACTAACAGCAAACCAAGTTTTTAGATTTATCACAGTTAGGGACTTAACTGCTTTATGTGGACTTGTGTGGCTTTCTCAGCTATTCTGTAAAACCTGCTTTATTACCATTGCTATTATTTCTGCTGTTGTGAGCTCAGTGTCAGTGTCTGGTTGTTAGGATGTACAAAGATTCTGGGTGAGGCTATGTTGGTCTAGAGCTCTAGGTTATAGTGGGCCATGGAAGCCCACCTTTCAAATTTTTGGCGAGGCCACAAATTACCCCATTAAGGGTCTCAGAGCATGGAGAGTAATGTTTTTATGTTTTAATTACTCTAGACCAAGGCTGTTTTTTTTCTAAGTGAGAGCACTAATATTTGTAATTTTGCAGCCATTGGGTTTATAAATATGCCTGAGTAATCCCCATGAACTAGATTTTAGAGTGAGCCACCAGAAGAGTCTCCTCTTTTGAGATGCGGCAAAGAATTGCAGTGTCTTACAGTGGAAAAGGAAGACAGTGAAAAATGATCTATGCAGAAATTCACCCCTGGTTTTGGCTTTTGACTTCTTCATGACTCCCCTTTCTTGCTTACCGTGTTAGGCAGATAATCTTCTTTGAGATGTGGTAGTCAGACTAACTCAGCCCCATCTGCTTTGTGTTTTTTTTTCAATGCAAGATTAACCCTGCTTCCAAAACCTCCTGGTGTTTTCTTGGGAGTAGGAGGGTGAGTGAGGGGAGGTGGAGGGTGTGGGGTGCTTCGCTCCTCTTGTAATAACCCTCAAGTGTGTGCTATCTGATGGGCCCAGGCCACATGTTGTGCTATCGCTGGGGACCAGGTAACAGTCTGAGGTTTCTTGGTTACAGTAACTGATCCTCACTCCAGGCCCTGGCAGGAAGGAGAACCCTCCTGCAGTTACTGAAACCTGGTTCCCGGTTTTAATTTCTTTAATTCTTTTGTACAAGGGTCTGAGTTACAGAGGTTTCTCCTTGTCTCAGAAAGTTCTTACCATTGGCTTTAAATAAAACCAGGTGGCTTTCTTGGTTCAAGTGGCTTACAGAAAGAATACCTTAGAAAGCAATTTAATTCAATTACATTTAATTAAATTATATTGAATTTGAATAATTAAATTTATATTCTAAGTTTTTTTCTTAGAAGCATAATGAGCTATTTTAGAAATATGTATTAAGGTTGCTGGTTTTTTCCTTCTGCCACAAAACGTGATTTGCATGGGAAATTATTTATAGTAGCTTAGAATTCTGAACAAGAGTGACAAAATTTATCTTCTTTGCTCTCCTGCAAATTTGTATAGGCTTAGGAAATTTTGTCATTTAACAAAGCTCTTGAAATCTCTGTGGCTTAAGTTACTGTGGACATAATTCTTATCTGATTTCAATAGAAAAGGACAGTAGGGATGTGAACACAGTGGCAGCTGGGAGAGGGCGCAGGAGTGATGTTAGTGGTAATCTATTTTATTTTCAGGTGTGTTTAGGAACTGGGCTCCTGGAGACAACCAAGAAATTGGGAACTGGAAGTGGTTTGACTGAAGGAGTAATGGGAGAGACTTCATCCCAACGGCGAATCCCTACTGAGGCCTGAAAAACCTACCATTAGAAATTCATTAGCATCAATAGAGTGGAGAGACAGCCAATGGAATGGGAGGATATATTTGCAAATTGTACATCTGATAAGGGATTAATATCCAAAACATATAAAAAACTCAACTCAAAGTGAGAAAACAACTCAGTTAAAAAATGGGCAAAGAGCCTGGGCAACATAGTGAGACCCTGGTCTCTACTTAAAAAAAAAAAAAAAGAAGGCTGGTGTGGTGGCATGTGTCTATAGTCCCAGTTACTTAGGAGTCTGACGTAGGAGGACCACTTGAGCCCAGGAGTTCGAGGCTGCAGTGAACCATGATTGCACCACTGCGTTGCTCTCCAGCCTGGGTGACACAGTGAGACCCTGTGTCTACCCCCACAAACCTCCCCAAAAAAAAGGGCAATAGCCATTTTTCAAAAGAAGACATACAAGTGGCCAACAGGTATATGGAAAAATGCTCAACATCAATAATCATCAGGGAAATGCAAATTAAAACCACAGTGAGATACCACCTCACACCATGGAACCCTTGGATACGGAGTGTGGTCTGTACTTTGAAATCATTTAGGATAGCAGAATATTTTGTGGAATCTAGGGAGATGGGGAGCTGAGGTCAGGGAGAAGTAAGCTGTGTGCTGGCATTTGTTTACCAGGAGATCCTTCCATCCTACTCCATGGCCAGGCAGTGAGTAGTGGGCCAGGGGTGAGGGTCTCTGTGGAAGCACAGGATGCTGACATTAGACAGGGCACACTCCTACCTTTGCTGCATATCCACTGCCCCTTGCAGGGCCTTCATGTTTCCCTAGGGGCTGTGGAGCTGTGCCCATCATCCCCACTAGAAGCCCCCAGCTCTGATAGTCAAGCATTTCCATGGGGAAAATTGGTCGTGCTGAGAGCTAATGACTTATGGTTATTAAGGATGTTTTGAATCTTTAAACAGGAATGGTACTTGGCTGAATATCAGTTTGGCTTCTGTTGCTCATTGCATGTCTTCTTTATTTTCAAAAAGCCAACTGATTTCTCTTTCATATGTGGTGTTTCCTGTGGTTCTGGTGTTTTTGTGAACAAATTTGTTATGAGGAAATTCAGCAGATTGTGAGTTCTGATTTTTTTTTTTTTTTTTTTTTTGCCACTAGTGGAACATGTTCTTTAGCTGCAAACTGGAAATGTAGTTTTTATTGGTTGAATTTTGATAGGGTGTACTTGCTTTGTGGATCATCCTGAGCAATTGGGACCACTTTTGTCTGGGGTTTGAAGTAATTGCAGGTGAAAAGGATGAGTGTAGTGGTGGTGAAGGTCTCATTTCTACAGCTGAGTCAAGTCGTCTGCAGGTTGTGTTCATCATTCACATTCCTGCTTTGCTTGGTTTGCCTGGGATGTTTGTATCACTATCAGCGAATGACCTTTAGAGCATTCGGATAACCTTAAGTTCTGGGTATTGAAAAGATGTATTTTTCTTTCCTGTTTGGATGAAATTTTCATTAGTATGAAAGCTGCAGACCTCATGTTTCCATTGCGAGGTTCAAGAGAGAAGGTAGAAGAATGAATGAAAAGTCCTTGGGACTCGGCCCCAAGCCCTCGGTGAAGAAGTTGTGCCTCCTCAGGCTCTGTCTGCTTCAGGGACTTTCAGGAAGTTGCAGGTGTGTTGTGCCTGCATTGTGGGCTCAAGCAGAAATCAGTAAAGCAAAGAGCAAGAACTGAGCTTTGGCGGGAAAGGGGGAGCCTGAAGAGCTCACAGTGTCAAAGGAAGCACTGAGCTGGCTCCTAGGCAAAGAACATGCCAGAGGCTTCCCTTCAGCCTTTCAAGGCCACTATTACCTCCCCTTCCCTCCCCCATTGCTTCAGGTGACAGTGGAGGAACTGGAAGTTGCACAGAACACAGTGGCTCGCACAGCCCTTTATTGCTGGATGGAGAGGGGAGGGGTCCTCGCAGAGGCGGGCTGGGAAGCTGGGTGGGCAGGTGATGGAGAGGAAGTCTCCCACTGAGTTCTTCATCCTTCTTACGTCCACCTGTGCAGGATGAGCTGCTTGTGCTTGGCCTTACGTCCTGGCAGCTGTCTCTGAAAAGTTTTAATCTTTGATTTTGAGAATCAGACATCTTTGGATCCAAGGGTTACCAACACCTGGGGGGGCCATGTATATGAAGTGGAGGCTGGTTTTAGAGCAACGACACATTAAAGTGGGCTGGGCTACAGCTGCTCTAGGGGATAGATGGAGAGAGTTTGTGGGACTTGTCATTAGTGTCTACAACATGGTGGGTGCTTATGACATGTTTATTTTTTATTTATTTACTTAGAGACGGAGTCTCGCATGTCGCCTGGGCTGGAGTGGAGTGGTGCAATAGCTCACTGCAACCTCCCCCTCCAGCATTCAAGCTATTCTCCTGCCTCAACCTCCCGAGTAGCTGGGATTACAGGCGCCCGCCACCACGTCTGGCTAATTTTTTGTATTTTTAGTAGAGACAGGGTTTCACTACGTTGGCCAGGCTGGTCTTGAACTCCGACCTCGTGATCCACCCACCTCAGCCTCCCAAAGTGCTGGGATTACAGGCATGAGCCACTGCGCCCGGTCATGACATGTTGATTGGATGGGAGAATAAGTTAGTCATGCAAGGTCATACTGTTTGTAGCTGATTCAGGTTTCGCTGTCTCGGATATTTCCATTCGTGTATCACTGCAAGGGGAAGTGGTTTTGCTTTTTTTTTCTCCTACAGGCCTGAAATATGGAATGAACTCTAGGTACTTGATTTTAATTAAAGCATTACCAAAGTGTTATTTTTGCTCTGTGACATAGATAAACTACACATGCTATGTGTCTTTCCATTTTTGATTTGTTTTTACTTGCTGTCCATGGCTTGAAATTTTAGACAGGATCCAACATGCAAGCAGGTGTCATCTTACATGTTGAAACCTAAATATCCTCCATAAACTTTGATAGCTCCATAGGTTATTTTCAGTATTTTCACATATCATATTTCAATTTTTTAAATCTATAGCATAATTGCTTCTTGTATTTTTAGATGTCATGAAGATGTTGGCCTAGGAGAGAACCTGCAGCATTCATTATCTGGAAAGATCAATCATTTCCTAATGAAATCCAGTTTTGTATGTTAGGGATCATTATCTGATAATACAGTATGTGTCCTGCTTTCAAAAATTTAGCTATTGGCTGGGTGTGGTTGCTCATTCCTGTAATCCCAACACTTTAGGAGACTGAGGTGGGAGTATCTTTTGAGTCCAGGAGTTCAAGACCAGCCTGGGCAACATGGTGAAACCCTGTCTCTACAAAAAAATTGTAGAAAATTAGCTGAACGCTGTGGCGCACACCTGTGGTCCCAGCTATGTGGGTGGGAGGCAGGAGAATCACTTGAGCCTAGAGGTTGAGGCTGCAGCGAGCCATGATTGTGCTTTTGCACTCCAGCCTGGGTAACAGAGCAAGACCCTGTTTAAAAAAAAAAATTTCAGCTGTTACATCAGTAGCCTTTAACACACTCCCTCAGTCCAGATTTGTCTTTTTCTTTTCTTTTCTTTTCCTTTTTTTGTAGCTGGGACTACAGGCGTTTGCCACCATGCCCAGCTAGAGTTGTCTTTTTCTAAGATGTCCTTACTCCATGGCCACACCATGCCTCCCGATGACAAGGCTGACCACACTGCCCCTGTCCAAGGAGCAGCCTTCAGCATTGCCTGCTACCTCCTTTTGGCCAGATATTCTGAGGTTGGAAGGTGAGGGGTGATAAGGTATGTGGATTCAGAAGTACTGTAAACATACTCAGATGAACAGTATTACCATTTAAGAATTTTCATTTCACAGTTGGGTTTCATCTCCAAAATTCTTGAGTAATGAGAGAATTGAGTAAGGGTAGTCATTGATGATTCTGTTGGGTCCAGAAAACAGAGTGATTGATTGAAGTCTGTACAATGCCAAAACATATTTTTAACTATTCATTTTCTTTCCATTCTTAGCCATACAGAAAATAACCAAACAAAAAATTAAACACGAACTCCACAGTCAGACTTATTCAGCTGTTTATTATTATTATATTCATTATTTGTACTTAGCTATGATTATTCAGCTTATTAAGCTTTGCTGTTTATTAGTAGCAGAGCTTAATGTCAGGGATTTGAATTTCGCTTTTTGGTGTGAAGTCTTTACCTAACAAAGTGGGAAGTCCCGAGCAGTGGTCAGTGATGGAATAATAAAGGTACAAGTATATTAGTGCTTACAGTTACAAAGAGAACTGTAGAGAATGAGAAATAGTGGCACTGTGAGGATGGGAGTGTTGCATGTGAGCTGTCCCCATTTGTCATAGCAGAAAGTCAGTTGAAAATATTTGGAAAGGATAAAATTGAGAAATCTGTATGTTACAGTTATGGGGGCAGCAGGAGGAGAGCAAACACTGGAAGAAGCACCAAAATATGGAAGGGAATTGCCTCCGAGGAGCAGGGCTGGGAGTGGAGTGGGTGAGCCAGGCCACCCTTGCTTTCCGTGATAAGCCCTATTATTGTATTTTTAGTTATGTGCTTGTTACGTTAATGAACACTGATGAACACAGAGCATGCATTATTCAAAATTCCTTCTTATTTTCTTTTCTAGAGTAGGGACAAATAAGAGTGATGAGAAGATGAGCAGTAGCAGAGGGGAATGGTAACTGGGGAAGCTCCGCTGGGGTGCACGCAGGCTGTCTCCAGGTTGGCTGTCTTCAGGCGTGCTTCTTACTCCAAAACTGGAAACTTGGTGAAAATCCTGCTGTTGGCTTTGAGCCGGCAGAAACAAAACAAAACAAAACAAAACAGATAAAACTGTAAACCAAGAAGCAGCACATGAACACTTTTAAACACCGTATGAAGATTTTCCATAACTTTAAAATACAATGGAATATGTTCTCAGTGAGAACTGTCATCGGACATCAGTGTTTGATTCGTGATTTTGCTGACATTGAGGTCCCTGGTGCTGCCCCCAAACTGGAGGCCTGCCCAGGGTGAAACTTTGTGTCAGAGCCCAGGATTTGACTCCTAGGAGCTCTGCTGTTGGGTATTATACAGGAGGGCAGGAATTGAGTTGTAAAAGGCCAGTGAAAGGGAGGGAGAACAATACATTGAGTTTGTATCCAGGGACACTTTCCTGGAAAGGTGGTTGCTTGAGGCTGATGCTTCAAGATTAGGGCCAGGCGCAGTAGCTCCTGCCTGTAATCCCAGCACTTTGGGAGGCCGAGGTGGGTGGATCGCCTGAAGTCAGGAGTTCAAGACCGGCCTGGCTAACATGGTGAAACCCCGTCTCTACTAAAAATTAAAAAAAAAATTAGCTGGGCATAGTGGTGTGCACCTGTAGTCCCAGCTACTCAGGAGGCTGAGGCAGGAGAATGGCTTGAAGGTGGGAGGCAGAGGTTACAGAGAGCCAGGATGGCACCACTGCACTCCAGCCTAGGCGACTGGGCGAGACTCCGTCTCAAAAAAAAAAAAAAAAAAAGGATTAGAACCACTGATTCTCAGAAAAAGTTTGACTTTCATTATTTTCAGACAACACCTAAGGAGTGAAAATAAATGAGACTAAGAAGATGTTCTTAGGCCCCAGAATGTTTAAAAGTAGAAAGACAATTTCCTTATTCTAACCTGGGGACCCTGATGGTAACAGACGTGCTTATGTGCTGCGATGGCAGCTGATACTCCTCAGCCTGTGGTTCTCTGCCCCATCCAGAGAGAGCCTGAATCTATACACAGAAAAGGCTGTGTTTCTGAGGAAATAAAAAATATGTACTTTTAAAATTTTCTAAATAGGCCCTACTTCTAGGGTCAGCTGGCGTGTATTTCAATTAGCACATTATCTTGGGAAACTTTACCATGAGGAAAAGTTTACTCATAGGCTTGGCCATTTTTATTTATTTGACCCCCATGAATAGTCCAACATAGCCACCAAAAATTGCACAGATGTCAGTGGCTGTTTGGCCGTGTTTTAAATAAATATTTTGTCTTTTAATCATCAGAGATAGGAGATTAAACCTGGACTCGTCCAACTTTGGCTCTCTTCACGCTCATCCTTATGGGAGAGGAAGTGTCAAGATGGGCTTTCCTTTGGAGCATAACCTAAACAGGAACCTTTTAAAAACCTATCCAAAGCTACACTTTGTACCTTAAACGCAGGCATGAAGTATGAGACATTTCTGGTGATGTCTTCAGGAGGATTAAGAGGTCAGGAGTTAGATGTAAGAATGAAAGTAAAGTAAGTGATAGATCTAGGCAGAGAAAGATGTTGACATCTGAGCTTATACTCTGAATAAAACAGGTTTCCAGGCTGTGTGTGTTTATTTTACACCCATGCACTTACACACAGTATGTGATAACACAGCAGTGATTCACAGTGGCTCTTCAAGGCCCCTCATCTGTGAGTCCTGGACTTTCCTGTCAGGTGTGCCCCCTCATAACCAGGCATGTTCTATGAGGTGTTTACTGTCGAGACAAGTCCCACAAGTTGGGCAACCCTTTAAGTGCTGTTTTCCGGAGCGCAGCTAAGGAGGTTAGCATACTGGGCGCAAAATCCTTCCTCCTTTTGAAAACCTCAAAACCAACAAACTACTTCCTCTGTTAATCTCATGGGTGAGTGGCAAAGCCCAGGCCAAGCCCTTGGTTGTGCAATGTGTTATGGCCCTGGAGTTAAGGATCCTCCTACTCAAAGCAGGAGGGCATCATTCCAGCAAAACCTGTTGGTGTGCGTCCCACCTTCCAAGTGAAGATATGCCAGGTGGGAGGTCGCTCGGCTTGTTCTGCCCCGTGCTGAGCCTGGGCTCAGTGTTGGGACATACATTTCTGCCTTTTCTGTCGTTGCTTAAGATATTTCCTGGTTGTCTTGTGAATTCTAGACACAGTGATGCTGGTTTTTTTTTTTTTTTGAGACTGAGTCTCACTCTGTCACCCAGGCTGGAGTGCAGTGGCACAATCTCAGCTTACTGTAAGCTCCGCCTCCCGGGTTCACGCCATTCTCCTGCCTCAGTCTCCTGAGTAGCTGGGACTACAGGCACGTGCCATCAAACCCGGCTAATTTTTTTTTTTTTTTGTATTTTTAGTAGAGATGGGGATTCACCGTGTTAGCCAGAATAGTCTCAATCTCCTGACCTCATGATCCGCCCGCCTCAGCCTCTCAAAGTGCTGGGATTACAGGTGTGAGCCACCGCACCCGGCTGCTGTTTTTTTTGTTTTGTTTTGTTTTGTTTTTAAAAAGATGATTAAGCTGGTGAGGCATCTCTTTTTATATATGCATTTTTTGACAAAAATTCCGTATATTTAGGGTATACAACATGATGTTTTAAAATTGGAATGGTTCAATCAAGCTAAGTAACATGCAATACTTCACATACTTAACATTTTCTGTGGTGAGAACTCAGTTCTACTCTCAGCTATTTATTTACTGTAGTCACCATGTTTATACTGTATTCCCCCTAGCTAACTGAAATTTTGTATCTTTTTACCAACATCTCTCCAAACCCCACCCCCAGCCCCTGGTAACCACCATTCTACTCTCTACTTCTGTAAGTTTGACTTTTTTAGAGTCTACATCTAAGTGAGGTCATGTAGTATTAGCCTTTCTTTGCCTGGCTTACTTCATTTAACATGATGTCCTCTATGTTCATGTTGTTGCAGACGATTTCTTTCTCTTTTGCGCCTGAATGATATTTCATTGTGTATATACGGTATACACCATATTTTATTTATCCATTTATCCACTGATGGCCACTTAGGTTGATTCCATATCTTAGCTGTTGTGAATAGTGCGGCCATGAACATGGGAGTGCAGATATCGCTTTGACACAGCGATTTCATTTTCTTTGGGCAAGTACCCGGTAGTAGGATTGCTGGATCATATGCTAGTCCTATTTTTAATCTTTTAAGGAACCCCCATACTGTTTTCCACAGTGGCTTCACTAATTTACAGTCCCACAAACAGCATGCAGGGATTCCCTTTCCACCACATCCTCTTAGTGAGACATCTCTTGAAGAAGGTCTGTCGACTTGGGTACCACTGAATGGTTTGTGGGTGAATATGTCTATGGGCTGGAATTGTGGTGGGAGTTCCCCTCTGCTCTCAGTATGGTAAAATCCTGTCCTGCTCCTGAGAAACACGGGTAGGAAGGCATGGAGGAGCTTGTGCATGTGATGGAAGAACCTGGCTGTACAGTCAGGTGACAGTCCTTTTGGTTTTTCTTTTACTTACGGCTTTAAGCACTGTATTATAGTTTGGGGAGAATGATTGCTCTTGTCTTCAACACATTGTTAATAAGGGAGCCCAAAGTTTGTGTCTTTTAAGTTAGCTCCGTAGCTTTTTGTTCTAAACTTTTGTATTTCCAAATTCATTTATTTTTGGTGGCAAAATTTGCACATTTTTAAAGTGTTAGTGAGTAGTCTGTATCACTTTGAAATAAGAGCTAGGAAGCGATCGTGGTATTCATACATAATAGTCTGGTGTTCCTTTCTGGTTGCCATGGTGTGGTGGTCCTGATCAGTGTGGGTCTGACTGGGGTGCTCAGCCAGGTGGCAGACATCTGTGGTCTCTAGAAGCTGAAATACTTCAGCTATAGGAAGCATCTGCTGCTTCAAGAACTTCACAATAAGCATTTATTGATGTCCTACTGTATACCAGGCATCCTGCTGGTTGCTGAGGGAACAAACATGAATAAGACCCACTGCCTGCAGTGTTCTTGATTCAGTGATTCCACCAGAATCAATTACAGGAGGCTGGCTGGTGGCTTCACTCAATGTCTGTGTTTAAGATTAATTTGCTTAATAAAACTCAGGGCAGTGAATACACAGGGTTGGCCCTGGCTTTCCTGTTACGAGCATTCAACAGTGTCGCGTGAGCAGTTGAACATGCCTTGTAAACCATGGTTGAGTCTCCCTGAGCTATTGTTAGCAGATAACTTTAGAGCAGAGCTAATCTGTCATATAAATAAGAATCACAATTGGGTTACATGGTAATTAAATATAAATGGTAAGTGAGTGAGTCACATTTATTCATTCATTCAGCAAACTTTTATTAGAGGCCTCTGGTGCCAGGCAGTGTATGAGGTGCTCTTCTGAGGCTGGTGTGGAGGGATGGTCACACCAGTATTGTCCTGCCTACAGTAGTGGCATATGTAGGGCAGTGGGCGGGGACAAGCAAACACTGAAGCTGGCCGTCCCATCATGGAGGGCCTCAAGGAGGGGGCAGGCTGATTGTGGAAAGGATGTGGGTAAGATGAGGCAGGGTAAAGGAGTAAGTTCTCCTTCATTATTAGCAATTACTTTAGACCCCATGTTCCTTCTGGGATGTCCTCAGCTCCCTTCCCTTACCCCGGTGGACAAGAAAATAGATAGCCTTGGCAGCTGCACTTTTATGTGTCTTGGGTCCTGTTTGTGGACCTGTTTGGCAGCCTCCCTCTCTCCCCGACGTACCTGCAAGTGTCTGAGTCCTCTGCTCCTGGGTTCTGCATGGCAACTGATGGAAAGCTAGAGGGGCTGACTTCCCAGGATATGAGACCGTAGAGAGACAGATGGGCTGCCCCTTCTCAGGGAGAAGAGAGCCTACCTAGGATTTCTGGGCTGGGGCAGGGGTGCCTCCGGGATGGGTGGATTCCCCACAAATGCCCAGGCTTCAGGCAGCCTACAGCTGTTCACTGAGAGTGGGCTGTCTTCAGGGCCAGCTGGAAGAGAAGTTTGATTTCTGAGGCAAGGAATAGACTGATGATATCTTCCCCAGTTTCTTCCTTTTGCCTAAAAGTCCTACTGAGGTCACTGTAGGGGCTTCCAGGGATTTGGAGCTGACCAAGGAAGAAGATGTGACCCTGAGAGGCAGTGACCCATGAGCTTTATTGGATGGCGGTGGGACAGGGTTGCTTGAGAGGGGATGTCCCTCACGGGCTGAGGCCATCTGGGGCCACCACTCAGAAGGGACTGTGTCTAGGTGGTGCCATGTGCCTAGATGATGTCACCCAGCAGTGCTGTGGGAGTCTCTGGGTCAGAGAGCTCAGAAGGGCCATAGCTGCTTGGGGCCTTGTAAGGCCCTATCTTGTCAGTGGGTGACAGTTTTCAGGCAAGATTTCAGTGGGTCTGTGAAGCAGGCTACATGGCAAAAGATCTGCCTGTTTGGGGCTATTTTTAAAATAATTGGATGTATAAAAATTTGAGTTTGATGCTAGAGGGCTTTTGTGCTAACTAGTCTCCACCTGCAGTGAAGAAATAAACTACCTAGGGACAATCTTTGGCCCATTTATATAACTGTGACAAATCTTTCTGTTCCACAGTTGAAAGTAAAATGTCTAAAAATGTAAACGCCTGGGGAATAGTAACTCATTGGTGTTAACATATTTCAATCAAAGCTTAAAAATATTTTCACGTTCCTTCCTCTTTTGACAGGAGATTGCTGGCCCCTACACCAGATGTCCCTTAGGCACCTCCAATCCATGTCCTAAACTAAAGTCAGTCATTGCCCCTAAACCTGCTCTGTCTGGGGTGTTAGTGATACCGTCTTCCCTGACATCCAAGCAGACCGTGGGACTCACGTCCCCCATTTAGAAATCTGGGAAGGATCCCCGTTCAGCAGGACTGACGGGAGGCAGCTGATGTGCAGGAAGAGAAGGCTGGACAGTGTCCTTGCGCTGGACATGTTTTGGACAGAAGGTATGGAAGGGAAGAAAAAAGACCAGATTCATAGGAACCTCACAACATGCTGCCCTGCCACATCTTGCTGCCTGATCTCAAGGCAGTTAACTTTTGGTGCATCAGTGACTATTTGTAGCACAGAGATAATACCTGTTAGACTTGTTAGAATTATTGTCTGTAACAGAAGTAAAAGGGCCTGACTTATTGCAGGCTGCCAATTAAAGGCCACCAGAAAATTCTTCCAACCACAGAGTTTCCCATGTTAACCATATTGGTCCCATGGTAATCATACTGGTTTCAGTATTTGTTTCCTAGGGTTGCCGTAACAAATTATCACAAACCTGGTGGCTGAAAACAGCAGAAATTTATTCTGTCACACTTCTGAGAGACCAAAAGTCTGAAGCCTGGCAGGGCCATTCTCTCTCTGGGGACTTAAGGAGAGAATTTTTCTTTGCCTCCTCCAGATTCTGGAGGTGGTTCTTGGCTGGTGGCCATGTCACCCCAGTCGCTGCATCTGTCTTCACGTGGCCTTCTCTGCGTCTGTGTCTTCTCCGCTTCTGTCTCTTATTAGCATAGTTGTCATTTGAGTTAGGGTTCACCTGGGTAATTCAGGATGATCTTATTTCAAGATCCTTCATTATATCTGCAAAGATTCTTTTTTCAAATAAGTCACATTCACAAATTCTGGTGGTTAGGATGTGGACATACCTTTTTGGGGAACACCATCTAACCTACCACAGTCTCCATCTGTATCCTGATGAGTAGGAAGTGTACTTCAGGAACCCTGTGGCCTGCACTAGCTGTCCACCTCTGGGGATTGATGGTTTTAGACAATGTAGTTCATTCTTAGCTTGTGGTAAAACTTTTTTTTTTTTTTTGAGACAGTCTTACTTTGTTTCCCAGGCTGGAATGTCATAGCCTGATCATAGCTCACTGCAGCCTCGACCTCCAGGGCTCAAGCAATTCTCTGCCTCAACTTCCTAAGTAGCTGGGACCACAGGCACATGCCATCACATATGGCTATTTTTTCTATTTTTTGTAGAGAAAGGGTTTCTCTATGTTGCCCAGGCTGGTCTTGAACACCTGGGCTCAAGCAATCCACCTGCCTTGGCCTCCCAAAGTACTGGGACTACAGGTGTGAGCCACTGTGCTTGGCCAGTAGAACATTTTAAAAATACAGGAGAGTGTAAAGAAATCAGGGGAAAAAAATACATCTGCTTGTCTTATTTCTACCCACTGTCCTGCTTGAACTTCTTCATGCCCCCAGTATTCCTTTCATAGGTGCTCTGGCCACAGATGTCCAGTGGCCCCATACACAGTAGCTCCACACTGTTGACTGATGACTCTTAGACACCTCTGGATAAAAGGTTCTGCAGGGCCCACCTTGGGTATTAGTAGAATGACTGGGAATCAGAAAACCAACTCTTCAAATATTTATGTAGGCTGCCAAACCAGTTTTCATTTTGTTTGCTTTTAGTGGAATAAAGCCATCTTTTGTTACATTGCTGACTTAGGGAATAGTCTCATTAACCATGCTTTGGGGGGTCCTGGATGGAGCAGGAGTCAGGAAGGGGTTGGTCAAATACATCCTATTATGATTTGTGTCCTCCCTCCCTCCTAATTTCTCCACCCTCTGTTGTCGTGGACTCCTGTAGGATGGGACAGATCTTGTCTCTGTGTATCCTCTCCCGTGTCTGGCGCACAGTGGAAGTGCTTCATAAATGTTTGGTGAATGACATTTTGAATTCTGGGGGATCCATGAATGATTTATGCTGTCACTAAATCTGGTATAATGTTTGGATTGAGTTTTAAAGTAGAATGCTTTATTTATACAATCACCATGTACAATTTTTTTTAAAATTTATATATTTCTGACTATGATATTGTTGGTTTCTCAGAAAGTCAGCATCAGGATTTTTTTTGTTTTTTTGTTTGTTTCTTTTCAATTTCCTTTTGGGTCTTAACAGTATTGATAGATTATTGCTCCTGCTGACTGTGTTATAAAAAGGACTTGCCTTAGTTTGGGCTGCTGTAACAAAATGCCATAGGCTGTATGGTTTAAACATAAACATTTATTTCTCACAGTTCTGGTGGCTGGAAGTTTAAAATCAAAGTACCTGCAGATCTGGTGCCTGGTGAGGGCTTTCTTGCTGGTTTGAAGATGGTGACTTCTCATTGTATCCATACATGAGGTAGGGGTGCGGGAGAGATGAAGCAAACACTCTCTTGCCTTTTCTTATAAGGGCACTATTCCTGGGGCTTAGTCACCTCCCAAAGGACCTGTCTCCAAATATTACATTGAGGATTAGATTTCAACATATGAGTTTTGGGGAAACACAAGCATTCACTTCATAGGGGAATTATATGGCAATAGCTCACATTAGTTAATATGCTAGAGGTAGGTACTGTTACTGTCCCCATTTGACAGATGAGAAAACTGAGTCTTAGAGGAGTTAAGTAACTTGTTCAGGGTTACATGCCAGTAAGAAGTGGAGCTGGAACTCCTCAAATCAGGGCTGTCCACCCTCAGTGCTATCAGAAATTTTTAACTCCATAGGACAGTCCAGATAGGATTTTGTGTTCAAGGTATAATGGTACTCAGCCCTTAATGGTTTTACTGCGTTGATGGTTGAGCAAAGGGAAACACTCATTCTGTTACCAAGAATGGGCTCCTCTTCACCTCTTGTAGAAAACATCTCTGCTAGACAGAGATCCTTATGGGAATGAATTACTTCACTATATTTATACCACCTAGCATAGTGCTTGTTGAGAGAATGGTAACCCAATGGCATCATTTTGCAGAGAATAGCCATGATGTTTTATTATTATCATTGATATTAAATTAAAATATTACACACATGACTTTCTAACACATTTTCTTCTTTGTAACATTTTCCCACAGTTTCATTTAAGAGCAGGGTTTTCCTTTAGTAAAAAGTAAAGTAACTTTCAAGTATGAAGAAAGGAAGAAAATGGTTTTCTTCCCATGAGTCATGGTTGGCAATAGTGTACTTAAAAGTTAGATTGTAGAGCCATTTTCACACCCATCAATTATAGGTTTTATTTTGTGAGCTGGAATGCCATGGCTTTTAAGACTCCTGCCTTATGTATGGTAGAGTTTGTGAACATAATTATTTTGTATACAAAACAATAAATTTTCTAACTTCAAAAAGTATTTTATTTGCTGGACCTATTACCCAGACAGATGTTGTTTTTAGAATAGTGCCTTAAAAAATTAATCTGTAAAAGATGTTTTCTGACAGCTTTTGTAGTCTTTGCCGGGTATAGTAAATGCAATAGCACAGAGTTTTGTTTAGAAATTCTCTAGGAAAGTAGGCGGATGTAAATCAAGTGGATTAAAAAGTTAAGTTATTTAATGTTTTATAATCAGAAGATGATGTGGAATAATGAATGTCATGCAGCAAACATGCATAGCTTCCAAGACATCCATTAGATCTTATATTTGTGAGTTTTTCATTGTGCTTTAAGAAATTCTCATAGTGGAATTAGGAGGACTTTGGTTTATCCACAAATGCTCAATAACTTCTAGGTACTACTTATCCTTCCCTTTCGTAATCCCCCTTTAAAGAATACACATGTGCACAGGCTGAGTGTAAATGTGCTTTCCCAAGACAGATGCCATAAGTGGCACGTGGGAAAACTGAAATCCTTTTGTTTTTCAAGGGACAGGGTGTGAAATATTAGTTCTTTTTCTCTTTTATCAGAAGCTAGTTTTGAGTTGAAAGTGGCATAAGCCGGACGTGGTGGCTCATGCCTATAATCCAAGCACTTTGGGAGGCTGAGGTGGGTGGATCACCTGATGTCAGGAGTTAGAGACCAGCCTGGCCAACGTGATGAAACCCCATCTCTACTAAAAATACAGAAAGTTAGCCGGGCGTGGTGGTGGGTGCCTGTAATCCCAGCTACTCGGGAGGCTGAGGCAGGAGAATCGCTTGAACCCAGGAGGCAGAGGTTGCAGTGAGCCAAGGTCACGCCATTGCACTCCAGCCTGGGCAACAGGAGTGAGACTCTATCTCCAAAAAAAAAAAAAAAAAAAAAAAAAAAAAAAAGGGGGGCATAAAGCCAGTTTTTCAGCTTAATAGTTATTTCCGGTTAATTATAAAGACTAGGATATTTTGATAACTTTAGAGTCTGAATAGATTCAAGCTAAAACAAGTGAGCATAGTAAATCTGAGAGGCTGTTGTGTGAAAATATTGCCTTAAAGACAATTTTCCCCTCAAATCACTTTATTGATGATAATTGATGTACATTAAACTGCACATATTTAAAATACACAATTTGATAAGTTTTGACTATATACACATCTGTAAAACCATTACCACATTCAAGATGATGTACATGTTTATCACCCCCAAAGTCTCCTTGTGCCTTTTATGATCCGTCCTTCCTGTTCTTTCCTCATCCTTAGGTAATCTAACACAGATCTGTTTTGTGTTACTCTGAATTAGTTTTTATAAAAATGGAATCAGAGTATGAACTCTTTTTTGTCTTCTTCACATAATTTGAGACGCATCCATGTTGTTGTGTGTATCAGAAGTTCATTTCTTTATACTGATGAATTAATTTGATTATGTGGATATATACTGTAATTTATCAGTCAGTTAGTTTGTTGATGGAAATTTGAGTTTATTCCAGTTTTTGGTTATTACCAATAAAGTTGCCATGAATATTTGTGTACAAATTTTTATATGGATATGTGTTTTAATTTCTCTTGGGTAAATATCTATAATAGCAGTGGAATGTTTGGGTTGTATAGCTGGTAAATGTATACTTTTTACAAAACTGCAAGATTATTTTCCAAGGTAGTTATATCGTTTTATATTTCCACCGGCAGAGTATGAGAGTTTATTTGCTCCACATCCTTGCCAACACTTTGTATGGCCAGTCTTTAATTGTAGTCATTTAATAAGTAGGTAGGAGTATCTCATTCAGTTTTAAATTTAATATCCCTGATTAGTAATAATTTTGAGCATCTTTAATGTATTGCTTTCTGTGTATTTTTTTTGGCGAAATGTTTGTTCCAATCTTTTTTGTATTTTTTAATTGGTTTTCTTATTGAGATTTGAAAGTTCTTTATATATCTGGATACAAATCTTTAATCAGGTATGTGATTTGAAAACCTTAAATCACTGAATTAAATTTTGTTTCTTTTGAATAATTTTTTTCTCTTTTTGCAATTTTTTATTGTAATGAAATACACATAATAAAATTTACTATTTTAACCACTTTTAAGAGTAGAGATCAATGGCATGAAGTACATTCATGTTGTTGTCTTTTTAAAAAATACTGTAGTCCAAAGTCATAAAAAATCCATCAGAGTCTGAGCTCTATGAGGGCAGAAACTGTATCTTATTCTCAATTATATTTGCAGAGCCTATACTATGCTTGGCACACACTAGGTCCAAATATTTGCTGAATGGACAAAATGTTTGTTTTCAGATGTCTTAGTTGTTTCGGTGTTAGTGTCTTAGCTCCAGCTGCTATAAAAAAAATCCCATTGGCCGGGCACAGTGGATCACACCTGTAATCCCAGCACTTTGGGAGGCCGAGGTGGGCGGATCACGAGGTCAGAAGATCGAGACTATCCTGGCCAACATGGTGAAATCCCGTCTCTACTAAAAATACAAAAATTAGCTGGGCATGGTGGTGTGTGCCTGTAATCCCAGCTACGGGAGGCTGAGGCAGGAGAATCACTTGAATCAGGGAATCGGAGGTTGCAGTGAGCCAAGATCACTCCACTGGACTCCAGCCTGGTGACAGAGCAAGACTCTGTCTCAAAAACAAAACAAAACAAAAAACCAACAACCAGGTGGCTTACTAACTACAATGATTTGTTTCTCACAGTTCTGGAGGCCAGAAGTTCGAGATCATGGTGCCAGCATGGTTGGGTTCTGATGAGGACCCTCTTCCATGTTAAAGAAGGATGACTTCTATTGTATTCTCACATAGCAGACAGAGAGCTAGCAAGCTCTCTGGCCTCTTCTTTATACGAGCACTAAACCTACCCATTCATGAGGACTTCACCTTCATGACTTAATTGCCTCCCAAAGTTCCCACCTCCAAATACCATCATGTTGGGATTAGGGTTTCAACATAAGAATTTGGTGGGGTAGGGAGCACAAATATTCCGTTTGTAACAGTATAATAGGGTTCTCTAGTGAAACAGAATCAATAAGATGTGTATGTGTGTATGTATTATACATCCATGTATCCATATGTTTCTTTCTATTTTAAGGAATTGGCTTAAACGATCATGGAGGCTTAAAAGTCCAAAATTGCGAGGCTAGGGTAGGCAGGCAGGCAGGCTTGGAAGGCTGACAAGCTGGAGACCCAGAGAAGAGCTGATGTTGCAATTGGAGTTCAAAGTGAGTCTGTTGTCCGAATTTCTTCTTCCACAGGAAAGGTCGGTCCTTTTCTTAAGGTCTTCAACTGCTTGGATGAGGCCCTCCCAGATTATGGAGGGCAATCTGTTTTACTCAGTCTATTGATTTAATGTTAATCTCATCTAAAAATTACCTTCGCAGAAGTATCCACATGTATTTGACCAAATATCTGGGTACTGTGGCCTAGCCAAGTTGACACATAAAAGAAAGCATCACAGTTAGGATATACTTTAACAAAGATCAAAAAACAATGCCTTATAAAGGATGGAAGTTAGGTTTACTCTTAGTCCAAGTGTAAACAGTTCAGGGTTGATTGATGACTCTACCATTTTGGGGTCCCAGGCTCCTTCTATCTTGTTGCTCTGCCATTTTCCACATAGTACTTCCTTGTAGCAGAAAAGGGAGATGGTATGGGAATGGTGTACTCCTTCCCATTTAAGTGCATGACTTTAAAATTGCACGTATCACTTAACACGTCCCATTAGCTTTAACTTTAACCATCCCATTAACTGGAACCCAATCCAGTAGACACACTTCAGTGCAAGAGAGACTGAGAAATGTAGTTTTTGGCTGGGTAGCCAGAGGCCCACCAGCACTGCTATTACTATATCAAAAGGGAAGGATAGATGTTGGGGTGAGGGAGGTATTCATCAGTCTCTGATAGTGTTCATTCATGTTTTGTGTTGCATTACATTTGATTGGAGTTCAGAATGTTTACTAATATTAAATCTGCTCATTCAAATTTGAGAGATTGAGAGTTGTGACACAACTTAAGTTTCATAATTAATGTTATTGAATTTGATCTTTCTTCTGCATCTTAAAGCACGTGTCTTGAGCAAACCTGCACATGAAAGTTGACATACCAAATGGGAAGCTGAGACAGAAGACAGAAACACAGATTCAGAAACCCACCTTGTTAAGACTGTTCCACTTCATTCTTTAGGAAGTAGGTGACTGTGAAAGTTTTGGAGCAGTGTTAGAATATGACAGATTGGGGTAATGGGAAGATAATCCGGTGGTTCCACATTGATTGCTGGATGACATCCAAATGCATCCATATGGCTTACAAGGAACTGCCTGTCTGTTTCACCTCAACTCCTGGCATCCACCTTTACTGCCTGTGTTCTGGCCACACCGAATCACAGTTCCTTCACTGTTCCTTATTATTACGCATCTCTATGTCTTCTAACAACTCTGCTCACCATTTTTGTTACCTTTTTAAAATAGAAATTTGAAGATTAAGGAAAACAGATAAAGGGCCCTTAAATTGGAGCCTACTCAGGTCCACCTATCTGTCTCTGCTGTTCGTTGAGTGCTGCGGTGTTTCAGGAATGTGTTAGGTGCATTCTTTTTGTCACCTCTCCATCCTCATGGCACCCCTGAGGGGTGTGCCATTATCCATGTTTTGCAGATGAGGAGCTGAGGCAGAAGTTTAATGATTGACTCAAGGTTACAACAGTCAGAAACTGACAGAACCAGGAATTTTGGCTGACTTCTGAGCCTGGGTTTTTCCCACCACATATTGTTCTCTTTGGAAAGAAGGTCTTAGGCTTAAGATGATTAGTAAACACAGTATATCAAGGGGCTGTGGAATCTCTGGGAGCTTCAGCTTCAGTTTGGAGTTACACCTCTTGGGTGTGCTACTGGAGAGCTGTTACCTCAGTGACTTGTGATGTGACCTGCTTTGCCGACTCTGTACTTATGTTGGGGGAAACTGGGGAAATGAGGGAGGAAGCAAATTTGGAATATGGTTTTAACCAGTTGGAATGAATTCATCCTTGACTCCTGAAAGCTTGTAATCTTCATAATCTCTTTTCTAGTGTTGCTATTTTGGATATGAGGTATGGGATAGCAGATGAATGCTTTAGGGTTGTGTGAGCTGAACAGTATTAAAAATGTGCTTTTCTCTCATCCTGAGGATCTTCCATTAATCCACTAGATGGAGCAGCTGGTTTGAATATATTTCATGATTAGAAGTTGGAAGAAAAGACATGGTGTTCATATCAGAGCCATGTCACAGACCCCCTGAAGTTGGCCAGGCATTTTGATCTCTATTTTTTCCTCTCTAAATATAAAACTTTTATTTACTCAGCACATCTATATGTAGGGAGCATTTGAGGTTCTTCTGGGACCTGACAGAAAACCATCATGGTAGAGTAGAAAGAATTCTAATCTGAAGTCTGGGGATGTGAGAGTAGAAGTCCTAGTTCAGACACTTTAGTTCTCTGTGACTTTGGTCTTTAACCGTCTTTAAGCCTCAGTGTCCTCACTTTTATCACTGTTGCAATAGGTGAGATGTGAGATGTGCCTTCTACAGGTTAGGTATATTGGGCCTCTGTGCCATCCCTTTAGACCACCTGCGCGATCAAAGATGCACGAGCTTCCATTTTGCCTGACTTGAAACTGCACTCGCTGACAGTGTCTACAACATGGAAAATCCATCCCACTGAAGACTGGAGGGTTTGTTGACGGCATTAGTTCATTTGCCTTTGTGATACTTCCGTCACCCACGGGCATTCCCGCTCATGCATGAACCCCTCCTTGGGGCAGTAGTTTCATTCCCTCACAAATGGTTTATCCTATTTTAGGGCAACACTGGTTATTAGAGTTTTTACTTATTGGTCCTGGTTGATCCTTCCAGAGCAGCCCATATCTTGTAATCTTATCTGTCTTTCATATTCAGATTTTCTGTTTTAGAACTAAGGTGGAATATTTGTTTTTTGCCTTCTCTACTACTGGTCCTGCCTGAATGATATGCTATATAAGAAATTAGACATGTTATCAAAATGCTTTTTAGTTTTTAGTTCTCAACTGATAGATAGGAAGGTGGCTATGTATGTTTAAATCTGCTACCTGTACTCAGATGTCTTAAAACATCATATGTCCTAGAATTTTAAGGTTTCATAACAAGGAACTATTCTTTAACAGTTGTTGACACATTTGTTCCTAAAAGCCAATGATGTCTTACTTAGACTACTGGAATCTGCTCCTAAGTGTTTAATGAAGTGAAATTAAAACTTCCATTTTTAGGTAGCTTTGAACTATGGGAATGTGTAACCTCACTACTCCTGATTTCTGTTAATTTTTAATTAAATACACATCTGCTAAATTAAAGACTTTCACATAGGTTGACATTCTTGTTGTTTGCCAAATACAAGAGTTTGTGATATTTGGAAACAGACTCTTCAAGTATTCCTTTTAAACTATACAGATTTTGTATTTCAAGTGGAAAGCTACAAAACACCAACTCTGTTTTAATTTGTCATATAAATTAATAAATTTATGTCATGTAAATTAATAAATTTATGTCATGTAAATTAATAAATTTATGTCATATAAATTAATAAATTTATAGTACTTCCCCTTTCAGTTGAGGAAGAGGACCTAGCCTCAGCCTTATCTTTCCCAAAGAGGGGTTTTAGGGGTGCGTATATTTGAATGAATTTTGGAATCAGGTTTTTTTTTTTTTTTGAGATGGTGTCTCACTCTGTTGCCCAGGCTGAAGTGTGGAGTGCAGTGGTGTGATCTCAGCTCACTGCAGCCTCCACCTACTGGGTTCAAGCAATTCGCCTGCCTCTGCCTCCCAAGATGCTGGGACTACAGGCACACGCCGCCACTTCTGGCTAATTTTTTTTTTGTATTTTTAGTAGAGACAGGGTTTCACTATGTTGCCCAGGCTGGTTTCGAACTCCTGAGCTTAGACAATCGGCCTGCCTAGGCCTCCCAAAGTGCTAGGATTACAGGCGTGAGCCACCGCACCCAGCCTGGAATCAGTTTTAACAGTGTATAATCTCATTGGCACTCCTTGGACTGAAGCCACTTAGCATTAAAATGTACCTTGATCTCCTGGTGACCTCCAGTGACCCACATTGATGACTCTGATGGGTTATCATTAGTTCTCCCCAGGAAATTTGAATCATCAGGATGTTTCTTTGGTTACATAATATATTTAACCCAGGTACTGGCTATTATGAAATCAAGAAGCATATCTTCCCAGAAGTGTCCTTGTGTGTGTTCATTTGTGGAAGTTGGAGGAATCAAATCTCTCCCTCTCTTTAGAGGTGTGTTTTGGAATGCCCTAAGCAGGCTGCTGTGACATCAGCCCTTGAATTTACTCTGGTTCTCATCAGGAACATTAGGAATAATTCCTCATCTTCCATGGAAGAAGGTGGAACATGAAGCAAGCCTGAAAACAAAAGCTTTACATTGGCTATGTGTGAACCACCTTTGCTGTTTTATAAGTTTTGCTAGGGGGCCTGGGATAGTAGTGACACCTGACCCCTTACTGAACATTTTCATCGATGCTCTTTGGCTCTGTGGTTTTATACTGCCCCTTTCAGTTGATGAAAAAGACCTAGCTTAGCTTTAGGTTTCTCAAATAGAGGACCACATCTATATTAAGGAACCAATGTAACTACATAAAGAACTGTAAGTTCATGTTCCTCAGAATCTTATGTGTGTAAATACTTTATGATTTTTAATTCCTTCTTATATTATCCTCATTATTGTTAACAGGATTTAATGTGGCATGCTGGAAGGAGCAGGGACTTTGGAGCCAGAGAGCCCTGGCTCATATTTCAGATACCAGCTGGGTGACTTTGGTCAAGTTAGCTTATTTCTCTGAGCCTTCATCTGTAATGGAAGAGTGTTCAGGTGACCCACGTCTCATGGCTTAATTAGTTCCTGGATAACATTTGAAGTGATCTCTTTTAAATTCATAGACATTTCCTTGGCACAATGTTACAAATTGCGATTCTATTGCAGAAAATAATTTTATGCTATAAAAGCACCAGAAATTAATTTTAAAAAGTGATAAGGATACTTTTTTTTAAAAAAAACATCAATTACAGAAAGTAAGATATTTATTATAAAGTCTATGTTGTTAATTTTTTTTTTGAGATAATTTACATGAGTTTTTGGAGAAAAATCTTCTTAAAATATGAATGCATTGAACTTTGGGCTAAAGATTAGTTCTTTTCCTGTTAAACTCTGTAGCAAGCATGAACATTTATCATCATCTAGCAATCAACAAATGAATTCAAAATCTGAGTCAGTCATTAAAAAGAAAGAATTTGCATGTTTTTGAATGGTAACATTAGTGTGGGGAGTGGTTCTGTCTTCAGAGTTCCCTTACTTGTACATTGTAATGATACCTGAGTTCAAAGTCACATTCGTTTTCAAAGTCAAGCACAATTTCAGTGATGTACATGATGTATTTGGTTGTATTTGATGCCAGTGGTCAATTAGGCTTTGTGGTTTTATAATGAGGCATCATTAGTCTGTCTTCCTTGGCAATGTCACTATTAAGAGGCATTCCTAAAGCAGAAAAAGGCTGTTTCTTCACAAGAGAGAATTTTCTCAACTTAAAAATGTTATCTTTCTCTTTAATGATGTTAGCTAGATTTGAATGCTGGTACTATCCCATCTGTTCTGTTTTGAAGCAGTGAAACCATCTTTCCCTTAAGCTAGACATTTCTTTAATGTCTCTTACCAAACCTGTCCTTAAGCATTTGAAACCTGTTCTTTAATCATTTGCTAACATGGTTTGGTTCTTAGGCTTGCTGTATTTATTACATGCAATTATATATGTACAGAAACAAATGTTCCATTTTTGTATGTCAGTGCATTGTGGTTTCTTATGATTTATTTCATATGCCTGTGACACTAGATTTTCTTGAAATATTTTTCCTAGTCTTTTATTTTACAGCACTCTGAATTTTAATGTACAATTCAACAAGTTTTAGTAAATTTGCACATTTGTGCAATCCTCACCATTATCTAATTTCAGAACATTTCAATTACTCTTGAAAGAAGTCTCATGCCCATTAGCAGTTTCTCTGTACCCCCAACTCCAGGCAACCACTAATCTGTCTACAGATTTGCCTTTTCTGAACATTTTATATAAATGGAATCACTCAGTAGGTAGCCTTTGCATCTGGTCCCTTTTGAGATGTATCTGTGCTTGTAGCATGTATCAGTACTTCATTCCTTTTTATTGCCAAATAGTGTATTCCATTCTGTTGTCTGGATAAACCACATTTTGTTTATCCATTTACCAGTTGATAGACATTTGGTTTGTTTTCAGTTTTTGGCTGTCATGAATAATGCTGCTGTGAACATTTGTATACAAGTCTTTGTGTGGACATGTGTTTTCATTTTTCTTGGGTGGATACCTAGGAGTGGAATTGCTAGGTCAGGTGGTAGCTGTTTCCCAAAGTGGCTTTGTCAGCAATGTATGAGGGTTTCACTTACTCTACATCCTTGCCAACACTCACTATGTCAGTCTTTTTAAATTTTAGCCATCCTAATAGATATGTAGTAGGATGTCCTTGTAGTTTTAATTTGCATTTTCCTAAAGACTAATGATGTTGAACATCTTTTTATGTGCTCATGGCCATTTTCATATCTTCTTTGATGATCCTAGTTTTTAAAAATTGTTTATAACCTAATGTAATACAAAGTCAGGGTCCAGCATAGAAACAAAAGTTATTCCACTTATTTTAACAGAGATAATTAAATATAAAGAATTGTTATTAGGTATAAAATTGTTAATAAGTAGGTAACTGAAAAGATAAAAAGCAAATACTAAGATATTGTAGAGGTAGTGGCTGTAGGAAGCAGCCATCAACTGTAGGGCTGGGGGCAAATAGGGTGAAATCTTTATTAAATCTTTAGAAGCTTAGAGGAGAGGCCCCACAGAGCTGAAACCCAGACCTGTGAGGTGTGGGTGATGGTGCAGCTGTTTCTGAGGGGAGTGTAACAAGGCTGGTTCTGTAAGTGCTGAAAAACTGCAGGCCAGATTCAGCTGCTGCACTAGAAGGAACTGCTGCTGCCCTGGTGAAGAAGTGTTGCTGGGGATGACACTGAGAGCTAAAGCCAGCAGGAAGCAGAGGGGAAGGAGCTAGTCTCCCTCTAGTGTCCCCTGGTGGCAGAGCCTAACAGAGAGCCAACTGGTAAAACAGAAATATGGTTTCAGAGTTACAAAGCTAAGTTTGGAAGGGTATGGTTGGAGCTGGGAGAGAATACCTATATAATTGGCCAGCCTACCCCTTTGAATATTCAGTATCTAGACCTATCCTCCTAAACATATTTTAACTTCCACACAACAAAAACTACTTTCTTTTCGTCTAACAGAATATAAACATTCTCACACAAATGAAGATGTTCTCACCAGCTCCCTAAAATGCAGTGTCACAAAGTCTCATTAGTGTATCCATCTCTGGGAGGTAGTCACATTACCTGTTGCTGGGCTTTGTTAATTTCTCCTTAAATTTAATTAAAGTTCTGCTTGAATGTTGTGTTATCCAGAGTTAAATTGTAGAGGTAAGTTTCAACAATGTTTGTATAAATAATGCAAGAAGAAGGAGAAGAAATTTGTTCTCGTTCCCTCCCTCCCTCTCCAAAAGCAAGAAGGAAATATGCATATCTGCCACTTTTCAGTAGTTGAGATTTGTATCTTTCTTCTCCTGTTACCTGTTCCTTGTTTCTTTTGCACTCAGCCAGGACTTCAACTGATTAGGTTTCTGTACCTGAAGGTCTGAATTCTCAGTGGTCCTGCCTTTTTTTGGATTGCTGTGGTTTTCCATTAACTTTTGCTGTTGGAGATAGAAGTACTAAGAGCTGCCCTGATGAAGGAAGCCGTGGTCCTTCCTGACTCTTTGGGAGGCAGCATCCCAGGGTCCTCTCACCCCCACTGGCAGTGTATCCTCCTCACTGGCCTCTTGGCTAAGTGGCTTGAGGAGCCTAGAATGACTCAGTGGCAGTCTCACCTTCCAGTTCACTGGAAACATTGCTGCCTCCCTTTAATAGCTCCCTTAAAATCAGGACCTCTGTACTAGCAGGGATGAAAACCAAAAATTTTTAGAGTGGGTTATTAGGGTAATAGTGAGAGGGGCCACTCCTACTTCTTCTATTGATTTCTGGACCAATGTCTTCTTACTTTGGGGAGACAGGTGAGTCAAAGCATGTGCTGTGTTGTGTGAGACAGAACTCCATCTTTCAGAATGTTGCCTTACAACTGTTGTCTTCAGTAGGCTGTGCCATTCTTCCGCTGGGTCACCTGCTTATAGATGATGGGATATGTAGTGAGACTGGTGAATTCCAAGTGCTGAGAGATGGCTCAGAACTGGCACATTCAGTGGTTTTTCAAATTGTAGGCCATGAGCCACGAGTGGTCCTGAAAACAGCTCCGTGAGCTATACCACTTTCCTCCCTCCCTCTCTTCCTTCCAGTGAACTCTAATAGACCAGAGACGCTGGAATAGCAATTAATATTGTGTGACACAGGTTGTAATTGCAATTGTATTTTTGGAAATATTTTTACACACATTTACCGTATCATGACTTACAATGAGTTTCTCAATATGATTCATGGTGACAATACTTTGAAAGCTAGAGGTCTAAAGAGACATTTGACCTTGCGGTTCCCTTATCCCCAGCCTCTGGTGGTTTAATGCGTTGATTTCTCGGTAGCACTCCACGTGGTGTTCGCATTGGCTGCAGCCCTTCAGTGGGCCTGAGCATGAGGATGGGCTTCTGTCAAAATCTTGTTTCCTTGGAACAAGGTCCAAAGATGGCCATTATGAATGGGATCACATGTAAAACTCAACTTTTAGGGTTGTTTAGAAGATTAAATGAGGCCGGATGTGGTGGCTCATGCCTGTAATCCCAACACTTTAGGAGGCTGAGGCTGGTGGATCACGAGGTTAGGAGTTCGATACCAGCCTGGCCAATATGGTGACCTCTGTCTGTACTAAAAAATACAAAAATTAGCTGGGCATGGTGGCGGGCACCTGTAGTTCCAGCTACTTGGGAGGCTGAGGCAGGAGAATCACTTGAACCCAGAAGGCAGAGGTTGCAGTGAGCCGAGATTGTGGCACTACACTCCAGCCTGGGCGACAGAGTGATACTCCGTCTCAACAACGACAACAACAACAACAACAAGATTAAATGAGACCATGTGACTCAGTTCTGTGCTCAGTATTTGGAATATAGCAGGAATTCATTCCCGTGTAGCACACTGTTAAAGGTACTCTGCTAGAGTACTCTGTTAGAGGTACTCTGCACTGTGCTCTTTATGTAATGTTTATCTTTAGGTTTTACATTTAAAATTTAAATCTCCTACATTGTTGAGATGACTAGACTGGCCTCAATAGAGCCGATTTTTAAATATGAATAAAATTTCATATCTCCTGTTAACCTTTTTCCATCCCTCCTCTGATTTTTTTCTCCAATTGGTATTTTTTTCTTGGATCTTGAGAACTTTGTGGTTAAAGCAGAGATGAAAATTTTGTGGGAAAACATCTGCAAAATAAATTTCTTTGAATGAATTGGGATAGATGGCTTGGCCCTCAGGTCCAGACCTCCCTAACATAATAAATGAACCAGTTATTGACCAGACAAAAGATTTCCCTTAAGTGCTCTTTAATTTTAAAGCAGAATAGCTTTAACTGGCTCTTGATGAAGAAATCATCTTACCATTCTTAGCTGTCCTCTCTTCTGCATATGCAGTGCCAGGAGTGCTTTTGGGCATTTGCTGTGTTAGGGTAGTGATATGTTTTGGAAAGATAACGGTATTGAAATTAGGGTACTTTCAAGAGAAATTCAACTTTGGATTGATGTACCCTCTGATATGTGCTGTCTTGTTTTTAAAGAAACACCTTTATCAGGATATGATTCATACATGAAATGATTCATCCATTTAAAATGTTCAGTGGTTTTCAGTATATTCAGAGTTGTGCATCCATCACCATAGTCAATTTTAGAACATCTTTATTACTTTCCAAAAGAACACTGGACCCCTTAGCCATCACCCCGGAACTCTGCTCCACCCAACCCCCTAGCCCTAGGGAACTGTTTTTTTTTTTTTTTTTTTTTTTGAGACGGAGTCTCGCTCTGTTGCCCAGGCCGGACTGCGGACTGCAGTGGCGCCCTAGGGAACTGTTAATCTGCTTTCTGTCTCTAGATATTTGCCTGTTCTGGACATTTCATAGCAGTGGATTCATGCACTATGTGATCCTTATGCGGGGCTTCTTTCACTTAGCATGGTTTTAAGAGTCACCCATGCTGTGGCATGGATCATACTTCATTTTTTAAAAGTTGGTACATAATATTTCATTGTATTCTGTAGTTGTTTATCCATTTATCAATTGATGGACATTTGTGTTGTTTCCAATTTTTGTTTATTATGAACAGTGCTGCTAAGAGCATTCATGTATAAGTTTTTGTGGGAACATATATTTTCAACGTTGGGCATCTAGGAGTGGAATTGCTGGATCATACGGTAACCTGGGTTTAACCATCTGAAGAACAGCCAGACTATTTTCCATAGCGGCTACGCTGTTTTGCATTCCCAGCAGCAGTGTGCGAGGGTTCTACTTTCAACACATCCTCACCAATACCTGTTATTTTGATTAGCAAAGCCGATCGAATTGGTATACCAATCCAATTGCTACACCAATACTTGTCTTTTTGATTTTAGCCATCTAGTGAGTGTGAAGTGAAAGCTCATTGTCGTTTTGACTTGCATTTCCCCAATGATTCTTCACTTGCTTATTGTCATCTTTTTTTTGTCCTATCTGTTTTGTTTTGTTTTTGTTTTTGTTTTCTTTTTAATATGGAATGCTTCATGAATTTGTGTGTCATCCTTGTGCAGGGACCATGCCAGTCTTCTCTGTATCATTCCAATTTTATAATAGTATATGTGGTGTTGAAGCAAGCACCTATTTGTTTTTAATTGACCGGGAGGGATAGCAATAATTGTAATCTGTCCAGTTCTTATGTGGAGGATAGTTTCTCCTACATTTCCCCACTTCTTTGACCTAAATTCACATAAACGTCAAGGAATGTTTGATTGAAGTAACACTCTTTTAAAACCTAGTTACAGTTAAGTCATAACCCAACTGGCTGTATATAAAAGAGAGTCTTGTGAAGGTTCAGAATTTTGTGTCTTTGTGAAAAGAAATTAAAACCTTGTAAGGAGTCAGCTAAAGAATGTAAATTTTTATGAGCTTCTATAAACAGGGAAATATGGAATGTTTAGTTCCATTTAACCTGACTATAAGCCAGGACAAGAGAGTACATATTTTATTTTGTGTCTTTTTACACTGCTTTTAAAAAAAATAGGACTATTTTGAAAAATTGCACTTCCCCTCCTATATTTTAGAGAGGTAACCACATTAGTATCATTATTACTTTTGATTAATCTAATTGAAAATCTCACTAAATTGCAATAGTTTTTAAAAAGTCAAATTCAAATCTTATGTGTGTTTTATGTTTTCCTCTTCGCCCTCAAGGAATATTTCTTCATGTTGAGACAGCATTTCTATACTGCCACAATGACAGTAAAAGACTTAAAACAGTCAGCTGCTAAAATGTAAGATAAAAGTAACTGATGTATGTAGAATCTGAATTTTAGTCTCTTCACATGTTGGAACAACTTTTCAACAGCCATAACTCCATATATGAAGAACGTGAACAGTTTCAAGGGTGCATTTGTATGCAAGTTATACTTTATATCTCTTTTATTGTTTAAAGTCAGTATACCCTGCCATTAAGTGATCTTTTTGGGTGTCTGCCTAAAATATAATTTCTTTGGGAATGGCTGGTGGAGGCCAAGAAGAGGTCCTTGAGTTCTGACTTCATTATGCCATTGAGTTTGTCCTGCTTCCTTGTTCTTCATCCAGTGTCTAATTTACAGTGGGGCCATGGGTGCTTCCTGCGCTCATGTGATCCTTGGTGCCATCAGCCCTTGCAGATGTGTTCACTGATGCTAGACGGCTTTGCCAATAGATGTGCTGTTTGGCAGCTTTTTATGTTTGATACAGCATCAGCATTTATGGATTTATTGGTTTTTCTTTAAAGAACTGAGCTCCCTAAGAAACCATGGTTTTGCTCCATGACCTCCTGTAACAGTAATTTAAGTTGCCACTTCTGGCAGGTTCCTGAGCTGAGGGGTCAGTTGGACCTGTGTACATTGTATTTGTTCATTCGTTTCATGGCTGTCAATGAAAGTAGTGGAAGTTGTCTATGAATCAGAAATTTAAATCTCAGGCATCTTTTTTTCTGTGATGCTATATAGTTGGAAGGTTTTTCTAGGAAGTGCAATGCAGTCATTCATCGCTTAACAACAGGGATAGTTCCTGTAGCTTATCTTCCCTTTGTGAGGGGCTGACAGGCCAATGGAGAGAGGACGAGAAAAGACCAGTTACCATCCTCGTTTTTCTGGTCTTACACCTCACCTGTTTCTAGAAGTGATAGGAAAACAATGCCCAACAAGTTGGTTTTCTATTTTTAAAAAATATGGAAAGATACCTGTAACATAAGATTTATCACCTTAACTATTTTTAAGTGTACACATCAGTGATACTCGGTACATTCACATTGCTGTGCAGCCATCATCACCATTCATCTCCAGAACTTTTTCATCTTCTGAAACTGTAAATCTGACCCCATTAAACACTAACCCCTTATTTGCCTTCTCCCAGCACCTGGCAACTACCATGCTACTTTCTGTTTCTATGAATTTGACTATTCTAAATACTTCAAATGGAATCGTGCAGTATTTGTCCTTTTGTATCTGGTTTATTTTACTTATCACAGAGTCCACAGATTTCATCCACGTTGTAGCATATGTAAAATTTCTTGCATTTTAAGGCTGAATAGTATTCCATTGTGTGTGTAGATACCACATTTTGCTTATCTGTTCATCCACTGATGGACACTTCAGTTGCTTTCGCCCCTTGGCTGTTGTGAATAACGCTGACTATTGTGAATAATGCTGCCTATGAACGTGGGTGTGCACATCTCTCTTCAAGTCTTGCTTTCATTTCTTTTGTGTCTATTCCCAGAGGTGAAATTGCTGGATCATATGGTAATTATGTTTTATTTTTTGAGGAATTGCCAAACTGCTTTCCATAACAGCTGCACTATTTTACATTTCTACCAGCAAATAAGCTGTTTTTCTTAAATGTTTCTCCCTTTTGAAGACCTGATGGATTGATTTTTAGAGACAGGGTCTGTCTCTATCTCTCAGGCTGGAGTGCAGTGCCACAGTCATAGCTCAATGCGGCCTTCGATTCCTGGGCTTAAGTGATTTTTCTCGCCTCAGCCTCCTAAGTAGCCAGGCCTACAGGCTTGTGACATCACATCCAGCCAATTTTCAAATTTCTTTTTTTTATAGACTGGGGTCTTGCTATGTTGCTCAGGCTGGTCTTGAACTCCTGGGCTCAAGCGATCCTCCTGCCTCAGACTCCAAAAGTGCTGGAATTATAGGTGCTAGCATTTCTGGCTGACCTGTGTTATTTTAAAAGCTATTTAACTTGATCTCCTACCAGAAAAAGGAAGATTCTCTCATTTCTTTTGAGTGACTGTGGTCTCTGAAAGACCCCCACCGTCCCTCCCTGGACGCTTGCTCCTTGGAGCTAGGTCTGGTTGTTTCCACTTCCTTTCACTTGGTCACTCATTGAGCTTGCCAGTTGTTAGAGCTGCCCACAGGAACTGTTTGCCACCCTGACATTCTGGCACCAACCTGGAGAAACCTGTGTTCTTTTGCGTTCTCTACTTTTGAGAACATTTAAATAACACTATTAGCAACAGACCTGACTCCAATATTTTACGTGGTCATAACTTTAGGGATATATTTTTAGCAAAAATATTTTACTTCAGAGTGGTCCAGGCAGAAGGAGTACAGCCTTGAGCTCTTGCAGGGGTCCAACAACTCCTGTCCACACTGTGCCCTCTGGACCTGCCCGTCACCTTTGTTCACTTCAAGGTAACTGGCACTAGACATCTCAAAGTGTTCTAACTCTCTTGTGTATTGAGATGGGGAAAATAGATGATGGATAAATTTAAATATGCAATAAGTCGAAATTTTGAAGATTATGTTCCTGAAATGCACCATGGTAAGAGTTCACACTTTTATTTAAAATGTACTTATTTAATAATACTTTCTTAATTTCCATTATTTAAAGTCTTTTTTTAATTTTAAGTTCTGGGATACATGTGCAGAATGTGTAGGTTTGTTATATAAATATATGTGTGCCATGGTGGTTTGCTGCACCTATCAACCCGTCATCTAGGTTTTAAGCCCCGCGTGCATTAGGTATTTGTCCTAATGCTCTCACTCCCCTTGTCCCCCACCCCTTGACAGGCCCCGGTGTTCAACTCCCACTTATGTATGAGAACATGCGGTGTTTGGAGAAAAACCTGTCTCTAATGGTCATTGCTGAAAGCTCCACTCCTTATTTTACAAGCTATCTTAACTCTTTTTTCATGTTTCAACATCCCCATTTCCCTCTTTTTTTTTTTTTTTTTTTTGAGACAGAGTCTCACTCTGTCACCCAGGCTGGAGTGCAGTAGCGCGATCTCGGCTCACTGCAAGCTCTGCCTTCCGGGTTCACGCCATTCTCCTGTCTCAGCCTCCCGAGTAGCTGGGACTACAGGCGCCCGCCACCACGCCCGGCTAATTTTTTGTATTTTTAGTACAGACAGGGTTTCACCGTGTTAGCCAGGATGGTCTCAATCACCTGACCTCGTGATCCATCCGCCTTGGCCTCCCAAAGTGCTGGGATTACAGGCATGAGCCACCACGCCTGGCCTTCCCTCTTTAAATCATTTTTTCAACAAAAATAAAATTTGTTGTTTGAATTTGCTATATCTGAAATTCTCATGTATTTGAATTTTGTATGAGATGCTTGTATTTTTAGAAGAATTACCCTACTTTTAGTCTCATTATCAGGGAAGAAAACCATTTAATTTGGGACAAAAGAAGAAGAGAGACCAGCATTTATTGAGCATGTGGTATATACTAGGCTCTGTGCCAGATACTCTAATTACATTTGATTATATTGATTGGTTATAAAAGGAACGAGGCATTGAGAGACCAACTTACATAACATTTCTTTGCTCAGCAGAATTCACTGCCTTGATTTATGAAATATGGACTGTCAGATATGGAAGTAAACTTTTCAAATGGACTGGCTATCATAATGGCATTTAAATAGAATGAATGACGTGTTAGACTGAATTCTATCTGTCCTCCCTTTACTTAGATTTGGTGAAGTGTGCTGTATCATGTATGAGGTATTATCATTATGTGAGATCTTCCTTTCAGCCACTGCAGAATGGAGAGAATTCCTCTCCTTTCCTGGCCTCCTAAGATAGACCCCAGGTCTGATATATAAGTAGAAGACTTATATCTGTTTGAAATACAGTATTAATTCCAGTTTATAGTTCTAGATTTTTTAGGTGTCACTCTAGATTCCTCTTTTTTCACATGTTTCTAGAAGAGTAGTAAATACGTCTACCAATCAAAATAATTTGTCTGTTGGAATACATTTAAAACAGAAAGTCAGCAAAGAGAGAGCTGTAGGTGGGAACAGCAGCTGCAGATGCTTAAGCTTTGCAGGAGCTCAAAGCTTGGGACCTGTTAGCTATGGTCTCAGGCTGCATGGCTGAGGTTTGTTATGACCACCAAGTGGGCTGGCAGGTCTTAACCTGAATTTATTTTCTGTGCGGGCTTTCTGGGGGGTTGTGCAGCCTGGAGCCCCTTTCCCAGGTCTAAAATGCACACCCTGAGGTAGCCCCAGCCACCTCCCATGTTAATGTGGTTTAGTATATTGCTGAGAAGTGGGACCAAAACAATGTTCAGAAATTGTTGAATTTATCAAGCAAGGTGCTGTTTTAGGTTACACAGTAAATCCTTTGTGAAGTATAAGACAATAGGTACTTACATATTTCTAGCAATTTCTTGTTGAGTTCTCTCCTGTTACCTTATTTGAACTTGACAACCTATGGGGTGGGCAGAGTAGGTGCCATTCTCCCCACCCTCATTCTTAAATTTTTTTTATTTTTTGAGACGGAGTCTCACTCTATCACCTAGGCTGAAGTGCAGTGGTGCCATCTCAGCTCACTGCAACCTCCACCTCCCAGGTTCAAGTGATTCTCCTGCATCAGCCTCCCCAGTAGCTGGGACTACAGGTGCACACCACCATGCCTGGCCAGTTTTTTGTATTTTTAGTAGGATTGGGGTTTCATCATGTTGCCCAGGCTGGTCTCGAACTCCTGACCTCAGGTGATCTGCCCGCCTCGGCCTCCCAAAGTGCCAGGATTACAGGTGTGAGCCACTGTGCTTGGCCTCCCCACCCCGATTCTTAATAGCAGCTTTGAGATAGAATTCACTGTCAGGGCCACTCCACAGAAACGGGATGGATCTCCTCCACTTGGCCACATTTGCTTTAGATACTGAGTCAGCTGACATCACACCCACCCCAAGAGGATGTGAAATATAATGAGGCTTTCTGGGGAGAATAGGACAGCTCCCAAGAGGTCCTAAAATGGCTTGAGAGAGCAGGGAAAAGAGACTGGCTTGGCTTTTTTTGGTGATGATTATTGGGGGATGGTGTGGAGTGAGGGTTCCCATTGAAGGGTTTGAATTTACTGTTGGTGTCATAAGAGGGAGCCACCTGGACTTTCCTCTCTGCCTGCCCAGATGTGGACAGAAAGGGATGAAGGAGGAATGAGGCTTCAAAGCATCACAAGTGTAGTCACTTTTTAAAAATTACATTCACACGCCATAAATGTATTCAATTCAGTAGTCACAGACTATATGTGTGTATAGATTATATATACATTTGAGAATATATATTAGAAACACTTTAATTTCTGAACATTTTCATTACCCTAAAAAGAAACCTCATACCCGCTAGCAATGACCCCATATTTCCTGGTCTCCCTAGCCCTCCATAATCACTAATCTGCTTTCTATCTCTCTGGATGTGTCTGTTCTGGAAATTTCCTTTCAGTAATACAATATGGGGTCTTTGGTGCCTGGCTTCTTTCCTTCACATAATGGTTTTCGGGCCATTCGTGTAGTGGCATGCATCAGTACTTTGTTCCTGCCTGTGATTGAATGATACTCCATTGTGTGGATGTGCCATATGAGTTTGTCATTTTAAAGGATGATTCATTTGGAACATCTGAGGGTGAGATGGTAGGAGAGTCAGGTGTCAGTATTAGCAGGAGAGGAAGACCTGGGCCTGCATCTCAAAAGGGATTCAAAGGCAGACATTTAGTCTTAGGAGCTGTATAAATTAGAAGTGACATTTAAAGATGGGAGAGTAAATGTGATCTCCAAATTGAAATATATACTCTTTTAGGTGGCTACACTGGTTGCCAATAGATACCATCCATCTATTCATGTCCTCTGATGAAATTCATGGTAATTTTCAATTTAGAACAACTCAAGTTCATTCTGATACAGAAAAGTCAGTGAAACCAAACATACCTTTTGAATTACTCATTTTGTCTTGCTTCTATTATCATGAGACCTGTTTCTGAATACTTCACTCTAAATATTTTCTGTTGCTTTTCAAGAGCCCACTAATTTTGTTGGTTGGAAAATGACTAATACTTAAAATTTGGCACAAGTTGCTTCAATGTGTATATGTCTTGGTCCATTTTCTGCTGCTATAACAGAATACCACAAACAGGGTAATTTGTAATGAACAGAAATTTATTCGTCCCACTATTCTAGAGTCTGGAAGATGTAAGAGCATGGCAGCAGCAGCTGGTAAGGGTCTTCATACCACATCATCCTGTGGTGGAAGGTGAAAGGTGGAAGGAAAAGAGAACATGCAAGAGTGAGAGAGAGAAAGGGGACTGACCTCATTCTTTTATTAGAAACCCACTCTTGAGAACACCATTAATCAGTGAGGCTCTGCCCTAATCACTACTGGAAGGTCCCACTTCCCAGCACTGTCCATTGAAGATTAAGTTTCTAACTCATGAACTTTGGGGGACACATTCAAACTGTAACATTTTATTAATTTATCTCCAGAAAACATTGCTTTTTCCTTTGAATGAGTTAGGAAATTGTTTCATTCTCTCTTATTGTTTTTTTAAAATTTAGCTTTTACTTTTATTTATCTTTTTTAGCTTTATTGAGATATGATTGGCAAAATTGTATAAATTTAAGGTATACAATATGATGATATATGTTGTGAAATGATTACCACAATTGAGTTAGCTAACACACCTATTACCTCACTTAGTTACCTTTTTTCTTTATTTTTTTGTGGTGAGACCATTTAGACCAAGCTTGTCCTACCCGCAGCCCTCAGGCCACATGTGGCCCAGGCTGGCTTTGAATGTGGCCCAACAAAAATTCGTAAACTTTCTTAAAACATTATGAGATTTTTTGTGATTTTTTTTAAAGCTCATCAGCTATCATTAGTGTTAGTATATTTTATGTGTGGCCCGAGACAATTATTCTTCTTCCAGTGTGGTCCAGGGAAGTCAAAAGATTGGACACTCCTGATTTAGACTCTTGTTTTAAACACGAATGGAGGGTTCTAAAAGTAAATCAAACAGCATATACCAGCAGCTTCCAATTTGCTTGGTTATTTCTAATTCTCGGTAAAGTTCAAACGTAATCTTTTGTATCTCAAATAATATTCCCTGGCTTCTGCAGGCAGGATGTCTAAAATATGTCATAACAATAACAAATTAATTTTACATTTCCAGGTACTCTCTTTATTTCTGTTGAATGAACTATTGCTTTTAAAGCTATTTCTCTTGCTGTATAGGAGTCAGGTTAATTGGTAGATTTTCTGAATTCTCAAAACTGACATTTAACTTATGTGTTTAGTGTTTTATAGTCTCCAATATTCAGTTTCTGGGTAGGTGAGTTTCTAGTTGTTTATCTGTCAGCATTGTGATTTCGCATGAAGATTCTCCTAGTGTCACAACTTGGGTGTAATCTTGAACCCTATAGCTCTGTTTTCACAGAATCACCCTTTGGAAGTGGAATGCTCTAGACCCCAGAGGGTCATCCTGTTTTTTGCATGTGGCCAACATCTCCCCATCTTTGATCTTGTACAGCTATCAGACACACTTTGCATAAAAATACAGGAGAGAGAATAAGCCTAGATTTTTGGTTTTCTGTGGGGCCCAATGGCTAAACTACTCATAGAAAACAGACATTATGGGATCACGTGCCCGGATGGTATTCCCTACAGGTATGATTTTACTACATGCGTGGGTTTACACAGCCCCCAGGTACTCAGTCAGTTAATTCACTCTAACTTTCACATCTATAGAGAGAAATGAAATTATCTGTTGCCTTGTGAAATAAGGAATAATATCAGAGCAGATTTTAAAAGATTGATCACTTTTTTCCTAGTTACATATTGTGGCTGGGAAAAGTTTTCCTGTATGTGCAGCATGGTCTTTTTATATAGTTAGCCTTTCATTGTTGAAGAAGGAAAATGGCAAGAGTCAACTTGGTATCATATCATTGACAAGCTTCCCTGTTAGCCATTCCCAGAGATTCACGTGAGGTAGTGTAGTGTCACTGAGTTCAGTCTACAGTAGAAGGAGTTGGATTACTTACACACCAAACATAATCATGCTGACTGTGAGACCTCAGCATGTATTTCCCATTGCATACTGGAGTGCTGCTTCAGAAGGCATGCATCTAGCCAGACTGGGTAGCCCTTTATTCATGTTCTCATTTGCATCTTTGGGTACCAGAGACGGGAGAATCCTTTTAAGCAGTGCAATCTTGCTAGCCCTCTCTAGCAAAGAGTAGAGGTGGGCTGAAGTCAAGATCGACACAGCAATGTTGTGTTCCCTTGTGGTTTGCTGTCAGCAAGCTGTTATCCATACGTGCAAAAGATTGTTTGAAGTGGGCTTGCATGTGTTTCCATAGCAGCAGTCATCTTAGAGATTTCACTCGTTTTTTGGACTTTTTTTTTTCCTTTGCTTCTCTGTTTCCCGCTGATGCAGGATTAAATAAACAGCATATTTAGGTCAAGGAAAGAGATGTTTGCTAATATAGATGCTAGGCTAAGCATTCTGGGAGAGCGATTTCTTGCAGCAGATGAACATTCTTTGTGCCTCCCAGCAGCATCTGCAGCAGTGTGGCTGTCTGGCACTGTCTTTTTCATTTTGGGCAGGTTCTGAGATTCAGAACAATCCCAAGCAAATCACAGGAGCCGGCAGTTTTCCAGTAGAGCCACATGTAAATCTCCTGCTTATTTGTTCTTTGGTATTAAGAGTGAAGCAATCAGCTAGAAAAACGATACTTTAAAGGTTTGGTGCATCCGAGGTGTGTCATCTTGTGTTTGCACCACCCCTCCTGTTTTACACTCGGAGTCTGGATTTTTTGTCAGGCTGTTGAGCAGGAGCGGATTCTAGTACGGCAGCTCAGAGCTTCCCTTCTGTTCCAGTACCGGTGACTGCTTGTCACGAAGATGGTACAGTGGGAGCCTGTTTCGGAAGAGCCAAGGAAGAGGATGTGGAAATGGAGTAGAGATTGCTAAAAAACTGAACATCCACACCTTGGGGATGGGTTGCACTACTAGTGTGATTCTGTTTAAAGGCATCCGCACCGTTTTTGAAAGAAACTGTGCTTATATGTGCAAACAGCAAGGAGAGAATAATGCCCTTGAATATACAGCATACAATTGGACAAAAGAAGATTCAGAACTATTGATCTCCTCCTGGCTGGTAAATGCTATCTTGCTTAATTAACAAGTAGTTTAATGGTGTTAGAATAAACTAGTCTTTACTTGTAAACAAATATATTTATTTAAGTGTACTTATATGTATGTAGTCTGTGTGTATAAATGGGTAATTAGTGGCCTTAAGTTTAAATTATGAAGTGAGTGTTTGTATGTGTGAGAATGCCATGTATTCATCAAAGCTAAATACATACAGAGAAAGGAATAAGATATTTTATTAAAGAATAGTTTTCTAATGTAGCTTTATCAGCTTACATGTTCTTGGTATAGTCCTAGAAATAATATGTGGTAAAGTGTATATTTAGGGTATTATATATGTGAACCGTCTCCCAGTTATAGTGAATTATTTAGCCCCTTTACATTCCAGTCTTCTAGTTGGCCAGGTTTTTCTTACTAATGGCTTATGGCCAGTCCTTGATGCGGGGGGGAGAAATTTAAAGGGAGCATGAAAGAAAACTATGATGGGTATGAGACAAATATTTATAGTTTTATTTTTTTAAAAAATCCAGCTACTTAACATGTTTTGGGGTGAAGGGTCTTGAGAGCGAGAGGAAGTGCAGTTTGACATGACACTTCCGTGTTCTGTCCCTTTATCAGGCATGAAGAGGTGTCAAGTCACAGATGGGTGTGCCTCTTGTGGCCTTCCCACCAGCACCAGGTTTGTGAGGAGCCACATATGGGTCTCCTCCTCTCTCAGGATGCCTTGCCATTTTTCCTTCTGTTCTTCTCACAGCTTTTGTCAAAATGAGTGGGGACAAATATATCTCAGAGTTTCTGTGTGTGTCTTGCCAGCAGCTGCTTGGTACAGCGAAGCATGCAGAAATGCTGAGACCTTTCCCGGCTGGTGAGGCTACCATCTGAGACTGAGAAGGGGGTATTGGCATGCCATATGCCCTTGTGATCAGATTGGGTGGTCCCAGCCTGCGGGAACCCAGAGAGAGGATGCATTTTATGGAGGGTCTTATGTTAGCACTCGCAATATGTGGGAGGAAGAAAGGAGAGCATCACTCAAGGCATCAGATGCATTTTGCAAGTCAGTGTTATGTATGTTGGAATTTAAGTGGTGCTATATTAACTGTTAAATATTTTAAGCTCTGAGGTATTTTGGAATATGCTTTTGCGAATAACTGGTATCAGAGATTAGAAGGACTAGCTCCTTGTAGCGCTCTGTTCCATTAGTGTATCCATAACCAGACAGCCCGGGACCTGCTTGGGCCAGTAATGGCAGTGCCCCTCCCATGCGGCAAGCTTCTGCTCCCTCAGACCAGACTGACTTGTCTTTGGTTAACCTGACTTTAAGGGATTCTGCTTGTTTTTCTTTTCTCTTTTATTGCCTGGGGGAAGAGTAACCTGCCAGGGGCTCTGTCAGAGCTCTGGGTCTGGGATTCTAGAACACTGCTGTCATGCATCCTGTCGGCTGCTCTTTGCCCACCACTCTTGCCTGCACCAGCAGGCCGTCTGTGCATGTGGCAGAGGTGCTGCTGGATGGAAAGATGCGCCCTCTCACTCCACGCTTGTCTCTCTGTTGGTGTCGTTGCCCTCTGGGACCTCTTCTGCACGCAGCAGAGTGGCCCTCTGAAAACGAGTCAGACCATGTCACTCCTCTGCTCTGGACCTTCTGCAGCTCAGGGTCAAATGCAGAATCTTTACAGCAGCCTCCAGCCCCGTCTCCAGCACTTCCTCCTTCTCTTCACCTGTGTGTCTGTTTCTCTGCTGCTCATTCCTCACCTCGTTCTGGATACCCAGGCTGCCTTGCTGTTTCTACTTCCCAGGACATCTCCACCAGGGATTGCACCATTCATTGCGTGGCCTTTGCTCAGACCCCCTTCTCAGTGAGGCTCCTGTGACCCCCTGCTTAACCCTAAAATGCCCCGGCACACCTTTCCCCAGATCCTGTATAGTTTCTTCTTCACCTGACGTATTCTTTGTCCAGAATAACAGCATAAGCGTAGTAATAGTAATTAGTAGTATGTGTTACTAGGAGTACACTTATAGTACAACAAGAACAAGATTCATGGCCAGGTGTGTGGTGGCTCACGCCTGTAATCCCAGTGCTTTGGGAGGCCAAGGCAGGAGGATTGCTTGAGGCCATGAGTTCAAGACCAGCCTGGACAACATAGCAAGACCTCGTTTCTACCAACAACAACAACAACAAAATAATCAGCCAGACATATGTTGACACACACCTGTAGTCCTAGCTACTCAGGAGGCTGAAGCGGGAGGGTCACTTGAGCCTAGGAGTTCAAGTTTACAGTGAGCTGTGAGTGCACCACTGCACTCCAGCCTGGGAAACAAAGCAAGATCCTATTGCTTAAAAAAAAAAGAATCAGATTCATGATACCTGGGATTTTTGTACGCTTTATTCACTGCTCTTCTCCTAACAGCTAGAACAGTGCCTGGCTCTATAGTAAATGCTCAATCAATGAGGGAATGCTGATGAAATGGCTTTACGGTCCTGAACTTGAACTTGGAGAAACTACTGAGAAGATTAGTTAAAATCACTTATTCTAAAGCCAAAATGTGTGTTTTTTTAAATTTTTAGTTTCCCCAAACAGTAACTGGCTCTCTGTTAATGATCTCTCTGAGCCTGTTGACCATTCCACTCCCTAGAGGTGTGCTTCTAACCCTTCTGTCATGGTTACCAAGAACACACACCAAGAAGTTGTGTGGTTCATGGTTGAATGTTCCCTGGGCTTGCAGTGGTAATGACTGACAATTGGATATTGTCCAGACTACCTCTATTGATGACGCATTTCTTAAGGGAGCCCTGCCCATTGGTACTTCCTTGGGTCACCCCCATGCAAAGATAGGCTGACTTTATCTTCATATGTGGGTTTGCACCAGGGTTCTCAGCTTGGGTAGGATGTCTGTCCTACCTCCAGCTCAGGTGGTGGCTCCAGCCTGTGATTCTGGCTTAACTGTCATCAGGTAAGAGCTGTATTTCACCTGCCCTCAGAAAGCAAAACCCCTACTTCAGCTACTCAGTGTGCACCAAGCCTTTGTGGAGGGAATGTAACATTCATGAAGGATGGCCTAAAGGGCTCGAGGCCACCCATTCTTCTGAAGACCCTAGATGTCCCAAATATCTATCCATCTGTCAGAGAACCACATGCCTGGTCTGCCTAGTTTGTCCTCAGTGGAATTTCTGTTTCTGATCTAAGCTTTGTGATTTTTTTCTTGCCCTATACTGAAGCACGTCATAAGAAACATACTTAAGAAAATGGAATCTACTATAAGGATGTTATTGAGGGCATTGCTTACTTGCTATTGGAATGGCAAGAGGCACTGTAGTATGGTGGTTAAGAGTGCTGATTCTGGGCTGGGCGCTGTGGCTCACACCTGTAGTCCCAGCACTTTGGGAGGCTAAGGCGGGTGGACAGCCAGGAGTTCGAGACCAGCCTGAGCAACATGGTGAAACCCCGTCTGTACAAAAAATACAAAGATTAGCTGGGCGTGGTGGTGCATGCCAAGTAGCCCCAGCTACTTGGGATGCTGAGGCTGGAGGATCACTTGAGTCCTGGAGGTTGAGGCCACAGTGAGCTGTGATTGCACCACTGCACTCAAGCTCTGTTGACAGAAGGAGACCATGTCTCAGACAAACAAATAAACAAAAAAAGAATGCTGATACTGGAGACAGCCTTTGGGGTTTGAATCCTCTTAAATTCACAACTTAATAGTTGTGTGACTTTGGGTAATTTACTTAACCACTCTGTTCCTCAGTTTCCTTATCTGCTATTTGTAGATAATAATGGTACTTGCCTCATAGGGCTATTAAATGAGTGAGTATGTCTAAAGTTCCTAGGTGATTGTCTTGCACATAAGTGTTAATTGTTAGCTGTTATAATCATTGTCATTTCTGTTTTTTGGTGTTCCTTTTATGAGGAGCCCTGGAATAAATTTCTTCTCTTCATAATATGAATGGTTGTGCTTTTCATGAGGAACTACTTTGTTTTCATTTTATATACAGTCTGGTTCATGTAGCTGATCCCAGCCAAGTCATCAGTTAACTGTTAAAGCTTATTTCCAAACATATGACCAAATTCTAGCAGGTTCTAGGCTTTTTCAAAATGACTTTTATATTGCCCTTCAACTTTGCTTATTTTTTTATATTACCTGCCATTTTATCAGTCTGCTTTTTATCATCTGCTTATTAAAATACTTTTAAATTTTATTATGTATATATGTAAATAACTTTAAATCCTTTTGAAATAAGTTACAATATAAATTAAAAGGTAAGGCCAGGCATGGTGGCACACGCCTGTAGTCCCAGCACCTTGGGAGGCCGAAGTGGGTGGATCACTTGAGGTCAGGAGTTCAAGACCAGCTTGACCAACACGGTGAAACCTTGTCTCTACTAAAAATATAAAAATTAGCCGGGCATGGTGGCACTGCCTGTAATCCCAGCTACTCAGGAGGCTGAGGCAGGAGTGTCACTTGAACCTGGGAGGTGGAGGTTGCAGTAAGCCGAGATTGCACCATTGCACTCCGGCCTGGGCGACTGAGTGAGACCCTGACTCAGAAAGGTAAAAAGGTTAACAGAGAAGCATATAGTGAAGAAAAAGCCTTTTTACCATCACTAAGGATGGCTCTGAAGTAACAAACAGATGTCTTGAGTGCAGGATTTAGCTTTGTAAGGCTAGGGCTGTTCAGGCTCCTACTGGAATTTATATTTAAACAGTGAATCAGCCATATGGTGGGCGCTACATTAGGAGATGTACTTCTCTGGTAGTTGGGGACAGGCTGAATTTCAAGTATAGACACCTACATTTTGACTAGTAATTCTACCACAGTTGAGGGACAAGACTGATTTGGGAAGATCTTATTCCTGAGTGTAGATTTTTCCTAAAGTATTTCCCCTTTTCGGATTAATTGACTGTGTTAGTTCAACTCATTTAGGAAGCAGTCTTGATTGCTTATGTGTGCTGAGTGTACAAAAATGATGGGGACGCTGACACATGGGACACGCAGGTACTGCCTGAGGACAGGAAAGGATAGCTCAGCCTAGAATCTCCAGTGGAGGTTCAGAAGGAAGCTTGGGCTGAAACAAAACACATTGTCAATTCAATTTTTCCTTGTCTAGGCAAGTTTGTGATGGGGCTAGCCTTCTGGCTAGGATTGACCTATTTTACTCATAGCTACCAATATCATATTCCACGTCAAGTAGCTGTGGAAGAATTGAAGAGCTGATGGATTATTCTCAACATGTTCTGTTTTTGCCAATTATAACTGAAGTGGAAGAACTTGCTCGGTTAGAACTTTAACAGCAGCTAGGACCCTGTCAGCTGCTTAATGAAGAGCAGTAATACAGGCAAAGTGCTTGTCACAAGAGGAGAAAATAAACTTGTCTTCAGTTTCTTTTGTGACATGTTGGGATAATGCAGCTGTAATTTTACCCATTGTAAATTAATATTTCTCTCTCTTTTTTTTTTTTTACCTTATGGCCTTAAAACCTTAAAGTTTTTCATGTCTCTGTCATTACAAGATTTCCTAACTGTCTTCAACATGTCTTCATACTTTAGTACTATATAAACTTTTATCAGACCACTTTAATCTCCCCAAACAGTCCCGAAGGACTAAACAGTCTTTTCTAATGAGAAAAACCTACCGGCTATGAAAAAAATCCTTTAATTGATCATGTACTTATTTAACAGTCATTTGTTGAATGTGTGCACTGTGCAAAGACAGCAGAGTTGAAGATGATACGCTTTCTGGCCCCTGAAAGCCCCCATCCTGCTTGTGTGTCTGTGGGTTTGGGGGTGGGGACAGGTGGGATCTCGGGGGCTGGCTGAGAGGTAAGTGAATAATCAGTGACAAGGTATGTGAAAATGGAATAATAATACCTGTTAGCTGGAGGCAGGCAGGGAAAGTAGAGGCCAGATCTTGATTATCTTAGGTGTTCTCATGGCTTTTTCTTGTACATTTATATCGGTTTTATCTGCCTCGAGGTGTCATGAAGGCCCGGAGCCTGCTTGGCTGCCTTCTAGTGCCAGAATACTCCTTGGGTCCAAGTCTGGTCACAGCACCATGGTTTGGGTAGGCTGTTTTCCATTTTAGTTCTAATATTTTTCTTAATGATGCCCGGTGGGTTTTGTTGTCTGTTTTGATCACAACAGTAAACTAGGCTGATGTTTTCAAGGAACAGTCTGCTCTGATTCCTTGATCCATTTCCTGTGTCATAACTAAGATTGCCCTGCTCTATTGTGGCTGCTTTTGAGTGCAGCCAATGTGTGTGAGCACGAGAGAGGGCCAGACCTTTCCCCAGAACTTTGTTAAAATATACTGTCTTATTTATCAGTGGGATTCCTTTGCTTTAATATTTATTAAAGTATAAACTAGTAATGCACACTTATTGTAGAAACTAAGCATGCCAGTGTCCAGGAACACAGAGACAACTGCTGTTTTAAACATTTTGAGACACAACCTTTCCAGATATCATTCACAAATACCACTATTCATAAAAATATATGTAACAAGTTGCAATGGACTGAATTGTGTCCCCTACCTCCCTATTCATATGTTGAAGCTCTAACCCCTAATGGGACTGTGTTTGGCAATAGGGTCTTTAGGAGGTAATTAAGGTTACGTGAAGTCATAAAGGCGGGGCCCTAATCTTATAGTACTGTGGCCTTAAAGAGGAAATGATCCTCCTGGGACCCCGCCAACTCAAGTGAGGACACTGGAAGAAGCCAAGATAGCCTTCACCAGGCCCTGACCATACTGGCACCCTGATCTCAGACTTCCAGTCTTAGAATGGTGAGAAAATACATTTCTGTTGCTTAGCCACCCAGTCTATAGTATTTTGTTGTAGCAGCTTTAGCTGACTAAGATACAAGTAGAGTATAAGAAGAATGTTGTTATGTTATATAGTCTTGTATCTTGCTTTCAAGAGACTCCACATGGGCCGGGCGCGGTGGCTCACGCCTGTAATCCCAGCACTTTGGGAGGTCAAGGCAAGCAGATCACCTGAGGTCAGGAGATTGAGACCAGCCTGGCCAACATGGTGAAACCCCGTCTCTACTAAAAATACAAAAATTAGCTGGGTGTGGTGGCAGGCACCTATAATCCCAGCTACTCGGGAGGCTGAGGCAGGAGAATTGCTTGAACCCCGGGAGGCGGAGGTTGCAGTGAGCTGAGATCACACCATTGCACTTCAGCCTGGGGGACAAGAATGAGACTTCGTCTCAAAAAAAAAAAAAAATATATATATATATATATATATAGAGAGAGAGAGAGAGAGAGAGAGAGAGGCTGCACAATATATCATAAACATCTGTTCATGTCAATGAATGGACATTTATGTCTCATTCTTAATGGTGTCATTTCATTTTACAGATGTAACATTTTATTTAACCTATACCTTCTCTTCCATTTTCCTTTCCAATTATAAATGTTGTGATAAATATCTATGCATATATACTTTAAACATTTATACAATTGTTTTCTTAGCAGATTTCCAGATCTGGAGTAGCTAGCTCAAAATATATTTACTTGTTAAAGGATTTTGGTATGTATAGCCAGACTACCCTCCAGAAAGATTATTTGGAGATTTTTAAAAATTCAAGATAAGAAAGTTTGTGTTCACCTCTTCTGACTTCGAGCAGTTTGTTTTCATCATTGCTATTTATGAAGTTGATGATGGGGTCACCTGTTGAACAGAATACAGTGACTTAGATTGCTGTATACTTAGGCAAGTAACACAGTCATATCAGGGTTCAAATTAGCACTAATTTTGCCTCTGCTTCTGGAAGCATGATCATGAGCATTCTTAAACATCCCAGGAGAGTTCTGAAATGTTCCATTGTGGGGGCTGGAATGTGTTTGTTCTGAGAGGTCTTCACCCTTTTAGAGTTGATATAGCTATTTCATGGATATTCAGAAGTAAAGAGCAGCAGCAGAAATACTGAGTAGAAACAGATGAATAAAGCTGCTACTGCTTTGCTGAAGTTGATTTCTATTTCTCCCATGGCCTTAGTGAGAAGCAGTGACCTTTTTGCTTTTTATTTTTTAATTTTTAAATTAAATTAAATTTTTATTTTTATTTTTTTTGAGATGGAGTCTTCTTCCGTCACCAGGCTTGAGTGCAGTGGTGCAATCTTAACTCACTGCAACTTCCCCTTCCTGGGTTCAAGCAATTCTTGTGCCTCAGCCTCCCGAGTAGCTGGGATTACAGGCACGTGCCACCACACCCAGCTAATTTTTGTATTTTTAGTAGAGACAGGGTTTCACCATGTTGGCCAGGATGGTCTTGATCTCCTGACCTCGTGATCCACCCGCCTCTGCCTCTCAAAGTGCTGGGATTACAGGCGTGAACCACTGCACCTGGCCTAAATTTTATTTTTTTGAGACAGGGTCTGGCTCTGTCACCCAGGCTGGAGTACAGTGGTGCAATCTTGGCTCACTAAAGCCTCTGCCTCCTGGGCTCAAACCATCCTGCCACCTAAGCCTCCTGAGTAATTGGGACTACAGACAAGCACCACCATGCCTAGCTAACTTTTTGTATTTCTTATAGAGACGGGTTTTCACCTTGTTGTCAGGTTGGTCTGGAACTCCTGAACTCAAGTAATTCACCCACTTTGGCCTCCCAAAGTGCTGGGATTACAGGTGTGAGCCACCACACCCCACCATGCTTTTTGCTTTTTAAAAGTAACATTTGTTGTCTTTTATATTTAGAATACATAAGTACTGTAGAAAATTTAGAGACCACAAAGAAGAATAAGAGGAAAACAAAAATTACCCATAACTCACAGCCCAGAAACCAAAACTGCTTAATTTGTGGTATGTGTTTTCTGATATTTTTCTCTGCTTCTGCAAATATTAAAAAAGGGATAATTGTCCATAAAAATTTCTGATGCATTTTTCACTTACTGTATTTTATTATGAGCATTTTCTTATGCCCATAAAGTTCTGCTAAAACATGATTTAACATATGTATAGTATTCCATTGTAATATATGTACGGGAATTTATTTAAATACTTCTCTGTTGTTCAGTATTTAGGTTGTTATAAATCGAGATTACAGAAGACATCTTTACCCAAAAATCTGTGTGGATCTATAGTTATTTTTGTAGGCTAGATTTATAAAAGTGAACTTGCGAAGAATGAATTTTTTAAAGGCCTATTAAGGCATATTGTTTTATTGTGTGATGACTGATCCAAGTTACACTCCTAGCAGCAGGGACTATTAGTGCTTTTTTTATATATGATCCTGGCTAGCATCATTTTTGCCAGTTTGAGAAACAAAAGATAACACCTTTCAAACTCTAAATCCTTCGTTATCTTCATCACGTGTTTCTCTGTTTTGTCATTTGCCTTTTGATTTTGTTTAATTTCTTTATGGTACTTATTTTACTAACTGAGGTTTGAATGTAAATGGTATACATAACCATCTTTTCCTCTGTGGTTTCTTCCATTACCTTTATGCTTAGAAATTCTTGCCTATCTGAGATCAGATATTCACCAGTATTTTCTTTTGGAATTTGTTTGTTTATTTACTATTTGTCTTTTCCCCTCAGGGTTAGCAGACTAAGTCTATGGGGCAAATCTGGCCTGCTGTCTGTTTTTGTAAATAAAGTTTTATTGCCACATAGCCACATTTGTTTTTTTATATTGTCCAGGCCTGCTTTAATGGTGCTAGAGTTGAGTCATTAGGACAGACACTTATTTAAGTCAGCTGATAAAGTCACCTGATAAATATTATCAGCTGACCTAAAATATTTACTAGCTGGCCCTTTGCAAAAAGTTTGCTGTGCCCTGCTTTAGTAGATTTAGAATTTATTTGGATTTATAGTTTAGTTAAGATCCTAATTCAATTTCCTACCCATTTTTCCCAGTCCCATGTTGAATAATCCATTCCTTACTCAGTGGTTTGTGATACTGCCTTTATTATATTTTATGTTCTTTTATATACTAGGCTTTGCAACAATTGGAAGAAAACCCTAAGGCCTTTTCCTTTTTCCCCTACTCCCCATTTTTTTCTTTAGTGTTCTCTGTGCCCTGCAAAAGCAAGGTTCTTATACAGCTGTCAGTTTAATTGCAATTCAGGAAAAATGAAAACAAGAAATTTGGGGAGAGACATAAATTCTATAATTTAAAGATAGAATAAACAGACTGTACTGCGTAAGTTGCTGAATTAAGTGATCTTATGAGACATATTGGTTAAGATTCAGGAGCTAAGGGTTAAGGTTTAAGTGAGCAGTTAATTATATTTGTAGGTTTGTTTCCTCAGTAAATAGCCTGTTCATAAAATAGATCAAGCTTGTCTTTATGTGGACTCTCTGGGGCATTTTGATGAAAGAAAAATTCCAGCGTGGCAGCTGCATCCTCAAGTAACCTTGATTTGAATCTACTCTTTTTTTTTTTTTGGTATATCCGGTCTTTGCTAACAAAAGAAGTCCCAGCAAAATATAAGCAAAGGTGCTAGCAGAGTTTCCAAACAAAGTCTATTCATGTCTGCAGGAAATATATCTGTACATTTATAGATGAAGAGTACATTCTGGTTTTCCTTTTATACATTATACAAATTCTAAGGATAATTAATTTCCCTCCTTAACTAGATTTTATAGTGTATACGAAGGTTTGGATATGAATATGTGTGTGTGAAGTACATGTGACTGTGTGTGTGTGTGTGTGTGTGTGTGTGTGTGTGTGTCTATAGTTTTTTGGTCAATGCAGTACTAGAATATTGAATAAAGGTGTACTTTACTATTTTTCAAATGTCAATGAACAATGAATGACCTCATCCTAGGATACGTTTCAATCAGCATTTGTTTCTCTGCCAAGGAAAAACACATATCCTAGGAGACTCAAAGTAGAAATGACTTGTGAACAGAAGCAGAGGGACCACTTGGAGCCAATTGCCGATGATAGGTGTTTTCTCTGCTTCTTGAGTAGGTTCTGCCTTTGCAGAGTCTGTGGAGTGAGACTGTTTATGGGATTCTCAGATGCAGTCCTGTATGCTAAATAGTTTTATGGATGTTTGGTATTTCCTGTATATTTTCTAGGCTTAAGAAACAGGTAACAACATTATCAAAGACTCAGTCTTGTAACTTATTATTTCCTTGTGCTTTCTTTATTGTTGAAGAACAACTGGAAGAGAATCCTGAGGTCTTTTCCTTGTTCTCCCCCAACCTCCCATATTTTCTTCAGTTCTCAGACATCCATTGGATGTTTGCCAATTACAGGGTGGTATGATATGAAAGAGTCATAATCTCTGCTCTCAGAGGGCCCATAAGGCTGCCACGTGGGATATGGGCCATGATGGGGGTAAGCACAGGTACCACAAGCACCTACGCAGGGCTCCTTGTAGAAGGATTTAACCAGGTGAAGGAGAAGGAGAGGGACGTTTCTGCAGAGGGAGCAAAGTCCCAAGGAGGGAGAGCTGAGGGCTCCTTGGAACTGCTAGTAATTCCACAGTGCTGGAGGGGGCTTATCAGGCTGTAGGACAATGGTGGGAGTAGAAGGGTGACCAGTGAGGCTGGAGAGGTAAGCAGGGGACATATCATGGTGGGTCTTGTTGGAACTTTATTCCTGTATTAGAGGGAAGCCATTTAGTGAAGGTTTTAAAGAAACATGTTCATGTTTTTAATGAATCTCATACTGTACTTATCCTGCAGGGTGGATAACGGCTTAGAGAAAGGAGAGGTCTCAAGACAGGAACACTAGTGAGGAGGTCATTGGGGGGTCACAGGTGATGGTGGCCTGAAGCAGGTGGTGGAGGAGATAGAAGATTTAAGAGAGTGTTAAATGAGAGATTTGGCAGTTAAATAAGAGACAAGGAGTCAAGAGTGTTGGTATTTGTGCCCTGGGCACCTCCAGGGTGCCACCTGCTGAGGTGGGAGCACTGAAGGAATGGATCAGGAAGAATTGGGAAAGGAGGATTTCAGTTCCAGACATCTTGAGTTTGAGGTTTAGCGCATCACAACATGTAAACCAGTGGGATGCGACTAGTAGGACCATAGCTAGAGTGTGGATCCCAGCACAGACAGATGTCTGGTAATGAAGGATGGAAGGGGATGAGATCTCCTGGTGAGCGTATTCAGAAGGCAAAGAGCCAAGGGCCCTGGAAGGGACAGGAGAAGGAGCTGGGAAAGGAGCCTGGAGCTGAGTGCTCAGGGATGGGGAGAGCCTGCTGTGCATCTGGAAACAGAATCTTAGCTAAAGAAATAAATGCCAACGGCTTGAAGACCTCTGTCTGAGTGTGTTTGTTTAAGCCTCTTGCCTCTAGTTCACCAACACCATCATCTTTACTGTCCGCAGGAACATTTAACAAAATATGTTATGTGCACACCATCCTTTTAGGCACAACAGAATTTCAAGGTATCCCCTTGGCCTGGAAGGGGCTTGTGTAGTAGACTGGGGAAAGAATTGATCATTGAATAAAACCATTCTCTTCTTCTTTCCCCTCCCCTCCCCTCCCTCCATCAGAAGAGCAGACTTCTATTGTTAACTAGTTATCATGCCGTTTCCATGTCTATTTACTTGTTCCATCCTTATGACAACCCCCTGATGTAGAAACTGTGGTTACCTTTATTTTATAGATGAGGAAGCCAAGGAACAAAGAAAAGTGTAAATACTGTTTAAAATCACACAGCAAGTGAGTAGGACGGGCCAGGATTCAAACCTGTCACTTAGTTCCAGAGCCCTGTGTGCTCTTTCCCTCCATACCACAGAGTCCTGCGTGTCAGCTGAGCTTAGCAGAAAGGTGAAGTCAGGACAGTGCATGGAAAAGTTCTCAGAAATGAGCAAACCCCACGACAGTGGAAGAGTGAGAAAAAGATGAGACAAAGTTGAATGGGGAGCCTGGTCTAGCTTGGGAAGCAAAAGGTAACATTAGTAGAAAAAAGTTGCTGAATTCCATGAGCAACCAAAGGCTGTGTGAACCCACTGACCAGGGACCGTGGAGAAGGATAGAAGAGAAGGTGACACCTGAGCTGGGTTTGAAGGATGAACACAGATGCCTAGGAGGTTAGAATGTGGATGTGGGTGGGGAGGACGTTGCCCCTGAAGGGAGTAGTGTGTTCTGTGATGCTCAAGGAAGCCTGAGAAGCTCAGCCTTTGGAATGCTCTGGCCATTTGTGCAGAGCTGCACACGTGGGCTGAGAAATTTATGTTCAAGCCTGAAGGCTTGCAGGGCCCCTGAGGGGTGATATTAGATCCTCCTCTCACATCAGAGTGGGATCAGAATCAGAAAGGGAGAGACAGGGAGAGCAGGAGTGAAAGCTCTGATCCCCCACACAAACCCTGCGACCAAGGGGATGAAGGGAAAGGGTCAAACTAGAGAATTTTTATAGATTTACTTTTTACTAGAATTTACTTGACTGATGCACAATGGAAGTGAATGAGGGAGCAGGGGTAACAGTGCCCCATGCCCCATCTTCTGACTCCGTGGTAGTGGTGCCCTTGATCAGATGCAAGCGCAGAGGAAGGACGGATGTAAGCGTAGGTGGGGAGTGGGGTAGAGAGATCGGGAGCTCACTCTTGGTCTTGCTAAGTTTGAGTGCTTGAGGAACTTTCAGGTCAAGGACAGATCCAGCTTTCATAGGGCCCTAACATTCTTGCCAGTTGGAAGTCCCTCTTTAAGAAAACAAATAGAAAATTACAAATACCAAGTGAGGTACGAGACCATAGGGGGAGCCCCTGCAAGGGAGCATGCGGACGCTTGAGCTTCGATAACTTCCCAGCCTGCTCCTGCCTCATGGCAGATATCTCAGGCTGTCCTGTCCTCTTTCATGTCTCCATGCTGTGTCTTCCTTGGTGTCAGAAAGGCCCCAAGTCCTCCTCTCTCAGCCATAGGCTTATCATCTTGTTTTGACTGTGAGAGCTAATTAAGTTAATCCAAGAGTTACCTTAGTGTGATGTCTGGAAAGACCCATACACCTAAGGCGTGCCTTCTGATTTTCTCACAGAAAAAGTTACCCTGCTACCTCTTCTAACACACAAGAGAAACTGAATGAAAAAGCCACAAAGGGCTTGTATGGGATGAGGGCCCCAGTCTGTGATCACTACCCATGGCAGAAAGAGGATGAAAAGATACTCTCTCCATTTAGATTGTCAACAGGACTTGGTAGCTGTGTATATAATGGGCATAGCACTTCCAACTTTTCCTGTTATTAAGGAGTTCTGGGGAACTACTTTACCTAAAGTCCCTCACTGAGAACAAAATTTTGAAACCAAATTTAAGTGGTTTCTGAATAGAGATTACAAGTGGTTTCGTACCAGCAAGTAAATGTAAGGCAGTATATTTAAATAATTATCCCTTTACTACTTGCGAAGTGAGTTCGGTAGATGGGAGTGGAGAAGAGAACCTTAGAATCATTGTTTAGTCTTCATCTTTCACAGCTCAGGCTGAAGGCCTTTCCTTGCTGAGAGGTAAGTGCTGACGCCACCAGGGTAAGGGTGTATTTGGGGAAATGCACAGAAGCCCCTTCTTGTCCTTTTTTGTCCTCTCTTCTGCTGTTGCGCCTTGGCCTCTGGAACCCCAAACTGCAGAGCCTTGCCCTCCCACCCTAGGTGCTCCTGAGCTCCACTGCCACTCATCTTTTTTCACTGCCAGAACTTAACAGTTTCTGCATGTGAATGACCTCAGCTAGATGTTACGTTCTTATCTGATTGTAAAAAATCACACTATGGTAAAAATAGCTAATAGACTTGTATCTGCTAAAGGGTATTTGCATTTTGGAGGGGAGTTGTTAACTGAGGGTGGCACTGGAGGTGAATATGGAAGGTTTGGGGGCATTTTGTCATTCATTTCCAAGCTGCAGAACAAATGGAGTCTGTATGCCAGCCCATCTCTGTGCATGAGTTTCAATTTTTATTTCGAGTGAGGAGAATGATTTTACCTCATTTTTCTTCTTTCTTTTTTCAAGTATGTGACAGTTTTCTTGAGCAAATTTCAAATGTTTAACTGTGGAGGGCATGAGATTTTTAATGGTGTCCTACCGTGCTGTATCTTGCCACCTGCAAGCCACCCTCTACTAAGCTACTCTGCCAAGCAAGCCCTCAGGAGGAGAAGTTTGGGAATCTAGCACCTTGCTTTGAAAGGAGCTGAAAACATCAGCAGATTGCATTGCTGGTCCTAACATCCTGGGGCCTTGTGAAGAGAGGACAGGAAGATACTGCTTTCTCATTCAGATGCATGACCTGCTGGGGTTCTGCATTCTGTTCAGAACTGAGTGTTGCATCTTCAGAAGGACACATCAGGGCAGGAGAAGACTCAGAGAAGGGCTGTGAAAAGGATTGTGGCATATTTATAATGAGAGTTGGTGATAGGAGCCCCTTCTGCGTGTATTTTCTCCCAGATCCCAGAATCAGATCAGGTCATCTTGCTTTTACCAAACTGATTTAGGGGGTCAGGTAGGTTGAGTATTAAGGCAGGCAGAGCCCTAAACATTTTAGCTACTCCCCAAAAGTGTATATCGTCTTATTGTTGCTTTCTTCTTCTTCTTTTTTTCTTTTTTTAACCAGTTCTTTGCCAAATAACAAGGCAGGGAGTGGTCATGGTGCCTGGGAACTTTGGTGCAAGAGATTTGATACTGAATTTCCGTTTTCACTTTTCACCCTTAGCATTCAACCACCTTTTGGACTGGGCTGTTGTGTTACAGAAGGATACAGGCTTCTGTCCAAATCATACTCTTTGTGACCAGTTTTGTAAAACAAGTGGAAACGCTGATAGTTTGTGCAGATGCATGTTTATCTGAAAAATGCTGGACACCATCCAAAGGCAAAGTATGCAGGAATGGTCTTAATTTTAAAAACAACCTCTCTGTGCATCAGTAATTTAAACCCTTTTCCATTTTTATAATTTTTGAATCGCCCTCTTTCTGTTAAAAAAGAAACATGAAAAGAAAGAAACACTGAGGATAAGTTTTAGTACTGTTTATGTTGTCTGTCCTGCAACCCCAGACACGCAGGACTTGGCTCAAATCAGGCAACTGGAGAATTCAGGAGAAGGCCAGATGATCTGGAAACAAGCAAGGGAAATCATCATTCAAGAAATCCTTCTATTAGGAAATGAGATTTTAAAAGCCAATTTAAAACTATTTTTGCTTTTCTTGTTAAAAGAAGGGTTGTTTTGGTATCCTCTCATTAGTCACCTTCCAGAGAGAGAGAGAGAGAGAGTGTGTGTGTGTGTGTGTGTGTGTGTGCGCGTGCATGCGTGCACACATCTGTTCATAAGCTGCTCCTATGACCTGTGTTCCAGGTCACACACTCACCCTCTGAACATGTGAACAAGAAGATTAATTAGTTGGAAAGACTATTCAAGGAACTCAGGGAATCGCCACACTGGGCTTTTATTCCCCACATCTGCAGTGTCTTAGCCTCCATTGCCAGTGACTCTCTGAAGTTTGGGTTAGGTCTTTTTATCTCAAGAGTCAAAGGGGGAGATGATACAAATCATTGACTTCCTGTCACCCTGTTATCTGTGGTTAGGTGATTCACGTAGCAAAAGTGTGATCCGAGCTTGCTTCCCTTTCTCCAGCCCCAAGGACACTATGGTTGGCTTCCTCCACCACCCACTTATTGTGAGTTTGGGGTTGCAAACTAATTTTGACAGTAGCCCAAAGTGAAACACCATTAGGAAGATGAGCCTGGTTGCTCAGACCCACAGGGAAATCTGGAAGGCCTTGGATTGTCTGTGCCTTCGCCTCTCTCCATGACTATATGGTAATCATTGGAGGGTGAGATGAGGGGTCCCAACGAGTCTGTGCCTAGACTTTAGCAGTTGGACGATTAGGGGCCATGCAGCCTAATCTCAGCCCCATTTGAGAATGTTGCTCCTCTGTGCCTGGGTGGGTGATGGATTGGAAGAGGCCAGGTGGGTAGGGTAGGGGCTGACCTGGACCATGCTTCCTGTACCACAAGACTTCCTCATTCATGGATTTCACCAAGTCTCTTGGTTCGGAAATTCTTAAAAGGGTTTTGGAAGCTTGGTGTGAGACTCTGCCCGGATCATTCAGATGGAAACCAAGGCCATGAGTGCTGTAAGTGCATCCGAGGTTAAAAAGGATTTTCGAGTGCTCCACACATAATTGGTGCCAGGTGTTTCCCATTTGTCTCTATGCCTAGACAAATAATCAGTCTTAGTGGATACCCAGAGGGTGAGCAGAGTTTGCATCTTGAGGGTAGGGTGGGTCCTACCTTCAGGGGCTTCCACTTCATTTAGTGAATTGAGACATGTGCGCTGTGGGTGTCTGGGTGCCCGGACCTTGCTGCCCTGTCTGGCTTCTCTGATGATGCATGCCTGCCAGCTGCCATCACCCTTGCCCCAAGGCTCCACTGTCTATCCCGGCCCCACCTCAGCTGTTCTCATCTGTGACTCATTCACAGAGGTCCACCAAGTACAGAGGAAAAGCTGAGGAGAATGGCAGGTGTCACATGCATGACACCCTCACCATCACCCTGGAGATGTTTCTGTGGTTTGCAGCAAATCTTGGAAGAGCAGAATGGCCTCAGCCCTAGTCTGAGAAAATCCTCAGGGCTTTTACAGAGATGATCCTGGGGACTTAGGAGAATCTGCTGTGTTGGTCAAGGGTGGGGCTGGGCCAGTGCCACACTTTGGCAGAACAGACCTCTCGTTAGCTACGGGGCTGGAAAGCAGCATGCTTCTCAGTTATTCTCCCAGAATCCCCACATGGAAATGTTTTCTATTGTATAACAAAGATGCACAAAGTCAGGGGGTGACTGGAGTATTCCTGACCAGCCAGGGCTGGAATTGCAAGCCAGCAATGCACAGAGACAGGAAAATAATTCCCACAAAGAACAGTGAAGGCTGCCCATGGCAATCCCTGGAAATAGTCTGATGTGGATGGAGTGAGGGAAGGAAGTGTTGAGAGACCAACAAAGGATATCAAAAGAGTGGGTGGTTTTGAAGACAAACCTCATTTCACATCGCTACTGGTCTGCTCTTCTTTCACATGTGGCAAATAGGAATCTAGTGGTCAGCCAGGAGACTTACTGTCATGCCCTTGAGAGAGGTCTTCTTTACAGATGTTTAGGCAAAGCAACTCTGAGGTGCGGGGCTCAGCAGGACTGAGCTGGTCAAATAAAAGGCTTTAGTTAGAAATTTGAGCTGAATTGGTAAGTTCTTTTTTACTCCAAGTTTTCTTATTGTTTGCCTCTGGGCGTGGGGTGGGCGAACCCTGCCTGAATAACCAGAGGAAAGTGAGGTGATCCACAGAGGGCCACAGCTCAGTGATTTTACAGTGTTCGCTTTAGTTCCTGAGACGTGTGGGCCTGCAGGCAGCAGACACAGGTGCCCTGCGAAGCGGCGTGTTCTAGGGTAAGTGCGCTGTGAGTGTCTGCTGCACACATTGACTACACATTCGAGAAGCCCTCTTTTCCCTCTTTTCCACTGTCCTCTTGTAGAAACCCTGGATAGTCAGCACATCTCCCAATACTCCTTTCCCATTCAGGTTGTGAGAGGGGAGCACATGTCTTTTCTTGTCTTCTTTCTGTTATGCCAGCTGAGGAATGAGTACCGATTGGACTTAGTATGCAAGGAGTTTCTTTGGATTTCAGAAGATCCGCATTTTTGGGGTAAAACTATGCTGTTTGCTTTACCATTGGCAGAGCAACTTACTTCCAAGTTATTATAATAAGAAATATAAACAATAAAACCAAGGAAGGTAAAGGATTAGATCAGGAGTGCCCAATCTTTTGGCTTCCCTGGGCCACACTGGAAGAAGAAGAATTGTCCTGGGCCACACATAAAATACACTAACACTAGTGATAGCTGATGAGCTTTTAAAAAATTGCAAAACTCATAATGTTTTAAGAAAGTGAAAGTTTACGAATTTGTGTTGGGCTGCATTCAAAGCCATCCTGGGCCACATATGGCCCTGGGCCGTGGATTGGACAAGCTTGGATTAGATTATCCCCTCCAGGTCAGAAATTCTTTGATTTTGAAATAGATTATTGGAATATATGGGTAATGTAAGGACCTGTAAGGCACAGTCCAGTTGGAATGTGAAATATACATTTGTGAAGAGTTAGTTATATAATATTAGTATTGATCTTAGCTCTAGATGGCTTACAAGGTATAACATAAGTCAGCTAGTGATGAATTGCTGTTAGTACTACTCGGGATCTGGAAAAAGATGTGTGACCGCTGTCTTAGTTGTGTTCTGCTTTGTGCCGTGGACACTGTGAGTGAGAAGGATGGGTTGTGGTAATTACGAGCAGCACTTGTATTACTGAGGGCTCCATCCTTGGCCAGCATCCTCTTTTTAGGTGATGACATTCACTTTCATTGTTGTAGCCACCACCTGTCTATATGTGGTCATCTCTGTTTGCATCTGAAGGCCTATACCTCATCCCAGTGCGTATATGTCCATATGCCATCTGCTATTTAAAGCCCTTTGGTGGCTTTCCATTTAGCTCAGGTTGAAATACACAATCCTCAATATGCCTGCCATGGCTAACAAGGCCCAATATGATCTGCACCGTGCTTACCCTACTGGGCTCATCGTGTGCTGTTCTCCCCTGGACCACTGCACTGAATGGGCCACTGTTCAGCTGCTCAAAGAGGGCAAACTATTCTGCGCTTCAGGGCCTTTGCACATGCTATTTCCTCACCCCTCAATTTGCACTAACTCAGCCACTATTCAGAATTCACTCCTCCTTCTAGCCATGTTTAAAAGTATCTTCCGGCCGGGCGCAGTGGCTCACACCTGTAATCCCAGCACTTTGGGAGGCCTAGACGGGCGGATCACAAGGTGAGGAGATCGAGACCATCCTGGCTAACACGCTGAAACCCCGTCTCTACTGAAAATACAAAAAATTAGCCGGGCGTGGTGGCAGGTGCCTGTAGTCCCAGCTACTCGGGAGGCTGAGGCAGGAGAATGGTGTGAACTCGGGGGGCGGAGCTTGCAGTGAGCCGAGATCGCGCCACTGTACTCCAGCCTGGGGGACAGAGCGAGACTCTGTCTCAAAAAAAAAAAAAAAAAAAAAGTATCTTCCTCAAAGGAGGCTTATTTAACCTGAGACTAGTTACGCATCCTCTACTTTTCTTTCATTGCACTTAACACAATTGTAAATAAACTAGTAATCGTGTTGCTAGTTGTTTACTGGTTGATTTCATTGTGGTCTCTGAGTATGCTTGTAGAAAGCCTGGTCAGCACATCTCCCAATACTCCTTCCTTCCAGCCTGCTTGCTGGTGTATATGATGAACCACTGTAATGTTTTTACTTCACACGACACCCCAGCATTAGCTTTTCATGAGTGAAATAAATTAATAGAAACAGTCTGCAAACAAAGATTTCCTCGGGAACGGTGTTTTGTTTCTGTCATGGTGTGACTTGGAGTCTGTAATGACTGATGGGCCTGCACATGTGTCTATCTAGCAGATACACTTCTAACAGCACAATTCACATCCTTTTGATTTTTTTCCCATGCGTACATTTCTTTAGAGCACCTGGGTTGTTTATGCAATTTCCTGTTTGTCAAAGGGTAATAACCATACCTCACGAACTTAGAATTTTTCACTCGTTTACAATTTAAAGTGAACAGAAAAGTAAAACTTAAGTGTTTAATATTTTTGAGCTTCTAGAATATTTTAATATGTAATAATTATATATTTGACACAAAGAATTGGTTACCATATATATGTTCTTAATTTTTTTGTAGAAGTCATACAAAAGAATGTATGGAAAGAAAGGGGAAGCGGAATTACCACTTGATATACAGACAAAAAAGACATTTTACTAGGAGCACAATTAAGAGGAAGGAACAATGAATTAATTGATCTTGATCAAGGATATAATTATATATTAGATATATAATTACATAATATATACACTCATATCTGATTATATATGAGTAACACAATTATATGTAAATGTAGGATGAATACACTGAACTCTCTGGACACACATTCCTTTGTCACAGAAGAAGATTCAAATTTGAAAAGTAATTCTCCCGGTAGGATTGGTGCTGCATTTCTCAGCCTTAGCACTGTTGACATTTTGGGCTGGATAATTCTTTGTTGAGGGGGCCGGTTTCTGTATTATACCATGTTTGGCAGCATCCTTGGCCCTACCCAGTATATGGCAGGTACAACCCCCCTTCTGCAAGTCATGACAGCCAAAAATGCTTCCAGATAGTGCCACATTCCCTGCTGGAGGGTAAAATCACCCCCAGTGGGGAACCACTAGATTAGAATACCTGATGCTTCAGGTTACAAAGGAGAAGTGCTCAAACAAGCCCAAGTGGGCAGAACAGCTTCTGTCCTAGGAGATGGTAGGCACCCCAGCTTCTGTTGGGACTCACGCCAACAGCCCTTCACCTGCAGTAGACTTTTCTAAAGTAGATAAAGTCTAGTCCATTGATTATTTTTTTATTTTAAAGTTTTTTTATTTTAATATATTTCTTATTCTTTAAGGACCATCCCAAACCCAGCTTTGCAAGGAGCTCTTCCTTCAATCACACATTTACTCCTGTGAATTGGATTGCCCGCAATCTCACATTACAACTTGATGATACTAAGGTTTATTGTTGATAGTAATGTCATAATATTTTTTTCTCTTTGAAGTACAACTTATTTACTTCCTTGAATTTTCAACATAAGCAAATTTCACATATTAGATAATTCTAACTACAGTGAGAGAAAACATTTAATAAACTTTAAAAACCAAAACTTTTATTTATTATTTACAATATAAACTTTATTTACAAACTTTATTTATTTTTATTTTTTGAGACGGAGTCTCGCTCTGTCACCCATGCTGGAGTGCAGTGACGCAATCTCAGCTTACTGCAAGCTCCGCCTCCCGGGTTCACGCCATTCTCCTGCCTCAGCCTCCAGGGACTACAGGTGCCCGCCACCACCTAGTGGAAGTATTCCTAGTGAAGACATGTTGTTTTCCATAGTTACTGCCTTCCTTCACTGATCACAAGCCCATCAGTCTTTCCTTTCTTTATCATGGTTTGTTATTTCTGATTGCTTCTCTCCAAGACAGCCACCTAAAATAATAGACACTCTCATGTAAATTATACACATCTTCCTAGGAACAGTTTAAAAAATTTCCTACCTCTCAAAGGCTGCTGTGAAGTAGATTTGAAGGCGAATGTTACTCTGCTTAAATTGTTTCTCATGTCACATAATGAGATAACAACATATGGGTAGAGAATCTGAGAATTAGGAATTTGGAGTCTCATACGGGGTCCGTAATGATCAAGTTACCATATTATGCCCCTGTCATTTACCCAGGAATTGTGCCGGTAATTGAAGTATTAACTACCAGATACCCATATTTACTTTGGAGTAATTATTTTTATTACTGCATATGCTGTGGAAAAGAGGCTGTGTTTTACACTTCTCATTGAGGAGGCAGAGTCCATACTCCTGACTAAGACTGCAGCTGTCTTCATTCTGATTCCACCTACCTTTCTGTCTTTTTCTCCTGCTTTGCCATGCTGGGGGTGCTGCTTCATCTAAAGTCTTGCTGTTTCCCAAACACACCATGCTCTTTCAGACTTCCACACCTTTCTGGATATGTACTTCCTTTTTGCTTGAACACCTTTTACTCTCTTCACTGCTTCAGAACGTCTTGCTTATTCTTTAAGACTTTGCTTTTCAAGTTTGCTCCCTGAGCCAGCAGCATCAGGAGAGCTGTGGATTCTCAGCTGCTGTATTAGTCCATTCTCATGCTGCTAATAAAGACATACCTGAGACTGTAATTTATAAAGGAAAGAGGTTTAATGGACTCACAGTTCCACATGGCTGGAGAAGCCTCACAATCATGGTGGAAGGCGAAGGAAAAGCAAAGGCACATCTTATGTGGCGGCAGGCAAGTGGGGTGTGCTGGGGAACTCCCTTTTATTAAACCATCAGATCTCATGAGACTTACTCATGAGAACAGCAGGGGAAAAACCTGGCCCCATGATTCACTTACTTCCCACCGGATCTCTCCCATGACACGTGAGGATTATTACAATTTAAGGTGAGATTTGGGTTTAGACACAGAGCCAAACCATATCAGCTGCATTCTAGACCCGCTGAGTAGACCTACCCAACTGAAGGGAAGCTGGGAGGGGAGGCTCATGGTAGCTCCGAGGAGGGCCTGGGGGAGATCGGAGTGCCCTTAAGGGGCTGACACTCCCACATAGACCATCTGGGTCTTCTGAGAGGGTCAGAAGAGGGCCCAGTGGGCTGTTTTAACAAGCTCTCTAAATGATCCTGACATGATAAGAGTTTGGGAACCACCACCTTTTAGACACCATTCAAATAGCACCCCATCTCCTGAAGCTTATCCTGATAACTCCTCAACAGGTAGTCAGCCATCCCTCCTGTTGGGGCATTTTTTTTTTTTTCACTGTATTGGTTAGGCAGGGTAGGCTAACTGCTGTAGCTTCACACTGTACAGTTTTATTTCTCATGTGTGACACGATCTCACCAGGTGTACATGCGGTGGTCTTCCATGTGATGATGTAGGAGCCTGGCTTCTTACCTCTGTGGCTCCTGTGTAGCCAGGGCCTCAGGCTCCTCCAGATTCCCTGCATCCAGTGGCCCCACAGGTGGGGAGAAAGCAAGGATCATCAAGCAGCATGTTCCTTGACTGTGCCTGGTCTCTGCGACCTTATTATTATTTTTTTTTACTTTTTTCTTGGGCCAGAACCTAGTGACGTAGTTTCAGCCTAACTGCCAAGGAGATTGGAAAGTCGACTGCCTAGGAAGAAGAGACAGGATTGGGGATTGCCTAGTCCAACACTTTCCACTAAAAATATAATATTTTTATATATGTATATATGTAATTTATATTTATATATAATTTTACATTTTCTGCTAGCTATATTAAAAACCATAAAAAACAGATAAAATCAGTTTTACTAATATATTTTATTTAACCCAGTATATTCAAATATTATTCAATAAGTAATCAATAAAAAAACTCTTAAGATATTTTACATTCTTTTTGTCACACAGAGTCTTTGAAACCCAGTGTGTATAGCACATCCAGGTTCAACTAGGCAAATCTCGAGTAGCCCCGTGTGGCTAGTGGCTACCATATTGGCCAGCACAGGTCTAGCTACTCCTGTCACACTTGTTATTGAAATTACTTGTTTGCGGCCGAGTGCGGTGGCTCGCGCCTGTAATCCCAGCACTTTGGGAGGCCGAGGCAGGAGCATCACGAGGTCAGGAGTTCAAGACCAGCCTGGTCAACATGGTGAGACCACGTCTCTACTAAAAATACGAAAATCAGCCGGGCATGGTGGTGCATGCCTATAGTCTTAGCTACTGGGGAGGCTGAGGCAAAGAATCAACGTGAACCCAGGAGGCGGAGGTTGTGGTGAGCCAAAATCATGCCACTGCACTCCAGCCTGGGTAACAAAGCGAAACTCCATCTCAAAAAAAAAAAGAAATTACTTGTTTGCATCCCTTTTAGTCCACTTTCAGACATCGTACTCTTGAACTAGATTGTGTGTTCCTTATTTCCCAAACCTTGTGCAGCGCTCTGTGGTTAAGAAATGCTTGCTGAGTGATTAGCAAGGAAGGAATTTAATGCATGAATCCATCCATTAATGAATGGATTAATGAGTAAATACAGGAGAGCATTCCGCATTCCTTTTGGTTCTTTTGACTACTTTAGTGAGAGTCCTAAGGTGTTCTCTTTTGTGATAAGTGCTGGGTTGCATACAGTATGACAAAATTAGTATAGTAGAAGGATAAAGTGAGCCCATTAACTGGGGTGCTCATATGTATTGCTGAATTGCAGAGTTTGGGCTGAAAAGAACTTGACCATGGGATTGTCTGTCCTCATTTTTGTGGATGTGTGTCCCTGAGATAAGTGGAAACATGGAGGTGGCACACCAGCCTTGGGGAGCAAATCCCCCAGCACTTGTGGTCGCCTTAAGTCTCTTGCAATTAATCTAGAAGTCTCATGTTTTTCCCCAAATTAATGAAGAGCTATAAGCTGTAGTAGTATGTGCTGCAGTTATTTCAAAATGAGTTGTTGGGGAACGTGTTATTTAACATACTCTCAATTGTAAAATGCTGCCAAACAAAACTTGCTTAAGATTTTTTATTTTACCGTCTTTTCTTCAAGTCTTATACCAGGGAATAGACAAGCTCATGAAAGTTATATCAATACAGTGTCTGAGTAACAGATTCTGTTTAAAAGGAAAATAATAGTACATTAAGTCTGTAACACTGGATGGGGCATTATTTTCATTGCAGTGAATTGTGAAGAATGCATACGGAAGACGTGACTTCTGCATTTTTTTCCTCTTATGGTGGAGAGAAAGGAAAACCTTAGAAATGCCTTTACTCTTCTCTAAACAGATTGGTTCATTGCTTTTAGTTACCATCCTATGATGGTCACACATTTGAACTTGAATTTCAAGAGCTTGTAACTGAGGCTGTGAGCAACTAAGGCTTTTGTGACTGAATTGTAGGCAGCAGAACACTAGGGTTGGTTTTGTTCTGGGAAAGTATACTGCTAAGCAAGTGTTTCAATATGTGATCACACAATTACAAATATTTGAAAGATGTGTGAATATTGTACTGCTCTGTAGACCCTTTCTTATTGGTTTGAAATTGAAAGGCATTTTACTTGAGCATGGAAGGAGGAGTGGGGGAAGAGGGGGAATGGTGATTCTAAGACTTTGTATAGCATGAACCCTATATAAAATTTTCTTTTTTCTAAAAAAGTCAGTTAAATAGAAAATGATCAGTCATTAATGAGTCAACGTCTACCATGGCATTTGGAATAAGGCTAAGGTGTGTGTTCTGTCCTGTGGAGGATGGTAAACTTTTGGCTTCAATCTCTACCCCACTCCACCTCTCACTTTCAGCCAAATACCCTCATATGTGTCATATCTGTGCAGAGATATTTCTGGGAACCCATTCGTGTTTCCTTGTCTTGGATCTGTGTTTAAACATTGTGGGTGTTCTTCCTGTATCTTAAGTTATATTAAGATCAGTGATTCCGAAACATGGGTGGGTAAAAGCCTGCAGCATAGGTCTCACCTGGGAAGTTGTGCAAAATTCAGATCCTTGAGGCTCAGTTCAGGATTCCGATTCAGAAGTTCTGGGTGAGGTCCTGGAATCTGTATTATCATTATTATTATTATTATTATTATTATTATTATCATCATCATCATCATCATCATCATCATCATTATTATTAATTTTCAAGCTCCCAAAATGACTTGAGGCAGAACTAGGTTTGGCAACCCTTACAAGACAGGGGTCTTGGCTTCACCTCACTTTTGCTGGAGTACCAAGGAGGAAAATATTCTTTGGGATGGAATATTCTGGAGGGTCTCATGAAAGAGGAGAACCTTCCAAGGTGAGTAGGCATTTGACAGGTTAAGATCAGGAAGAGGTGGGCGAACATTGCAGATTGACAGCATTTCTGGAGACATGAGGTGAGGCTTCAGGAGGCAACACAGTGTTCTTACTGCAAAGGTTTGAGGCAGGGAGTGGTGAGGAAGGGCCAGGGTGTGTCAGCCCTGAAGACAGTGGCTGAAGGGTGGCCCCGGGCCAGTGGTTGCCGTTCAGCACATGGGGATGCCGTCCTACCCTGGGAGCGAGATCTCCAGATTCCTTCCCCACTTCTTTCACGGGGGAATTAATGTGGGAGGAGGAATCCCTGCTCTTGCATCTGCATTTCCTCTTTTCCTCCCTCTGTTCAATACTTTTCAACCATGAGGAGCTTCATTTATGTGTGCACAAGAAAATAAAATAAAAAAGGTTTCAATACAGTAGGGTTTGGGTCCTCTGCCCAGATTGCCCTGTATTACTTATCTTCTAAAGAAGAAGAACGTTGAGCTTCAGTTTTAAGTCTTTATAGTAACAGTGGATGGTATTTGAAGATCTGGTCACTTGTACCTTTAAAAATGGGTGTTGATTTTGTCTGTCTGGTCAAGGAATGTAAAAATTACCTCTAAAGAATCTGTTTAAAGTAGTTCTGCCACGTGACAGCTCTGACCTTGAACCGGTTCTTTAACTTCTGTGTCTCGCTGTCCTCCTTTGTAAAATAAGAGACCTGTCTCAGGGTGGACGGAGGACCAGATACAGTGCTTATCCCAGTACCACTGGAACTTGAGGCAAAAGAAAATAACTTGGAATACTGTTCCTATCTTTATTTCAAGTTTTGACTGTTTATCATGGCTTTTGGAAGGTATTATTTTTAAATTTAAGTATTTCATTAAAATAGTATCTCAGTTACTGAGTTTTTAGTGCTCTTGTATATTTTGTTCCCGAAATGAATACCTCGCTCACCTGCCTCTGGTCCCAGCTCTGAAGGAGGCACCCTGTAAGCATTTGCTACTTTCCTGGACATTATTTTAAAATACTTCCCAAGTGGTAATAAATAACTTAAAAATTTTTTTTAAAGTGCCTAAAGTAATTGATACTTTTAAAGGAAAATTTTAAATATACAGATAAGTAGAAAGAAGGGAAAATAAAAGCCATTTGTTTCACATTTCTGACACACTACTGTTAACATTAAATTTTTTTAATGTTTTTATTTTTTAAATTTAAAAAAAATTTTATATGCTGTTATCTTTTAATACTTTCAGGCCTTGGACAACTCTCCAATATTTTTTGTGGCTCTCCCAAAGGAGATATATGCTCAAAAAGGAGACAAAATTATGTTTGAAACAAAACTTAAAAATATTTGGATCTATTATTTACCAGTTATGTTAATTTTGGAACATAACTCCAAAGCATAGTAACTATGTGAACTTTTGATAAGCTATTTAATTCATAAGAGCATCGAGGGTTAAATTGAACTGAATTGAATAAGGATGTATGTCAAGTGTGTGTGCAGGGGTCCCTTAAATGTTTTTCTTGCTCACCTGTGGCAGTTATAATAAAAAAGTATTGACTTCTAGCTTTAGGTCTTGGCAAAGCCTAAATGGAAGAGCGTGTCTGGAGAGTTCTTAAATGCTTATGTAACATCGTAAACCTCACTTGTTTTGTATTTAACCTCCTGTTTTTGAAACGACAGAAGGGCTTAAGACCTAGCTCTTTGTAGATGGGCCAGTGGAATGTTCATATCCACCAATGTTCAAGTTTTCAGAGTTTGATTAAACGTCTCGCTGTCTTTTTTAACCACACTTTTCTTAGAAGAGTTTTTTTCTTTGTTCAGGAGGGGAAGATGAAACCCGTTGTGTTACATGTATAATTCTTTTTAAAATTTTATGTTGACAAATAATTGTATATATTTATGGGATACAATGTGATGTTTTGATACGTGTTTACATTGTGGAATGATTATATCAAGCTAATATTTATCACCTGACACTTTAATCAATTTTTTTGTGATGAGAACATTTAAAATCAAATCTTTAAGCAATTTGAAAGTTATTTGGAAATGTAACAGAAACCCATTGATGGTGGTGGTGGTGGTGGCGGTGGTGGTGGTGAAGATGGTGATGGTGCTGCAGTGACCTTTGGTCTTTTAATAAAGCTGCTGAACAGTCTAAGATTACTTCTAAGTTATATGATGTGTGCTTTGATTTGACAGCAGAGAGAAGGGAGGCTTTGATGGCCTTCCTTAGCATTCACCCTCCTCACCTGCCATGTTTATATCTCCAACTCTAGTCACCTTTATTTGTAGCATATCTACCTGTGAATAAGTTTAATTTAGTTTACTTACATATTTTACAAGCACCCAGGGGGAAAAGTTTGACTTCTTAGGACGTGTGGCCCAGGAATAACAACGTGTGAGCCCCTAAAACTATCTGGCAGTGTTTTCTATTTCTTGGCGGTCTCTTAAGTTCACATAGGAAATCAGTTACAATGAGCTTGGAGGAAATAGAAGGCCCTCCTCTAGGCAGCAGGATGAGAAAGGGATACATCATCTTTGCTGCTGATGATATTATTTTATGGAAGGGATATAACCTATTGCTTTTTAGAAGAGGGGACTTCCAGATGATTGTTGGGGAGCTGTTATTACTATACACGGTCATTGTCTTCTAAATGCAAACTAAATTCAGCCAGAAGTGCTAGGGGAAATGCTACAATTCCCTTTGTAAAGTTTCTGGTGGACTTTACCCTTGTAACCTGAGAGTGTGTTCCTTTTTGCAGAAGTACGAGTCTAGAGTTGGCCTGGCGGCCTGTCCCCTCCACCCCCGATGCTAGATAGCTAATTGCTGTGAACTGTGACACTGCGACTCCTGCCAGCTTGGTCCATCTCCATCACCTATAAATTGAGATGGTCCACCAGCTTTGCACCTTGTAAGCACTGAAGGAACTTGCTTTAAGTAAGTTTAACATACAAATATAAGGTCTACAAAACCAATGAACTTGAAGGGCGGCAATTTGTGTTTTCCGCTAGGTTGCTTTGGGAGCTGGACAGGGAGAAGTGAACAAAAGAACATTTGTCTTTTAGTTATACTTGAATGATGCATTTTATTTAGAAAGGAAAACTTGAGCGCTTTTTAAAAAGTTTTGATCATGTTTTTCACGAAGAATACATTCTCTGGCCCTTAACCTCAGCATTTGTGATGTAGTGAGGAAAGTGAGAAAATTCTAGCTTGTGAACTCCTGTGATAAATCATACCAAAGTGAGGCACCTTCATCATTTATTCTAGAAGCAAGCATTTATGGATTGCCTACTGTGTACACAATACTGTGCCGGGCGTGGGGTGGGGTAGGGGGATAGCCCCCTGCCCTCCTCACCAGCGCTCAAAGCTGAGGAAGGGAGATAAAACAGTTACAGATCACGCGAAACAAGATTGAGGCCAGGTTTTGGTAACCCATACCAGGAGTTTAGTTTCCTGAGAAAAATCCCAGGCACATTATGTTTCTCTTGGCTTTGTAAGTTTCCATCTCTAAAATAAATTATTGACATTAGCTAACTGAATTATTGTTATCACGATCAAAATAAATTGATAGTTTACAGAAAAACCGTTGGTGTCCAGAGCTTAACAGCCCCATTTCCAAACTGAGAGGATCCTGAGCCTTCAGTAAATTCATTCAATGTATATTTTCTCAGCACCTGTAGTGTTTTAGGACCTGGGAACACAGCAATGAACAAAACAGGCAAAAATGCTGCCCTCGTGGAGCTTTCTACCTGCGGGTAGGGAAGGTTAGACAGACATTAAATAAGAAAAGTAGAATAGGATGCCAGATGGTGATAGAGCCTATGGAAAAATGAAGGCCGGGAAATGGGGGAGGATGTTACAGGTGGGGGTGGGGCTGTCTTTAATGAGAAGCTTCTTAAACCTTCCATGGCTGCAGACAGAGCCTTCTCTAAACAGTGGGATGTGTCCTTCGTCAGCCTGACTCTCCCATCTTAGCTTCCTCATCTGGAAACAGAGGTTTCTTTAGGGACTGCCCCCTGCTGTGCCAGTGCTGTGGGTTTTCCCAGAGCTGAGAGCGCAGGCCCCACCCCCCCAACTGCCCACCCCCCTGCCCCCATAGTCTTCTTCACTGATAGCACGTTATAGTTCTGTTATGTTCTTGTTGTCTGCTGGCTCCTTGGCTCAGCCCCTGCTCTGTTGGAAATGAGAATCTGACATGTTTAGAAAGATACCCACTTTTTTGTCTTTGTGTTTTTCTTTTGTATATAGTAGGTCAGTGCATTCCATTGAGTGGTTTGTTTTTCCCCAGATATTATCAATAAGGAAAGTTCTCATACTTAATATTATAGATATATAGAGCTGGAAAGATTTTTTTGGTGTAAGTCCTTCATTTTACAGGTAAAGTCTGTGGGGCCCAGAGAGGTGAAGTGACTTTTTCTAATGTCACACAGCTGTTGTGGGGCATAGTGAGTGGCTAGAACCCCAGCATGAGCTTCCTCTATACCATTATCTCATAATCCAGCTCACTGATTTCTGACTAAAGAAGTGATGAAAGCTTTTGCAGAAAACTTGCAGAATATAGAAGACTTTAGAGAGAAAAAGAATCACTAATAGTACCATGTACCAGAGGTAATCAGTAGTTACATTCTGTTGTATTTTTTTTAGTCTTGTGTGTGTGATAGTGTGAGCATTTTCTCAATGTCCTTTAAAGTTCTTAGAAAACAGTTTTTATTGGTTATGTTATTTGCCCTGTTTTGGAGATACAACTATTGAATTCGAGTTGTCCAACTGGCATTAGGCTTCAAATGATCCATTTACTGACTTGTGTCAACAAATGAGTAGACTGTGCACATGTTGACACTGCTGATTGGCATCCACTGGTTGTTTGTTTACCTCATGCCTGATGTTTAAATTCCTGTTGTTACCCCTCCTTAAATAGAATGTGAACCTGCCCATGGGAAGAGATTTGTACCACAGAACTTTGGTTGGCTCTCTAGCTCCTCACTCCAGGCCTCGGTCTCCTTGTTCTATGAGTGAAGGACCTTCCAATGGTCCCTTTTCTGAGAACTAGGTGAACTCCCTTGGCCTTTCTTTAGGAAACTCACAGACATACAATTTCATATGTAATTTTAGAGGGTTTGTGGACCACCTTCCCTAACATTCAGCCTTGGATTCTGGGCTAAGAGACACTAGACTAGGTGATAATGTGGATTACATTTCTGTGACTATTTGATTAAATCTGTAATGATAAAAAATAATTGAGGAGGCCGGGCACAGTGGCTCACACCTGTAATCACAGCACTTTGGGAGGCCGAGGTGGGTGGATCACCTGAGGTCAGGAGTTCGAGACCAGCCTGGCCTACATGGTGAAACTCTGTCTCTACTGAAAATACAAAAATTACCCACCCGTGGTGGTGGGCACCTGTAATCCCAACTACTCGGGAGGCTGAGGATGGAGAATCACTTGAACCCAGGAGGCAGAGGTTGCAGTGAGCCGAGGTCATGCCACTGCACTCCAGCCTGGGTGACAGAGTGAGACTCCATCTCAAAAAAAAAAATAATAATAATAATAATTGAGGAGGGCATGAGACTTTATATCAGATGTATCTTTTCCTATATTAACTCTTCTAAGAGGCCCTAAGGGTTGTGGTCGAGAAACTGTCTCCCCCTCCCACCACTGGCTGCCACCACATCTTCTCTTGCTGTATGTAGCTTTCTCTCCTCCCTCGCTGGCTCTTTCCTGCCTCACTCCCTGAATCAGTTGTCTGCAGTGCCGTTCTGCTCTCTGTTTTGCTGCCTGTCTTGCTGTCTTCCATGCTTTTGTCTTTCTCAGAAGGCAGATCATTTTCGGGCCCCTTTTCTTTGGCCAGCAAGCTGACCAGCAACAGTATACTGCGGAAAATCTTTAGTCATTTGTTTTCTTTTGCATTTTTTCTTAATTTCTACTTATTGTTTCTACTTCCCCAGAACAAGAGAAAAGGAATGATAACTTTGGAGTATACACAAGTACATGTATATAAGTAATATAGGTGTACATATGTGTGTGTATGCATATTTTTCTTTTGCCTTTGTTATAAGTATCCTTCTGATATGCCAAGAACCCCTAATAAAGACAGTAAATAACTTCTGTTAGGTTGAGATAATTGATTTATTCCTCGTATTGTTATTCCTCAGATGGTTATTAGCTATGGTTAGCTACAGTATCTACAGTTTCAAAATTTATATAGATTTATTGCTAAAAACACGTTTATTTGTACATTTTAAAACTTTAGTTTTACTGTTTTCAAATACACTTCGTCTCAAAAAACGTCTAGCAAATTTTGCAGAATAAAATTTTCTTACCCGGGAGAAAGGAACATTTTTATTTTTAGTAGTAGTGAAAATTGTTGGGTTTTGATTTATGAATAAACTATTGTTGGGTTTTTATTTTCAAGCAATTGAAAGCTTCTGCCTTAATTTGGGCCCTTAACAAATGAAAATGTTTGCATATTTTTACAAATACACCATTTCACTTTAGGGCCAAAGATGACAAACCTGCTATCAGCATTCAGTTCAGCAAATACATCGTGAGTGCTTTTAGTCCCTAAGGCCACTCAAAGGTGGTTAAGATACAGTCCCTGCCCTCAGTGAATTAACAGTCTCACTAAAGGGTTCTTCTACCGGGGCAAACTTAATAAAAGGTAAACTCTGAAAAGCTCCATAATAGAGGTAAAAAGTAGGCTCAGAGGGTTAACTGAGAAGGAGCCAATTCATTCTGGCTGGAGGGGTTCTTGGGGAAGATGGTATTTAAACTGGGTCTTGGGCATGGGTAGCAGTTCCCTCTACAGAGAGAGTCACTCCTTCCACTAATCAGAGTGTGATGGAAGTCCATCTTATGGGTGGAAGAGGAAGATGGAGTTTTGCATTTAAAGTTAGCTTTCCTTTGAGTCACAAATTGCCCTTGGAACATTTCTTAAATTTCCTGTGAGGTTTTCATGGTTTTGAGTACCCGAGCTGTATAATAAATTTGTGTACATATTAAAATTTGAGACCTGAACCCCATTACAGAAGCATTCATTCCATCCTGCTTCTGAAGCCTTCCTCTTCCCCACAGGGTTTACAACATTTTTAACAGTGAAACTCTATACCTTTCATACGTGTTCATAGATATGTTTGTTGTGGGTTAAACAAGCTGGTGTGTGAAGGAACTCAAGGTTAGTAGATGGTAGGAGCTCAGTGCAGGTTTGTGAAAGTTGAATCGGGGGTCGGACATACACCTTGTTGTTTGAAATGTTGGAAAGGAAAATGTGGCCACCTACTTCCTGTCCTGGTAAAATGGCATTTCCTCTAGTGGCCACACCAACCGGATGTCATCCTCATGTCCTCACACATCAGTCTCATGAGCCCTTTGGAGAAACCACATCCCATTTGGAGGCTTGGGATCTGAGGTTAAACGCGGTGCCATGTGACTCTCCTTGACAGTCAGATTCCAAAAGTGTTGGTTTGTCCTAAGTGAGCAGGGGAGAGCGCCAGCACTGCCTGAGAAGTTGTGTGATGGGAAAGCTGACAGCAGTTTCTTCTCTCCTCCACGCCCTCAGGGTTTGCTTCTTTCATAAGGTGGGCCAGCTGGAAGGCGGTGGACTCAGATGACTGCCTTGCTCTCAGAATTGCTGTTCTCAATCTTGGATTTCAGTATATTGCTCTGAGATGGGAGTAGGAAATAGCTATGTGAATTTTGTCACTGCATTTCCTGCAAACACATTGCCAGCCTTGTATATTGCACATTGATGGTCCCCCTTTACATAAATCTGTGTGTGAGGCATTTAAAAAAATTTTTACTTGCTTGGGCCAGGCATGGTAGCTCACATCTATAATCCCCACACTTTGGGAGGCCAAGGTGGGAGGATCGCTTGAGCCCAGGAGTTTGAGACCAGCTTGGGCAACATGGTGAAATCCTGTCTTTACAGAAAATATAAAAATTAGCCAGGTGTGGTGGCATGTGCTTGTAGTCCCAGCTACTTGGGAGGCTGAGATGGGAGGATTGCATGAGCCCAGGAGGTGGAGGTTGCAGTAAGCTGAGATTGCACCACTGCACTCCAGTCTGGGCAGCAGAGCCAAACCCTGCCTTGAAAAAAAAAAAACAAAAAACAAATTACTTGCTTTACAACTTGATATATTTTCTCCTTTTGATGTTATATATTATGGAACTGATCATGTTTTCCTTTTTGTCCTGGCTACTTGGAAACTCAGAGCAAATTAAAAGTGTTTTCCTTGATCATAAAACAAAAATATAGTCATTGCTAACCATTTTGAAAAATATAGAAAAACTTCAAGAAGAAGGCCTGGCTCATGACATGAACATGTGGGGTTCAAAATGAATATTTGAAGGCAGCTGTCATAATCAAGCCACAGAGAGGGAAGAATGGTTGATGCTAAGTTGCTGAAGCGCTTTGTAATGTGTGATAGCAACACGGTTGGTGGAATTGTCATTTTAGATCACACAGCAAAAGCCCTGAGTTTAAGACTAAAATTAATTTCTTCAGGTTGGAATGAGAACAGCAACAATACAGTAGTTACCATCAAATGAATACCTGCTTTGCACAAGGCACTTAAAGGCTAAAGGCCATCTAAAGACCTTTTTACCTCTTCACTTCCATGATAGGGTTAAAGCCAGATGCTGCTGTCTTTAATTGCTGACTGGTGATTGGTATTGTGCCTTTTAGCAGTTTGAACATAGTATCATGGTTAAGCGTGTGTACACTGGATCCATATTGCCCCTGCTCTCTGTATAACGTTCTGCAAGTATTTAACGTCTCTGGGCATCAGTTTCCTCATCTGTCAAATGAGGATAACAGTATTACATAGAGTTATGAAGATTAAATAAACAATCTTTGTAGGGCTTGAACAGGCATGGGCCATAGCCAGCACTTACAGTGTTTGTCAAATAAATATCTTAAAGTTCATTTCTCATTCCTTACAGAATACCAGGGTATTTTGACCCAACAAATAGGGTAGGCTGAACACAGTGGCTCACACCTCTAGTTCCTGCTACTTGAGGGGCTTAGGCAGGAAGATCCTTGACTCCAGGAGGTCAAGACTGCAGTGAGCCATGATCGAGCCCCTGCACTCAGCCTGGACTACAGAGCAAGACCCTGTCTCAAACAACAACAATAACAAATAGAATAGCATTTCTCTTATTAATGCCCAGACATTCTGATGGCTTAATGGCGATGGGGATTTGAGGAAGAACTGGACTATTTAGAACTTCCTGAACCATCTCAAAAAGGTTTCTGAGTTGTTGGTTGGGCTGTCCTTTACTAAGGCTCAGTTAGTCTGTTTTGTGCTTGTGGCTTCATCCTTTCTTTGATTTGTAGGACATTCCTAAGTTTTTACTTTACTATAATTTCGACTCTATAGGTAAGTGAGAGTTTTTTCTTACTGGGTTTTTTCTGTTGTAACTTTACAAAGAAAGATTTTTAAAATTTATAGATAATATTATTTTGGAACACAGATTTGGTAGGGGGACTTCTATTAACCCTGAAAGACTACCCAAGGTTGAGAGATTGGGTAGTTTAAAAAAAATTATAGAAGCCATTAATTTATTTGATGGACTCATTGATCCTTTGAGATCGTTACATAATTGATATTCACACTCAGAAGGGTTCCTGGTGTTCAAGTGGCAGAGACCCAGCTTCAGCTTCACTCTTGAAGTAGAGCAGCTGCAGCAGGTGCTAGGAGAGGGAGGCGGCTGTGCGAGGACTGGGTGGCATCTCAGTTCTCCCCACTGCCTCCTCTGAGCCCTCCTGGCTGCGTTCCTTTGTCTGGAAAGTGGGAGACTTTTACCTGTGACTTGTATAATAGTTTATGTTATTTCCCTGGGTAGAGTTCCTCTGGCACCTATTGTTGCTACATGATAACTACTCTCGTTGTTGACTGACTGAATACTGCTGCTGCTGCTGCCGCCGCTGCTGCTACTACTACTACTACTACTACTACTACTACTACTACTACTACTACTACTATTGCTGCTGCTACTGCTGTTACTGCTACTGCTACGGCTGCTGCTGCTGCTGCTGCTTGTTGTCTACTGTTACTAAATCTTCCCTGATGTCCAGGAAATACTCAGAGTAACTAGGAAAAGCTCTGCGGTATCCATGAAGTACAGAGTAATATTTGATCCCCCCTTTAATGTTCATTTCTACATAACTTTTAGACAAATCCCTTAATACCTCTGTTTTAATTTTTCCCAAGAGGTAAAAAAGACTCCACTGTTAAATGTGAGGAAATAATAAAAATACAGACTTTTAGGAACACATATTTTGGGTGCTACTAAACCACCATTGAACCGTAGGTTGGTGATCCAGCTATTTTCCCGTGCTTTTGTGCATCTCTCTCTTAATTTTATTAATTTGTCATTTATGATGTCTGCTCTTCTTGCCTTCCCAGCTAGATGTGAAGTTCTTTGAAGGGAGAGATACTCTACCTTATACTTTTAGTATGATCCTCTCAGCACCTAGTACTGGGGGTACCTTCTGATACCCACACATCTGGACTTAAAGTAATATTCTGTTTAATAAATGCATTTACTATGATATGTGGTATCCCATGAAAATGTTTTGATGACCTCATCTTTCTGGCATCAAATAGTACATAAATTAAGTGTTTCATGCTGTGGTCTGTCATGCGGGGTGAAACTCATTTCCTCCACCTGTATCCACGAGGTGCAGGCTATGGGAACATACTTGCTGGTAGCTCTTCCCTGCTTTAATCATCAGCCAGGCATTTGGTTTTTAACCATAACACAAATGAAAGCATTCCAAAACTGGAAGAATTTTAGAACAAGCAGACAACCTTGCTGTCTCTTAAGCTCCACGAGCTTCAGATTTAAGGTAATTATGAAGGAGTCTAACTGTGACTGGTTTTCTTTTAAACACTGCAGTATTTTGATTCCGATTGATTTGGCCCACGCTGTGTGGAACAGACACAATAAAGCCGGTCTTTATCAGAGAGGCAGTACACTGTGTATTGTTCAGCTTGGAGTTTGTTTTCCTTTGGCCAGCAAGTAGGAGCCTCCCCTTTTGCATGGAGTAGTAACACCCCTGGAGGCTGGCCTTTGCTGTCATGCCTTCCCACCCCACAGGCTCTGCAGACCCAGCCAGCGGGGCTGACCACTTGTGCCTGGGAAGCCAGTTTCCTTTCCTTCCTTGGACCACTGGCATGCCTGTGCCTTGCACGGCCAGGGACTCGCAGCTGTTCCAGTTGCAGACTTTCTGACTTGCGTTTTCAGCCGAGAATGCAGGCTGATAAATGCAGGACAAGTAGTAGAAGTGTCAAAAAGGAACTGGTGATTGAGTCCCCCCTGCAATACAAGGATGCAGCTCAGGGCGAAGTGGAAGCAGAGAGCCCGGGCCCTGTGCCGGTAAGAGGGTCTCGTACAAAGTGTTGCTGTGTCTACCCAATGCTGGGTTCTTATTGTGCGTGTGGACGGGGTTGACGCCTGTTGCCTGTCTTTGATTTCAAAACTTGCTCTGCTTGTCCCTTGTGAACTCCACTCTTTCCCTGTAATATGACTTCGATTCCCCTTTGATTCTTCTTTGTGAAGAAAGAAATGTTGACATTTTGTGGGTGAATATGGTTTCTGGGAGGTTTCTTTGTATGGGACAATTATGTATTGTTCACAATTATGTCCCACCTAGCTGCAGTGTTTGCAAATGTAAACCCAGGAAGCATATTTTAATTGCAACTATAGGGTTGAAAAAAGATGTGCTTTGCAAAATTAAAACCTTTTCTACGTTATTTATGCTATTGAGAAAATGAGGCAGGTCCCATTGGGGGTTTTAAGGAACATAACTGTTGGAAATATTACATAGTTTAGAAAGGATAAAATCACATATGTTCTTCTCACTCATTTTACCAGGAGGTTTGCCTTGAATAAAGTAGGGAAGAACCTAAACTGTGAACCAGCTGATAGAAACGTTTCTGTTCTTAACATCAGCTAAACTCTCAGCATTTGTCTAAAGCCAAGTGCTTTGGTGGACTTTGGAGGGGAGGAATGTGAAAAATGGTTGTGTTGTTATCATCAGTGAGTAGGTTGTGCTTCTCTCGGAATTTCTTCAGTACAATAAAGGCACATAATTTTTTAAGCAAGCTGCACAAAACCACCAACATGCCCTGCAGAGGGGGGACAATTGAGCCTTTCAAATTATCTGCTAAAGAGATTGTTAAACTGATATGTAGTGATTTTATTTAGTGATTTTTTTTTTTCTTTAACGTGGAGGTTCAGTTGATGTTACCATGAAGTGTTTGCTTACTAATTTACTTAATTTTCAATTAATGTCTAAGAATCTGAACTTAAACTTTCCTATAACAGATTTGATTTGAACTGAGTTGCTTTCTTTGTGACTCGTGAGACTGCCCTATATTTTATTGCCTTCAAAACTATATTGCTAACCCTGAACTGAAAAGTTAGTAAAATATCATGGTCTTTTTCACTGCAGATTTTCATCTTAGAGATTTAGGTTTCTTTTCTTCACCCTCTGCTACATTGTTTAGAAATGTAATTCATTGTTCTGGATTCCTTGCTGCCAATATAATAGCCCACTTCTCTGTTGGGTTGCTCACAGGCTGTATGGATTTCACTGCTTAAAGCAGCTGATGTAACTTAGGATTTCTTGGAGGAAGTTGTGTGGTTTAGGTTCCCTTGTGAATATTCTTAAAAATCTTCTGTCAGTGATTCTCCAGCTGTGTAGAAATATTTGTCTACAGGACTGAATACACTGTAGAAAGATGCTATGCAATTTTTTTTTTTTAAGCACACAAGTGACTTCTTAAACTTACTTCTCTTTCTAGTGCTCAAGAAATTTGCCATTTATGTCCTAGCTATTTGTTTAGGTAAATCTCACTCCAGGCAGTTCCTCTGGGGGTCTTTTTCCACTGCAATGGATAAAGCTGTGCTGGCTACAGCTGCATTTGGTGGGAACACTTGTCAGGGCCCAGCAGCTTGTGGCAGTGTGATCTCAGCTCTGCGCACCTGCAGAGAGGGGTGAGGGAGTGAGGAAGCCAACAGTGATACCAGAAGTTTTTTCTTATCGGGCAGTGTTTCTCTTCTTCCAGCAGGGTAAACAAGATAAGAAGAGCTAATGTCAGATCAGGGAAGCAAGGATATTTCAGCAGGGCCTTTGCCGAGGGCAGATCTCTTACCTGTGGCTGTTGCTGCCCACTGGCAAACAAGAGTTCAACAGACTGCTGGAAAGGCAACTTGTTTCTCAAGATGATTTTTCAGAAGGAGGCAGACACCATTGTGCAACCTGTTTGTGGCAGTACTATTCATTGTTCGAATGTCAGTGGCCCACGGGCTTGGTAAGAATCCCCAAGACTGTCTATCATTTGAATGCATTATACCTAGAGACGTTTAAATGTAGGTAACATGCTTTATTCAGGAGGTAGCATTTTGAAATAAAGTTTTGCTGTTTTTAGTTATGTACAGAAACAGTCCTTGGGGAAAAATATTACATAAATTAAAACGGATAAAATTAATTAATGCGTGTAGTATAGAAGTAGGAAAAACAAGAAATGCAAATAGTGTAGCAGTAGGAAAGACAGTGTCCTTGTTTTTACTCTCCAGTGGTGACCATTATTAATAATTCAGTGTATATACTTCCAGACTTTCTCCTGTGCCTAGAACAGTATAACTTGTGTGTGTGTGTGTGTGTGTGTGTGTGTGTGTGTGTATGTGTTTAGAGAATATACTATTATGGTAGATTTCTGGATTGATTTTCTCCCAGAACACGTCAGTAACATCTTTTGTCACCATATGTGGATTTATGCCTTTTTTTTTTTTTGAGACAAAGTCTTACTCTGTCATCCAGGTTGCAGTGCAGTGGTACGATCTCGGCCCACTGCAACCTCCGTCTCCTGGGTTCAAGCCTCCCGAGTAGCTAAGATTATAGGTGCCCGCCACCATGCCCAGCTAATTTTTGTATTTTTAGTAGGGACAGGGTTTCATCATGTTGGTCAGGCCAGTCTTGAACTCCTGACCTCAGGAGATCCGCCCGCCTCGGCTTCCCAAAGTGTGATTACAGGCGTGAGCCACTGCACCTGGCCTATGCCATTATTTTAATGGCTGCATATTATCTCATTTTAGGTCTGTACTATAATTGGATCGTTATTTAATTTGTTTCTAATTGTTTGCATTAGTAATGAGGCTACCATAAATGTACCTGTAAGTAGATCTTAAAGCATGTAGGCAAGCCAGTATTTGTTCTAGAAACTTTCTATCATAAGTTCCCTCCTGCCCTTATGATTGGTGGTAATGTTTTTTCTCCTCTGCCAGGGCCGCTTTGAAGGTTTCCCTTAGCAGTGGCTGCTTGTTCAGTGTTAGGGAAAGTTAGTATTTCTTTTTCTTTCTTTTTTTGGAGGTGGAGTTGTTCTTTTTTTTTTTTTTTTTTTTTTTTTGAGACAGAGTTGCTCTTGTTGCCCAGGCTGGAGTACAATGGCATGATCTCGGCTCACTGTAACCTCCGCCTCCTGAGTTCAAGCGATTCTCCTGTCTCAGCCTCCTGCGTAGCTGTAATTACAGGCGCATGCCACCATGCCCGACTAATTTTTGTATTTTTAGTAGAGACGTGGTGTCATCATATTGGTCAGGCTGGTTTCGAACTCCTGACCCCAGGTGATCCACCTGCTTTGGCCTCCCAAAGTGCTGGGATTACAGGTGTGAGCCACTGCGACCGGCTAAAAGTTAGTGTTTCCAAGAGAATATGTGTTTGGACATTATAAAGTTTCAGAGGCTGCAAGGTTCAACTTACAGGCACCTACATGGGTGGGTCTTGTCCCCTGCATTGTGACAGTAAGTGAGGGAGGAAGCACATGGTGAAACTTCCCCATTTCTATCCAGGCTTACTGCCAACCCCACTGAGAAATGGCTTTGGGGGCTAGAAATCACTACCAGGGGAACAGGCAGGATATTCTTGATGTCTGCATGTTAGTTTCCCTGCTCACATTTGAATACCTATTTTTACCCCCTACCCGCCACCCCCCTTCAAAACTCTAACGTAATTCCTGGAAACAATTTATTCTAATTGTTACTGCTCAACAGTTTAGAGGAAAAAGGTGTGGCTTCAAAGTGCCAAAAAAGGCTGGGTTATATGCCATTTATGCAGCCCTTTCATTGGGTTCCTTTTGTGAGGCTGGTAGGGACTGCAGCACAGGTCTTATTTTGGGAATTTTTAAGGTTGAAGGATGTGAAGATTGAGAAGAGCTGAATTTTCCTATTAGGTGTACTCATAAGGTATTTTTTGAAAAGGATCAGCGGGCACTGTGGCTCAAGTCTGTAATCCCAGCAGTTTAGGAGGCCAAGGTGGGCATTGCTTGATCTCAGGAGTTCAAAACCAGTTTGGGCAACATGGCGAAACTCCGTCTCTACAAAAAATACAAAAATTAGCCAGACGAGGTGGCATGCACCTATAGTCCCAGCTTCTCGAGAGGCTGAGGTGGGAGGATTGCTTGAGCCTGGGAGAGTTGAGGCTGCAGTGAGCAGAGATCACGCCACTGGACTCCAGGCTGGGTGACAGAGTAAGACCTTGTCTCAAAGAAAATAAAAGTTTCTTTTCAGAGACACCTTTTGGGTGGCTCATATTTTCCTGGGATCCTCAAGTGTTAAAAGCAGAATTTTAGTTCTTATTTTAATGTTTGAATGACCACGTGATTACTCTAGCTAAATAACTCTGTGAGAAGGCAGTGCGAGTACTTGATGTAGAAAGTAGTAGTAGGACTTGGCTTCTGGTTGGACACACCAGTACCTTATCTGGGAACTCTTCTGTCTCTCAGACAGAGGAGGAATGAGACTAGAAAATCTTTCCTATCCCTGAAGTTCTGTTTGCTCTAGAAATAGCAGACTAAGTGAGGTATAAGCTTATGGGCAATGATCATGTTGTTAATTTTCAATTAGACTTTAGGTGACTGTGATTGAGTTAATTAAATTATGCTTAGACAATAGCCTTTCTGCCCTATAGGTTTTCCTGCACCCTTAGAGACAACTTTAGAAAAAGATAATGATATTACATCAATAATATTTAATAAGTAGTTTCCTTGTTTTTAAAATATTGGATGGTGAAAGAAAGATGTTCCCAAAAGCTTTATATAGTGACCTATTCCTAGTGACAAGAACAGGAAATTTTATTTATTCAAAGCCATACACCTTCACTACAATGCTCTTTGTGTTTCATTTGTTTATTCATTAATTCAGTCAACCCACATTTACAAGAATGGAGACTTGCCAATCTTATTGGACAGTGCATTGAGGCAAATAAGATCAAAACCCTCCCTCTCCCCAGGCAGCAAGGCATGAGGAAGGAAGGGGTTCATTCCTCTGGAATGCTTTCATGTGATCTTTATCAGGCACAGTGAGTGTTAATGCCGCCCTGTCCTTTCTAGACACTTAGGCAGACAACACTTAAACCATCAGCAGCTCCAGGAAGGACGTGCTTCAGATTTTTTAGCAGCTAACATAGGCATAGCCAGGCTTTGCAGAAGGCGCAGGCCGAACCCCTAACTGTTCATGTGATCAGTGTTACATGAGGCTCCTGCTGCTGCACACCTATTTTGTGGAGCGGTCGGTGGAAGGAATCTTTGGGGAGTGCATGCTTAGATAGGGTCCGAGTGAATCTAATTACCATGCCAGGCCTGGAAAATGATCTCAGACATGGGGCTTCAGCAGTTTGTTCCCTACCTCATTGCCATGCCAAGTCACTGCTACCTCCTGGGTAGCAGTGTATAGAAACTAAAATCGCTTGTATAGAAAACTAAAAACTAAAATCCACCCAGCTCCGGCATTTATTTTCTCATGATCTGCCATCAGCATGGAGGGAGAATGGCTGGTGACTGTTTTTTTATAGCAAGGTAATGCCAATAGTCATGTAATAATAAAAATAGCCACTACTTATATGGTTCCCTGCTCTGTGCCAGGAACTGTTTTATGCCTGCTAAATGTTATTTCAATTAATCCTCACAACTCTAGGAGGCAGGCTCTATTCTTTTTCAGACGAGGAAACTGAGCACAGTTTCCTCTTGCTCAAAGTTACACATTCAATAAGTGGCAGAGCCAGGATTGTAGACTTTGGGTCAGGTTTTCTAAAATCCATACCTGGACACATATGCACGATTCATGAACAAAAATGAACGTATTCACTTGAGCTTAGCATTGAGACTGTAACAATAAACAAGAAAGGAAAAACACACTGCTCTTAAAAACTTGAAAATTGTTAGAGAAAGGCCAGTTTATAAGTGATAACCAACAGTGGTTGAATAGCATGAAGACAATGGTGGTCATGTGAAGAACTAAGAAATATGAATGAAATAGAGCTGCCGTCAGGAGTCACTCTTATCTTGGGTGTTACATTTTATCATCTTCCCAGAAAGTTACATAGGAGCATAGACTGGTGAGAGTCTAAGAATCTGCAGGCATCCCGTTTTCCTCCCTATTTTCCTTTCTTTTTGAGATGGAGTCTCGCTCTGTCACCCAGGCTGGAGTGCAGTGGTGCGATCTCGGTTCACTGCAAGGTCCGCCTTCCGGGTTCATGCCATTCTCCTGCCTCAGCCTCCCAAGTAGCTGGGACTACAAGCACCCACCACAACACCCGGCTAGTTTTTTGTATTTTTTAGTAGAGATGGGGTTTCACCGTGTTAGCCAGGATGGTCTCGATGTCCTGATTTCGTGATCCGCCCACCTTGGCCTCCCAAAGTGCTGGGACTACAGGCGTGAGCCACCGCGCCCGGCCCCTATTTTCCTTTTTAAAAAATTTATAGATGATCCAGGTTAATCCTGAAATGTTTATTCCCTAATTAGTAAAATGGGCACTGTGGTCCCCATAGTGTTTACAGAGGCTGCCATTTGTGCAGGTGTGCTCTACTCTTGGAAAGGTAGCAGCTAAACACGAGGCTGCAGAACAATGTCCAGCTGGCTGGTGGCACGGGTGGGCCAAGAGACCAGGGACCTAATTTTGATCCTGCATCTGCCTCTCAATCTCTGCAGATCACCACCCTCCTGGGCTTCAGTTTTCTTACCTGTAAAATGAGGAGCCTGTCGTACATAATCTCTAAGGTCTGGGACTCAAGCTCTAGTGTTAGCATCTTTGATCTCAGAATAACCTGGGATGGAGTCAGGTTTAGGATTGTGGAGTTTTAGTTTCAGGTTTTAAGCTTTGTTTATTCAAAATTGTTTGGGTTTTGAGTTGTTGGAGCTACAGAATGGGATCTTGGAATTCCACCCAGTGTAAGAAGTAAGACCAAGGGAATGGGTTGGCCACCTGGAAATGAATCAAAAATTTGGAGTTAGCAGGGCATTCTAGGCAGGAGATAACAAGACAGCCTAGCTCCAGCCTACAGATAGCATATGACTGTGAGGATACTTTTAGAACCAAGAAGGATTGGAAATTATAGTTTTCCCCCAACTTTCCAGAAGTTTGAAATACCCTGTAATGTGATATACTAGTGCTAAGTCTCTTTTAGAATGACATTTTGAGGCTTTGGAAATTTTCAGCGTTCCCTTTCCTGACAAATGTAAGTGCCACTTACCAGTGGGTCTCAAGGGCTCTGCCAGGTTCCCGGGGAGGAGCCAGTCTCGTATTCTGCTTTGGGATTTCCTTAATATGGAGAGTTGTCACTGCCAAGGGAAAGGCAGCAGCAAGCGATGCAGAGAGCCAGCACTCACTCACAGGAGGCTCACTTGGCACTTCTAAGCCAGGACTGCATTGCATATCAGACAGAGGTAGTAGCAGTGGCTGCCCTCCAGATCCCCCATCTCTGAAGGTTCTCTGGACTGCCTGTTCCACTACCACGTTCTGTCTTTTCTTACACTGAGCCATGCTGCATTGTGCTATCAGACCACTCTTTCTAAAACAGAGACGGGTGGGGCGTGGTAGCTCAGGCCTGTCATCCCGGTACTTTGTGAGGCTGAGGTGAGAGAATTGCTTAAGGCCAGGAGTTTGAGACCAGCCTGGGCAACATAGCAAGACCCTGTCTTTACACAAATAAAAAATAAAAAAATTAACCCAGCTTGGGGCAGACCTGTAGTCCTAGCTATTTGGGAAGATGAGGCGGGAAGATTGCTTGAGCCCAGGAATTCAAGGTTACAGTGAGCTATGGTGGAGCTACTGCACTCCAGCCTGGGCAACAGAGTGAAACTCTGTCTCAAAAGCAAAACACAAAACAACACAGCCAACAGATATAGTTGTTAATTATCTGCTTAAAAGTCTTCTCTGACTCTTCCTTTGCAGAGAACGCAAAGCATAGCTTCCTTGATTCACAAAGGCTGACCCTGAATTTGCCTGCTGACCTCATCTCCTGCAGCCTCCAAAATGTGCCCTGACCCCAGCTTTCCAGTCTTCCTTCCACCTGGGGTGCTTTCACACCTGGGCACAGCTCTGCCTTTGCCTGGCATGCACTGCCCTGGTTAAAAGGATAAAATCATCATTTTATGCTTCAAGCCCCAGTTCACATGCCAGCTTCTTTGGGAAACCCTTGCAAACCCTCTCCCCACATTTCCCAGTAGACTGTGTGCTCCTGTAGCCCATCATGGCGTCGTTGTTCCAGCTTGTTGTCAGGCATCCCGCTTTATTGTAGTGAAGGTTTATACTCCAGTCTCCCTCACTAACGGGGCTTCTGCCCAACAAGAACCACCCGAGTGGTTTTGTTTTCTTTGTATTCGATGTCTGATATAATGTCAAAGCTCTTTTTTTTTTCTTTCTCCCGCTTCTCAGCATGGTCCTGGTGACTCTTTGGGGAATGTATAGGCAAAAAAAGGTTGCGAAAGGGCCTGCAGGAAAGACTAGATCTGAAAATCATTCACGTTTTCATTTGCCTCCCTTCCACCTGCAAAGGTTTAGCCATCAATATCCAAATGTCTTGAATTGCCAAAAAGTAGAAAGGGATGCAAGTAGAGGAACATGCTGGACTTACATGGGACGTGGCTATTGTGCCCCTTTACTCTCCTGTGCATCTGTGATTTTGATCTCTATTAAAATGTTGGTGAACATTTTATCAGAGTACTTTTGTGTACAGAAGTGCAGACATAGGTTCCCAGAGTCAAACCCCTTCCTGTTCCTCTCTTAGCCAGCACCCCTTTCTGTTATCAGTACCTCTTCTTCCTGGCAGCCGTACCTGAAACCCTAACATCATATTTGATGGTCATAGTACACTTGGAAAAATCACCATGTGACATTGTCACAACAGCTTCTCAGTAAATTGATTATATCTGGAAAGGGTGGAGATCCACAAGATACAGGCAGAGAAGATGGCTCTTCCAGGGAGAAAGAGTTCAGAAAGGAGGGGCCTATTGGAGACACTGGAGAATGTGGTCTGCTGCTTTATAGAACCAAGACTAGACCTAACTTTTATCTCTGATGTGGTATGCTTTTCCAAACTATTGTCTGCCCAAGTAAAAATTTCAGGAAGTGGACTGTCCTTTGTTTTGCCATGAAGTTTAAAAAATTACCTGTATATTAAAATTTCTTACAGTCTATAATAGTGCTATCTAATAGAAATATAACATGAGCCATACATATAATTTCTGCTCTGTTATTTTTTGAGACAGAGTCTTGCTCTGTCACCCAGGCTGCAGTGCAGTGGAGTGATCTCGGCTCACTGCAACCCCCGCCTCCAGGGTGCAAGCAATTCTCGTGCCTCAGCCTCCTAAGTAGCTGAGATTACAGGTGTGCACCACCACATCTGGCTGGTTTTTGTATTTTTAGTAGAGACGGGGTGAACCATGTTGGCCAGTCTGGTCTCGAACTCTTGGCCTCAAGTGATACCCCTGCCTCAGCTTCCCAAAGTGCTGGGATTACATGCATGAGCCACCACGCCTGGTCAAATTTAAAATTTTCTAGTAGCCAAGTTAAAGTAAAAAGAAAAAGGTGTAACTAATTTTAGTAATATAATTTTAACCCAGTATTTCCAAAATATTACCATTTCAATTTTAAATTCTTATTTAAAAAAAAGGTATTTTATATTTCATTCGTAAGATGTCATTGACATTTGGTGTCTGTTTTATGCCTACAGCACATCTGAATTTAGAATCGTCACATTTTAAGTGCTCAGTAGTCACCTGTGGCTAGTAGCTACCACACCGATCAGTGCAGGTTTATACTTACACATTCTTTAGCTTAAAAGCCTCAAACTAAAAAGCTGTCATTTTGGGGGCGAGTCACTGGATGAGGAAAAATATTTGTGATTTTTTTTTTCTGTAGGAAAAAAATGCATGATTTAAATGTGAGTTTTCCTTACAAAGGTCATGCCTTGAAATATTTGATGGTATTATAAATTACATACTACTTAATGGCATTAATATGTGTGAAGACATTTAAACCTGGTTCTTTGGAAAGATTTAGTATTTTGGAGTAGGATTTTTAATATTTTTGAAGTGGAAAATGATTATTTTCCTGGAAGGGACTCTGCTTTTTATCTCTGCTGTAGTGAGATTGTAAAGCCTGGTTAGTTCAGTGCCTGGCAGATCTCAGAGTGGGGAGAATTCCCTCCTCCCTGGCGACGTGGAGCCTGAAGCATCCTCGTGTGGAGCAATGTTCAGCATTTCTCATATAAAGAGGAACAGAGGCATTGGAGAGGCACTTCTGGTTCTAGAAATCTGAAATACCATCATGCGTACTGTTCATGTGTGATGGGGAAGGTCCTGGTCTTGGGGCCAGGAGACCCAAGGATCAACCCATCTGTGTGACCTTCAGTAAACCATCTAATTCTCTAAGTGTCAGTTTCCTCATCAGTGAAATGGTGATGATGCAACCATATAGTTGTGGGGAGGTTTAATGAGACAATATGCGTGTAATCCAGCAAGGTGTGTATGTTGTAGGGGCTAAAATTCTATTGAATGTGAACTACACATAACTATGTGTGGTCCCCACCACCACCATTTGGTGCATTCGTGCACTGTCCAGGCACTGTATGTAGAACCCTGGCAATAACCTGGTGATAATGATAACAGAAATTGTTACTTTTCCCATCTTTAGATTAAAGTATGGAGATTAAAAGGTTAAATAAGCAACTTGTCCAAAGGTGACATAGCCAATAGGCAGTGAAGCCAGGATTTTTTGAGAATACGTTTTAATATGAAATTCTCAAACATACACGAAAGTAGATGGACTAGTAGAGTGGTTATCAAACATGAATGGGCACCAGAATCGTCTGAAGGGCTTGTTAACACAGACTGTGAGGCCCCAACCTCAGAGCTTCTCACTCCGTGGGCCTGGGGTGAATGTGTATTTCTAACATGTTTCAGGTGATGCTGATGCTAGCCCAGGACCAAACTTAGAGAACCATTGTACTGATGTAATGAACTCCCATATACCTGTCACCACCTCTGGCAGTAGTTCACATTTTTGGGACTAGGATTTAAACTCTAACTCCCAACACCTGCCCTTTACTGGTCTCTATACTGCCTGCCTGGCAGTGGAGTCTGCAGAAACTGTTTTGTGAACTATGTGTTATGAATATTCCATTCCCTATCCCCAATATCTTAAAATAAGTAGCTTAAAGTACATTGTTTTGAAATCTGACTAAATCTGGCTTTTAGAGCCTTTTAGCTTCATTACTTGCCCTCTTCATTTCAGAGTTCCAAAATTGTTTTTACTGACCTAGGAAGAATTAACAATTTTAGGTCATAATGCTAAAAAAGGAAGAAAAATGCCTGGAAGAGTCTACAGTCTAGATTTGAGATAGAATTATTTATACAACTGTAATAGCACATCTTTTTCTTTTTTGATTTTATTTCTTTCCACATGTGAAAAAATAGGCAGAATTAGAAGCCGAGACTACTGTATGTGTGTGAGAGACACATGCTGGGCCCACTGCAGGCGCTCTACCTGGTTCTCGCTGTGTTCCCCTTTTACCCTTCCTGGCCTGGTGTTGGCCCATGGCCGGTATCAGGGTAGGGAGAAGACACATGAAGCACTGCACTTGCAAGGGAGCTGCTCCCGTTCCACCTAGCTCTCTCCTCATGTGACTCCCCGGGCACAGGACATGGAGGAAGTCTCCTAAATTCCCGTCTTGTCTTCCTCTCCTCATTGACATTCTCAGCAGCATCCCCAGCGAGCACAGCTGACGACGGCAGGCGAGGAGTTGTGTAGGTTTTCCTTAATTGGTATTATTATTCCTGTCTTTATTATTATTTCCATTTCCATTATCATGTTCCTCTTACCTATTTCAGGTGCTATTGATTTGACAAAATCAGATTTTGTCAGATTTGTCAAATCTGTATAACTGCTGTATAAAAAGGAAATTCAACATCGTGTTAGTGTTTATAATATAAAAAACTGCATTCACAAATGTCTAATTGTTGGTGTTAGTCTGTTCTTAGGATAACACCACACTGGAGCATGAAAAATATATTTAGATGTCTGGGAGTTTGGTGTTTCTTATGCATTCTTCCAAATATTCTCCAAAGCATTAACTGCTGTAGTTTAACACTCAGGTTTGAGCTTATTTCTAAATCTAAGTTTAGGTAAGTTTTCCTTTTTCCTCTAGTATTTAGATTACATGTGTATGCACATTGTCAATGAAAGTGCAAAATTAAAATGTAGGCATCGTTTTAGTACGGGCTGAGACAAGATCCTGGGCCAGGGCTCAGGAGGTTCCTCCTGGGACCCCAGGGCAGTCCCTAGGGTTGGGTTTCCCAATGTGTAAAATGAGAAGACTGGACTGGATAATCACAGGTTCTGATGTTTGCACAAGCTTGTAGTGCTAAATAAAAGCTTTTAAGCTGTATTACTGAATCTGTAGTACCTTTTAAAAAGCATGCTTCCAAACAGCTTCTAGATCATTGTCCCTACAGACACTCAGGAGCAGTCTGGAGAAGAACATATACTACTGAATGAGAGTGGGATTCTATCTTGATTTTCACCATCTACTAGTTGTAATGTCCTGAGTTAGGGACAGAAGAGCATGTCTGTGACAAGCTGATGGAGGGCTTCTTTCTTCCACTGGAGGATGGCGTGGGACCTTCCTGTGTGTCTCTCCACCCCTCCTCCTGTTTGTGGCCTTCCTGAGGGCCCTTCTTACTGTGGCCCTACCTGCCACTCCGGCCTCATCTCTCCCTGCAGGCTATAGTCCAGGGGTGGCTTTGGCACATGTAGGCACCCCAGGTGAGCTAATCATTGGTACCCCCTCAAATGAACACTATTCCAATATTTGCTTACTTCAGAGGAGAGACTGAGGGCTGTATGGGTGAAGGTGGAGCAGGGGGCTCTTGTGAGGAGTGTTGCTCTCTGACTCCAGTGTTATCCATCCTTGCAGAGGAAGCAGGATGGGAGGGCACTGGCCCATCCGGTGCTCCTCAAGCACGTCCATCTGGGAGGCCTGCTGCTCACCTCAGGTAGCAGCTGTGTGGAGTCTCTTTTTCAGAAGGGCTTTCTCCTAAGTATAGTTTTCCCCATCACCTTGGATTTCCAATGGTGCTAGAGCACCTGTGGAGCCTGGGACCCCAAGCCCCCTTTATGCAGCCTTATCCAGCTATTCTGAACTCCTGGCTGCTTCCAGAACTCACCATGCTCAGGGAGAATTTAGCATGAAGCTCATGAAGCTTAAGTTTCAGGATCCCTTTCAAGGCACTGGAAGAGATTCCAGCAATTTTATATCTATTAGTTTGTATTTTTTGACCTCACTGTAATTGTGCATGTTTCAGGCCTTACAAAATCTACTTCCATCCATGCACATGCTCCCTGGTGTCTCAATTTTCTCTGCAGGGAATCCTCAATCTGCCCTGAATCCTGGCTGGCTTGTTCAACTCATTGATCAGCTCCAGGAACCTCCTTTAAGAAGCACCCCACATAATTGGGGTCCCTCACTCATCCAACACACAGTTATTGAGTGCTTCTGCTATGCTGGGTGCTGTTCTAGGTGCTGGAGAAAGCAGCAAATACAATAGGGCTGTCTTGCCCTCATGGAGCTTATAATCTAGCTGGGCAAAGGTTGGGTTCCTTCTAGTGGGCCAGATGCCACTCCTGGTCCCTGCTGCTGTCATTCATTCTGCTGATTGTTCACACATGTGCCTTCCCTCTGACTGCCAGCTCCCTGGGGCAGGGCCGTGTTCTTTTTATCTTGATGTCTCTGGCACAGTGCATGTGAACCAGCTCAGTAAATACCTGTGGAGAGAGGGAACTCATACTGCTAATCACATGTGTACACAAGGAAGGGAGGCCGCTGTTATTTTCCTGTGCCCACCCTACTTATAGGAAAATGAGGATCCTTCCTGCAAACTTGACAACTTCAAGAAATTCCTGGTGGGGCTACGTAGCGAGAGTCACGTGCATGATAGGAGTGCAGGAAGGCTTGTGTGTCCCACACTTGTGAGCACGTGGCTTCAGAAGCCCCTTTTTGTTGCAAGCTGCCATCTCCTTTTTCCTATCCCCAGCAACAGTACTGGTGTCCTGTTGGCAACATTGAGAAGCGCTTTGAAAGTGGACCAACTTTATCTCAGCCTATCAAGTAGCTTTTATAGCCATGCAGATAAATCAAGGAAGTCCTAAATTCTTTATAAGCAGAAATGACGAATTTCTCATTTCTTAAAATAGCTCCAAGAGTTGCCATTTAGTTTGCTATTTCAAGAAGTGGCATTTGGGATTTCAGCTCTTCTTAACATTTAATCACCAGAGACACAAGGGCAAGAAATGACTGGAAAGTTCATTTGAAGCTATCACATCCGAGGCAAGAGCAGTGAAATTACTGTGCTCTTTGGAGCTTAGCTCTTCCCATGGTTTTCGAGGTTTTGTACATGTTTGGCCAGAACTGAACTCAGTTTGTGGGCGAACATTGTGCAGGTCTGCTGGATCCAGAGGAATCTCATTTTCCTGGCACTAAGAACATTTCCTGCTTCTGATTGCCTTTTGATCTGGAATTTCAATTTGCATGATGTTGGGCCGCCAGACCCTAAGCAGCAAATGCTGTGGGAGGGAGGGAGTTCCAAGAGATTGAAGGGTGGGGGGATCATGGTGGGGCCTTTTGGGGTCCTGCTTTCTGGCCCCCATGGGAGGTGTAGGGAAGTGTGATTGCTAGAGGCGCGCCATGCTGCCCGCTGCCATGCTCAGTAGATGGGGACTGGCGGGGCCTCGGTATCAGTGGCTCACCTGTGTCCATGTTGTCCCTTGAGATGAGGAGCTCTTTCTCCCCACCCACTCTGATCATGCCACATAACCCTCTGTGAGCAGTGTCCCATGGGGTGTCCTGCCTGCCTGCTCTCTTCTTCACAATCCAAGACCCTGCTGCTGTCATGGAGCTGCCCTAATGGGAGGGGGTCAGAAGTGCTTTTCTCTATCGCCCACCCCCAGCTGTGGTTATTCTTCGTCTTCCCTGGCACACACCACAGCAATACTCAGTCCCATCTACGGTATAAGCAGCTGTCTGTTTCCTTTGGGTTCAGCCCCTGAATTTCAGTGTCTGGATGCAGTTTTCTCTATATTGGGTCATTATTTGTCTTCCTTTGTGCATGTCCCTGTCATTATTGCCTGTTTTATTTTGTATGTTTCTGGAGGTCAAGGAAAGTTTTTTTTTCTTTTTTTTTTTTTTAAAACCTATCATGCAAGCAACATATTTAATAATATGAATAGCTCTATTTATTATAATATGTGTTTACAGTTTGCCAGGCTTTGCCTTTTCCATGCATTGACTCAGTTGAGTCCAGCAGCAGCCTCACATGACTGCACAGCTCGGCTTTCCTAACCATGCTGCCATCCTCGTCAGCATTCGTGTGGACACACGACCCTATCAGGGCAGAGTCAGGTTTTGTGAGGGACAAAGCTTACAGAATTTTAGGGGCTTTCTTTAAGAAAAATAATTCAACATTTGAAAACAAAATAAGGCACGGAGGTGAACATTTATTTAGAATTTAAAAAGAAAGAAATTTTAAAAAGCTAACACAAGCCATAAACACCAGAAATCCAGGGAAACAACACATTTTTATCAATGAACCTCTAGATACACCTCCATACTACTTCCCTATAGTTTTAGGGCTTCATATTCTTTTATTGCCTCTTCATATGATCATGATTTTGTATTATCATTCTTCATTGCAAGAACAGATCAGTGTTTCCCTTGGCATGATTAGTCCAAATTTGTATTTTATTATTGAGAGTTTAGAAAAGTTTCTTCTAGTTCCACAACATCTGGGAATGTCACAGGAATTTTTAGGATTGGAAAAGCTTCTGTGAGGTTTCTTTTGTACATGAGCAATGCAGTTTGGGGGCATTCTCAGTTTGTGCAATGACTAATCTTACATACCGCCAAGTAGTCCTGGGGCCACATACCTTAGAACATGTCTGAATTGTGCCATGGCGTCCCATCTTCTGTGTCATGACATTGGGTGGACACAGTGGGCACGTTCCTGGAAATCTTCCTAAGCCAAGGTGCCCAGCAACAATGGAGCTGTATGGGAACCACTGGCAAGCTCTTTTAGCCCCACAGGACGTGTCCCTGGGGCCTGAGTGGGATGCTGAGGGTGGCAAAGATAACAAGACTCAGCCCTGCCCTGAGGCACTGATAGTGGAGCTGAGTGTTTGCAGGTCACAGCAAGCCGAGGACTGTCATGAGAGGCATCCCAGGACTGCTGCTAAGTAAGGATGTGGCAGCAAGGCGCCAAAGGCCACCTTTGTGGGGAGGAGGGAGGTGGCCCCCCAGTTACATGCGAAGTGCTATATGCCTGCCTGGGGCTAGAGCAGCTTGGCTTTAACTTTTTTGCTGCATTGCCACATTTGCGTTCTTTGTAGACCGTCACCCAAGGGGCTGCAGGACTGTGACAGGTGTAGAGGTGGGAGGGGCACATTATCCCTGTAGAGGGAGGGACTGGAGCTGGCTCGTGTCAGAAACAGTGGACGCAACATTGCCTCTTTGCTGGGCGGGCCCCCGGGCTTACCATGAGACTGGAAACCTTGCATCTGCCTAGCTAAGTGGGGGCTCTGTTGTTGGTAGGGAGTTCAAACTTTTGCCCACTTGAAGAATTCTCATTCTTCTTTGCTCTCTCCAAGCATCCCTTCCTTAGTAAAGTGAAGAAACTTAACAGCCCATGGAGGGCAATGGGCTTGACCTTAGCTCTGCATTTAACTTCTGCCAGTACCTCTCACTACGTTGAGCTACATGTTTACAGGCCTGGCTCTTCCACTAGCCCAGGGCTGCTTCAACTCAGTTCCACATGACCACTCTCCAGGGAATTACAGCCCTCCCCTCAAAGCTGTGTATACAATCATAGAAAGCAAAGAATGTATACAATTTTCAGGGGGAGAAGATCCAGGCTCTCAAAGGGGTCTGTAACCTTGAGAAGGCTCAGTACCGGCCTTGTTTCTTCTTCCTCCCTGAAACTGAAAATTCTAATGTAGTTCCTGGGGCATCATGATTGATCAGGGTTTTTCCAGAATCCCCTGGAGAGCATGTTCAAGTATAGGTAGTTGGTCCCTGCTCCTGGAGCTCCTGACTTGGCTCTGGACTGGGGCCTCAGAATTTACGTTTGTAACCAGTTCCCAGGCGACGCTGAATCACCAGTTCCTGGGAACCCACTTTCAGAACCACTGTTGTGGACTATTTGTGAACTGAAGGTACTACCTCTCCCTTTCTGATTTCACGGGAAATCACTTTCAGAACCACCGTTATGGACTATTTGTGGACTGAAAGTACGCCCTCTCCCTTTCTGATTTCACAGGAAGCCTGAGGAATGAATGTTCACAGATAAGGACTTGAGCCTCTACGTGACGGGGAAAGCTGAAGGACTTGTACATAGACCAAGTTAGATTTTTATACACTATAAAAGCAGCAGTCACCCAGTGTGTATGTTCTGAATGTCATAGGCTTGGGAGTCAGCCAGGCCTCACCATGCTTAGGGAAAAATAGTATCCTGAAATATTCACAATTCAAACTCATGAATTCTCAGGGTTTCAAACATGATGGTGCTGATGGCCCCGGAGCAGCTCCACCAACAACCAGAATTTGGGTAATTCTGGTTTTCTTTTGAAGATAGAAAATTAAGAACTTCTCCCTCGGAAGTCTGTCACCAAGGGAAGAATTGAATTTGAGCATGTTGCGATAGCTTTAAAACCACGGCTGTGTGCCAGATCTGTGCCAGGCCTCGTTCTTGCAAATAATAGTGGGGACCGGCAGTCTGGTAATTAGCCTATGTCATTTTGCTGTTAGCGTGATGTTCTTGTCACTAATCATGTCTCAGGCCAATCAGTTCCCTACCCTAGTGGGCTGTCCCCGCCTCCATGCCCCACCAGCACCTGGAAAAGCTTAGCGGGGCTGAAGAACAGTGAACAGCTGTCACCAGTGAATCACAGTTTAAAAAAGAGTTGAAAATAGGCAATTATCCTCTTAACCCACAATTTGGTAGATACAGTGGTGTGACTTCCCACAGATCCACCTCCAAGTCTCCCAAGCCCCTCTCTTCTGCCATTTCTGTCTTCAGTTTCCTCCCCAGGGTGGCTCCATCCCTGCCTCTCTTTTCGTTTTCCTCCCCTGCATCTCCTTCTGCTCCCTTTTCCCTGTCTCCCTCACCAGTCTCTGTTCTCCACCCATTCTCCTCTGATTGTTTCTTTCTTTCCCCCGTCAAAGGACACCTGTAGAAGGGAGGCATTGTGCCCAGTATTTGTATTTGAAGCAAGAGCTTTTTGCCTTGTTCTTAACTTAGGCAGCAGGTGAGCCACTCCCAGTTGATCCCTTTTCCCTGGAGTCAGTCATGTGTCCCGGAAGTGCTTCCAGCAGCTGCTGAAGACCTCTGCCCTATGAGGTCACTAGGAGTTCTTTCATTAAGTGACCTGAGGTAGGGTTTGTACAAGTTGAAAATTTTTATAGTCCTTGATTCATGTTAATCCTCCATAAGATTTCTCTTATTTTTCAGTCAGTACCATGAGTTTTCCTGGTCATGGTACTGCATGACCAGTCTTTAACAGAAATGTTGGCTTATAAACTGTCTTTCACACATTTACTATGGTTGAGTATTGCTAAGCACACATTGTTCAAAGGGCAGCCCAGTATGGGAGAAGAAAGAGTTCTGTTTAACAGAAGACTGTGTCCTGTCCCAATCCAGTCCTGCTGGGTACTTGGTGGGACACTTGTAGCAATTAGCTTAACTTGAGATCCTCAGTTTCCAGCCTCAGTTGTTGAGTGGTAATTGTGACAGTAAAAACACCTTGAAAGTTACACTTTGTCACACAAAAGGAAGACAGTAGCCACAACATTGCATCCTTTCATTAGATACCTCCAAGATACACCTTGGGGGGAAACAGAAATTCATCTAATTAAAGTATTATTTGGTGCCCTAAATACATGAAACTGACCCATGAATATTTTTATTATCAAACATTTTAAGCAACCCAAGTTTAATCAGATAGATGCAAAAAAATCATTAAATATGTTAAGAGTTGTAAACATATCTGTATCTTATATGTCCAGAGACAGGAAACACATCAATAATTGAACATGGAAAATTAATATAAAGAATTACTAAATTGGTGAAAGGGGATTAACTCTATTAGGGGGTAAAGATAACTCTAAAGCAGGCTGTGCCCTTGGGCAAAATCTGGCTGCTGCCTGTTTTTATAAATAAAGTTTTATTGTAACACTGCCATGCCCATGTGTTTACTTATTGTCTGTGGCTGCTTTTGTGCCGCAATGGCAGAGTTTACCAGTTGTGACAGAAACTGTAAGGCTGGCAAAGTCCTTTACAGAAAGAGTTGTCGACTCCTGCTCTAAGAATACAAGAATAGTAAGTTCGGGAACAGAGATCCCCAAGGAAGGAACAAACTGGGAAGAGCCTCTCACCCCCACCCAAGGCAGAGATTCAGGCCTAGCTGGAGAGTGTGGTTGTGGCCCAGCAATGGTGGCTGGTGGCCAAGTTTGCTGAGGTGCCGTGGGCTGGAGCTGGTGGGCAGGGAGCCACCCACTGGGGGGAAGCTGCTGAAGGGGTGGCAGCAGGGCTTTTTAGATGGCTGCCCGCAGGGATGCCAGTGCAGCTTCCTGGAGGGTGTGCCCTTTGTCTCTCCCAGAAAGCCTCCTGGCTGCCCTGCTGTAGGAACAAAGCCCAAAAAATCCCCAAACCTAATAACATTGGCACCTGGGAACAGCCCATTCTCAGCAGTGTCCCTCCAACCCCCTGTCCAGGGCTCACAATGCACCTCTGCCTTCTGGCAGTCTGAAGAATCATGGGCCTTACCTGGGGAGAGTGGAGCCAAGGGGGCTGCACCCAGCTGAGGATTCAGCCCTGCCCAGCCTGTGCCTGTGCCTGTGCCTGTGCAGGCAGCTGGGGCTGTCATGAAAGAGTCTCCCTGGCCTGTGGTTATGGGGCAGCCACCACATAAGCCAGGGAGAACATGGAGTCTGCCCCAGTCTGCAGTATTGGTCCATCTGACCTCTTTGTAATGGAATTTTAGAAAGCTGTGTGCATATTTGGGTTTTATTAGGAATATGGTTACGGTTCCTAGGGAAAATGTTATTAATCACGACATCCATTCATTTTGCCAGCAAGCATTTATTGACTGGTTACTCTATGCAGTATGACAAACAAATAAAAGAGTAAATCTTTTTTTTTTTAATTAAAATATTTTGAAAAAAATTTTCTGGGCAATTCTTATTTAAAAATAATTTGTATAAAGTTTTTTTTTTTTCCTTTTTTGAATGTAAATACAGTTTACTGTTACCAACACTTTATAGCTTTAATTTTTTTGATTTTGCATATTTTTAGTCTCTGTCCACATAGCACATATTTTACTTAATTATAATAATTGTGTACTTGTTTGGTCATTGCTTTTTTTCTTAGCATGTCAAAACATCTTTGTAGAGTGTTGTTAAATCAAGTAATTGGAGTTAAATATGAGCATGTATATGTGCAATAGGCAAAGCAAGTTGACTGCTACTTCAGGCAACTCCAGAATCTCAGCAGCTGAACACAGTAGGTGTTTCAGTTCTTGCTCCTGGGGCATTTCAGTGCCTGTTTAAGCAGGCGGTCTTCTACAAGGGGATTCAGGACCCAGACTCTTTCCATCTTAGGCTCCATCCTTTCCTCAGGCCACCCAGTTCTGCGTTGGATCCTGTGTGCGTGGCTGCAGAGGGAAGGAGGAGGGGCCACGTGGAAGGCTTTTGTGGGCCAGATGAGGCAGTGGCCACATCTTTTCCACTCGAATAAAATTGGTTAGAAGACAGTCACATGGGTGCACCAAAACACAAGGAGGCTGGGAAATGTGGTCCACCTGTATTGGAAAGGAGACAGGTTTTGGAAACAAATAGCAAGCCTCAGTCACAATTGCCAATTTGGATGCCACATACGAAATATCCTTAATATACTTCTTATATAAAAATTGTCATTTTAATATATAAAGCATTTATTGAGATTGTATATATCAGATGATTATAGTTTCAAAAATAATCTTCTAGTAACTATTGATATAATGGACTTACTTTTTTTTTAATTTTTGTTTTTTGAGATGGAGTCTTGCTCTGTCACCCAGGCTGGAGTGCAATGGTGTGATCTCAGCTCACTGCAACCTCCGCCTCCCCAGTTCAAGTAATTCTCGTGCCTCGGCCTCCCGAGTAGCTGGGATTACAAGCGTATGCCACCACGCCTGGCTAATTTTTATACTTTTTGTAGTGACAGGGTTTCATCGTGTTGGCCAGGCTGGTCTCTAACTCCTAACCTCAGGTGACCCACCCATCTCGGCCCTCAAAGTGCTGAGATTACGGGTGTGAGCCACCACGCCTGCCCTGGACTTAGTTACTTCTGATAACATCTTCTATATGCCTATTTTAGCATTTGGCATACTGTAGTATAGTTAGTTGAATATGTATTTTTATCCCTAACCTAGCCCAGTCAATGCCTCGCATGTGGAAAGCGAGCCATAAACAAGGTGGCAGTGACTGGCGATAGATAAAGGGATTTTAACCAAGAGAGCTAACTTTGGAAATAGCTAGAAAAGCCATATTCTCTTCTTCCCTACTTACTCGTTACCTCTTTTTCCTGCTCAGTGCATGCTAGGGATGGACGTCCCCATCCCCTCGGATTCACCCATGAGCCCTGGTTTAAGTAGTACCTGCCCCCCTGGCTGTGACCCAGCCTCTTGGCTGGTTTGGGCTCAGCTCATTATCTTTCTACCTTTAGGTATTACATATTAAGTATAGATATCTGGGGATAGGCAGGGATATTTTGAGACTCAGAGAAGGGCGTCTTGGAGCCCCTTGTCTGAAATAATGAGTCCTGTGGATACATTTAGGCCCTGGGCCAAGGAGGGATGGTATCGTGGCTGGAGCCGTTCTGGGCATCTGGCCTCAACTGCCAGGCCATGGCTGGACACCTAACCAGGGCAACTCTGGCACACCCTAAAGCTTGGAAGGGGACATAGCTAGTCAGGGATGACCCGAGAAATGACTGGAAGCTCCACCAGAATGCAGAGCTTCCTTTGTGCTTAAATAACTGAACAAGCATCACTCTGTGTAGCAGGACACCACCCAGCATTTTTTGTCCCTTTGGAAACAACTCTTATTTCTGTTTCTTTGTGATACCAAAACTAGCATACTCTAATTGTAGAAAATACAAAACATAGAGTAGAACATACTAAGTTCTTTATCTTAAGAAATGGCATTTGTGTATGAGAATGTCTTGCTTATCTTTTCGCCCTCCAGGCAAAGCCAAAGCTAATTGAGCCACTCGACTATGAAAATGTCATCGTCCAGAAGAAGACTCAGATCCTGAACGACTGTTTACGGGAGATGCTGCTCTTCCCTTACGATGACTTTCAGGTAAGTAACGTTATGTTTCTATCCGTAGAACCACGTGTTTGATCTTAACAAGCAGTATTTTTCTATGTATTGATTTATTGTTTGGTTAGTTAATTATTATTATTATTATTTTTTTTGAGACACAGTCTTGCTCTGTCACGCAGGCTTGAGTGCAGTGGTGCCATCTTGGCTCAACGGCAACCTCCGCCTCCTGGGTTCAAGCATTTCTCCTGCCTCAGCCTCTCAAGTAACTGGGATTACAGGCGTGTGCCACCATGCCTGGCTAATTTTTGTCTTTGTATTAGAGACAGGGTTTTGCCACGGTGGCCAGGGTCGTCCCAAACTCCTGGCCTTAAGTGATCTATCTGCCTTGGCCTCTCAAAATGTTGGGATTATAGGCATGAGCCACTGTGCCCGGCCTAATTATGGTTTTTAAAAGATGAAAATAAGATGTTATTTAAGAAAGAAAAGTTATTTTATATTCTTCCAAGCATCCTTCATGAGTTGATAATTTTTAATGGTATTATTTTTGCATATTAATTATAAGTATGCCAAAATGTGTGTGTGTGTGTGTGTGTGTGTGTGTGTGTGTATCTTGAATAAAAGTGCTATACTCTGTCTGGGCTGATTTAGTGGGCACAAGTGCCTTTCTGTCTTTTGAGATTTGTTTTGATTTAGATTTTTTGGCCAAGTACCTTAGAATCTTAATGATGGGCTTTGCTGGGGAGCAGTGGGAGATTTCGTCATGCCTTTTTTTAGGATGGCATTTGGGAGCCTGCCTTCAGAGGCCCTGCACTCTGTGTGGGCTCCCAGCAAAGCGTTCAAGGTTAGCCAAGAATGGCCTGAAGTTTACCTCTGTAGTGTAATGTGGGTGCTGTTCCTTGGAAGAAATGTGGAGGACTCAGCACAGCTCCTGCTGTGTGCCGCTCTTTCAGGCTATGGCCTGTGGTTAAGAGACTAACAAGAAGCTGTGAGGCTGTTGAGGAATGAGAATGACATTCTTCCTCCAGGAAACCCGGTGGTGTTAAATGCCTTGCAGCGAGCCACCTTGGTCCATTTGGAGGTTCTGGTTACTTTCCTTGCTCTCCTGGGACCTGATCCTGGCACTTCTTTCTCCTCTCCTTTGATGCTCTTAGTTGGACACTTCTCTACCTGATGCTGTTACCATTTAAGCCCTGTCTTTTGTGAATCGAGCTGCCTTTTTTTTTTTAAGCTTCACTGATTCTTTGTTGTTTGATTCCAAAAGTGTTACATCCATGTACAAAAAGATAAATGAGAGGGAAATATTGAAATAATTGACATGAAAAGCCTCCCCACGCCTTCTAATCCCATCCCACAGAACATGACTTAACTGTATACAGCTCTGTGCATACTTGTCTTTAGAAACTTCCATGTTAATAGAAATTGTTAAATTACGATCCTTGAAGGTTTTTTCCCACCAAATTTAAGCGACTCCAGCTTACAACAGAGGTGAGAATTTTCACAAATGTTCACTCTTTCTAACTTGTTAGAGATACCTGGGCCCCAAAATGATTATTCTTTAGCTCTGTCCTGCATAAAAGGAATGCCCATGGGAATGAAATTGACCATTCGTGTGGTGTTGCTACCAAAGTAACAGGTAAATGGGTTGAGGTCATGCCAAACAATACCATGCTTTGCATACTTCATTTCATGACTAAACTGCATGGGAACGGACTAATAAATGAGAACCTCTGAATGATGCCTTTTGCCTGTGATTTGGCAACAAATGAAAAGCAAAATCAAATGATTATAAATTGTACTGCATGTTGACAAGATTTTCCTGTAGTGTTGTCTGAGGAAGCTAAAGGTTATCTCAAATTTCTCTCAACATGAAGTATGTGTTCTTCTTGGTATTAATTAAAGTAACAACTTTTTTGAGTTTGCAACCTAGAATGAAAAATTCTATTTGTATGACTGAGATAAAATTGCTTAAGAAACAAACCAAAGAAACGAGATACAGTTAGTTGAGTGTCATCTTTATCCCAGGGGAACAGGTATCTGGATGTTTAAGCAGTTGCAGAATCAGACAGTTTAAACTTTGAGAAAACTTCTGTGTCCCCTTTGCTTTTAACTACTCTGGTGATAGCAGGCACAAATATTCTAGGAAAGGCAAAGAACTCACTAGCATTTTGTTGGCTAAGGTGATGAGCAAATATTATTTTCTGTTTGGGGAGAAGTTTTCCTAGAGATTTAGGAGCTTGAATTGGAGCTTTAATCCTCATCACAGGAATTGTGATGGGCCCCAGTGAAGTTTGGGTACAATTATTTGTTTTCTTATAGACTCCCACTTTCTTATCAGGTAAAGCCATGTACTCTGTGCTTTCTTGTTAAATTGTCTCAGTGATGTTATTAACTGTCTAATTAGCTGGATGAGTGAAAGGTCTTAACAGTGCCACAGATTCTTTCTATCTGTGTTTTCTTAGGCAGAATAAGAGCAGAATTATTGTATTATTAGAGGCAGAGGGAACAAATTAGATTGGGGAAAGTGTTTTATTTCATATGGAAAAGTAATACCAAGTTGGTTAGGAAATGGCAGCAGCAAAACGCATGCTGAGGGGTGATTTACTGCACTTAAATAATTTAGCAGTATAAGTTAACTATTAAAATAATAGAACTTGGTGTCCATTTCTGCCAAATATATTTGAAATGACAATTTACTAAAATATAAGCATGGATAGTGGTGATGCTTGTGTACATTTTTCAAGTAGGCACATGTTGATCTTGAGCCTTTACTGGTCAGATCCTAAAGGCATCTACATGTTCTCTAAAAATGAGTTGTGTCAAGAAAAGATTTGCGGGTTGCATGTAGTTGCCTGAGGATGACAGAAGAGTAGTTACTACAACAGCAGCAAAGAAGAGAGACATGAAGTAAACGTGGATTTTTAAAAATCAAAAGAATAGGCCAGGCGCACTGGCTCATGCCTGTAATCCCAGCACTTTGGGAGGCCGAGGTGGGCAGATCACAAGGTCAGGAGTTTGAGACCAGCCTGGCCAATATGGTGAAACCCCATCTCTACCAGAAAATACAAAAATTAGCCAGGCATGGTGGTGCATGCCTGTAATCCCAGCTACTCGGGAGGCTGAGGCAGGAGAATCTCTTGAAACCAGGAGACAGAGGTTGCAGTAAGCTGAGATCGTGCCACTGCATTCCAGCCTGGGCGACAGAGTGAGACTCCATCTCAAAACAAACAAAAAATCAAAATAATAGTTCCCAGCCATCAGGTTATTGATGAAGTAGGCTGGGCACGGTGGCTCACACCTGTAATCCCAGCACATTGGGAGTCCGAGGCAGGTGGATCACCTGAGGTCAGGTGTTTGAGACCAGCCTGGCCAACATGGCAAAACCCCGTCTCTACTAAAAATACAAAAATTAGCCAGGCATGGTGGTGGGCACCTATAATCCCAGCTACTTGGGAGGCTGAGGCAAGAGAATCGCTTGAACCTGGGAGGTGGAGGTTGCAGTGAGCCAAGATCGCGCCATTGCACTCCAGCCTGGGGGACAAGAGGAAAACTCCATCTCAAAAAAAAAAAGGGAATATTAATGAAGTAAAGTACATGTGATCTGCCATGGCCAGGGACAGGAATGCCATGGGGCCTGCAGCCGTCACTAGCTGATGGCCCTTCTTTTTGCAGAATCAGATCCTGTCGCTTGGGGATCTCTGCCATCTGTGCTTTGGCTTCATGGTTCTCCTTGCCAGCAGCATCTTCTCTTCTAGATCTTTCCTACCCTTTAGAGACCACTTGAAATCCCATATTGTCTGAAGCTATTTAAGTCCACAGAAACTTTTCCCCCCACTGTCTCAATTCCTTTCCTACTGCCTGTCTGCACCGTGCACATAAACACTTGAGTATGTGGTCTTGGCTGTTCACGACCTACTTCTTAGGCTTCTTGCACGCAGGCATCCCGCCCCGTGCTGTGGTCCTGAGAAGGGCTGGCTTTGAGCCTCTGTTCTCCCACCCACCTGCCCACCTACACATGCACAAAATCCCTTTCTTGCTAGGTGCTAGGGTTGAATACCCATTGCTTACCTTACTAATAGTAAAATTTTTACAAGCATTAGGTTATTTTCTTTGATTCATCAAGTAAATATTAATACTGTTTGGAACATGTGATAGTCCCAGCGACTAGATTTGTAAAAATATTTGCAGGATCAATGATTTGGTTTGGCAGAAGTAGGTAATTTCTAAAATTAAAAAATGCAGGTAAAACAGGGACTGGAGAGGAGTATTTTTTCCTAGTGATTAATAAACCTTTATTTTTCTTATTGTTTTGTTGTCTTACCCAGTTTATTTGGCGTAAATCTGAGAACTTACTTTTTCCATGAGCAAAGTTAGAGGTAAACTTTAACAAGCAGTTAGACAGAGGTAATGACCTTTAGATTAAAAGGTTTTAGGTCAAGCTGTATAAGTTGACTTGTCGCTTAAGACATGATGAGCCTCTGTTTAACTGAAAGTCAAGCCCAGGACGCCTGCCTTTTCCATCAAAGACATGGGATTTGGGTGGCAGCTGACTATTGATTTCCAATGACGATTCTTCTTCAAGTGGAGGTCTTTTTACCAGATGGTCCTGTTGGTGGGGACATTGTTAACCCTGCGATTAACCGACGGCATCTTCATCTGGCTTTTAAGCTCCTTGTATCCTGACTTGTTACACAGCTTACTTATGCTTGTGCGACTATGTAAAGTGACAGTATATGAGAAAGGTAGTGAGTAGTAAGAATGTTGGGAGACAATTTAAGCTACCATTCATATTTCATAAAAATTAGACTTTGGTGTCTGGTGTAAACAAACAGAGGACAGAGCTTGTATGGAAGGATAAAAAGAGCGTGTTGGGCCGGGTTCGTTGGCTCACGCCTGTAACCCCAGCACTTTGGGTGACCAAGGTGGGAGGATTGCTTAAGCCTAGAAGTTCAAGACCACCCTGGACAGCACAGCAAGACCTCGTCTCTACAAAAAATAAATTTAAAAAATATTAGATACTAGAAAGATGGCAGAGCAAGAGCAAAGAAAAATCCCTTTGGTTCTAGAAAATCTGAAAAAGAGGAAGGCTTATCAAGCCCTCAAAGCCACTCAGGCAAAGCAGGCACTTTTAGCAAAGAAGGAGCAGAAGAAAGGAAAACAGCTCAGGTTTAAGCGACTGGAATCATTCCTATATGATTCCTCGTGGCAGAAACACGACAAGCTGCATCTCAGACAACTAGAAGTGAAACCTCATGCCTTGGAATTGCCAGATAAACATTCCTTGGCCTTTGTTTTACGCATCCAAAGAATTAATGGTGTGACTTCACTGGTGCAGAGAACCATTGCAAGACTTTGCCTGAAGAAAATTTTCAGTGGTATCTTTGTAAAAGTCACCCCAAAGAGCCTAAAATGTTGCTTATAGTAGAACCTTATGTGAACTGGGGATTTCCAATCTAAAGTCTGTCCAAGAACTCATTTTGAAACATGAACAAGCCAAGGTCAAGAATGAGACCATCCCTCTGACAGACAGCACAGCAATTGAGGAGCACCTGGGGGAGTTTGGTGTCATTTGCCTGGGAGACCTCATACATGAAATTGCCTTCCCAGGGAAGTATTTCCAGGAGATCTCATGGGTCTTGCACCCTTTCCACCTCTCGGTGGCCCATCATGCTACCAAGAATAGAGTGGGCTTCCTCAAGGAGATGGCCTCACCTGGGGTGAACACATCAATCAGCTCATCCACCAGCTGAACCCAACCCAGAATATCTGAAAGCACAGTGTAGTGGAAGCGTGTGTTTTGGGTTTTTTTGGAATTATTATCAAGTATCTTCAGATAAGATTATTTCCTGCTTAATCTTCAAAAACTGGAAAGGAAGGGTCGAAGAAAAGACAGTAGGTGATGTTCATGGCAGACACCTCTCATCACAGTCATTTCCAAGGAAAAATTCCAATGTTTTCTACATTGGCTGCCCCCTCATCTGAAATCAGCATCTGCCATGGAGGAATGGAGGAGGGAGTTCTGCTTAGTTGCATCTTTTGTCTTATGGTTTATTATTGTGAATGAGTAACTCAAGCTATGTACAAGGCTCTGTAAGACTCCTGTAACAGTGGACCAAGCCCAGGGGCATAATTGAGTCTGGAGGTTCCTGGGGCCTTGTTTTGAAGACTTGAAATACACATAGGAAGAAAGGTACAAAAATAAATACTCAGTTGTCTCTGGAAAAAAAGAAAAAATTAGCCGGGCATGGTGGCGCAAACCTGTGGTCCCAGCGACTTGGGAGGCTGAGGTGGGAGGATCACTTGAGCCCAACAGGTTGAGGCTGCAGTGAGCCATGATTGTGCTGCTGCGGTCCAGCCTGGGTGACAGAGGGAAACCCTGTCTCAAAGCATGTTGTATACCACTTCTGGATATATGCCCCAAAGACTTGGAAGCAGGGACTCAAAGAGAGATTTGTTCACCCCTATTGAGATCAGCATTATTTACAGTAGCCGAAAGCGGGAAGCAACCCAAGTGTCCATCGAGGGATAAATGGAGAAAGAAAATGTGGTGTTTACAAAAAATGGAATATTATTCAGCCTGAAAAGGGAAGAAACTCCTGTCCCATGTTACAATATGGATGGACCCTGAGGAGGTTATGCTCAGTGGATAAGCCAGTGACAGAAGGACAAATACTGTTCAATTCCACCTATGTAAGGTCCCTAAAGAATCAAATTCATTAGAGGCAGAAAGTAGAATGCTGGTTACTAGGGATGGAGGTGGGGAGCAATGGGGAGTTATTGTTCAATGGGAACAGAGACGCAGTTGGAAAGATGAAAAGAGTTTTGGAGATGGATGGTGGTGATGGTTGAAAAATGAGAATGTACTTAATGCCATTGAACTGTACACTTAAAAATGGTTAAGATGGTATATTTTGTGTTTTATGTATTTAAAATAATGATTTTTAAAAAGCATAGGATTTCGTTATAGGATTTCTGTGCTATATTTATGGGTGGGAAACTGTTGTCATCCTTAGAACTGTTTGCAAAATCAGGTTGAGGAGTGAGTCCTTAGGTGCTTTTCCCACTGATATTCATGGTGTATTACCTATATAAATGTCTTAGCAAGAGAATTGAAAAGAAAGGATAGGAGTGCAGGTCAAAGATTATTCAAAATTGACAATCCTAGAAATTTTACTTTTTGGAAATGTTTGAATACAGGAGAATCCTAGAGTGTTCTCAGCATTGTACAGAAAAATGTGGTTACTCTATTTCCCTTTCAATAACATCCTGAGTTTTATTTTTCCTCTGGTTCTTTTCCTCTTCTACTTACATGAGACTGATAATGATCTACAAATCACTGACATGGAGAGGAAGCTGTGCCTGCTGCTTACAAAGGCCTGGAAGTCCCTGATCTCATTTCCCATCTGTCCTTTTGAAAAGAAAAAAACTTATTTTTCACGATGTTTTGTCCTCACTCTTTTCTTATATAGAGCCAAAAGAAAAAAACCCTCAATACTTTGTTTTTGGCTTTTTATTGAAAAGTGTTCTTTTCATAAATTCCTCAAAATTCTCATCAGTAAGAATTCAGTGGCCAACAGTGTAACTTTCTGTGAACATTGTGGTTTGTGGGATATTAGTTCATGTCTAGGCTTAGACCTAACTGAAAAATCTGGATAAATTATATTTCTGGGCCGGGTGCAGTGGCTCACGCCTGTAATCCTAGCACTTTGGGAGGCTGAGGCGGGCAGATTACCTGAGGTCAGGAGTTTGAGACCAGCCTGGCCAACATGGTGAAACCCTGTCTCTACCAAAAATACAAAAATTATCTGGGCGTAGTGGCGGGCGCCTGTAATCCCAGCTACTTGGGAGGATGAGGCAGGACACTTGAACCCGGGAGGCGGAGGTTACAGTGAGCCAAGATTGTGCCACTGCAACCCCAGCCTAAGCAATGAGAGTGAAAGTCCGTCTCAAAAAAAAAAAAAAAAAAATTCTGAATAGACACATCTAAACCTTGAGGATATGAGAATTTTAATTCTAGTTCAAGTAATGCCTTTTACAGGAAATAGTGATTGATTTTTTTTTTTAATTATCATCACATAGTCCTTAAAAAGAAAAGCTTACTTTTCAGGTAGCACTGATCAGCTGAGCTTAAGGGTATATTTATTTAACTTATGTTTATTCTTAAACGACTTGTGAAAGGACTCAGCTTTGTGAGGTGCTTGGAATCATAAAGATAAGCTAGGATCCTTGCTTTCAAAATGCTCATAACTTAGGAGAGGAGATAAAGGTATGTCTTAATAAGCAGGGGACTAGGACCAGTGTCATGACATAAATCTAGTCCCATGGGAATCTACTGTGGCAGTATTATTTGAGAGTTTAGTGGAACACTCAAGTGCTGTCAGCTCTTGAAGTGGCTGGAAACGCAGAAGTCCAGCCCTGAGAGAAGTGTTTAAAAAGGAAGATCTGGACTCATCCACAGAAAAGTGAGACAGGCATGAAAGGGGCCGAGAGCATGACGGACTGAAGCCTGGGCTAGTGCCTTCATTTAGGAAAAAGCAGGGGAAGCAGAGACAGAAGTTAGGATAAGAACCAGGAAATGGAGAAGAAGAGTTGGAAGAAGGCAGGCAGAGAGGGCAGACAGTCTCTCCATGGCTAGGGAGGTCCCAGGAAAGGGCTGTGGAGTTGGTGACCAGGAAGGGGTAAAGAAGTGAGTGGGGAGACACAGGTTAGAGTAAGCTGGAAACAGAAAGAAGAAATCAGAGTGGCTCAGAGCAGTGACAAGGTCTGCGGGAGGTTTTACCAGGATTGGGAAAGCAAGAATGAGCTGAGAAGGGTGAAACCCAGGCATGGAGAAGAGATCGAAGATATAGGATAATGTGGTCTGAGTTTTGAAGCAGGGTTCCGCATGGGGTCTCTGGGGAGGGAATTGAGGGTCTTTTAGAGGAGGAGTTGAGGAAGGAGAAATACTGCCAGCTCCAAATGGAAGGAGAGCATTGCGTATTGAGAAGTGTAGCGGCAGATTGTGCTGAGGGAGCTAATGTCAGGCTGGCCTGGGGCAGGGGGAGCTTGGGTGAGTAAGGGTTTGGAAAGCAGGCCATGGAGAGTGGCAGGGGGAGTCAAGTCTCACCAGCTTGTTCTCCCCCTGTTGGAACCATCGCCACAGCCTTTGTCTGTCCCTCTTACCTGGATTAATGCGAGAGACTCCTCTCAAGTCTTCTGGGTTCTCTCCTTGCCCTCTTCCAGTCTGTCCTAACAGTGTAGCTAGAGAGACTGTTTAAAAAGTGAGTCAGAGGATATCATTCCTGTGTTCAGAATCCCCCAGCAAAGGCCTTACAGTGGCCCAAGGGTCCCTGTGATCTTGTTTCCCATTTACTCCCAGGCCTTCTCCCAGCCCGCCTCTCTCACCATCCGCTGTCTGTCTGCAGCCACACTGGCCTCTTTGGGCTCCTGTCTCCCCCGCGAGGCTTGGGACCTATCCTGTCCCTGGAAATTCTTTACCTGGCTATCTCTTGCCCCCTGCAAACCTTTTTCCAAATCTGACCTTTGCAATGAGGCTGTTGCTGACTGCTACAGCTCCACCCCTCTTTGGCCTTGCTGGTCCTCTCTACCTTGCTCTGATTTCTTTTTTTCTCTCCCTGTCTCTTAACAGCCTCTCACACTGGTATATGTTCTTGCTTCTTATGTAAACTCCAGGAGGCAGGGATCTTAGTTTTTAAGCATGTAGAACAAGTGGTAGATATTCAATAAATATTTGTAGAATTAAACAAATGAATTATCAACCAAGAGGGGGGTCTTTCCACTTAAGATTTCAGTGAAAACAATTAGCCTTGTTGGAAATGTCAGTCACCTGGGAATAGAGAAGAGAAAGCAGAGGATGGATGGCTGTGATGGTGGCAGGATGTAGGTGAGAGTGAGTGACCCAAGGTCCTAAAATGACCTCCCAGGGAGTCAAGGCTGGAGAGTCTTTGGAGGTGGACCCTGGACTGGGAAAAGAAGACACTAGAGGGCCCAGAGGAGGAAAGAGCAAAAATACTTGGTGTGGGGTAGTTTGAGGAGTACCAGGGCACACTCAGGGAAGGGACATGTCAGTGTCTGAGAGCTCACGGGAGGAAGGTGTAGTGACAACATGGACCATGGTGGAGTGACTTTAGACGGCTCTTGGGTGAGGAGAATCAGCATGTAACAAAGCATTAAATCATTTGGAAGAAATTCAGAAAATCGTAGATGTACATTCAGCCCACTTACCAGGCCTACTAAACGTCAATCAGATATAATATCAAATTGAAATACGAAGTTAAGGGTAGAGCTCTTCAAGTGGCTATTTTGAGCATTTAAGCTTGAGCTGGATTCCCAGGTCCCTGGAAGATGTATGTTATAAGCTTTCTTATTAGAAATATTGTAGGAAAAGGAAGTGATTTACAAACATTTAGAATCATTGTTTCCTTGACTGATTCATTTGTTCTTTAATTTGTTTAAAACCATCTTGCTTAGCTCACCAAACTTCAAGAAGATCAGCATTGGACTGTGCAAATTCAGTGTTATTTTCCTAAACTGAAGGAAGTGTTAAAGATGAAAACTGCTTCTGAAAAATATCTTCTATGCCTGAGTCCAAATCAGCAACCACAGAAACATATTGGGGAAGCATAATTAACTTTGTATTTGTGCCAGCCTTTCTAAATGAAGGTGGAGGCCTGATAGGCTAGGAGGATGATCTGGTCATGACCCCGCTGTCCTTAAGTGAGGTTCAGCTGATTGGCACCTCAAAGGGTTCTCCCGCCTTCCTCGCTGTTCCCAGGGTATCCCTCTGCATCCCCATGAACTGTTACAGGCAGGGGAGGGTGTGTGGGCAGCTGTGTCCCCATGTGCCCTGGCATAGGACTGTAGGGGATGTGATTGAACATGTTATGCGGGAGCAGGACACACACATGGAACACAGTGTAATGGTGCCCTCAGGAGCCAGAGAACTCAGCGGAACCATGATGCCTCCTGCTGAAACAGTTAGGGTACAAGATCAGTGTGTTGATTTTTATGCTTACAAAGTATTTCATCATTTTCTTTATTTTTTTTTTCCTCAGCCTGCTGAGGGTAGTAGCTTTTTTTTTTTTTTTTTTTCTCATATAGTGGACACTGTGACGTGATTTTTGCTCCATATTGTGCTCAGGAAAACCTAGGATTAAGTGGGTAGTTGACATTAACTACACATGTAACTAGAAGAAAGAGAGCACACACGTATGAAATACCACCTGTATACATCAAGTAAATGTAAGATGTTATTCTCTTATCCTGAATGAAGGATATTGATGAACCCAGTAGTCCATCATTGTATGTTTGTGTTCCCCATGAGAGGTCACATTCTTCTTTTCTTTTTAAAATAACATTTAGCTGACATTTTAAATATGTCAGAGAGAATGGTAAAATTCTACAATTGGTGGAATTGGATAAATGCAGACCATATTTGCAAACCAATGAGGCATAGAAGGACAATTTTATCTATGTGATTAGTGTATATGTCTTAGGATATTAAAGGTAATCAACAGGCATGGATAGAGGAAGATTTGAACTAAGGATGATATCTTCCGTCAGGGGTAGCTTAATCAGATGGAAATTTATGAAGTATATACTGTGTCTCTAGCATTCATCCCCTATCCCTCTTTATTATGATTATTTGTAACTATGAAACTGCTTTTTTTCCCCTAAATAGAAAATAAAGCCTCCATGAGACTAGAAAGCTGTAATTTTTTTTTAAATTGTAAACCATAGTTTTTTGAAAATTCATGTTTACATTTGCCAACATTCCTACAATAGTATTTTATCCATAGTAGACACTTAATAGGTATTACACAAATGAATGGATATGAGATCTTGGCACCAGTGGCCTTTGAGGTCATTAGAGCATATCTCAAGGTGGCAAATCATGGGAGTAGAAGTAAAGTAGACAGTAAATTTGCATGCAAAAACGAACACACACAAACGAAGAGTCCTTAAAGGAAATGGAAATCCAGGTTTTGGCCTTAGAATTCCTAGATGTCATTTAACGTATGACCAGGCACAAAATCTCTATGGTTCCTAAAACAAAAACAAGTCCAGCTATGTCTGTATCTCTGCCTTTTTCTACCAGGGTTGCCTAGAAGAACCTAGATAATATTGAGTGTGTCCCACATGGGTTTGAGCAACACCCTTGAGTGTGTGCATGAGATCCAAAGAGGACAGATTCAGTAAGTTTATCAAAGTCCCCTGATGTCAGAAGTCTTGAGTCACAGTGCCTTCCCCATCTGCTTAGCATTATATCTACAAAGCTGACTCTCCGCTGTGTTTGAAGTAAGGCTCTGGATGGCAGCCCAGGAGCTGAAATGCTGCTCTGACAGGAGCAGTGTGGCGCTGGTCAACTCAGAGGGATTTGAGTGAAATTATACTCAGTGCATAAGTGAAACCTTACATATGGATGATGGGTGGCACAGTAGGGAGTATGTCTTCCTAAGACAAGTCCCGAAGGAAAGTTCACTGGTGTATCGAGATGTATAAATACAGTCATGCACTGCATAATGACCTTTCAGTCAACAGTGGTGGTCCCATCAAATTATAATGCTGTATTTTACCATACCTTTTCCGTGTGTAGATATGTGTAGGTACACACATACTTCCATTGTGTTACGTCTCCCTACAGTAGTCAGCACAGTCCCATGTTGTACAGGTATGTGGCCTAGGAGCAATAGGCTACACCCTATAGCCTAGGTGTGTGGTAGGCTATACCATCTAGGTTTGTGTAAGTACACTTTATCAAGTCTGCACAAGGACAAAGTCACCCAATGATGCATTTCTCAGAATGTATCTCTAGCGTTATGCAACACGTAACTGTGATGGACATGTTTTAACTTGAAGCATATCCACTGTGCTAGATGTTCACACAGAATTATGGTCCTTTTAGCAACTAAAATAGAATTCTAAAGAAAGACAACCAGCTGGGCGCGGTGGCTCACGCCTGTAATCCCAGAACTTTGGGAGGCCGAGGTGGGCAGATCACGAGGTCAGGAGATCGAGACCATCCTGGCTAACACGGCAAAACCCCATCTCTACTTAAAATACAAAAAATTAGCCGGGCGTGGTGGCGGGTGCCTGTAGTCCCAGCTACTCGGGAGGCTGAGGCAGGAGAATGGCGTGAACCTGGGAGGCGGATCTTGCAGTGAGCCAAGATCGCGCCACTGTACTCCAGCCTAGGGGGACAGAGCGAGACTCTGTCTCAAAAAAACAAAAAAAAAAAACAACAAAAAAAAAAACATAACCAGAGACACATACAGACAACTGGAAAACAAAAGAAAGTAAAGAAAGTACACTTACTTACACCTACCTCAAGGTTGAGTGCAATGCACATGAAAGAGTTGGTAGGTGCTTTAGACACTAGAGGTAGTGACAGGACCCAAGATTTAGTCGTATGTCCACAGGGGTTTTAACTCAGGTCTGTCTCTTATTACTCTGATCCTTTCATAAGTGATAAACCTTCCTAAAACTCACTTTTCTTAATCTGTAATTCAGTGATGATATTTCCCCTAAAATTTGGTTCTCACAGATGTTTGAGAATCCAAAGAGATAACTACCATCCAGGAGAGCTCTGCACGCCCTTGCTACTGCCCTTCCATTGCTTGGCAGACGCCAGGTTACTAGGGAGCTTATTACAGCCTCTATTCTCGCCTCTAGGGAATGTCATTTTATTTTTGAGGAGGCTGTTTTTAGTTGCCATCCTCAACTTTAGTTGTTCAGCAGGCTCAATCCCTTACTAAATGGGAAGGCAGACATACCACGTGGGCCCCAAATGACCACAAGGCTACTCCTGGTTTTCTGGGTAACTCTCCTGTCCTCAGCTGTGCAGTAGTACTTAGCAAGTGATTTTAAAATTGCTTCTTTGTAAGACCAAAAAAATATATAATTCTTTACAAAAATGCACTTAATTCATAACTAGTTATTAAGGGTTCTGAACATTTATGTTATTTAGTTTACTGCATTTTAATAAACAATCGTGTGCTCTTCCATTTAAGGGATTTGAGAAGGTGGCAGAATGAAATTCATATGACTCTCAAAGTCTACTGAAATCTGACTTTTCAGGAAGCAGTACATTATTTGGTGAAAGGAACTGTCTAAAGTCTCACGTGTTGCTGAGACGCTGTCTCATTTGGAACCTCATGTGATCTCACAACTAAATTGCGCAGTCCCTCTTTTAAAGTCCCAACTTCCCATTTACTCAGCAACATTCATCTTGTGCCAGGTGTTCTGCTGGGTATTGGAGAATTAAAGATGAATAACATGGTCAGATTCTCAAGTCAGGCAGGAGACACAGAAGTATCTTTGAGTAATCTTAGCAGAATGGTACGTGTTCCTGAGACCAGTCTGAGCAACTTGGTGTCAGTCAGAGGGGCCTGGTGCATTAGGGAATCAGAAATAGTCCATGTTGCTGGACTGTTGGAGAAGGGCAGAAGAGTCCAGAAAAGTTAGTACGGTTGGTCACAAAAGGTCTTCGGTCATGCTGAGGAGTTTGGATTTTATTCTGGTGGCAATGAGGCGTCACTGAAAGAATTTCAGCTGAGGCATGATGCTATCAGATGAGAGATTTAGAAAGACAAATGGCAGGTGTGCAGAGAATAGATAAGAGGGATGATGGAGGGAAGGTGGGCCTACCAGTTAGGGTGCTGCACTGTGGTTTGTGCATCGCTGTGGGTACTTTGACATCAGGCAGAGTGAAGGGTGGCACTGTTGAAGGACCAGAGAAAGAAATGGGGGACCATGCAGGTGCCAGTGAAGAGGAGCAGTTAGAGAGGCAGAGAAGGCCCCCCCACCTCAAGACCACCAACAAGATGGATTATAGAATCTATGTTAGGTGAGCTTAGGCTCAAATAGTCCATGAGAAATGTATAATTCTCTGCTCGTATCAAGACTCAGCCCAGCTAGCTGCAGTGAGTCACGCCTGTAATCCTAGCACTTTGGGGGGCCACGGTGGGATGATCGCTGGAGCCTAGAAGGTCAAGGCTGCAGTGAGCCATGATCACACCACTGCACTCCAGCCTAGGCAACAGAGCGAGACCCTATCTCTTAAAAAACAACAAAAAAACTCAGCCCTTGTAATGTTTTAAATGTGTTCCTTGGGAATTGGCTTTCATTAAATCCCTTCCAGAAACCTAAATGGAATTCCTTCTTCAGCCTCTCTGTCCTATGCTTTGCTCCTTTTCTTAATTATTAGGGAATTAAACATCGAGGCTCTTTAGGCAACGCTTGCCTGAAAATGGAATTTGTCTGATGTTAATAGAACATCGTGGGTTAACTGCCAAGACATGAATTGTGAGGTAAAATGTGGGAACGCCCTGTGTAAATTTTAGTTTCCAGTCTAGCTTGGTACTGAATCCTCTCAAAAAGCAAGTCATATGCTCTGAAACAAATGCATCTGCCAGATAACTTGGAAAGGTTTCATCACCTCTGCACTCAGTAAGTTTCAGTGATGTTCCCAGAGTTGTTGAATAGTAATGTTTAATACTGCACTCGATACAAAATATTTAATGTACAGACCAGTGCAACCAAGTGGGGTTTCCAGCAGATATCAAAGGGACATAATTCTACAGAGACGTGAGGCACCATGCAGTTTGGCTGAGGCCTAGAGACAAAAGGAAGGAGCTCTTGTGAGCCATCTAAGAGGGAGTAGTTTGCAATCAGAGATAACTTTGGAACATGGACGTGGATGCTCTCCATTTGGCCCAGCTGAGAACAATAACAATTGAACCTAGGGTTAACTCAGTGAGGGAGATGGGCCAGGCCCAGGGAATGCTCCTGAAGAGCTCAGTCTTGCTCGAACCTCCTGGGCTTTGCTTTTTGGCTGCATCCAGGTCCGTCCGTCTCCTGAGCTCTGCATATTGTGCCTTGCCCCCGCCCCAGGCCCACCCTAAGATTTGCCCTTCCTTCAGCAGATTCAAGTACTATTTCTCTGACAAATGCATAAGGTCCTCAGGTGTTTGAAGAGATAGTTCTAAGTAAATGAAAACAAGCACAAAAATAAGCACAAGCATGGATGCTTTACATGAGATTACAAAGAGGGGAGAGAGGATTGATGGCTCCACAGTTTAGCCTAAGGGTAGACTGGAATTGATGGGGTCTGAGGCCTGCTGGGCTTCTCTAACAGGTGGTCACTGTGGACCCCGGGCCTTCTTCTCTCTGATTTTAGGTCATCCTCAGTCCTCAGAGAGCAGACCATCTTAGAGGCAGGACCCCAGGTACCCTGAAATTACCCTCCAGCTCCCTAGGTCTGCAGTCCTGCTCTCACTGACAGTTTCCTCCTGAAGAGAAGCATCTTCCCCTGTCCTGACTCAGTGTCTCAGTTGGAGCGCTGTGGTCTCCCCTTTCCTCGGGTTGGCTCTCGAGAACTACCTGGGAGGCTGCTGGGTACTCCCCATCTCTTCCTGCATCAGAGCCTGTGCTCCCCTTTTGGGCTGTCCCTGGTGTTTGTTTCTCTGTTGAGGGAGGACACTCCCAGCTCTCTGCACCTTTGAGCAGCAGAGATGTGGAGACACTTTGTCACTGGTTCCAGCAGCTGGCTCAGGTTACAGCCCACCCACTTCTCTGGGAGATTGTCTTTAGCTCATTGCTCATATGGTCCCAGGGCAAGGGTGGGCCTATTGTTGGTCTTTTAATTAAAATTTTATAAAATATGATGTTTTAAATATCCCAAGGATTTGCATACTTCCCACCAGGAATTAAGAGGGCTGTTTTGTCATAGTTTAAGCCCATTGTAAAGTAATTGATAAAAAAAATCCAGTGCCATGAGTTGAGAGGGTTAGAAAAATAATAGAAATCTTTGTTAATACTCACTCTTATATTTATTTAAATCTACATAGTGAATCTTCCCTGCCTTTTACCCAACGATTCTTTCCATAAAGAAAAATAATTAAGGTAATGCAACTGTAATTCAAAGCAAATATGGTATTCATCTTTTTTCTTTTTTCTGGATGCCTTTTATGTTTTAGTTTCTTACAAAGCAATTTCCAGCACTCAGATAAACCATTTGAGAGGAACAGACTTAGAATTCCATATTCACAGAACTGTGGGATTTTTAAACCACAAAGGAAACCTAGAGATCCTAGAAGACTGTTCTGTGGATGTGGAAAGTTCAAATATCCCCCAAGACTGCACAGCTAATTAGAGGCAGAGCTGGGGTAAGGACTCAGGTTTCCTGGCTCTCAACTCAAATCTCTTTCCAATATCATTTCTCAAATTCTAAGATCAGAAGTTGAATGAAACGATTCGCTTCACATTTCTTGTGGTTTGAAACATGAGCTTCTCAGAATCTCCAGCTTCAGTGGGGTCAGGGTAACGTATTGGCTGCTACTGATGGAGGCCAGACAGAGCCCCGGCCAGGTTGGGGTCAGGAATGTCGTTAGGAGAGAGGGATTCCACATTTAAGCTGCAGAGAGAGCAGTGAGTGATGATAGAAGCAGGAAATGCCAGAGGCCCCAGGGGTCGGCCCAGGTGAGGAAACAGGTACCTCCACTTGCTCCCTTTAGGTGGGCCTGCCCTGCTGCCCAGGGCTAAGTGGCTTCCCACAGTGGCTCAGAAACATCACCGTAACCCCAGTGTTTGGAGGAGATCATTTCAACTAAGAGGAAAAAACTTTTCTTTTTTTAAGTAAAAAGGATCTATTTGAAATTTGTCATTCCAAACTAGACTTGGAGACAGTTGTAAATTTCACTCTTTTTATTCTGGGAGCAACTCTGTGCTTTTCTAGCTCATTCTGTTAAAAAAAAAAAAAAAGCAAAACAAAAAACTGTCCCATAAATATTGAGACTGGGGCTCTCAGGTATCTGTGCATCCTCATATGAGCCCTTTGGGAAAGGATGTCACCCTTTTTTCTTCCTTTTTAATTATGCCTGTGATTTTGTGGAACTTCCTATAAGACTCCTGTCCATATTTGCTGAAGGTAACTAAGAATTTCTTAGTGTCAAAGGCTACGTGTTTAACCTAAGTAATAATATTGACTGAAAATAATTTACCTTCTGTTATAATAGCTAGGAAAGGGCTTTTATCTACCTATCTGTCTATCGATCATCTATCTATCTATCTACCTATCTTTCTTTTTTTCTTTTTCTTTTCCTTTTCTTTCTTGCAGGTGCATACCTTGGTAAAGGGCTTTTATTTTGAAATTATGTTTGTGCTGTGAAGATTTCTATCCAAATAGTTGTGTGAGATGCTAGCAATGTTTAGGTTTAATTTTCAGAACCATATTACACTAATTATGGTGTGAAATGTTTTTTCCCCTTTCCCTTTTCAAATGTACAGATTTATTAGCGGAATGGAAATGGCTTGTTTCCAAACATAGACATAGGACTGGTATGCTATGAATGCCCACCTTTATGTTGGGCATTCAAATGATGTTGGGCATTGGGTCTATATAAAGTGGATATAGACCTATCTTTTAGCAGAAATATGATTTTAACTGATAGAAAAGTAGAAAAGAATGCCACAGCTATGAAAAAGAAAACTTGACTTATTGTTGAGAAGGGCTTTAGTGCTTTTGGAGTATAAATCTCTTAGTATTGACTTGGACTTCGCTATAAGCTAAATAAATAAAACTACAGAAATTTAGTGTGAATTAGTTTGGCATAAAGTAGATGATTATCTGAATATGACTTTTAATACATAAAATCTGTGGAGAAATTAAAACAGAGTGCTCACTCATGCTATAGTCTTCCCTTGTCAGTTCCTATAATGGACCAGATAACTTTTTGTAATAATAGGGAGAAAAAACTTATATGCAAGTAATGGATGGTTATTGGTAGGTTCCTATTTCTGTCTCCATTGACTGCTTTATTCATTCTTTTCTTTCTTTCTTTTTTTTTTTTTTGTTTGAGACAGTGTCTCACTCCATCACCCAGGCTGTAGTACAGTGGCCTAGTCACAGCTCACTGCAGCCTCGAACTTCTGGTCTCAAGAGATCCTCCCATTTCAGCCTCCTGAGTAGCTTGGACTCGAGGCGCATGACACCATGCCTGGGTAATTTTTTTATTTTTAGTAGAGACAAGGTCACGCTATGTTGCCCAGGTTGGTCTCGAACTCCTGGTCTCAAGCAGTCCTCCCACCTCGGCCTCCCAAAGTGTATTTACTCATTCTTGAAACATTTACCGAGTATTTAGCACATAGCTAGAAATAGGAAGATGTATCTCCTGTTCTCAAAGGAATTTGCAATCTGGTGGGGTAAAGAAGGGCATGTGGGTACAGGAGAGTTTTGGATAATGGAGTCAGGGTTGACTAGCTGTTCAGACAGGTCTCGGGGTGGTTTATAAGGTCACCATGGTACAGGATCAGACCTCAGGTTTGCAAGTCCAAAGATGGGATTTGGTCACCCAGAGTGTTTCAGGCTCAGGGGAACTGACTTGTTGCAGGCAACCCCACAAGAGCACAAACCAGAATGTCATTTTATTAATATGCATTGAGAACTAGAATTCACAAGCAGATCAGAATACTACACCGGCTGTGCATTTTCTCCCAGTAGGAAAGTCTAAATGGGAAGCATATTATAAACAAGTGGCTCAGTGAGGCTGTACTCAGAGCAAGGGCAATGAATTAGAAGACCTTAGCAGCTGGTGGTATCAAACATTGACGGCCCCATTGGTGCCAAGCCTGGTAGTCCTCCCCTCCCCCATGGGTCCAGCCTAATGGGTTCCAACCTTTCTTTTATTATTATTTTTTATTTATTTTTTGAGACAGGCTCTCATTCTGTCACCCAGTCTGGAGTGCAGTGGCGTGGTCTTGGCTCACTGTGACCTCCGCCTCCTGAGTTCAAGCGATTCTCGTGCCTCAGCCTCCCAAGTAGCTGAGACTACAGGCGTGCGCCATCACGCTGCCTGATTTTTGTATTTTTGGTAGAGATGGGGTTTCACCATGTTGGCTAGGCTGGTCTTGAACTCCTGATCTCAAGTGATCTGCCTGCCTCGGCCCCCTCAAAGTGCTGGGATTACAGGTGTGAGCCACCATGCCCAGCTCCAACCTTTCTCTGAAATAGTGATAGAGACACTGACAGAATTCCTCCAGCCATGGAAGCCTGGTTCTTTCTGTTGGCCTATTCTTATCCCAGATGTGGACTTTTAGTGTTGTTTAATTCAAGATCAGTAAGAATTCTAGGCAGTTTTTCCTTTGACTTAAGTTTTTAGTTCTAGGACTTAATGGATATATTTATTTATTTATTTATTGGCAAAGAGTTAATCTCATTCATTATATCTTAATTTTGTGCTTTGAACTTCCCAAGGGCAAGTTTATCTCCATGTTTCTCTTCATTTTGTACTGAATATGACTTGTGCTCATCCTTTACAGTTTAGCTTAAGTTAATTTTAGCTTTCCCTCAGTGTACCTTTTCTTGATGTCCTCTTCTCTACCTTACTGAATTTAGACTCCCTAACTTTTTTCTCTCATATCATCCTGTGCTTCTGTGCTCTTTTCTCTATACTCTTCTGTACTTATCACACTCTAATAATTATTTCCTCATCGTCCTCTTTCATCAGACTGTAAGCTTTAAAAGAATAGCAACTATATTTTATTAAACTTTGTGTCTCCAGCTGCTAGCTCAGTGTCCGGAAGAAAGTAGGGACCCAGTAAGGTGTGGATAGATGGATAGATGAATGGGTAAAGTAACATTTATGCTGAGTCCTTAAATGATCAGTAGAATGTTTTTCCTAAGACACTACAAACTACTCTCAAGATCCAACAGGCATTTACTGTATCTTACTTGACCTCTTTCGTGGCATTGACTTGAGTGGAAGGGTGACTGTGGAAATGAGATTGCAGCATAGTGTATCTCCTCACTTCTGTCTTAACTCTGTAGTGTAGCTAGTATTTGAAATCCATTTTCATGAAAATGCCAGTATTCTTCAGTACTGTAACTTGGAGATGTTCCTAGTGTCTTACAATCTTGTTTTGGTTTTCTGTTTTTGAGTAACAAACCATCCCACAGCTTCGTAACTTAAGACAATAATTTATTATTTTTTGCAATTCTAAAATCTGGTCAAGGCTCAGCTGGGTGGTTCTTCTGTTTTACACTGTCTGTAGGAACTGGAATGTCCAAGATGGTTCTTCACTCACATTGTAGTATCTCGCCTGCAATGGCCGAGACCAGCTGGGAGATGGTGGGGCATCTTGTATATATCCTCTTTATGGCTACCTTGTACTTCCTGTCACCATGGTGGTCTCAAGATGGTAGAACTTATATGGTGACTGGCTTCCAAGAAGGAGGTAACAGAAGCTCCCAGTTTTTCTAAAGGCTAGATTTGGGCCTGGTGCAATGGCTCATGCCTATAATCCCAGCACTTTGGGAGGCTGAGGTGGGAGGATTGCTTGAGCCCAGGAGTTCAAGACCAGCCTGGACAAAATGGTGAGACCCCCCGCCCCCATCTCTCCAAAAATTCAAAAATTAGCCAGGCATGGTGGCTCATGCCTGTGGTCCCAGCTACTTGGGAGGCTGAAGTGGGAGGATCACTTGAGCCCAGAACGGCAAGGTTGCACTGAGCTGTGATTGCCCCACTGCACTCCATCCTGGGTGACTGAGTGAGATACTGTTTCAAACAACAACAACAACAACAACAACAACAACAACAACAACAACAACAACAGAGGCTAGGTTTATAACTGATCATCATTCCTTCTATCTCATTTTGTTGGTGAAAGCCAGCCCAGATTCAGGGAGAGGGGAGACAGGCTGTGCCTTTTGGTGTACAGAGCACTATGCATAGACGAGGAAGGATAGCAGCCATCTTTGGAGATTATCTGAAAGAGATCAAATAGTGTGTAGTTCAAGACATGCACGAAGAAATAGCAGTTATGCTACACTACGTATGTACTAAAGAAGCACACCTAGTTTAGTTTAATTGGATGAAGTCTCTGGGGGAGAAAAAGGGCTCTGTCTGGTCAGAAAACTATTCTTTGTTAACATCAAGGTTAGGAATTGATGAGTAATGGTTAATGTGTAAACCTCTTTTAAAAATGAGAAACATCATGCTATCTTATCTGTTAAAACTCAGGTTTCTCTCCTCCTGTGGAACATACATGAAGGAAAAAAAAATTCAGGATTCTGTTTAATAATTTAAAGTTACTTTTTTTTTTTCCAAGTGAGAACATAATGGGACTTTGATATAAGAGAATAAAAAAGATCTATTTCCTTTTATTTTTCTCACCTTAGAGGGGTGTTTGGAAAAGTGTCCCATAATTAAAGTTTCTTGAGTTGGTTATTCTACTGGGAAATTTTTGTCATAAAGTTTTTCTTCTTAATGTTAGGATGAAGAATGGCCTAGAAGTGACCCTAATAGTCCTATTTCTTGATGTGAGCTATTTCATGAATGTTTTAAAAGTATGATAATTAGTTTCAAAAATCTTGAAAGACCCAGATAAATCAGATCATAACACAGTTAGTGGGAACATAGAATGTATACTTTTTGAGGTAGCACCCGTCCTTCACAACAGTTGTGACAGTCTATATATATACAGTATATTGCTTTGTAGCTTTTTGTACAGATTGCGCCTGTCTTCCATGCTTATGGTCACTCATCTCTGTGGCATTTCACAAGAACAGATGTGTAATAAAGGTCACTGTTTCTTTGTAATACTTACAAAGAAGTCAGGACCTAGGAGGCTGAAGGAATAAATAATTTACCTGCCAAGGACTTTGGTGAAGAACAGAATTCATTTCTTCCACTCCTTTAGAATGGGGAGCCTTATTCTAAAAATAGGCTTTAAGATTACTTTCAAAGATAGACACAGTGCAAGAAAAGAATAAATATAGGTGAAGCAGACACAACAGAGAGAGAAAATACAGGCAGGAAATAAATTGTACACAAAACACATGCCCTGAAGTTCTCCACCTAGGCTGGAGGGATAAGGGAGCAGAGGTTTGACCCAAAGCCACCTCTAACCAAAGGAAGAAAGGAAACTGCCAGGACCAATGCTGTGAGATCCCAGTGTAGTCATTTGCCATGAAGAGCTAACAGGGTAGATTCTCTCAGCAAAATGTTTGCTTGTATGCTGCTTTAATGACTATGATCTGTTTTTTTGTTTGTTTGTTTGTTTGTTTGTTTGTTGTTGTTTTTTGAGATGGAGTCTTGCTCTGTTGCCCAGGCTGGAATGCAGTGGCACCATCTTGGCTTACTGCAACCTCCGCCTCCCGGGTTCAAGTGATTCTCCTCCATCAGCCTCCCGAGTAGCTGGGATTATAGGCATGCGCCATCACACTCAGCTGATATTTTTGTATTTTTAATAGAGACGGGGTTTCACCATGTTGGCCAGGCTGGTCTGGAACTCCTGACCTCAAGTTATCCACCCACCTCAGCCTCCCAAAGTATTGGGATTACAGGCGTCAGTCACCGCGCCCAGTCGACTATGATCTGTTAATAGTACCTAAGGGTTACAGTCCATAGGAGAAAAAAACTAGAATATTTCTTTCTGAAACCTGAAGCCCAGGCCGGGCATGGTGGCTCACGCCTGTAATCTCAGCACTTTGGGAGGTTGAGATGGGAGATTGTTTGAGCCCAGGAGTTTGAGACCAGCCTGGGCAACATGGTGAAACCCCATCTCTATTTAAAGAATAAGGCTGGGTGTGGTGGCTCACACCTGTAATCCTAGTGCTTTGGGAGTGTGAGGCAGGTGGATTGCTTGAGTTCAGGAGTTTGAGACCAGCCTGGGCAACATGGTGAAACCCCATCTGTACTAAAAATACAAAAATTAGGCGGGTGTGGTGGCGCCCGCCTGTAGTCCCAGCTACTCAGGAGGCTGAAGCATGACAATCACTTGAACTTGGGAGGCAGAGGTTGCAGTGAGCCGAGATCATGCCACTGCACTCCAGCCTGGGTGACAGAGAGAGACTCCGTCTCAAAAAAATTAAAAAATTAGGCTGGGCGCAGTGGCTCACGCCTGTAATCCCAGCACTTTGGGAGGCCGAGGTGGGCAGATCACGAGGTCAGGAGATTGAGACCATCCTGGCTAACACGGTGAAACCCCGTCTCTACTAAAAATACAAAAAATTAGTTGGGCATGGTGGCAGGCGCCTGTAGTCCCAGCTGCTCGGGAGGCTGAGGCAGAAGAATGGCGTGAACCCGGGAGGCGGAGCTGGCAGTGAGCTGAGATTGCGCCACTGCACTCCAGACTGGGCGACAGAGCGAGACCTGTCTCAAAAAATAAAATAAAATAAAATAAATAAAAAAATTAAAAAGAAAAAGAAAAGGAAACCTTAAGCCTAGTTATTGAGGTAGACAGGATGCTACCCCTGCCCTGTCATTTTATTTAAAAGAAGCATTTAAGCCTAATGAACACGAGCAGTTCTAATGTCCGTTGGAGGGGAGGTAGCATTCACAGTTCATAGATTCATTTAGCAATTACTGATTGAGCATCTTCTGTGTGTCTAGTTATCTATGCTCTTAGGCGCTGGGGATGTGGCAGTGAACAAGAACAGATGTAAATGACAAGAGATGGATGGTGGTGATGGTTGCACAATTGTGTGAATGTACTTAATGCCACTGAACTGTATACTTAAAAATGTTCAAAATGGCTGGGCATGGTGGCTCACGCCTGTAATCCCAGCACTTTGGGAGGCCGAGGCGGGTGGATCACCTGAGATTAGGAGTTCGAGACCAGCCTGATCAACATGGAGAAACCCCGTCTCTACTAAAAATACAAAATTAACCGAGCGTGGTGGCGCATGCCTGTAATCCCAGCTACTCGGGAGGCTGAGACAGGAGAATCGCTTGAACCCGGGTGGCGGAGGTTGCAGTGAGCCGAGATCCCGCCATTGCACTCCAGCCTGGGCAACAGAGCAAGACTCCATCTCAAAAAAAAAAGTTTCAAATGGTAAATTTATGCATATTTTACCAGAATAAAAAAAGGCAGTTAAGACAAGTAAGATGCTGTGTCATGGGGCTAGATCAAGCACTTAGGGGTGGGGTGTTAGGGACTTTGAACGGGGCCTCTACCCTGCGGGAAGGGCTGAGCTGGAGGGATCTGTGGGCCCCTGATCAAGAAAGAAGCAGGAGCTGTAACCCAGCCTGGCTTTGGAACTTGAGGCTGCCCAGTGGAATCTGTTGTGTGTGACGGAAGGAGGCAGCTGCACTGGATGGGAGAAACTGGAGGGACTCTGTGGCTGCCAGGGCCAGCTGCAGGGCACACAGCTGCACTCTGAGGCTGGCACCTGCCTCCTTCACTTACCCAAGGCTTTTCCTCCTGTTTTTGTTTCCAGACGGCCATCCTGAGACGACAGGGTCGATACATATGCTCAACAGTGCCTGCGAAGGCGGAAGAGGAAGCACAGAGCTTGTTTGTTACAGAGGTAAGGCTCTTTCCTGCATTAATTTACATTTTGAAGTCATTTTCCCCTAACTGCCTCCTTTTCTTTAAATTTCAAAATTGTCAAGGAAGTGTCAAAAGGGTAATTGTATTTCTATGATGGAAGTTCAAATAGAATAATGTGAATTTTTCAGACTCTGAAACTTGGACAGAAATGTCCACAGGGGCTATTTCTTTTTTACATTTTTATTATTTTTAAAACTTTATTTATTTGGAGGGGGCTATATCTGACTACAAAAAGTGAATTCCACAGAATTTATCTCATGGACTTAAAATAAGCAGTAACTTGTAAATGAATTCACTGGAAATCTGTGGGAGGTCTTGTTATTGATACTGTTTTTAAGGGTGACACACACATTTATGTATCATTTATTTCATTTATACATTTATATTTGCAAGTTATTTTTGACTAGTATTCATGAAGTACTAGCTGATAATAAGCAGGGTCTATCGCTAGTCAATATATATTATTATATATATTGATTACTATATATATTCCTAATCAAGATACATTGATTAATATTATTTTTGTTTGAAAATGCAAATAAAATTATCTTATGGAAGAAAGATAAATTATTTACTTTTTTATTTTTATTTTTATTTTTTGAGACAGAGTCTTGCTCTGTTGTCTAAGCTAGAGTGCTGTGGAGCAATCTTGGCTCACTGCAACCTCTGCCTCTCCTGGGTTCAAGTGGTTCTCCTGCCTCAGCCTCCCAAGTAGCTGGGATTACAGGCGTGCACCACCACGCCTGGCTAACCTTTGTATTTTTAGTAGGGACAGGGTTTCAGCCTGTTAGTCAGGCTGGTCTCAGACTCCTGACCTCAAGTGATCTGCCCGCCTTGGCCTCCCAAAGTGCTAGGATTACTGGCATGAGCCACTGTGCCTGGCCAGAAAGAGAAATTATTACAATTTAGGTTGTTTGCTTTAGTTTTTCCCCTTGGAGTGTTTGTTTTTTCCTCCAGGTAATTTTAGGTAGGAAGGAATAATTAGATGTTTTAATTTTGTTTCTTTAAGTGCACCTTCATTTAAAAATAATGATTTTTTTTTAATCCTGGTTTTTCTAGTTGATATTTAGATCATAAATATGCTCATCAATAAAATTGCTTACTATAAGGAAGCTATAAATACTCTTATAAAGACCAATTAAATAACAATATTTAATTTCCATTGAGATTTTTGAAAAATTAAATATAAAATTAAAAAATTTTTAAGTGTGTTCCCTCATCTTTCTGAAGAAGTAACTTCCTGTCTTACCTCCTTTGCCACTATATTAGTAAACTTAATTCCAGACAAATACAGCCAGATATGTTTGTGAATGTAGTTATAAATGTCTTTTTAAGGCAGGTAGTGGCAAACTATGACCTGCAAGCAAAATCCAGCCTGTAGCCAATTTTTGTAAATAAAGTTTTATTGTAAAGCAGCCAAGCACATTTGTTTACATATTGCCTATGGCTACTGTCACCATGCAACTCAAAGTTAAGTAGAGATAATATGACCCTCAAAGCTGAAAATATTTATGATCTTGCCTTTTACACAAAAAGTTTGTTGACCTATGTTTTAAAGCATGTGGCAAAATTATTAATTGCTAACTCAGTTCTCCCAGTTGATTAAAAAAATATGGTTTTTTGAGGGAGAACTCTCCATTAAGTTATTTAATCACTGCAGGTTGAGCAATAGCTGCTTCATCCTATGCTGCTGGAGCCAACATAACTAAACACTTTTGGGACCCTTCCACTTGGGTGGAGTGAACATCACTTCCTCTTCATCCTCTGATCCAGGGAATGACCTAATGGCTTAAAACAAAGCAAAACAAAGCAGAAAAAAACTTCAAAAACCTTTCAGTGTAACTTCAAAATATTATTGAATTTCACCAGTTTGAAATGTTAATCGTATAATCAGTCAGTCACATTCCTGTCTTTTTGAAGGTACAGTTCTCAGGATCTGGCTTTCTGATGGAACTCCTTATCTCCTAGACTTTCTGCATCCCCAGAGGGGTGGGGGTTGCTTGCCTAATTCTGTGCTTCTGCTTTGGAATTTAGCCAATGCCTGCTATGTAGATGGTCAACACTGGCTTGTTAAATCAATGAATCTCTAAATACTTAGCCAGGTTCACTGTGGAGTTTTTTTTTGTTTTTTTTTTTTTTTGTATGTGCGATTCCTTATAATTATAAATATATGAACATAATAAACTGTAATTATTTTCCCCATTTTGCCTAAGGTATTAAAATCTTGGCCAGGCGCAGTGGCTCACGCCTGTAATCCCAGTACTTTGGGAGGCCGAGGCGGGTGGATCACGAGGTCAGGAGTTCGAGACCAGCCTGACCAACATTGTGAAACCCTGTCTCTACTAAAAATACAAAAAGTAGCCAGGCGTCGTGGTGTTCGCCTGTAATCCCAGCTACTCGGGAGGCTGAGGTAGGAGAATCGCTTGAACCCGGGAGGCAGAGGTTGCAGTGAGCCAAGATTGCACCACTGCACTCCAGCCTGGGTAACAGAGCAAGATTCCGTCTTAAAAAAAAATAAATAAATAAATAAAAATCTGGGCTCCATTCATAAATGCATTTATAATATACAAATTTATGCTGGTTTATTTAGTTTTTAATTGGGCAGGTACATTTTATACTTCAGAATAGTTTTAATGTCCTGCAGGAGACTTGGTGGTACAATTTCAGTTCTAGAGCTTGTTGAAAAACCGCTGTAGCTCTTTGAAGAGAATAGGATCACACCCACAAGACCACGTCGTACATAGTCAGGCCTGACTACTTAGCTGTGCCAGTGGACCTAGGGGCAGTAGTGGGAAAATCCAAAACTATGGATTATTCTGAAATCTGACTGGTTTTGGAATGAAATTTTGAGTGTGAATGTATGATACTCAAAATGTGAAAATGCTTTGAGAAATCTAAAAAAATCATTTTCAAGGATAAAATAGCATTTTAAAATATTCTTAACTACAGAGTAAAAAAATCAAAAAGTTTGCCAGCTCCAAAATCTGACTTTGCGCTTAGCCCTTCTCTGCCATTTATTCCACCTCTCAGAATAATTTTAAAAACTTACATTACCTTCACATCACACATCACACCCTTGCCAGTAAAGTGCTTATTGTAGAGCCTGGCACAAAATAAGCACTTGCTGCTGTTGTAATTCTTACTTTCATGAGTTTGGAGGTGGAGGGGAGTTTGCTTCAGAAGACCTTCAGGCATGGCCTGTGACACAGATAGAAAGGTTGACAGTAGAAACGATGAAGTGAAAGAAGCAGAATAGAGACGTTGTTCATGTTAGTTACAGCCAGAGCCAAATAAACTAGATAAGGCATAAATACATTTATCGACCTATGTTTTCATTGATTCACTCATGCTTTTTTTCCACCCACACTGAAGTCTGCACATAAATAGTCAAGTGCTGACTGGACAGAAGATCATTTGAACTAAGCTGATTTTAACTAAAATTCTTTAGCTTTTGATTTTGACTCATTCATATTTGAAGATCTGGTGGATGTGGCATTATAATCTTAGGCTTTATGCACTATTGGAGGATCTTCATGGGTGGATGAACGACGGACACCAGGCTGGCCCATTGAATCTGTCATGTGGCGAGGTAGTTTGAATGCAGTCTGTGTAGGTGAGGTCACTAATAGAATCCTTGGCAGTGGAAGACTACATTAAACATTCTGTACACACACACAGATGAAAATGTCATGGTGCTAATATTAATTGGAATGCATATGTTTCTTCCTAATTATTTCACTCTTTTCCTTATGAATGGAAAGAAAAACTGAGGGCAGATTTATATGGTAATATTAACTAACAGAGCTAGCTAGTTCTAATATTAGTAAATACCATGAAGGCGTCTTTAAGTTCACGCATCCTATTCACTTTTATGTCATAGTAGAGGCCACATGGCTTTTTAAGAACCAGGTGCTTACTCTGAAATAGTCCATTGTTAAGTAAATGTCACAAGGTTAGGTGAAGTTGTCTCCTTGTAAAACCTGCTCTCAGATCATTAATGATGATAACTTAAAGTGATACTACCCCCAAGGGTAATGTTTCAGTGGTTCAAAGTCTCAAGCTTCACAGGAATCTCTGGTGGTGGAATTTCAGGCATTAGCTCGTTGATGGGAAAAAATTTTTTTGATGTTTCTATGGGTATGCCTTCACAAACTTTCCCAAGTGTTTTCCAAAAATCACGTCTTTCTGTTTTTTATTTTCTATTTTTAAAATCCCCCTTCAATAGTGCATCAAAACCTATAACTCTGACTGGCATCTTGTGAACTATAAATATGAAGATTACTCAGGAGAGTTTCGACAGCTTCCGAAGTGAGTAAGCTATATTATACACATAGGGAAAAGTCTTTGTACTTGAAATGCTTGGGGGGAGGTATGTAACTTCATATGCAATCAGAGTAATTGAGGAAAATATTTTTAGATGGTTTATGTGTATGTGGTGTAACTATTGTTTACAGGGCCTTTGATTGTAAGACTCAAACATGCTACTTTGGTATTGATAGGTAGTAATAAACATGTGGATGGTTTAATTATGTCCAGTGGTTCTTTTCAGGGTACCACTGATAAATAAATAGGTGAAATTTTTTCACTACAAAATATAAAACAAACAAAACGTAAGTGTACTGAAATATGCTGCAGTGCATTTTTTCCTTGAAAAGAATATTTTGAAGAAGATAATTATAAAGAGCATTTTACATTGAATAAATTTTATGTTTTTAAAAAAAGTAAATCAAGAAACAAGCATTTTCCCAGTTAAATTTTTTTTTTATCTCCTTTAATGTATTAACTTATTCTAGACTATACCAAAAGCAAGTGTATTTAGATTGAATAGTTGTGGCCAAAGTGAATCGCGGTAGCTAGGTATTGCCTTGACAGACTATCTTTTATAAAAGGTTCCATTGTGTGTTGCTTTAAAGGAATACCTGAGACTGGGTAATTTCTAAAGAAAAGAGATTTATTTATTTATTTTTATTTATTTAGTTTTGAGACAGAGTCTTGCTCTGTCACCCAGGCTGGAATACAATGACACGATCTCTGCTCACTGCAACCTCCACCTCCCAAGTTCAAGCAACTCTCCCGCCTCAGCCTCCCGAGTTGCTGGGATTACAGCCACTTGCCACCACGCCCGGCTAATTTTGTATTTTTAGTAGAGACAGGGTTTCACCGTGTTGGCCAGGCTGGTCTCGAACTCCTGAACTCAGGTGATCCACCTGCCTCTGCCTCCCAAAGTGCTGGGATTACAAGCATTAGCCACCGAGACTAGCCAAGAAAAGAGATTTATTTCGCTTATAGTTCTGCAGGTTGTACAAGAAGCATAGCACTGGCTTCTGCTCAGCTTCTGTTGAAGACTTTTGTGCTGCTTCAAAACATGATGGAAAAGGTCAAAGGGAAAGTTGGCACTTGTGAAAAGAGACCAAAGAGGAGGAGGAAACTCACTTTATAACAACCCATTCTCTTGGGTACTAATCCATTTCAGCAACAAGTAATCCCATCTTGCCAGGAACAAGAATTCACTCATTACTGTGAGAACAGCACCAAGCCTCTCATGATGGATCTGCCCCATAACCCACTAGGCCCAATTATGCAACAACGGGGACCAAATTTCAATCTGAGTTTTGGTGGGAATAAAAACCATATCCAAACCATAGCAGTTGGCAAATTGAATTATACTTGATTTTGGGAAAATTGAAAGCAAATAGTGATGGATTATGTTTTAAAACTAACCATCACCAATGAAAATATTACTTGAGACCTGATTAATGTATTTTTCTTTGCGTTTGTTACATCTTTGAGCTGGAACCTTTTATGCGGTTCTCAGTAGACCTAGCTGTTTGTTTTTCCTCCTTGTGTGGCTTTGCCACTCCTTAAGAATGTTCGGCCAATTCCCCGATTGCCTCTTTTTAAACCTCAGCCAGGAACACTCCCTCCTAGTATTATCTTCTCCAGATGGGTAGCCCTTTAGTTCTATATTTACCCAATCCTCCCTTAGGGATTTTTTAATTCTTCCCATTGGATTGGCTTAACCCATCTTTGTTGATCCTCTTGTTCATAGTCTCAGGGTTGAAAGATATCAGACTATGTCATGTCGTATACTTACTATCTAATAGACTGCTGGTACATTTTCTCTCTTGGCATTAATGAGAATTTCCAAATGTGTGATGAGAAAGAGAGGGAGAATTGTAACAGTGGTGAAGAACACAGATTCTGTGTTCTGCCTCAGACGACTCTGCCGTCTGTCAGCCTGATTTTCCTCATCTGTTAAATGGCCTTAACAACAGTCACCATGATTAAAGGATTAAATGAGAGGGCACATGAGAAGTGCGCAGGGCCTAGCACGTCATACCCATTGAGTAAATGTAAGCTGCTTATTGGTATTGGTGTCTTGTTTTTGTTGTGGTTAATACCATCATTGTTAATCGGTTTCAACGCAACAACTCAATCTTCCTTTTTTTCCTCATAAACTTTGTATTAAAAGTTATTCTACCAAGTCTTTGTTTATTAAAAACTAATCCACTTTCTTATTTTTAGTATGCCTGCTAACTCCCCAGAAGCTATGCTGTCTTTTCCACATAGCTTTTTGGAGCTTTCTTACTCAAGTCTCTTGGCTTACCCACCTTGAAAAGCAAGGGCATAGATGGTTTTATTCTTTGTCTGAATAAAGAAGCTGGGCCATCTTTGGATTTAGTAAAGGCCGGGCCCTATGATGGAGGAAGAAATGCAAAGCCTCTTCCTTGACTAGGCATTTCTAAAACAAATTTTCTTTGTTGTTTTTATAGCAAAGTGGTCAAGTTGGATAAACTTCCAGTTCATGTCTATGAAGTTGACGAGGAGGTCGACAAAGATGAGGTGGGATACCTGCTTGCTGTTGCTTCTCTTTTCACTCTAGATTTAAACATCAATTTTACAGACTTAGAAGATTAGTTAGAAAATTACCGACATTTAGCCAAAACAGGCATTGGAGTGTTACATGAAACGGGAATAATTTTTTAAAAATGTTATTGATTGATTGGAATAAGGTCTCTGTTTCAACTTTACTGCTTAGCATTTCATGTTCTCTTGGTTGTGTTTATTTGTTCTGAGATCATTTTCAAAGACTTGGATCAGATCTGGCTACATTGTTAAAAGATATCAAGATGACTTAGACCTTGAATTTAGGTTGTTTTTCAACAGATCTCGAAACAGCTGCCAGCCAGTAGATTTAAATGGCTATTTCTTCAATGATTGCTTTTAGTGAAGTCTGATTTGATCAAGCCCACTCCCCCTATTCCTAGAGGAAAGCTCATGGCTAAAGAACTATATAAAGGGAGTAGGGCATTGAGATGAGTCTGCCCACTGAGTGAGGGAAACCTCACAAGAAGACAATGCCCATCTCTGCATTTCTCATCCTCCCCATTGATTGTTAAGTGTCCCATTGTGAGTTTAGGTTTTTCCTTCTTTAAAAAAATTGTCAGCTGAGCTATAACATTAGCCACTCATTAAGCAATGTGCATGTAGCAAATTATTTTTATTCCCCCCATCACTTTATCTCTCCTTTCTGTATTGCCTCAATTTCCTCCCTTGCTTTATTCACCTTTCCCTGAACTAAGCCTCTGGGAAGGTTTCCAGGAATGTGCATGTGCTTTTGTCCTCTGACTATAGGGGAGTGTCATTTGAAAACATTTTTTCGTGAAACCAGGCAAGACCTTCCAACGTGAGTGGTCAGTTGAGGTATGTCCTTTTTGGTCCTTTTGTGGCTCATTAAACACTGACAAATAAAAATTTGGACAGGAGCTAGCTTTGCCTTTAATGGAATAAAGTTTTCAGAAATGTAGGCGGGTCTCTCTCTTTCACCGCTAAGTGGACTTTTATGTGACTTGTAGGCATTGGTGTCAATGGGTGCTTCAGTAAAGGGGCAATGGACAACTTGGCACAAAGGGAATGACCTTCCCATTGACCAAACTCACAGCAAGCAACCCAGGTAATAACGGGAGGTTGACTGCTGGTGTTTTCCTTCTCTCCTAGGATGCTGCCTCCCTTGGTTCCCAGAAGGGTGGGATCACCAAGCATGGCTGGCTGTACAAAGGCAACATGAACAGTGCCATCAGCGTGACCATGAGGGTGAGGACGCACATCACTTTGCCCTCCCCTCTCACAAGCCCTTTCTGCCATAGAGCTCGAGAACAATGCTCAAGATGAATGCGCATGCTGTTCTTCCCCACAAAAGGGACATTGTCTGATTCCTAGGATGCTCCCCTGGTGATAGCACCCCCATTGGCACAGCCTCATCCACCCACTTTCCCTCACTGTCTTCTGACCACCAGCATAAGGAGACCATCCCTGGGCTGGTGTGAAGGTGCAGACACTGACATAGGCTTTCTTCTCTGTAATAACTGAAAAGTGCTCTTTGGTACCTCACAGAATGTCACCAAGGGGCTATCTGTCATGCCAATCCTGAGCACTTCTGTGGAGGTGTACTGCAGCAAAGTCAAGTAAAGCAAAAATTGAGGACGAGAAAAGAAAATAGTTGCATAGAAGAGAAGGTTGCAGACAGAGAAGTCAAACCAATAGAAGAAGCTATTCAGGAGAAAAGTGGGACCAGAGGAACATCAGGATTAATAACAAAGGGAAGAGAAACAAGGGAGTCAGGGAGATAAAAATTAAGGAGGAAATGTGACTGTCATTACCCTAAGGCTGGAAAATCATTCAGCGTCATGAGGCAAAAAATAGTTCCCATTCTGTGAGCAAGAAACCCTGGGGATTTTAGAGAAAGTTTCTGTCCTTCTGTGCTGCATCCCAAATTGGAAGTCCCTGCACTGCTTTTGGGTAGTTATGTAAAATCTCTGATTCCGTGGGTGAGAAAAATGACCCATGGATATTAGGGGAACCACCTCCTCAGAACTGAGATGCAGTGAGCTTCTTAGATGGGATGGGGAGTCTTGACCCCACAGTGACCTGGAGCATCAGCTAGAGTGAGAACGGAAACAGGTTTTATGTATGTATGTAGTCATAAGTGGGTTATTGATAGAGATTGTGACCCTCTTCATTTTGAAAGAATAGCTGTGTGTATATTTTTCTCTCAGTCATTTAAGAGACGATTTTTCCACCTGATTCAACTTGGCGATGGATCCTATAATTTGAATTTTTATAAAGATGAAAAGATCTCCAAAGAACCAAAAGGATCAATATTTCTGGATTCCTGTATGGGTGTCGTTCAGGTAAATATGAAAAGAGTTTTACCATTATGTTTTCTTATCTGCAGTAGTGCTTATGTGTAAATTAGCAGATTTAAGCAAACACTTCCAAAAATGGCAATATGCATGGTAGAAATATAACATATAACTTTAAATGAGGCAAGCCTTGTTTTTCATCATTGTAGAAGATGGAAGGGATAATGTAGAGGCAGAATTATGCTGTGGCAGGCAGGAGCACTCTGGCTCGGCCACTTTATAGCTGCGTGACCTTTAACAGGCTACTTAATTCAGATAATGAGAATGTTTCTTTAATACGGCAAATGAGTACATTGGATGAATCAGTGCAGGAAAATATTTAAAACACTTCATAGTATCTCAGTGGTGATTTTTATCGCTAGCATTGTAGTACCAGTGGCGGTGTAGATCAGTAAAGAGATTAGGTTTCAGCGCAGATTGAGTTCAAATCCCTGCTCCTCCACTTACCAACTGTGTAACCTTGGAGATGTTATTTAACCTCTCTGTACCTCAGTTTCTTCATTTGTTAAATAAGGATAATGGCAGTACCAAATATGGTTACTGAGAGGGTTCATTCATTACACATGTAAAAAGCTTAGAACAGTGCCAACAAATGGTAAGCATTTGGTCAGTATTAGATAGTTTTGTTATCATAGGGCTGTTGTACTTTTATATCATAGGGCTTATGTACTTATCCTTTAAAATTATTGTTAATTAAAGATAACACATGAATGTATTTTTCTTGTAAAAAATCAGACAATACAGATAAAGTGAAAGTCCTTCTGGACTCCTCCCCTCCTTCAGTGTCTCTTTTCTGAGGGGAGCTACTACCAGTTTTGCATGCATCCTTCTGTAGCTTTTTAGCATTGTCTTTGGAAGAGAGTTGTCAATTTCCCTGTCCATCATCTGTCCATCCATCCATCCATCCATCCATCTGTCCACCCCTCCATTCATCCAGCCTTGCCACTTTCAAGGAAGATTTAAGGCAGCAGCTTATAAGCATACACAGGACATGGGATAGCATAAATTTAAAGTGGGGGTGAAAGCAGAAAGATGAACAGGGGATTGGGATAAGGGTGAGAGAAAATAGAGTTAAGGAGAAAGCGTATGTTTTGAAGATCTAACACCTGCTGTGGGTGGGCCACCACCTGGGCTCTATGCTTTCTCACTTGGAGACCTGTTTAGTCACGCAATTCACAGTGCACATGAGATAAAGGCAATCCAATTAGTCAGAAGCTGCCCAAGCAATCTCAGAATGAAGATCATTCAGGCATTTTTCTCAGGGTTCCCCTCACACAGAAGGCTCTGTGGTTGATGAACAATCTTCCTAACAACCCCTCACAAAAGATTCAGTCACCATTATCAAAGAATTCTCCCTTCAGATAACTCCATGATGGCTGATCACATCAGCCTGTAGCTCGATTCTGTAAGGAGACTGTTTGGTGGGGCCAGTGTGACACAGCTCTCTGGTTTGACTAAAGGTATACTTGTTACATATTTACATGTTTACCTAGAATTAAAGTGCATTTTCTTCCAAGGAATACATTTGTCTGATTGAAACAGCCCAGCCCTGCAGTGGCTCACGCCTGTAATCTCAACGCTTTGGGAGGCAGAGGCGGATGGTCAGGAGTTCAAGACCAGCCTGACCAACATGGTGAAACCCCGTCTCTACTAAAAATACAAAAATTAGCCAGGCGTGGTGGTGGGTGCGTGTAATCCCAGCTACTTGGGAAGCTGAGGCAGGAGAATCACTTGAACCTGGGAGGCGGAGGTTGCAGTGAGCTGAGATTGCGCCATTGCACTCTAGCCTGGGTGACAGAGCGAGACTCCATCTCAAAAAAAAAAAGAGAAACAGCCCAGCAGTGCTGAAGGGCAGTGCTTCACCCCTGCATCACCTTACCCACTCACATCCTATTCCCTTGAAATAGTAGTGGTGCTAGATCACAAGTGTTCACTGCTGTTTCTTCATTCATCAGTTTTGGACGTCATTGCATGATTTCCTGTGCTGGTAGATCGGATTTTAGCTCCTGGCACCCTCCTTTGGCCTCTAGTCTGGATGAATTGCTTTCCTGCCCCACACACCTGCCATGTAGACATTCGGCCTGTCTTCCTTCCTGTGTTGGGTTTCCTGTTTCTGGGACCTTATGCCTTCCTCTTTCTTGTTCTACTTTCTTGTTTTGGGGGAGCACATCTTCTGCAGCTTTCTGAGGAATTGTGTGTGAGATGTTAATTTTTTGAGAATTAGGGTATCTGTTCATATCTTAATTTTTGCATTCATGCTTGACTCATAGTTTGGCTAGTTATAAAATTCAAAGTGAAATCATTTTACCTTGGAATTTCAAGGGCATCCCATTGCCATCTAGTTTCCACTGTCGTTTGGAAGGTTCTGATGTTATTCGAAATCCCTGTTCTTTGTGGTCTTCTCTTTAGTGTTCTAAAATTTTGGTTGTTGTGTCTTGATTTTTATTTTATGCTTTGGTAAGCTTTTTTGTTAAGTTATAACATATAAATAGAAAATAAGGTATAACATATAAATAGAAAATATATGCCTAATGCATGTGTGACTCGGTGGATCTTTCTGGAGCTCGGCTCTTTCTTATCTTTGTGCTGTTTTATTTCCCGTCATTCTGGAGACTCTGCCCTGCATATTCTGGCCACCTTGGTCTTCCCCAGGTCTCGTCAGTGTCTTCTACTCAGCAAGATGGCAGGGCTCTTTTTGGATTCCCCTTCCTGTGCTGCAATTCAGATACTGCCTCCAGGCAGAAAGCTGAGGCAATTTGGGGCTCACTTCAGTCTTTCCCTTCTACAGAGAAAGGGCTGCACTGCCTTTTGTCCCCTATCTGAAAACAGTTATTTCATGTATTTTGTCCACTTTTCTAGCAATGATGGTGGGAGGCTAAGTCCAGATCCTGTTTCTTCCTTATGGTCAGCAGTGGAAGGGAGGGGTCCAGAATCAGATGTCTGCAGGGACCAAGGAGGTCAATTAAGTGACAGAGAGGCCTGGTTGCAAAGCAATAGGGAATGCCGGGGTGACCTGGAGCCCAGTGCCCCATTTAAAGGGGGCATCTCCTGCCCACCTGCAGCTGGTGCCGCCAGGTGGAACCCCCGGCTCAAAGGTGCCAGATCATCTGGTTTCTCAAAAAGCAAGAAATACAGAATTTGAGTTAAACTTTGGTAACTTTAGTTATTGGTAACTAACTTTAAAAACCACTTTGAAAAATAAATAAAAAACACCAACAGGTAATTTGAGAGGATACAAAAAGCAAACAAACAAAATACCACTGTGCAGTACCCCCGCCCTGCCGAAAAAAAAAAAAAGAAAAAAAAAGGTAAAATACATGAAAGTATATTTGGGCCCACGTTCAAGACTGTAGCACCACTTAATGCTCACTGAAAATTGTTTTCAGTCAACAGCTAATGTGGATGTCTCTTAGCTGGCAATTCAGCCTTCTCTGAAGGCCACCACTATGAACAATCTAATTATATCAGAGTATGTTCATTGACAATGTCTGTGAAGTAAGGAGTGCCAGAGTGATTTATCAGTGACAGTGAATTGACTTCTTGGGTGGGATTCCCAAGTAGGAGTTTTATTTGTATTCTTTAGTCAAAAGACCTTTAAGTTACTTTTTAGCTGAATTTTCTGGCACTGACTTTAAAAAGAAGGTTAAAGCAAAACTAAATGTATTTGGCAACCTCATTTTTTAAAGTAGGAAGTAATTATTTTTGTTTTATAAGAGAGTTTTGCTGCCTGTTTCTGGCCCAGGGACAGATGTTTATAAGTACAACTGCCCTGAGCTATCAATTAGTCTCCGGGGTGCATTTCAAAATCTAAGGTTCTGACTTCAATGGAAGTCTCTTCCTTCAAATTGTCTTTGCAGATGCAGCTGATGGTGTTTTCATTTAATAAAGTGTATCCAAGGCTTCAAAAGAGTAAAATAATTTGTTTTTATCTGTGTCTGTTTGTAAACTAAGCATCAAAAGTTGTGATTTAAGTGTTTTTAAAAATTATTACTTATGGATATTATAAAAAAATTAGTTGACTGGTGCTGTGAATTAAAAAAAGTGCCTAAACTAAAAAATTTTGAAGCATTTTAGAACCCTTGAAATTTATTATACTTATTTTGCAGATGAGAAAACTGAGGCTCAGAAACAGAAATTTAGAATTGAGGCCTAATGTTTTTTTCTCCACTTTTAACTTTCTCTTTTCATGATTGTGAGTATGCAGGGAAAGGAGGAGAGAAAATTCATTTTGTTTCAAGCCTTTGACTTCTTCCCTGGTTCTTGCCTTGAAGTTTAAGTGGAATCCAAAGTGGCAATTACTGAGCCCACAGCAGACAGTCTGTGCACAAGAGTGTGTGGCTTTGCCAAGGGGAGCACTTGACTTTGCATTTCTAAGAACTGTGCTGCAGAATCACAGAGACTTTTGGGAGGGTTGCCCTGTCCCTGAGACCTCCACCAAGGAACTCTTAGAGAGAGTGTGGATAACCCAGTAGGATTTTAGTGGCTATGCGGGGGGCTGTCCTGCTGGCTCAGGTTAGTGGGAGTGTTTGATTTCATATCGCTCAGCCTGTCCTTACAGGGGATCTTGTGCCATGATCCTCAGAGCTGAACCTCTGTCTACTGCGGCCAACCTGGGGAGATTTTGCTCCCTGGAGGACATCTTGGAATGTCTGAAGACTGGCATCTATTGGCTTAAGGCCATAAATTTCGCTAAACATTGTACAATGCATGGACCAGCCACTCACAACAAAGAATTGGCTGCCCAAGTGTCAGTAGTACCGAGATTGAGAAATCCTGGCCTAGTGCATGTTCATCTTCCGTCTGTTACTGCACATGGACTACTGTTCTTGTTCTGTGAGCCAGTCACCCTCTTGCAGGCATGAAAACTGGAGGCATGAGGCAAGGCCACGGACAGGGAGTCCAAATACCTTTTGGGATTCATAAAGGATGGGAAAGTTCCAGATAAGTAAGCCAAACATAGTAATAGATAATGGTTGGCTTTTAAAAATGTAATACCATACACTACTTCATTAAAAAAATAGGAGCTGAAGAAATATGAAAATTTTACATGAAATTTCATTTATTCAACAAATATTTTTCAAATACCCACTATGTGCAAGTCACTGTAGAGTCCATAGAGACTAAGGATGTGTAGCACTGACAAAAATGGGAGCACTGAGGAGGTTTCATTCCACTGCAGGGACACACAGTGAATCAGATGAGTATGTAAAGCAGGTAATGAGTCAGAAGGAAAAATAAAGCTTGCAGAAAGTGAAGCAGGGAAGGTGGACGGTAATGGGATTTCATGGGGGGGGGCTTTCATGAGGAGGGGGCAAGCTATTTAAAATAGCTTGGTTCTAAATGCCAATGAGATATCACTCACCAACAAGAGAGAGTAATTATTTTAAAGCAGTTCTAATTCTTTTAAAGTATGTCTGTTTATCCTTTTTTCATTTCAGAACAACAAAGTCAGGCGTTTTGCTTTTGAGCTCAAGATGCAGGACAAAAGTAGTTATCTCTTGGCAGCAGACAGTGAAGTGGAAATGGAAGAATGGATCACAATTCTAAATAAGATCCTCCAGCTCAACTTTGAAGCTGCAATGCAAGAAAAGCGAAATGGCGACTCTCACGAAGGTAGATAGGCTTGGCTTCCCCCAGGCACATACACACTCTGTGGGTGTCTTTATTTTTGCCAGGTGGGTATAAGAAGGAGACCTGTGTTACACAAGTACATGAGAGGTGGGACGGATAGGAGCTCTTTACAAATATCCTGTCAGCAAAGGTTTTGTCACATTATAACTTACTTCCCTGACATTTCGTATATGGAAATCATGTAATGGGAAGAACCAAAGCTTTGGAGGCAGAAAGGGAGACCTGGGTTTGAGTGCCATAAATACTGTATTTCAGCTGTGTAGCCCTGGGTAAACAACTTATGTTTTCTGAGCCTCAGTTGACTCACCTATAAAATGGGAATAAACATGAAAATTGCTGGGAAGATGGGAAGTGTAAATAAGAAAATGAATCTCAAGTATCTGGCATAGAATTTTACTGTATTATAAAATATTAGTAATAATTAGAATGCATGGGAGCCTCAGATTAAATTGGTGAGAAAAATCTGGCTATGTTCTTGACAATTCATGTTTTACTTCAACCCTTAGGTGATTCCCAACCCTGGCTTCCCCTTAGAAGTACCTGGGAGCTTTTTAAAAATACCATTTACCTGGTCCCACAAAAGATTCTGATTTAGTTGGTCTGGGGTGGAGCCTGGGCAGGTCTGACTTTTAGGGGGTCTCATGGACGTGTCCATGTGGGCTGTTGTTCATAGCTAGTGTCAGTTCTAATTGGACGGTGTCCATGCTATACCAGCTGCTCAGTGTTTTGACTTTCATCACTGAGCCTGTGGATCAGTATTTTTTCAAAGCACCCCAAGTGTTTCCCAGGAGCATCCAGAGTGGGGAACCACTGTGTTCATTTGAAGGCACCTAAGAGAAACGGCCTTCCTCCTCCTGTTTCAAATGAAATGCTATGAATTACAAGTGATTCCGATAATCTGTTTTGCCATTTTAGATGATGAACAAAGCAAATTGGAAGGTTCTGGTTCCGGTTTAGATAGCTACCTGCCGGAACTTGCCAAGGTAACATCGTCTTATATCTTCTGCTCTTCGTTGAATGCTGTTGAAGTATGTCTCATTTCACTGGTTTGTCCAGAATGGAATCTGTTGAAATCATAAAAATTACATTGTGATTACCTCTCTCTTTTTCTGACCTGATTACGAGGTGACGTGTACTCATGCAGTATGATTTCAGGTCTGTCTTCTAAAAAGTACCCTACAAAGCATTCTCCTTTTATTATTATTTTAAGTGTTTTTTTCCCTGATAATGCTTAACACTGCATCACAGGTACTGAAGAAATAACTGAAATATGCAGGCAGATGTTCTCATAATAGCATCGTACTTTCTATGTTGATACATGTGCTCTCCCTTACTCAGGGTAATAGACACGGTTCCAAAGAGGAAGGACCTGGTAATCTTGCCACGAAACCCGGGGGTTGCCTGAGTTACAGAAATTGTTTCGGGTCACTCTTACTGGAAAAAAAATAAGCTATTCCTGTGTCTTACAATTTTGAGAAATTTAAAAGTTACTGAAAAGCACAAAGAAAAGCAAATCAACCATACTGCTACTTCCCAGATTAAATATCTATTATGATGTTGCCTTTTTAGCTTCCATATTCTTAAAAGATATAAAACATCGGTTATAGTTGAAGTTCTTTTTAAACACTGTCCTTATTCCCATTCTCTTCTTCTCCCACAACCCCAATCAGAAACAAGCACTATTAAAAGTTTTACTTTCATTTTTATATCTTTACAAATAAATCTATCATAATGATATATACAGTATGATTTAGTATGTTTAAAAATGTTTTATAAATGCTAACATACCATATGTATTCTGCACTTTAAAAAATTTTTAAATTTACCCCTTTTATTTGTACTATATAGACTTTTTATTTTAGCTGTTCTATTATTTTCATTTTTTTCTATTATAAACAAAGCTACAATGACTGTCCTTGTACTTGTGTCCTTGTGTGTATCTGAATGATTCTTTCTTAAATGAGAGAAATATCTTTGTCTTCTCTAGCCCTTTGCACTCTTACTCTGTTACTGCCCTTCTATTCTTTTTTGATACTAGAGTGAAATGGCGACCCTCCACACCCACATCTTAAACACTATAATAGAAACATGGTTTATCTATATAGGATTATAAATAGACCAGCATTCAGCATTGACCTTTATTTTAAGACAACATGGCTGTTCTCAAGTGTAAAATCTCCCTCCCTGGCTAGGGCTTTAGAGCATTGTTTTTCTTTAGGACTTGACTGCTACCACAGTATCTTTTTAGCACCTGCCTATTAAAGCTAATTTTAGTGCCACCATTGTAAACCACCTCCTAGTCTGGGAAGAGTTTTGGCTTGTGTGTTTGTGTTATGAATGTCTGTGTATCATATTTTGCATTGAGATTTGCTTTTTTGTTTCTGGATGTTTGGGGGTTCATAATTTCTCAAAACAAAATATTTGTGCCCATTTGGGTTTTAGTTTGTTGCAGCAGGTAATATATGTGATGCCATCTAGAATTCAGAAAGTAACCTTCTGCACTTACTGGGTGAACGGAATGGATACCTAGGAGAAGATTCATGTTATTTGAGCCTAATGTTGATTAATTAAAAATCTATGCTTTTTCCTATGAGGATATACAGGAACGGTCCCCTCCTTCTCTTACTACCCAGCCAATATAATTCAGTATTGTTTGATCCCAAGACCTAGGGAGATTTTTTAAGATATACATATATTTAATATAAATGTATACATTTATGTATATATACTTTTTTATAAGTATAATTGTATATTTTGTCATTTAAAATATTTGGAACTATTTTTAAACTATGGGTTACAAGTTAGGTTAAGCCATTTTAGTTGGTGAAATCAGTTTGATTTCAACCCCTGCTTCTTTTTGTTTTGTTTCTATTTAGTTTTTTATTCTTTTTATTGAGGTATAATTTGCAATAGCAGAATGCTCAAACATGAATTGTAGAGCTCACTGGAGTTCGCATTTGTACACTGATATAAGCAGCCCTCAGGCTAGCTTGTACCTGAGACCCTCTTTATTTTGACCTCCATCACCGTAGATTAGTTTTGACTTTTCTAGACCTTCCTGTGAATGGACTTATACATGTACTCTTTGTGTCAGGCTTATTTAGCTAAACATGTGATTCACTTTAAGAAGTTTTTTTTAGGTCGGGCATAGTGGCTCATGCCTGTAATCCCAGCACTTTGGGAGGCTGAGGTGAGCGGATCTTTTGAGGTTAGGAGTTCAAGACCAGCCTTGCCAACATGGTATAAAACCCTGTCTCTACTAGAAATACAAAAATTAGCTAGGCGTGGTGGCAGGTGCCTGTAATCCCAGCTACTTGGGAGGCTGAGGCAGGAGAATCATTTGAACCTGGAAGGCAGAGATTGCAGTGAGCTGAGATCATGCCACTGCACTCTAGCCTGGGTGACAGAGCAAGACTGTGTCTCAAAAAAAAAAAAAGTGTTTTTTTAATGTAATAGAATTGAATGGAGAATATGAAAGTACACTGCCCTTAATAATGACATTATTTTTTATATAAAATACTGTCATTATTATTTTGGTGGCACCTGCCACCATGCCTAGCTAATTTTTGTATTTCTAGTAGAGACAGGGTTTTATACCATGTTGGCGAGGCTGGTCTTGAACTCCTAACCTCAAAAGATCCACCCACCTCAGCCTCCCAAAGTGCTGAGATTACAGGCATGAGCCACTACGCCCGACCTGAAAAAAAACTTTTTAAAGTGAATTACATAATTTTTTACATAAAATAATGTCATTATTAAGGGCAATGTACTATTTATACATATAGTGTGTATGTGTGTCTTGCATAGTGATATAAAAGATATTTGTTTTTCTTAGTGTGCTATTATGTATATTTATTTACTTTCATTGGTATATAATGTACCTATTTTGGGAGTTCATGTGATACTTTGATATCTGTATACAATGTGTGATGATCAAATCAGGATAATTGGGATAGCCATCACCTCAAACATTTATCTTTGTGTTGGGAATTTGAAACATTTCTTACCAGGAGTCATGGTCAAAACCTGAAAAATGAATCCTTGTTAGAGGCTTTTACTCTTTCCCCCTGGCTTTCAGGTGTTTTACAAATACTTTTATTTAGGAAGGTAGAAAGGTGGAAAGTAATTTTTTGAAGGGGAAAAGAATGAAGAAAATGGAGATGAGTTATTCACTCAGCACATGGGTATCTGTGGGCTTTGCCTTTTAAAGCCCAGCTTGGTGTCAGTGTGAGCAGCCCAGGCAGTAAGGGGAGACCTGTGTTCCCCATCCCCAGCCTTGAGCAAAAATGCAGTTTTGGCTGTTTATCATCCCCCTTCAGGGTGTCTGAACTATTTGCACCGGTTGAGAAGGCAAAGAAGTTGACCTGATAACTGTTGGTCATCCCATTAGGAAGGATGGATTCCATGGTTACAGAATCAGAGACTGAAGTATGCAGAGGGAGGGGTGGGGAGAGAGAACTGTGCAAGGAGTTTACCCAGGGTATGAAGAGGTAAAGAGGTCAGTATCAGGGAAGGAAGGTGCAAGAAAGGGTCAGGCTGGGAGGCTGGGCCACAGTTCAGTAAGATTACAAAGAAGGGCCTAGAACAATGAGGGCAGGCAGAAGGTGGCTGAAGGTGTAATTTCATGGCAGGTTCCTTTTCTAATCAGCTCCTCTAACCTCCTTCATCCTGTTGCCCCGGCTTTTGTTTTCCACTGTGACTAAGACATAGCCAAACAGGATATGACCGACAGGAAGTTGTTTCAGTGCAAAAATAACTGATGTCTCATTCTGGAATATTATGGAAGGGCTCATTACTTACAGTGTGAGTGATGTAAACCCAGGTTTTCAGAATATTTTGTATAATCTTGGAGCTTATGTTTGTACATTTAGTACTGAACATCTGTATTGTTTTCTTATTAGAGAACACACTGTATTTACCCTAAAACTGGTTCTTTTCCTCCTATTGTCTATTATGGAACCAAACAATTTTTATTGTAAATGTAACAGTGTGTAGCATCAGTCTTATAAATATTTTAGTTTGATACACAAACCGTAGTTCAAGTTAGTTAATTGATTTCTTCCCTAGAAAGTCAAGGAGTAACATAATCAGGTTATAAACTTCATTACTAGTTATTTAATAATTTATTTCTCTGGTTACATTTATATCTTAGGTGACATCAGAACATATATGTCACCTCCTTAAAGATAGTGTGAAGAAAACCCACCTTATGTTTTCTTCCACAGCTTTTCTGTTTGTGAGCTTTTATTTTTGTACTCAAAGAATAGCATCCAACTTTTACTTTGGTTTCCCCATGTGGTTCTGAAAGAGAAGTAGAATTTCTTCTAAATCCGGAATTGCTCACATCCTTTTACCTTTTAACTTTGTTTTAAGCAAATGAACTTATTGTTCCAGGTAAATCTTCCACAGTTGCATGCAGGGGAAAGTATGATGTCTCAGACTTTATAGTCTCATGGAGATGGAGTGAGGATCAAGGGCCATGCTCAGCAGAACTTGTCAGGACCCAGCAGTTTCACGGACACCTTTTCTTAATTTTTAAACCAAGTCTATAATAAGTGCTTTCTTCCCTAGATTCCAATCCAGAAAACAATATCATTGCACTATTATACAAAGGAGCTGGCTAGGCTTGTGTCTGTGGGGTCAGCTGGTGTTGCATTTCTGGGCCTCCTTTGTGAAGAGGATGAACTGATGGTCCTGAGAAGTTAGGTGTCTTGGAAGTAGTGGAAATAAATCATGATAACTCTTTAAATTAAAGATTATATATTTTGGCCTCAAAACATTTTGCAAAGTCCTCCTATTCCAACCCAATCTGTTTAAATGACCCAACATTCAACACATTGTTTCTGATAATTCATCCTCAGAATAAGATGCTGTTGGCCATAATCTTTGTCTCTAGATTGTTTTATCTACTCGCAAATAAATTTAAGACACAGAGTATGCCTAAAGCCTACAGCAGACTTTCTGGAAACTCTTGAATGTTTGGTCCATAACTACTTCTTAAGACAAAGAAGAAAACCTTGTCAGGGTGTGTCATTAGTGCTTGAATGTAGGGTTTACAGGATGGGGTGGGGTGGGGGAATCGCCCTTGGTTTAGATGAATCATTCTTTTCCTTGTCTTCTCAGCAAACACCAGTTTCTACAGAGAACAGCTCTGCCATTGTGCATTTTCTGTCTCCATTTTCCTCTCATTCTCCTCTCCACGAAACCCAGAGTAGTCAGTGGGCTTTGGGCAGGAAAGTGGCAACAGGGTGTCTGGGGAAAAGCCAGTTGGCTCTTCTTACCATCACAATATAGACTGACCACAGGTTATTTTAAGAGCAGAGCTGGTTTCCATCACTCTGAGAAGTGCTCAACTACAGACTTTGGGATGATATTTGTTATAGCTGTATTTTCTCCACTCTTAGATTGTGAAAGTACATATTACAAGTATTTATTTTATTATCTTTACTAAAATTTTAATTAAAAAGAAGCGTGCTTGCCGCAATAAGTAAAAATACCCAAAGTTGTTTAAAGAAAAGTTCACCTTTTCCCTTCATCCTCCATTCCCACATTCCTGAGAACACTGAAGTTAATAACCGGTTGCAATTCCCCTTTCACCAAACTGATTGCTCATAGAAATATAGATAAACATATGTAAGGTTTTTAAGTTTTTTTAATAAAAATATGTTCATGATATATACATTATTCTGAAATTTTCTGTATCACTTAAAAATATTTCATAGATGTCCCTCTGGGCCAGTGGAAGATCTGGTTCCCCCTTACATACATATCAGCAAGCTGCATGATATTTCAACTATTGCTACTGCACAGTTTATTCAGCCATCTCCCTATTAATGAACATTTAAGGTTTTTTTTTCAGTTTTTAGCCTCTACAAACAGTACACAATAAACAACATGACATTAAATACTTGTGCTCTTATTTCAGTAGGAGAAATTCCCCAATGTGGAATTTTTAAGTCAAAGTTTATTGTGTTTTTAATGCTTTAAACATTGCCAGGTTACCGTCCCAAAAGGCTATAACAATTCACATTTCTGTTTCTCTGCATCTTCACCAGACGAGTGTAAAATGGTATTTTACTGTGCTTTCATTTATATTTTGCTGGTTATTAGTGATATTTTTCATATTTTCATATATTTATTTGCCATTTGTGTTTTTTCTTCCTGACTTGCTTGTTCACATTGTTTACCTTGTTTTCTTCTGTCTTGTGTAGTGTAATAGTTTAGACTCTGAAGCCAGGCAACCTGAGTTAGAAGCCAGGCCTCTATTTCATGATGTAGGTCTTTGGGCAAAGTACCTAACATTCATGCCTTAGTGTTTTCTCTTTTAATGAGCAGGGATAATAATAGTACCTGCCTCCTAAGGTTGTATAAAATTAAAATGGGCACTTAGGGTAATATCTAGCAGGTAGATATTGGCTATTATCAATAGTAGCTCTTATCGTTACTATTCTTCCAGATACTGTTTCCTGACTCTGGGGCAAAGTCCTGCTACCCCTGAACCACATTTTTCTACCTCTTAGATTTTACTTGGTAATTCCATCAGCCACTGTTGGGCATCCTCTGTGTTTAATGCATCATCTTAGACCTTAGGAGGGATGGGAGGAACTTTAAGAAGCCGAATTTGCTTTTTATTTATCTTGTAGCAGAGCAATAGATGTATATTAGGTAGATTACAAGCTTTTAGGTTATTTTTGCATCTAAAGCTGTCCCTTCTTTTCCAATAAATGATGTCTGTGGTAAAGAATATATCTGTTGGGTGTTAGTGACAAAATCAGAATGCTTTGTGTCTATTTTGGCTAGTAGTTAATTGTTTTTCTTTTATTGTGTCTGCATTCCTATTTGTTCTTTAATTATACCGAGCTCATTAGCAGTTATTCTTGCTTTATTCATTTCTTATCTCCTAGCATAGTCAGCTCAAGACAACAAGCATCTTTCAGAAAGCCACTAGGAATTGCATCTACATTAAGAACCCACTCCTCTGCTCTAGCGTCTGAGAACATAACACAGTATTTGCCTTTGTTGAAGGGCTCAAGCGGACGATTCAGAAGTAGAATAGATAACTGTTGGTGGTGGCTTGCAGCACCTAGTACTGATGGTTTTGTTAGGAAACACCACAGGCAGTATACAATGTAAAGCAAGTTCTTTGGGTTCAGTTAAATAGATTCCACTTGCACGTGTTCTCACTCTTTTGGTGTGAAAAATTAGGAAAGGTGATAGGCAGGATAGAATAAAATGAAGTGGTCCCATCTCCCATATGGAGAGCGCCTGCCTCCACCACAGACACATGTTTTGCCCTGGAAGCATAAACAGAAGATTGCAGGAACGCCCCTTCACCTCCATAGCCTTCAGGCTCCCATCGATAGCATCAAGATAAACTTGGTGTGGCAACAGACTTGAGCCATCATCTTGTTTAACATTTTTACCTGGAAGTGAAAATGGAATCCAGAGAGGCTAAGTAGCTTGCACAGCTACTTAATTGAACTAGAACCAGAACCCAGTTTCTTAGTATTCTGGTGCCCATTTTATATAAACATAGACAGCTGATCATGGTAGTTTGGATCATTGCTAAAGACCTATTATATACAACAATCGTATGGCTAAGAAGATTAAGATGCTTATTTTCTCGTTATCCATGATTAGAAATGTAATAAGAGACTTTGTTCTGTCACCAACAGAAGAGACAAGACGCCTTTTCTGCTGTGGTTGTGAGTGCCCCATCAAGTGCTGAGATGTGACTCATGTCTTTGGGGAAAGTAGCAGATGAGAGAGTACATTCTATTCCGACTCCATAGACTTAACTGTGGAGACTGAGAGTAGTGGAGAGCTCAGACTGACAAGAAGAACAGAATATAGACTTAGAGGCACCAGGCATGAAAAATCATAAAGATGGAGATGACTTCTATCTTGTGAATGTCTGAAAAGCCTCTCTCTCTTTCTGTTCCCAAATCCTTCATCTCCAGCCCTCATCTCTGCCACCATCTGTCGGTTTTCTTCCGTGGCCTCTCTTCTGTCCACCTCTTCAATGTTGGGCCCCCAGGATTTTGTCTTCAGACTCACTTTCACCCTCTCCCTCAGGACATCTCATCCACTCCCAAGGCTGGAACTCCAGCCTTCCTCTCAGCCTTGCGCTTAAGTTTCATCCCTTTAGCTGTCTATTGGATGTTTCCAGTTGGAAATTCCACAGGCATCTCTACCCAGGCGTCTCTACACAAAGATGATAAAAATATTATCATCTTTTTGGCAGATTTGTTTTTCCTGAGTTTTCTGTCGTGTTCATGGATTCACCATTCAGCAGGCTGCCCAAGCTAGAAATGTGGGATTTGTTAATCGGCCCTGCTGTGAGACTGGGAGGCTGGTGTGATAACCCAAGAAAGACATTGTGGGCCTCTGGGTCTTATCCTTTTTAACCCATTGCCTCAGCCCTGCCCGAGTGATGCTTCTGAAATGTGGAACTCATTTTATTCTCTTACCTAAAAGGTTGCAGGATATTTTAGATTCTGAATGAAATCCCCAATCCTTTTTTTTTTTTTTTAAGTGAAAGCAAGTTTATTAAGAAAGTAAAGAAATAAAGAATGGCTATGCCATTGGCAAAGCAGCCCTGTGGGCTGCTGGTTGCCCATTTTTATGTTTTTTTCTTGATGATATGCTAAACAAGGGGTGGGAAATCCCCAATCCTTGGCATTCAAATCCCAGACTCATTTCTTTTCACTTTTTTTTTTTAATCATGCCCTGCCTTTCAGTTATGATGAGTGACTTGGTCATTGCTCAGGTGTGACTTGTCCCTTTGCACCTGCTGTGCCTTCTCCTAGAATGCGCTTTTCTCCTTTCCTGGCCAAGTGTTCTTGTCCTTCCAAATGGGCCTTCCCTTGGGAGGTGGTTTCTGACGACCACCCCCTAGTCCAAGTCAGCTCCCACTGTACTTTAAACTTTCTCTTGTCTTCCTTATTACCTGTTGATATGCTCTCTCCCCACCTGGTGTTCCTTGGGACTAGGGACTTCCTTCATTCACATTTCACATAACTTGAGGGCCTGGCTCATAAGAGGTGCTTAATGAATATTTATTGAATTAATTAGCATCTTGTCCTTCAAGATCAGCCATCATTTTCTCTATCTCATCATTCAAAATATATTCCTTCCTCTTCCCCTTCTTGCACCCAGTCACAGACTGGACTCTATTAAATCCTGTCTATCATCTGGGCTCATTTCCATCCTCAGTGTCTGTCTGTGCATCCTTTTCATTCAGCCAGGGATGTTCAGCTCGATTCTGCCCCTTCATTCCAAGCCTGTCCCATATTCCATTACTTTATGAAGCCTTTCTTGACACACAGATGCTTAATTATTCTCTTTTGCTTTCTTTGTGTTGACTTTGACTCTGCCACTGGTTGTGAGCTTCAGAAGGGCAGGGATCTCACCTTCACTTCTTTTTCCTCCTAGTGCTTTCTTTGTGTGCTGCACACTCCCTGGCACACACAGCGGCTCTCCAACACGAGGCAGAGCTTTCCAGCAGCCTCAACCTTCAGGACTGGGCAGCTTTTAAATGTATTTGGGCACCTTTGCAAGAAAAGGATTGTGTTAAATGTAATTTTCATGTATCTTGTTATCAGAGTGCAAGAGAAGCAGAAATCAAACTGAAAAGTGAAAGCAGAGTCAAACTTTTTTATTTGGACCCAGATGCCCAGGTAAGAACTATCTAAATGTTTAATATTTAAAACCAAATGTGGGAGAGAAAATCATCGATGGGCTTATTTGTTTATTTGTTTGCTTTGTTTATTTTGGAAAAACAAGCAAAATAACTATAGAAAATTTGGGGAAAAGAGGAAAAATAAAAATGTATAATCTTATCACCATAGCATTACTATTGTGAATATTTGATATTCAATAGATGTTTGAAAATTGGGAGAGATTTATTGAAAGACATTCTCAAGTTCACAAAGAACATCTAATTTACCTGTTAAAATAACCATCAGAAAACAACAGGTATCACTGCAGTTGCCTGGGAGTCAGTGATAATTCCCGACTAGCCCAGGCTCAGGCTCAAATACAAACCTTTTCCATTTAACTCTAACGATAAGTACTTTTCTGTTTCCTCACAAACCTCATAACCATACGTATGTGTGTTTATATGTCTATATTTTTTATTTGCTTTTAAGAAGTTTTTGTTTATCATTGTAAAATATACATAATATAAAATTTACCATTTTAACCATTTTTAAGTGTACGGTTCAGTGGCATTAAATACATTCTCATTGTTGTACAACCATTACCACCATCCATTTCCAGAACTTCTTCATTTTCCCACACGGAAACTTTGTATCAAATGATAACCTTCCTTTCCTTCTTCCCCCATCCCCTAGTAACCTCTGTTCTACTCTGTGAACCTGCCTATTTTAGGAACCTCATAAATGTGGAATCATACAGTATTTGTCCTTTGTTTCTGGCTTCTTAAACTTAACATGTTTTCAAGGTCAATCCATGTTGTAGCATGTGTCAGAATTTCCTTCCTTTCTGTGGCTGAATATTCCATTGTATGTATATACTACATTTTATATATCCTTGTAAATCTGTTGATGGACACTTGGTTGGATACTTGATGGACATTGGTTTTGTTGTTCATGATCATAATTTTCAAGCTCTGTATTTTTTCAGTTCATCCATTGAGTAGGTATACCATCATGTCTTTTTTTTTTTGTCTTTTTTTTTTTTTTTTTTTTGAGGCAGAGTCTTGCTCTGTCGCCCAGGCTGGAGTGCAGTGGTGCAATCTCGGCTCACTGCAAGCTCCGCCTCCTGGGTTCACACCATTCTCCTGCCTCAGCCTCAGCCTCCCGAGTAGCTGGGACCACAGGTGCCCACTACCACACCTGGCTAATTTTTTTGTATTTTTTGTAGAGACGGGGTCTCACTGGGTTAGCCAGGATGGTCTCGATCTCCTGACCTGGTGAGCCGCCAGCCTCGGCCTCCCAAAGTGCTGGAATTACAGGCGTGAGCCACCGTGCCCGGCCCATGTCTTTGACCATTGTTATAAACTATGTGTGTAACTACTATAAACCATAGAAACCGATTATATAATAGCAACACTATTGTGAGTAAATAAGTGTATATAGCTTTTCCATATTTTATTCCGTTTCCTTTGGATGCATTTATGATGTTTTTTTAAAATAAGAGCATAACTTATTTATATGTTTACATTTTCTTTTAAAGAAGCTTGACTTCTCATCAGCTGAGCCAGAAGTGAAGTCATTTGAAGAGAAGTTTGGAAAAAGGATCCTTGTCAAGTGCAATGATTTATCTTTCAATTTGCAATGCTGTGTTGCCGAAAATGAAGAAGGACCCACTACAAATGTAATTTTTCATTTTAAAAATAAACATTAAAAAAAAAATAGGCAGAGGTTTCAGATGTACCTTTACAGTGCAGCCTGGATAAGAAATCCTAGTCCCTGGTATCAAAGAGGTGCAGTGTTTGGATCAGGATATGGAGGTTGTTAGCCTGCAAGGACAGGATGTTCGTGATGGAAGATGAGGGTGGCAGGTTTGTGCTCAGCTTTCCAGGAGACAGAGTTCATCTTAGATGCTTCAGGGAACGCAACTGTGTTTTCTATGGAACATACATTACGTAGCAAAACACATAAAGGTAAAATAATTGTTTTGTTTGTTTCCTAAAATGTTTTATAAGCTAATTCTCTGTATGCAGAAGGATGAGACTGTTTAGTAGTAATTTATGGCAACAGTCCTAAATAGGTCTTGTCATTTCTCTTTTGATAGCAACATTCTTTTGTCCCTGTTTGAGCCATGGTGATCATTGGATTGTTTTGTTTTGTTCAGGTTGAACCTTTCTTTGTTACTCTATCCCTGTTTGACATAAAATACAACCGGAAGATTTCTGCCGATTTCCACGTAGACCTGAACCATTTCTCAGTGAGGCAAATGCTCGCCACCACGTCCCCGGCGCTGATGAATGGCAGTGGGCAGAGCCCATCTGTCCTCAAGGGCATCCTTCATGAAGCCGCCATGCAGTATCCGAAGCAGGTGGGGAGTATGAGCCCAGCATTCCCACTACTCAGACTCACTTTGCATGCTACCTAAATGCACCAAAAATGCTCAAATTAGACCTTGTAATGCACAAGTGGGGTCATTAGACTCTTAATTAATAGTATTTATTATTAGACAGTAAAAGCAAGCTGAGAAATAAGTGGCTTTTAATTTCCTTTCTTCTTTCTAAAAGTTCTCCTAGTTACCTCCCTCACCAAATAGACTTTTTGAGCAGATGATGAACTGTTTGTCAGCTAACTAGTTTGGCACTGGGTGCTTTTTACTAGTTGTCCTGTTTCACTGTTCTTTGCTGTTTAATGTTCATGGGATTTGTTTAACGTAGCTGTGAATTCTGCTTACTGAAGAAAATTGTTTGCCTCCTAGGGAATATTTTCAGTCACTTGTCCTCATCCAGATATATTTCTTGTGGCCAGAATTGAAAAAGTCCTTCAGGGGAGCATCACACATTGCGCTGAGCCATATATGAAAAGTTCAGACTCTTCTAAGGTATGAATGGCTTTTACGCTTTGGGGTGGTAAAAAGCAATCTGAAAAGAGGCCTTTATGTGATACTATAAATCCTTAATGAAATCAAACATAAGCCATATTTATACTCTAAAAGATGTAGAATATGCTACCTGTATTTACTCTGAACTTTATGTCTTGATTTTGAAGGAAATGTAGTCCTATGTGTAAATAAAATGATCCACTTGACTAGACAGTTCTGACATCCTAAAATAATTTGCAAAGGAATTACCAGCTTAATAGTAAACTTTCTGTGTTAGAAGGTACATGTATGATATTCAAATAGAGTTTCTTCTATCTGTTAATTTGCCTCTTGGGTTCTGAAATTCTATTTTGGTCCACTTACACTTATATATGAGGCTGGAGACCAGGAGATGCCCTTGGCTCAGATGACCTGGCCAGCAGTGTCAGTGATTCAGGTCCACTTGGTTTTTGCTAGAAGGGGCAGAGTTTTAGGTGGAAGATGGAAAGAAAACATACATGATGTATGTTTGGTTTTTTTCAAAGTAGTGTTCATTACTTGGGAAGTGCCTAGGCATGGACATACCATAGAATTATTAAATATTAGAGGTCATCTAGTCCAAGATGTGCTTTCATATTTCAGGACACTGAGGCTCACCAAGGCTTAGTGATCTGCTCAGTGTCTCATGGCTGGAGCTGCCAGGGGGCACTTGACTGCCACTTCGTAGCACCTTGTGCTACCTGGTTAGTGTAATCTGTTAAGTGCTATTATCCTTGCCAGTTTTACATATTTTTAGTTATTTAAAAAAAAAATTGTGTGGTCATCTGAGAGGCCTGAATTCACTGACAAGGACTGGTCAGCAGTAGGAGTGGATACCCCAGAGGCTGTGAGTGAAGTTTACTAAGTTGGATTCAGAGCTTCCTATCTTCACCTCTATGGGCGCCCATGCATCACAGCTGTGTCCACAGGATGCACGATGGCCATTGAGAAATGGATTTTGGAGTCAGAAGACCTGGGTGCTGCATGCTTAACTCATCTGGGTCCTTTGGACAAATCACATCACCTCTCATGGCCTCCATATGTTCCTTCTGTGCATGAAGGATGATGTTACTTCTTGCCTCTGCCTTCCTCATAGGGACAGTGTTAGGATCAAACAGATCATGTATGAGTCAGTGCTGTGGGCACCATAAATCACAGAAAGCCCAGAAGACATCGTCATTTATTACAGCCCCAGTCAAGTAAAAGCCCATTTACCCAGGCACATTGGTTCCAACAGTAAGCCTTTTTGGCTGATGAAAGCTGTGTAAAGTTTGGTCTCTGGAGAGAAGCTGTTTTATTTTTTTAAACCAAGTCTGTAAAACCTTGGATGAGAAGCTCTTTTAGCTCTTTTATGTTTTGATCAATAATCAATGAAGGCCCAATATAAGATCTCCTCCCCCGACCGTGTATGCAACACATTTCCAAGGCCCATCCACAGCAACTTTGTTACTTCTGCCTGCCGCATGCATGGTTTGAAATTTGGCAGCTCATATTGGTGTAAAAATCACATATCACTGTAGGCTAAACTTACCTCTGCACACTCCTCCATGTCCACTGAGCATCTGCTGAAGTCTGCTTTTTCTTCATTTTTTTATGGAATGTAAAGCTCATCCATGTGTACATTATTCATGCATTTACTTTTCTGCCACCTCCAAAGCATTCAATTAAAGCAGGAATTAAGGCTCAACTATCTTACTTTAGCACAGTTTTGGCAGAGATGTTACAGTGAGATGATTTTTTTCTGTCTGTCAAAGTTGTTTCTTCATGTTTTCCAAGATGGTCTAGAACATCATTTAGAGTAAATTTTCATTTTGGAGGAAATTTTTATGAAAAGTCTCTGTAGGTATCTCCTGTGAATAGAGGTTTTAAAAAGAAAAAGAAGGGGAAAAAAGCCCAAAGGGAAAAAATAAGTTTCTTACTCTGACTTTCACACATACTGTGTTCTATTTGCTCCCTTCATATGTCCGAGAGCTAAGTCCTCATTCACTGCAGAAAAGGCTTATTGATGTTTTATGTTTTAGCTTTAAATTTTATGAAATTACTGCATTTTACTCCACAACATATTCATCATTGTTAGAACCAAAAAATCTTGAACCTGAAAATGTTTAAGTAAATTGACCCTGCAGCTAGGTAGGCCATTGTACCCTATAACTCATACACCTAAGACCCCACTAAGTCGCCCCACCCAGGGAGGCAAGAACATACCTCATTGGAGAAGGGGGGAGGTCCTAGATGATTCCCTGACATCTCTTCCAATTAGGATGTATTTTCCAGGTTACTCATGAAGGCAGCAGTTCCTACAGCATGATTATGGTAGGATTATAAAGTTTTGCAACTGAAAGGGATCATGAAAAGTATAGCCTAGCCCCCATTTTCAGGTGTGGATAGTGGAGCTCAGAGAGGTTTGATGGCCTACAGAGTCATACAGCTGGATTCAGTGTGACTTAGAGACAGACAGCTCTGTCATCTAGATCCTTCTGGATCCTTCTAGATCCTTCCTGTGGCTGATGGTACACACAGATCACCGGAGGTCTTGTCAGAACGCACGTTCTGATCCAGGAAGTTTGGGGCAAGGCCTGAGACTCTGCATTTCTACAGTGATGCTGATGCTATAGCACACTTTGGTTTTGGAGTACATTTCCCAAAATTGGTTTGACTTTGATATACTTATGTAAAAGACCCTTCAGTAAAAAAAAAAAAAAAAAAATTAAGTAATGTAAAAGACCCTTCACTGTAACTCTGAGACAATCAAACTTTGCATTGATGACAAAGCACTATCACAGTACAGACAAATTTGGAAAAATTAAGCATTATCTTTTTTAGCAATAGGGGTATAGATGATTAATAATAGGTCTGCCTTAGGCTAAAAGCAAATAAGCTTCATTGTACACTGTGAATTAATCAATCAATCAACAACAAACCAAAATTGATCATTAGGAAGTAGAAATAGCAGTAATTCATGTTTAGAAAGCAAGAATATAGCATTGAGAACCCCAGCCTAACTGAAGTCAGTATCTTAATATCTTATCCCTTATATTGTGGGAATCAGCATAAGCTAGTGCGCTTTAGGAGCTGTGAAAGCTTAGTATTTTAATTAGTGTTCTCATTTCAATCCTAATAATGTGATATATTTTGATATGGATACCAAATAGTAATTATTAATAACTCAGTAGACTTATAATAAGTAGCACTTAGTCATAAAGATGTATGAAAACCTCTGAAACAGCATGTTTGTTGCCCGTAAAGACCAAAGAAGAGACATGGATTTTGGAAAGTCTTCGTTCTGTATTCTTTGAGAATCACTGCTAGAGAATGCGTTAAATAAAGTACTCTGCACAGAGTGTGAATCCAGCCATATTCATTACTGTATGATGTGCTTTTCTATGCATCCAATGCTATGGTAAGGACTTATTTAGTGAGCATGTAAGGATGGCTCTTGAGGTCACAGTTCTTTCAGTGAGATGCAGTATCTCATAGCTTTATTCTCATGTCTTCAAGGTGGCCCAGAAGGTGCTGAAGAATGCCAAGCAGGCATGCCAAAGACTAGGACAGTATAGAATGCCATTTGCTTGGGCAGCAAGGTAAGGAACACCTTTTATACCTTTTAAATCGATATAGATAGGTGCATGGATGGGTCAATAGGCCTATTCTGTTTGTTGTTCAGAGACAAAGAGGATTTGAATGTGTAAAACTGAGAAATACATAAGCCCAGATTTTGAAAAAATCATTTGGTAGAGTCACAGAGAGGATAGACACTGTCTGGAGAAGTGCTACCTGGAACTGGCAGGGTGCACGGTAGTGTTAGCTGCAGAGCTGGGATTCAAGGACCCAACCACATGCCTCCAGCTGGAAGTCAGGGCAATCCAGTGAGGCCTGGGGTGATCTTTATCTCTTGACTCTACTTGTTAAGCATTTGACTTGTGTATATTGTTTCCTAAGCACAAGCCATTGGCTGGAACTGTTTTCTATGTAAATTGATTTAGTTGTCCTCATCCCCATAGATGTTTTCCATGTTTTTAGATAATGAGATTTCTGTTGGCTATAGCCAATGGAATAATAATTAGACTTCTCATAGAAACTAGACTTAAATAATGAATTGATTTTGGTGTTTTGGAAACCCAGTTTAGAAATGTTGCTTTGCCATTTCAGGACATTGTTTAAGGATGCATCTGGAAATCTTGACAAAAATGCCAGATTTTCTGCCATCTACAGGCAAGACAGCAATAAGCTATCCAATGATGACATGCTCAAGTTACTTGCAGACTTTCGGAAGTGAGTTTCAAGGTCTTATTTCCACACCTGAAAAATAGAAGCTGTGTAGTGGGGAGGGAGGAACAGGGGAGCAGTCACTTAGGTTGCTCGATTTAGACATCAGAGGGGATGGCAAATGAGCGTGAAGCATTTCCTCAAACCCTTGAGAAGAAAGATGGGGTGAAAATCAGAAGAATAACCAGTTAATTTGAATTCTGTAGAGGATGTTTTGGGTGGTGCTGTGAAGGGTGGACTGGGTAAGGATGAGCCTATGGTGGGGAGGAAACAGTTGAGGAACCTTGTCAAGAGGTGAGAAAGGACTCAGCAAAGCCACTGCAAGTGCAAACAGGAAGAAGGGGACAAATTCAAGTCGTGCCAAAGAGATACGATGACTGGGTCTTGGCTTGGGGTGGTAATAGTCTAAGATAAATAACTTGCAAGGTTTCTAACTTGGAAGTTTCTGGCACCAGTTGTTGCTTAGCTTGTGGCAGCATTGCTCCACTCTGCCTCTGGCCTCACATGGTCCTCTTCCTGTGTGTCTCTGTCTAAATTCCCTTCTTAGAACACTAGTGATAAAGCATCAGGGCCAAGCCTAGTGACCTCATCTTAACTGATTGCATCTGCAGAGACCCTGTTTCCAAATAGGTCACATTTATAGGTACAAAGGGTTGGGACTTCACCATGCTTTTGGAGGACACAATTCAACCCATAACAATGAGGCAAAGAGGGAGCAAGGAATGTGTGCAACATCACAGGGCCGGCAGCTTCCCCAAGTCAGTCTCACCCGAGGGTCTGTGTTCTTAACCTCTATGCTGTTTTGCTGCTACATCCTAAAGAGTTCACTCTGAACCTTTGAAACTGATTTTCTTTGCTAGGGAGATGGGTCTTAGAATTTTTCTGGGGAAATTCTGGGAATGTGAAAGAGCTGAGGGCGCTAGAAGATGTGAAGTGAAAAGAATAGCTGAGAGCCAAATGCTAACTATTCTATGCCAAAGGTATCCTTGTTTTTTTTTTTTTTTGTGCATATCAAAATAGCAATCTTATCAGTTTGTCTAGAACTCAAGAATGATTGCTTAGCTTTCTTTAACCTTATTTTACCTTTTTCTTATCTGTCTTCAGTAGTAGGAATAGAAACGATATGAGTCATAGAAACAGGCTCAATAAGTTCTGAAAACACAGAGACGTGTTCCTAATCAGAATCCAATCACGTCCATGTCAGCAGGCGGCTTCAGCCTTCACAGCGACGTGAAATCCCTTGTCAAGAGGCTCAAAAAGGTAGAAAGGATTCTCAAGGTCTCTTTCAGTTATGTGATTATACAGTTTTTGACTGTCTTGATGTTTCCCCTGTTTGGAGCTTTAATGAGAAGTGCAACCTCAGTTTTGCTAACATGCAGCTAAGGTTGGCCTGTTCAGCAAAGCAGTGTGCATGCCCGCTGGGCTGATTTGGAATGAACCTTTCACAGCTCACGTAGGGAATTGGAGAAGGGGGAGAGGAGGATACTGGTGAAGGATGAGGCCTGCTGGGTTAGCCTTCCAGGGTTCCTGGACCATATAGGTGCCCCAAATTCCCAGTCACTATCTGACAGTTTTATGACCTGGTAAGGACACAGGTCTTGGCCAGGGAGTGCCCCTGGATCCCTATGAATCTGTTATTCATGAAAGACTAAATAAAAGAATAGTACCCTATTTTTACTTTTAAATCATAGAGGTTCTTTAGTTTACAAACATAATACATGTTCATTTTAGAAATTTTGAGAAATACAGAAGAATAAAAGGATGAAAAAAGGTTTACTACTAGTTTTAACCTTCGTGGTGAACTTTTGGAGAACTTTTTTTTTTTTTTTGAGATGGAGTCTCACTCTGTCCCTCAGGCTGGCGTACAGTAGCACGATTTCAGCTCACTGCAACCTCCGCCTCCCGAGTTCAAGCGATTCTCCTGCCTCAGCCTCCCAAGTAGCTGGGACTATAGGCGCCCACCACTACGCCTGGCTAATTTTTGTATTTTTAGTAGAGATGGGGTTTCACCATATTGGCCAGGCTGATCTCAAACTGCTGACCTTGTGATCTGCCCGCCTCAGCCTCCCAAAGTGCTGGGATTACAGGCATGAGCCACCGTGCCCAGCCTAGGGGGGAACATTTTTTTTTACGTTTTATTCCTTTACATTTTATTTTAGTTTATCTTATGTAGCTATGATCATACTAAATATGTAATATTTCCCTGCACAACTCAAGTATTTTCTGAAAGTGTTATATATACATTTTTATAGACATCATTTTTAATGCATAAATATTATAATAGTCCATTGAGATAGACCATAGATTATTTAACTCTTCCCCCATTTTTTGACTTTTTTTTTTTTTTCCGAGATGGAGTCTCGCTCTGTCGCCAGGCTGGAGTGCAGTGGCACCATCTCAGCTCACTGCAACCTCCGCCTCCCAGGTTCAAGCAATTCTCCTGCCTCAGCCTCCTGAGTAGCTGGGACTCCTGAGTAGCTGAGTAGCGCATGCTGCCACGCCCCGCTAATTTTTTTTTTTTTTTTTTTTTTTTTTTGTATTTTAGTAGAGATACTAAATATCTCACCATCTTGCCCAGGCTGGTCTCAAACTCCTGACCTCAGGCAATCTGCCCGCCTCAGCTTCCCAAAGTGCTGGGATTACAGGTGTGAGCCACCATGCCCAGCCATTTTTTGACTTTTAATGTGTTTCTGATTTTTCAGAATTATACCTATAAGCCACAGTTAGAATCTTTAAAAAAATCTTCTCTATTGGTAGTGGGTAATATATTATCATACATACTATATTATCATATAGTAATTATTGTCATTTTTTGAGTTTCAAGAAAATTTCATTCTTACTAATTTTTTCAAAAACCAGTCACCTTTAGTTGGATAGATTTCAATATTTTCCTTCGCTCAACTACCATGCAACTCTTAATAACCATGAGGTGGGTCTGCGTGTACTTAGGAAAGTGAATACACTATATTATTAAGGAAGAAAAAATATATCTGTATTACTATATTTTTTGAAAGAAAATATATATTTCTTTTGTATGTAAATGAAGAAATGGATAAGCAAGTAGCTATCTAGATGGAAAGATAGGCATAAAAATAGCTATTTAGGATATATGCCAAATAATCATGGTTATCTCTGAGGGATGGGTTGATGGGTGATATTTCACCTTCCACTTTATAACATTCTGTCATTTTTATATGAACTTTTAAAAAACTAACACTTTTATATTCAGACAAAACAAACAATGAAGTTTTTTATATGTGATGGAGGTTGGAGCCCTGTCTCAGAAGTTACTTCCTAGGCTGGTTAGCTTGAGACTTCCCCACAGTGGCGGCTCCTCAGGGGCAGCCCCAGTGCATGGTCCTGTCTTCAGTGGAGGCTGGGGAGTGGGGCTTCACATGGTCACTAATTTGAAAGTGATGGGAGCAGAAAGCCTGTGGCCAGGCAGAAAGGAGCCCAGGGAAAACCAAGTGTGAGTTCTCTTCTGCACACCACTTCTTCATGCATGTGCTCAGCAGGAGGGCATTGGTGTGAAGGGTGTGCTCCAGGTGGCCAGTTAGAGACCCAGAAACCTGAAAACAGGGATCCGATGGTGACAGCATAGAAGACACAGCAGGATAAGTGAGGCCACGCTCCTCAATAAGTATTCAAAGAAACTTTGGTGCCCACTCCCCGTATTCTTCACAACAGAGTTAGGGGACGTGGAGGATTCCTTTTTCATTTTTTAAAAATCTTTGCATTGCTATTTTTCTTTCCTCTGTATATTTTACAGGAAATAATCTCATGTCAGTGGCCTGGGCACCGGCTTGGATCCAAAGCTATTGTTTCTACCCCCATGATTGTCTCAAAATGTTATTTAATAATGCATGAAAAAAATTTCTTCACGCTGTCTCAGTCTTAACAAAACAGCTGCCAAAGCTCATAAGCCACTTTCCTTTTTCCCTTGCAATAATTACCCAGGGATATGTTCCAAGATTTAGTAAGAAAGCGATTCTGTCCGATAGATGATATTGCTAACATTTTATAAGAAGAGAGACTTGGTACTTTGTATTTGATTTGTTCATGGTGGTATCTCATGGATAAGATGGTATCTCATCTTTTCCAACTTCTGCAGGAAATGCGAAGACATGAAGGCAAAGTATAAAAATAGAACGTTTTCTTTAAAACGTAGACCTTTTTAATGGTACTACGTTGGATAGTTTAGGTAATAATACTACTAAAGTTTTTGCGTATGCAGCTTAATGTGTCTGTGTTTATTTGTACACTCATCTTCTTTGCATCCAGGTTTTACAGTCTTACCCCGATTTCGCTCTGGTTACACTGCACTCAAGCCAAGTAGGGCTGCTTGACTTTCTCTAAACCCACTGGGGACTTCCCTCTGCCATGCTTTTCTCTCTGCCCAAATTGTGTCCCCTTCCTGCCTCATCAAGCAGCACATAAATCACAAACACATGCAGCATACACACTTCCCCTTTTCCTTTGTCTTTCTCAGGGAACTCTACTCATCTTTCAAAGCCCAGTCTGTGGCTCACTTCTGTGCTGGGAGTCCTGGAGGCGGTTACTTGGCTTCTCTGCCTGAGCCGCCTCCTCTTTTTAAGGGTGGATAATAACAGCCCCTGCCCCCTAAAACCGTGGTGGGGAATAAATGCAAAAGGCATTAAGGTGATTTCTCCCACCATGAATACTGATCTCATCCCGTGTTCCCTCTCGATAGATCTAGATACTCTGCCTTCTGGTAGAGGTTTGTACATACTCTGTGAAAGTGATTGCCCTCATATGCCGTAAGTAGCTTACAGTGTCTACTGGACTTTTGGCTTCTTGAGGAAAGAAATTATGTCTTGTTTGCATTCCTCCATGGTCCTGAGTACATACATTGCAGCATATCCTAAGCACTTGATAAATGCTTATTGAATTTTCTTCTTAGACATAAACTCAGTGGTTTTTGTTGAAACAAAAATATCTCAAATTTCTTTCAATCATATATAGTTGTTTTTTTTTAAGTGACACCAAAGCTTTTAGGGAATATTTCCTTTCACAAAACACAGTTAGAAGATTAAACTCACCACCAATAGCAGTCCAAACATACCTGTATTGCCAGCTAATCATTTTAACGAGCCAATACAGGAAGTCAGGAAGGGAAGACCGGCTGCAGAAACACTTAGATAAGGACCCCAAATCTGTTGGCATGGGAGGACTGCTAGTTGATGATACCATTCCCATTTCCTCTGTGGGAATTGTTGAGTCAGCAGAAATGGATGGGCAGTGGGAAGGGAAAATTTTCCTAAGAGAGAGTTTGAGCCTCACTTCTACATTCACACAGAGACAGGAGCAGTTCCCAGAGGCCAGGCATCCTGCAAGTGTCTGTATTGCATGCTTACTTAATTCGTGTAATTTTAAGATGAGTTTTCATGTTCAAGGATTATTTTATAAATTTTGCATAGAATATAGGTACTCTTTAGCAAAACAAAGCAAAAAAACCAAAACTATTCTCAGTCATGAAAGAATTCAGTTTGTGTAACACGCACACAACCACCACTTTGGAAGTGCATAAAAAGGCAGTAAAATCTTTATTGCCTGTGAGTGTTTGATGTCTAATAAACCAGATTCAACATAAACCATAAACTTTTGAAATGGGTTTGAGATTGGGTTTTTAAAAACTTAAAGCTGGCAAAAAAAAAAACAACTTTTAAAAGCCCATGTGCTACATAATATGGAACTAAACTCAGAAATGTGCTTGGAAACACATGGAAAGAACGTCTTTACAGAAGCAGCAACTAGAAGTAAAATCTCTCAGCAGAGGGAGGAAATAGAATAAGAAATAACTATAGTTAGGCACAGAAGGACACAATACACTATAGGAAGATTTCCAGTGAAGATCATTTAATTAAAATATGTTGCTTAGAAACGTATTTTAATTGTGTTCCACCTCTCTCAAAAATTTATATGTGGAGGATGTTGGAGTGATCTTAAAAATGGTGATGAAGATGCCTGTTCATTCATAGGTGGAAATAATTAGGAGGGGGTGAAATCCATTACCCTTGCATACTTACTTATATTTAAAAGTATAATTTGTAATAAACAGAGTATTTCTAACTCAAAGCAGATACAACTTCATAGGTGTCTCTACAATTTTGTGGAGTGCAGTGTCTTGTGATATGTTGTGGTGTTGAATTCCTCCACTGAAGAGGTGAGCAAGGCACCGTATGTCAAGAAAATTGATACCTTCATAAAACCCCCTGTCTGAAGGTTGATGCCCCTGAAGAGTTCTATGTGAAGCTGAGAGAGGCTCCACAAGCTATCATCGTAGGAGTGCCCAGAGCTTGGGAGATGCTGGGTCAAAAGCTCTCAGGAAATGACTGACCCTTGAGGGGAGGCTGCTGCCCCTCCTCCCACCAACAGGAAAGGATCTTGTGTGTGTGAAGCAGCTCACACCGCAGGCACAGGGGCAAACTGTAGGGGAGTGCTTGGCTGTACCTGGAGAGCTCTTGGCCAGACATCTTTTCAACGGAAGGCGGAACATGTGAAAAATCATTGACTTGCCTTCCTGACCATTACCTCTTTCAGGAACTGTTCATTTAAACTCAGATGTAAACAGAAGACAAGTGGAAATGAGAGGGAGGGACCCTGAGAGAAAGAGATTTAGCAGCTTAGAGCTGGCGATGGGCCACGATGGATCTTCTCAACATCGTCTCTAGTCTTAAGGATGCAGGAATTTAGAAATTTTAGGGAAGTCCTAATTCAGGTGACAAATATTCCAAGATGTACTGAGGAGTGACACGTGAGGCTGCTTAATAGTCAGCAGTCATGTCCAAAGAATCTGCAAAATTGTAGGTAGGAACTTTTCAAAAATGGGAACAAAACCAAATGCTGAATCTGCCAGTCCCTGTGCTTTGGTGATCTTTGGCAATGTTCTAAAGGAGATCTGAAACAGGTGGCGTAGGAAGGACTGTGAGGCGGCATTGTGTTTCCTAAGACTAAGTCATATCGTGTTGAACTAGTCATCCTAACTGCATTTCTTCTCTCTTTGTAACTGCGCCGCTAAGCTTGTGTAGTAGAGGAGTGCAAAGGCTTCAGCAGAATGTATTTACCACGTGTGGGTGCTGTGGTAGCCTGTGAATGAGTCAAAGAAGCGCTGCACACGTGAGTGGGCAGTTGTTCAACTGCTGGAAAAACCAGATGCTAGGGAGGGTGATGAATGAGCTAGTGTCAGTCTGGAAATGGGCCTCCAGAGACTTGGGAAGGAGCCTGTTCTTGGCAATATACTGTGCAGTATCTTTATCAATGACTTTTATGAGACTATAACATGCTGATTAAATATTTTTATGACATAAAGCTATTAGGAATATCTAATGCAGTAGGTGGTAAAATCTGGATCTAGGAGGACTTTGATAAACTAGAAATAGCTCAAACACAATACGATGAAATTTCAGCAAGACAAAAATTAAATTCTCTTCTGAGGTCCAAAAATATAATTATATAAATAAAGGACAAAGAAATAAGCATGTGAAAAAAGATGTAGGAATTTTAGGTGACTGTAAATTTCCTGTGAGTCACTAGGATGGTATGGCTACCTAAAAGTAATAGCTTTGAGGCTGTGTTAATAGACAGGTATATTGTTGAAAACCAGACAGAGGCTGTGCACCCAGCTGTGCACCCACACTGGCCAGATGTATGCAGTTCCAGGCTCTGTAATATAAATGGCAGGTTCTTCTGGGAGAGAATGACATTGGGGCAGGTGCAAAAGTGCTGAGAATAGAGGGCTTCAGAATGTGTAGTATAGGTGGTTGAAAGATAGAGGAACATCGCTAGACCCCTTGGTGAGTAGAAGTTTCAGGGAGGTGAATTTCACTATGCTATGAGCAAGAGCAGACTAGTGTCAAAACCGCTGAATCAGAAGTCTCATTGTCACTAGGAAGGGTGAGGCAGTAGCAGCACTTGTCAGGAGTGTCACAGGGGATTCCTATATTGGATTGAGTCAGAACAAATATTAATACAACAATTTCAGTGAGCTTCGACTCTGAACCCAGCATTGTGCTGGACACTGGAGCCTAAGATGATTTCTAGTTCCTGATGGTGATGATTGTATGTTTTATTTTATTTTTTATTTCAATAGGTTTTTGGAGAACAGGTGGTGTTTGCTTACATGAATAAGTTCTTTAGTGGTGATTTCTGTGATTTTGGTGCACCCATCACCCGAGCAGTGTACACTGTACCCAATGTGTAGTCTTTTTTCCCTCACCCCACTCCCACCCTTTCCCACAAGTCGCCAAAGTTCATTGTATCATTCTACTGCCTTTGCATCCTCATAGCTTAGCTCCCCCAAATGGTGATGATTCTAAATGAGCCAAATATTTATGGTGAGGCTGGAGTGATTCAGGAACACTTGAGCTGTAACTGTTTTGCTGATATTCTTTATCTAGACCTGTACTGTGTAGTGCGCAGCCACTAGCCATGTGTGGCTGTCCTGTGAAATACAGGACGTCTGAATTGAGATGTGCTTTAAGTATAAAACCAGTAATACATATCTGGTTTTAAAGACTTAGAGTACACATTTTTTATACTGATTAAATACTGACATGGTAATATTTTGGACCTATTGGGTTGAGTGAAGTATATTATTAAAATTAATGTTACCAGTTCCTGTTTGCTGTTTTTCATGAGGCTACTAGAATGTTTAAAATTGTCTTTATGGCTTGCTTTATATTTCTCTTGGAAGTGCTGCTCTAGAGTGTCGGTTTTAGAGTTAACTTACGAATGTTTAATTTTTCTCTTCTTTTGTTTGCAGACCTGAGAAGATGGCTAAGCTCCCAGTGATTTTAGGCAATCTAGACATTACAATTGATAATGTTTCCTCAGACTTCCCTAGTAAGTGTCAGTTCTACATAATAGACAGAATTTTTATTAGTTTGGGTTTTACTTCAGTTTGAGTTATTTTGAATATCTTTGCAGATTATGTTAATTCATCATACATTCCCACAAAACAATTTGAAACCTGCAGTAAAACTCCCATCACGTTTGAAGTGGAGGAATTTGTGCCCTGCATACCAAAACACACTCAGCCTTACACCATCTACACCAATCACCTTTACGTTTATCCTAAGTACTTGAAATACGACAGTCAGAAGTCTTTTGCCAAGGTGAGTGTGAAGATGGAGGTTTCATTCTTGATGTCAAACCCTCCCTTTAGATTCAGCGTCCCATGTTCTTTTATAAATACTTACATAGTCTGACTTTCTGTTGTTTTTTCTTATTCTGTTTTGTTTATTGCTGCAGGCTAGAAATATTGCGATTTGCATTGAATTCAAAGATTCAGATGAGGAAGACTCTCAGCCCCTTAAGGTTTGTTTTTTTTTAATATATGTTCACCTACGAATTCTGATTTTTCCATTTTCAAAATGCACTTTCATGATACCGTACAACTACAACAGTTTAGCACATTTTAATTGACACAAATCAAAAATATATAATGTTACAATGTATAAACATATATACTCAATCTTATCGAATATGGAATATTTAGGTTCTGGCTCCTAATTGACTGTTTTTTATTCTTTTTAAGGATCAGAGTTTCTTATACACACTCAATTCAGCAAACACTTACTGTTCACCTATGAGCCAAGTGCTCATACTGTGGGTGCTAAGAATTAGGATATGAATAATGTTGATCATAGAAATAATAATAACTGATCAACAATTGATAATTTTATTAAATGTTTACTACAGTATAGTAATAATAATAGCAGTAGATTATAGGTAACTTTTATTGAAAGCTGTTTGTACTCCAGGCACTGCTCTAGTGTGTGTTTAACTCTTTTGGTTCTCAGTAGTCTTTTGAGTTAAGTATTATTATTATCCTTTTTTTTTTTTTTTTTTTTTTTTTTGAGATGGAGTCTCGCTCTGTCGCCCAGGCTGGAGTGCAGTGGTGTGATCTCGGCTCACTGCAAGCACTGCCTCCCAGGTTCATGCCATTCTCCTGCCTCAGCCTCCCGAGTAGCTGGGACTACAGGAGCCTGCCACCACACCCCGCTAATTTTTTGTATTTTTAGTAGAGACGGGGTTTCACCATGTTAGCCAGGATGGTCTCGATCTCCTGACCGTGTGATCTGCCCACCTTGGCCTCCCAAAATGCTGGGATTACAGGCGTGAGCCACCCCACCCGGCCTATTATCCATATGTTTTAGGTGAGGGGAGTAGTGCAGAATTTTTTGCCTAAGGTAAAACATTAGTGGAACCAAGATTCAAACCCGGGCAGTCTAGCTCCATAACCCAAATTGTTTTACTGTGACTATGTTAAAGTGACTTCCTAAGAGGAGAAGGAGACAAAGATGCAAAAAAAAAAAAAAAAAAAAAAAATATATATATATATATATAAAATATAGTATCTGTCCTCAAGAAATTCAGTCAAGTGGGAAAAACAGTCGTGGAGAAAAAGATCTTGGTGGACAGATGGTATGAAATGAAGTTTTGGACAAAACTGAAAATTAATACAGAAAAATGCTGAGGGGACACATGGAAGGAGTTGACAATTTCTTGAAGAATGCTTGAGCGTTTTCTTGATGCATGCAGAAGCGAAGGTTATTTGGACAGAAGAATTGCATAAGAAAAGGCATGGAAATGTGAAAGGGAACAGTGAGCAAGGCATCATCCAGGGCTGTGACCTGGAAGGGCAGGAAGGGGAGCAGGCAGATGGGCTTCAAGGCAAGCTGGAAGGTGGGCAGGACCCAGCAGTCCGGGGCTCACAGGCCTGGGGCCCATCAGAGGTGGCGATGCTAAGTCTATGCCGTAGGAATGCCTCCTCCTTTACGATATATCCAAGTTTAATTTCTTACTTAATCGAACCGTGATGTTTCCCTTTGGTAACTCTTATTTTAGTGCATTTATGGCAGACCTGGTGGGCCAGTTTTCACAAGAAGCGCCTTTGCTGCAGTTTTACACCATCACCAAAACCCAGAATTTTATGATGAGGTAAGTGATGTTTTTAAGGGAAAACCGAATTTGACCAGTTTTAAGGGAAACTTTAATGTATTTGCCTGGTAAAGGAAAATTCAAGAGAAGCTGCATATTACACTGAAATTACAGAGCTAGAACTGCATGTTGAAGTATTTCTTTTATATATTCTGATTGTAAATGTAACATTTTCATTATTAAAAGAAATAGAAATTTGGATAATGCAGATAATACAGAAAAGAAAAAGTCATAATCCCACTATCACTACCACAATTAATATTCTGGTATATTTCCTATCAAATTCATACTTTAGTTACATTTGTTGGACCTGAGAATCTTTCTTTCTTATCATTGGGTTTGCTTACATAAAATATAATGTAATTCATTGAAACCACTGTATGCATGCTACTTGGGAATGTTCTATCCTGGTTCTTCATAATGCCTTGGCTGTGGTAACTTAGCGTAGCAGTTACTGTCCTGTGTTTTCCAGTTCTTCCTAGAAATACCATCAACTCTCTTCCTGTTTCTGAGTGGTGAATTCAGGATTCATTTCTTGCTTGGCACAATTTATAGTCTCAGTATCTTTGAGTGCAAATGTTAATATCCGCTCGGAGAACAAGTGCACGTTTATGCGTTGGGTAACACATACTGTCTCTGCTTCCACTGAGAGTTTCTGTGTTTTTAGAATATTTTGTTGTTATTTTGTCTTCCCTTGCAGATTAAAATAGAGTTGCCCACTCAGCTGCATGAAAAGCACCACCTGTTGCTCACATTCTTCCATGTCAGCTGTGACAACTCAAGTAAAGGAAGCACGAAGAAGAGGGATGTCGTTGAAACCCAAGGTTGGGGGGGCTTACCATTCCTTTGATTTTAAATAATTGAAACATTAGGTTCTTAAATTGTATTAAGATTCTGAATTTCCATCTTTTTGCAAAGGGATCTTTAAATGAATTTTATAGGTAACGGATATGTAGCATGTCTGGGTTGCATATGTAATTTTTTTTTTTTTTTTTAATTTTTGAGCTCAAGCTGTCCTTCCACCTCAGCCTCCTGAATAGCTGGGACTACAGGCACGCACCACACCCACTGGCTAATTTTTGTATTTTTTTGTAGAGACGGGATTTCGCCATGTTGCCCAGGCTGGTCTCGAACTCGTGAGCTCAAGCAGTCTGCCCACCTCTGCCTCCCAAAATGCTGGGATTACAGGTGTGAGCCACCATGCCCAGCCTGCATATGTACATTTTTATAAAAGAAGATTGTAGAATTCTAACCCCGAAAAGGCCTAAGTACATTGTAGACAATGTTCTGCAGAGATTACATTTAGGGCATTTTAAATTTCTTACTCTAATTGATAGGAAAAGTTCTTAAAAATCAGACGGTTTTACATTGGCTTGCTTTCATAAGTTTTCATACACTCACAGTGTTCTGTTGTTGTTGTTGTTCTTTGTTTTCAACAGTTGGCTACTCCTGGCTTCCCCTCCTGAAAGACGGAAGGGTGGTGACAAGCGAGCAGCACATCCCGGTCTCGGCGAACCTTCCTTCGGGCTATCTTGGCTACCAGGAGCTTGGGATGGGCAGGGTATGTCCCATTTTAAGATTGGGTCATCCCAATTTCTTCAGAAAACATTAAAGAACAACTAAAACAACAATAACACACAAAAAGCAAACAGTATTTTTGCTCTTCCACCATTTTGATATTAGTTATTCATTTTCAAGTAAACTTTGGCCAATTGAAGACAGTGCTGTTAGCAGTTACCTCAATGTCAGAATTACAGTTTGGGCATTTTGTAAGCCCTGAACTAGTGGTGTCTCAGCGGAAAAATAGAGACTTGGAAATCTGGGATAAGGTCTGTCTCTGCCGACTGGCCATGCTCAAATAAAGATGAGTTCTTAGGGTCATGCAAACTATTAGGAATTTTCCTCCAGCTTAAAGTAAGTCAAGTACGCCAAATCTCTCACCCACAGGGTTGCACATTCTGAAACCTTTCTGATTCTTGAAAGCCTAATTTTCCCCAGATTTCTTTAATTGCTTTGTTGGTTTTGCATTCTTTTTAGCCATCTTAAATTTTATAGACTGCGGCTTTATAACATGCTTAAATAAAGCCTGTTCTTTTTATGTTTGTCTGCATTTAAATGATGCCAAATTTAAGTTCATATTATAGACAAATAGTTAAATTTTCCCAAAGAAGAATAAATTGTATAATTGAGCATGACAGAGAAATGGAGGTTTCAAAAGTTGAAATTAGTGTGAGCAGACGATTGACCCTTTGCCTGTGCCAGGCCTGCATATTATGCTGTTTGCTTTATCTGGCACCTTTTACTGGCTTCTTCAGAATCCTGAGCTCAAGTTGGGTTCAGATGCTGGTGTAATAGGATTCTTTCCCTCTCAAATGAACAATAACTCACACAGCTGCAAAGAAACAGAAAAGATAACTTAGAAAATCCAGTAATAAAAGCACTGTACTTTGGGGGAAGAAAGGGGGCAGAAATGTGTATCAGCTGCATTCCTGCCATGGGCCCGGCACAGTCGCCAAGTCACTAAAGTTCTCTGGGCCCTCTTTCAGTCCCTCATCATTACCCTCATTGATGATCATGTTAGAGCCAAAATAACTAATCTGTAGGGATATTGTTTCTTCCATATTTTTTTTAGCATTATGGTCCGGAAATTAAATGGGTAGATGGAGGCAAGCCACTGCTGAAAATTTCCACTCATCTGGTTTCTACAGTGTATACTCAGGTATGTGCTCCTTCAACAAAATTAGCAGTTGCTGCCCTGTGACAAAGTTTGCACCATTTTGCAAGAAGAAAAAAATCCTAATGTGTTATATTACTATATTTTTACTCTATAGATCTTTTTCTAAAGAAAGAAAGTACAACTGAAGTGCTTATATGTATTCATATAAATGACTAGTACAAGCATCATTTTGCAACAGATTTCCCCTTTCATTGGAGGATCTTCTTGATGTTATTTGTACACGATCAATTTTTAGTCTTAATAAGATGAGGCTGGGTGTGGTGGCTCACACCTGTAATCCTAGCATTTTGGAGGCCAAGGTGGGCAGATCACTTTAGCCCAGGGGTTTGAGACCAGCCTGGCCAACATGGCAAAACCTTGTCTCTACAAAAATACAAAAATTATCCAGGCATGGTGATGTGTGCCTGTAGTCCCAGCTACCTAGGAGGCTAGGGTAGGGGGATTGCAAGAGGCTGGGAGGTCAAGGCCGCAGTGAGCCATGGTCATGTCACTGCACCCCAGCCAGGGCGACAGAGCAAGACTCTGTCTCAAAAAAAACAGCAACAACAACAACAACAACAACAACATACAGCAAAAAAGCATGCTGCAAGAAACAAATGCTTCTATTTCCACAGCGTGTATTCTAATAGACTTTCTTCTTCTTTTCCTTTTTCCCTACCTCAGGATCAGCATTTACATAATTTTTTCCAGTACTGTCAGAAAACCGAATCTGGAGCCCAAGCCTTAGGAAACGAACTTGTAAAGTACCTTAAGGTATCACATGGCTTTCTTAGTATCCCCTTTTAAGTGAGTTTGGAGTAGGTTGGGTTTTCTCTTTGGTGGTGAGTGGTGTTCTCACCCCTTGGAAGCTCTTACCTGGATGTCTCACATCAGTAGCTTCTATGAGGTTTAGATAGTGGTAAGAAGTGGACCTAGGAACGGCACTACTCCTGCCTGTGTCCTAGTCCCATGTATCCTTTGCTCAAGGCAGGATCTCTAAAACATACTGTTTCTCACGCATGGAAAACCCCTCACTTGAGACGGACCTCCCTGGGTACCGAGCACAGTGATGGGCACAGAAGCAGAGACTTCGGTCCTCACCCTTAGGGAACTTCTAGTTCATTGTAGGAGATACTATAAACTTGGTGACTGCATGCTAGGCAGACAAATCAAATAAAGAAATAATGCACAGAACCAGTCCCAGCTTTGTGCAAGGGGTTCCTGGCGTGTCTAAGCAGCAAGAGCCAGGCAGGGTTTGTCTAGGAGAGCTTCATCCAGAACGTGGCTGTGGGGAGCATTTTGGAAAGGGGAAATAGCTAAAAGGGCATGGGGACAAAACAAGAAATGTGAGAAATGGAATAGAAATTTGTTTGGTTTAACAAGGAAAATGGAATACATATCCACATAAACAATGAAGTTTTTATATGTGATTGCTTGCGGCCCCTCCCTCCATCTCAAAGACAGCCACACAGCATCTCTCTGACCCTGCTTCCTCTGTCCCAGCTCCCTCTGACTCCTCTCCCCTTCTGTCTCCCTCTTCTGGTTTATGGCCCTTTGCGATTCCATGGGCACACCTGGATAATCCCTATCATAAGGCCTGACTAGCAGCCTTACCTCCCCTGGGCCATGTGATGTATTCACATGTGCTGAGGACTAAGACACAGACGCCTCTGGGGACATTCTGCCCACCACAGCCTTCCCTTTGTTTTAGAGGGAGTTCTTCCATCCTTGTTTGGAAGAGTGGAAGTTACTTTAGGCTGGTTTACTTTTAGAAGGATAACATGAACTGTGCCATTCTGTGTCCGTAGAGTCTGCATGCGATGGAAGGCCACGTGATGATCGCCTTCTTGCCCACTATCCTAAACCAGCTGTTCCGAGTCCTCACCAGAGCCACACAGGAAGAAGTCGCGGTTAACGTGACTCGGTAAGGGAGGTGGATGGATGCTCTTCCTCACTTCTAGTCTGTCCACATCTGGAGCATAGTCATGCATAGCTGGGATGCTACTGTGTGCTGAACATTACATTTAAGAAATGTCTTTGATCCCATGTGTAAGGACCCCATCTAATTCCTTGTCTCCTTGTTTCCTAAGTGCTGATAGCATCATCATTGTTCTACTACTGCTGTGATAATAATGAAATGTTTCCATTTTTACATATTCTTTGCTTTATTCACTCCTGTGGTGTGTAGGGTCATTATTCATGTGGTTGCCCAGTGCCATGAGGAAGGATTGGAGAGCCACTTGAGGTCATATGTTAAGGTATGTAAAACACACTGTTCTGATCACTTACATCTGTGGCTCTCCAGTTTTCCTTCTAAGGACTTATTTTTTCACAAGCCTGGTTATTTGAGGATGTGCTTGTAACGTATGCTTTCTCTTCTATTTCTCATAGCCAATGCTTGTACCTGAATAGGGGAGGTACGAAGAGGGACAGCCATTCACTAATTTACTTAATTCCATTCCTTCAATTATGTTTCTTTTAATGGGTTTTCCAAATAATATGACTCAATGTGGAAGTTTAAAGAAGAATTTTAAGTTGTTCTTGGCTAGGCCTCTGCTAACGTTAGTTGTCTTCCTTTTTTTTTTTCTTTCCATCTAAACTTTCCAGCAAAACTGCTCCTCCCAGATAGGAAGGTTAGCTCTGGCTACAGTCAAATTAGATGACTCTGTGGGACAGCAAGAGATGTTGTTAGGATAAACATCAACAAGTTATTTATTTATATACAACATCCAGTAAGTAGAGTGGCAGTTACTATTCTAAACAGATGCACATATTCTGTTTACTATTAAATACCTTTGTAAATTACAACTATGTGATAATTTAAAAAGTAAAGTTCTGGTCCTTTAGGGTATCAGTCATACATTGTTGTGCCACACATTCCTTGAAGCCCCTGGCACAGGTGGAGTTACGGGCTGGCTGGTCACTGATTTGACCGGGTCAGATGACTCACATATTTTCTTGAAGACATCCTGGACTCCTTTTTATCACATGACACTCACCCTTCCCATCTTTGTATCCACACCTTCCTCTCCCACAAATGATATTGTAGCTCAGTCCCTGATCTCCATTCTTGGGAGTCTCTCAAGCTTTCAGCCCACATTGGAGAGCCAGTGCATTAAAGTCTCTTTCTCTTTTCTTCAAAGTACGCGTATAAGGCTGAGCCATATGTTGCCTCTGAATACAAGACAGTGCATGAAGAACTGACCAAATCCATGACCACGATTCTCAAGCCTTCTGCCGATTTCCTCACCAGCAACAAACTACTGAAGGTATGTCAGGAGAGTCAGTGTGGCTCTGATTGAAACTGATTAACAGGAATTCACTCCACAGCCTGATCAATACAGCCTTTCTGAGTGCTCTTAGAGACAAACACCACTCCCTAAAAAGGGGTAGTGTTCTCTGATACCAACTTTTCTAATTGTGTCTTGAGAGAAGAGCTGCAAAACACCACTGTGTTCAGTGTTGGCTCTTGAGGATTAATAGTCATTATGTTCAAATCAGTGATGAAGGTCTATGACTTAGAGATTCTAAAGACAAGTGTCACCAAGCAGAGGGCAGTGAAGGGGAAAGACTACACCCGTAACCCCACAGAGCCTCGTGCTGGTTGTGCCACGCTGAGCACAGGTGTCCAGTTTCCCGGCAGGATGCAGCTCTTTGTTGCTAAACTTGTGCAAGCAGAAGACATCTGCCATTCACCGTTGGCTCTGATCATAATGTGCCAAGAGGTGCAGCCGTGTTTTAGGGTCACACCTGCTTTATGTCAATAATATTGTCAGCCTGAGAGAGTTCATGTCTTACCTACCAGTTTGTTGTGTTCTTACTGGGTCCTGTTCTTTTTTCTTTTAGTACTCATGGTTTTTCTTTGATGTACTGATCAAATCTATGGCTCAGCATTTGATAGAGAACTCCAAAGTTAAGGTATGTTACTTCAAGTGGAAGCTTGTGTTCTTAGGGGAAAAGAAATCTCTTTCATTGCTTTGTAGTGAACGTTTCTTCATGCTTTCTCTGTGCCAGTTACAGGACTGTTCTAAGTGCTTTACAAGTAATAAATCATTTTAGCTTCATAACAACGCTTTGAGGAAAGTACTGTTCTTACCTATTTTATAGATGGGGAAACTGAGGCCAGCATGCTTGAGTTACTTGCTCAAGGTCATGCTACCAGTGAGTGGAGCAGCCAGGTTTTGAGTCCAGTCTGGCCCCAAAGGTTGTATTCCTGAATCACTTGGTTATTAACCTAAAGAAAAATATGTCTTTTCCTTTGATTAGCTTAGAAATCTTCACGTTTGTTGAAATGGAAATTGTGGTTTCAGCATAAATTCTAAGTGTCATTACCCATGATTTATTAAGTGTCTTGACCGTCATAGACATTTATTCTTAGATGGGAGTATCTCACCAATCTCATGTTCTCCAAAAGCAATCAACAGACTCTGAGATTATCCATCTCGTTGGGGCAGATGCGCAGTCTCAAATTTCTTCTCTGCCCCAGCATCCCCTTGTGGTGAAGCCTGGATGTGTGTTCCTTTCTGACCGTGGGTCCCCCCTGCTTCCCCTGGTTCCCACTGCACTCAGCCCTGAGATGACTGGTCTTGTCTCTGGACTGGTGCCCACTGAGGTGTGTTTGGCCACCTCAGGCTCTCTGAGGCTCAAGGTAGATAAGTTTCTATAAAGTTCCAATGTAGTAAACAGAAGTGGCAGTGTCACTTTCTCATTTTGAAGTTTCCAGGGCTCCTCTGAGACCTGCAGAGTCCTGGAGTTGTCCTTGTGACAGTGAAGTAGTGTAGTTGTTTGGAGGCAGGGTCTGGTTGAAGTATTATAGAAGGAGCTTGTGCAGGGAGCGGGTGGTGCTGGGTCCTGTCTCACAATGAACACTTGTGCTGCAATCCTTGTAGGCAGGAGAGGGGATAGGGAGGGAGGGGCAGAATCTAGGCCTCCTGCACAAGGGATCTGGGCTCTCCGAGGAAGCCTTGGAAAAGCCTGCTAGATTTTGCTGGCAGAAGGTTGATGGTTCAGGCCTAAAGCCCTCCTTTTCCTCCCGTAAAGCAGACACTGGGCCTGGCCAGGTGGTTTCTCCTTTTCTTTTTTCTGTCTCTCTCTTTTGAATCCAGTTTAGAGCTTCTGATTTTAGTGCATAGGGAGATGCCAGATGGAAGTGGGCCCTGCCTTCTACAGAGAAATGCTCCATCTAAATCATGCCAGAGCAGCCTGCCAAGGAAAAATCTAGCAGATTGTCTGCTTGGCAGTATGCAGCTAAGTGTGCGTGCACATGCACACGCAGACACACACATCATGTAGATATATTACTTTTCTGTAAAAAAAAATGTTGTCTTACTGATATGTGGGAGCTAAAAAAGTGGATTGGATGAAGATAGATTGGTGGTTACCAGAGACTGGGAAAGAAGGGGAGGAGGTGATGGGGGAGAAAAAGAATATGAATGTGTTTATTACCACTGAACTGTACACTTAAAACTGGTAAAGATGGTAAATTATACATTTTTTCATGTTATATACAGAATAGGATTATAGCCTGTGTTCATTTGCTAGGGTTGCCATAATAAAGTACCACAGACTGGGTGGCTTAAAAAATAGAAATTTATTTTATAACAATTGAGATGCTGAAAGTCCTGGGTCAAGCTGTGCACATGGCTGGTTTCTTCTGAGGCCTCTCTCCTTGGCTTGTAGATGCAGCCTTCTGTGCGCGTCTGTGTCCTAATCTCTTCTTAGGAGGACACCAGTCATACTGGATTAAGAACCACCTTAATGACTTCACATTACCTTCATCAGCTCTTTTAAAACCTTGGCCCAAAGTGCAGCCATATTCGGAAGTGTTAGGGGTTAGGACTTCAACATATGAATTCGAGGGGGGCACAGGTCAGCCCATGACGAGGCGCCAGTGGATTTTTTATTATTTTTGGCTCTAAATAAACGTCATCCCTTAAATGCAATGGTAACGTGATTATATTCAAAATATAACCAATTCATTCTGCAACTATTCATTGAGCCCCTACTATGTTTGAGGTGCCAAGGATTACAAAGTTCAATGCATCACAGTTTTTGCCCTCAAGGAGTTCAGGTGGGAAGGTGTGCATTTCGTTCAGTGGCTGCCCTACCTCATGACGAGTGCTCTGAAGAGGTAGGAACAAAGTGCTCAGTAGTGTGGGGAATCTGGGAAGACCACCTGGAAGAGGCATCAGTTGCAGTGGGTTCTGATGAGTAAACAGGAGTTGGCTAGGTGAAGAAGGAGAATGAGGACCAGGTGGAGAGAGAGTGGTTTTGGCGGAAAGCTTAGGACCCAGCACCACAGTTCAGGGAACTACATGAACATAAGGCTTTTCTGCCTTATGACTGCAAGGAAGACCACGTGAAAGATGGTCAGGGAGGTAACGAACACTTCCAGGAATACATACAAGGATATTCAAAATCAAGCGCCAGTGACACCTTTCTGAGAATTGCATTAGAAAATAAGTAAAGGAATTTACTTGCATGTGTTTGTTCTCAAGATGCCAAATTAAACCATAGCACTTTAAGGGTGGTAATGACCTGAAAGGTATCTTCTGTTCCAGCTCCTCCCTTACCTCACAGAGGTAGAGACAGAAGCATAGACTGTGAAGTGACCTGCCCAGGGTCACACAACTGAGCAGAGCCAAGAACTTGTGGCAGAGTCCCAGTGGGCCTCTCCTAGAGGTGCTGCCATTTCCAGCCTTATAACATGATTTGTCAACACCTTTGCTCTGGGAAATGGTTTGTTTTTGGAACTTAACACAAACCACTCAAATGCTACCATGCACAACCTTTTCTGTAAGTTAATTATATTTTGACCCTAAAACAATATTCAGAGAGTTTTTAGAAGTAGTTTTTTGTTTTTTAAGTGCTTAAGTGGAAACTCTGGTATCCCACAGGAGAAAGCTTAACCATAACATAATTTACTATAAAAAGAGATTCACAAACACCTGCTTACCACCTTGAGGGTTCAACATTTTCACTTTTAGAGCACTCCTCTCTGGCTTCTGCTTCCCTGGCCCTGCAGACACCCTGCTGTTCTTTGCCCTAATCACACATTATTGAGCTGAGAGCTCCTCTAACATTTTCTTAAAGCCTTCATTCAGTGTGTCTCGTATCTTAAGAGTAATGAGTTTTCTGTTTGAATTAGTTGTTTTTGTGTTTGTCTTATTTACATCTGAAGAATTTTATGTCCTAATTCTTTGTTTTAGTCTTCTGAATTTATGAATATTCACCATTCCTGTACCATTTGTGATTTCCAAAACTTTGATCTCATCCCCTTAGGGTTTTTAATATTTTTAGACCAAAATTATTAATTTATTCTGACCTTAATATTTTTTGCTCTTGTTGCCCAGGCTGGAGTGCTGTGACGCAATCTGGGCTCACTGCGACCTCCACCTCCTGGGTTCAAGCGATTCTCCTGCTTTAGCCTCCCAAGTAGCTGAGATTACAGTCATGCGCTACCACGCCCAGCTAATTTTATATTTTTAATAGAGACAGGGTTTCACCATGTTGGCCAGGCTGGTCTCGAACTCCTGACCTCAGGTGACCCACCCACCTTGGCCTCCTAAAGTGCTGGGATTACAGGCGTGAGCCACCGCGCCCAGCCAAGGGAACCTTTCTTGAAGTGTCATGACGAGGCACACACCAGTGTTGTAGGAGCACCTGGGCCCTGGATTCATAACAGCCAGATAGTGCTTTCAGTGCCAATTAAAGTGTTCTACTCAAGGATAGCTACACATGCATGTTGTGTATTAAGCTGATGCTTTCAGTGTACAATTTATGTCATTCTTGGTGGTAGTCGAGTGAGTCCATTCAATGCATATTTACATGGAGGGACATGGCACAGCGTTATGCTTACTTCCAGTGCTGCACTCCTGCTGAAGGTGGAAGTGGCCATGTTCTTGTCCCCAGCCAACCAAACTGTACATTGTTACATTTACTGAGGAAGGGTGTGAATCAGAACCCCTTCGAACTAGCATCTAAAATAAGTAATTTCCTTACTACAGCGGATGGACCTGCAAAGTATGGATGGATTGTGTATGACTGTGCCAGACTCTAGTTTCATAGGTGACATGTACTTGGAGGGTACAAGTGATATTTGAGAAAAATGTAAAGCAGACATCATCAAGGTCTGTGGAGGAGTCCTCTCCTCACTCTCTGCCCCTATGGTCAACAGTTTGTTGGTGTTTCTTTTCCACCATGTATATTTAGCAGCTGTAATTTCAGCAGACTGCTTTTGCATTTCCTTTCCTCCCACATGGAGTGAAGCACATTGCTGGCATTCCACAGGTATACTGGAAGAAAGGAGGTTGGAAAACCTAGCATAGGGTAGGATGAATATATGCCCTTAGACATTGCTTGTTTAACCTCCAACCATTTTCTAGCTAAATTGAAAAAGAAAAGAACTGTTTTTGAAAGTGAAAGAAGGAGGGTGTGGCTCATAGTCTGAATGGACTGTTTGGACTTCCCCTTAACCAAATTTGTAAACACTATACATATGTGATAGGTAGAATGCTAGTATGCATTCTACCAGTATGCTAGTATGCATTCACCCTCAAGTGTTTTGAACAGTTGTTTGTAATGTGCAAAGCATTGAGGAAAAATGCAAATGGAGTTGAGAGTGAACCCTTAACCTTGAAGCTCACCTAGTCACTGGAGAAAGAAAACGTTCAGCTTGGAACATTTAGAGCAGTGTGCAGGAAGGTGCATATGTGAGCTTCAAGAATCATAGATTTATGTGGGGATACAGTTGGAACTTTACCTGGGCCTTGCAGGATACCACAATCTAGGGATAGGAGAATGAGTACCAGGCAGAGGAAATAGCTCAGGCCCAGGTAAGGCCGCTGGGGCAGAGTTCAGGCTGGATAGATTGAGATTAGAGGGGAAAGAGTGAAAAACAAGATTAGCTCAGAAACAAAGATGAGATTATGGGGAGCTGTGAAGCCAAGCAGCAGATGAACTGGTAGAGACCTAGAGAGGTACAGTAGGTTCTTTAGTAGGAGTGGCGAGATGACAGAGAGTATAAAGATTAGCAGAGTGGCTTGGAAACTTTTATATCAATAAGTCTGCTTATCCCCTGAAGTATAAATAGCCTGTGGAACAGATTCACCAGACATTTTAAATTTTGATTTATTTATTTGTTTAGCTCTCTAACTGCAATAATATGAAATGACATTTTATGGTGATGCTGATGAAGATCTGGCATTGGGAGGATAAGGTGGGATTGAGGATGAGGATGGAGAGCATTATGAATGAGTAAGGGAGATTATTCAGACAGAACCATTCATTCAACCCTGCAGTTCCACGTCTAGATATCTGCTGAAGAGAAATGAAAGATGTATCCATGTAAAGACCTAAATGCAAATGTGCACAGTAGCTTTATTCATAATAATCAAAAACTAGAAACAACCCAAATGACCATCAGCTGGTAAATGGATACACAAATTGTGGTAACTCCACACAATAGAATGCTACTTAGTAATAAAATGGAACAAAGTAGTGAGTCATGCAACAGCATGGTTGGATCTCAAAAGCATTCTATGAACTGAAAGAAGTTAGACACAAAAGACTACATACCATTTGGGTCCATATCCTGTATATGACATTATAGAAAAAGAAAAACTACAGAGCGCAGAGCAGCCCCGTGGTTGCCCAGGACTGGAGGTGGGGATGGGGACAACAGATGTACTTTCTCTTCTTGACTGTGGTGATGGTTACAGTTATATTCACTTGTCAAGACTCACCAAACTGTAGACTTTTAAAGTCTGAATTTTATGGTATGTAAATTATGCCTCAATAAACCTGACTGAAACAAAACAGAGCACAGTAAGGTCAGACTTGAGTGGGGGAAGAAAGGCCACCTAGATATTGAGCGTGAGATCATAGAAGAAGGAGCTTTTGAGAGAGGCAGTAGAGTAGAGGGCTTGGTTTACCAGGGAAGGTGCAAGGTTAGCCTTGGGATGTCATATGCTTAGGGCTGTGGGTTCAGTGGCTATGACAGAGACCTGAAGTAACAGTGAGTTAAACAGGAAAGTAAAAGTTTATTTCTTTTTACTTGAAACCCCAAGCTCATAAGAGGCTTCTGTTCCACAGTTATGAGAGGCCTCCATCTTGTTTGCCCCCTGGAGTGCTGCTCCTCCTTTTGATCTAACTGGGTTCACCACCACATCCATGCTGGAGCCAGTAGGGAGGGGAAGATGCACCTTTCCTTTTAAGGATATGACCCAGAAGTTGCACTGCCACATCACTACCACTGCTATCGCATTGGCCAGAGTTAGCCATGACGGTACCTAGCTGCAAGGGATGCTGGTAAATGTAGTCTTTACTTTGGGTATCCATGAACCTAGTTAAAAGTTGAGGTTCTATTACCATGAGAGGGAAGAGAGAACAGATACTGGGAAGTCACCAGCCATTGTTTCACAAAGGGCTGAGGCATAGCCAAACACATTTCCAGTTGGCAGGTGAAGGTTCAGCCTGGGACAGGGAAGCGAACAGACAGAACTAAAGAAATAGATTTGTGAGTACCAATCTGCTGAAACCATAAGCCTAAGCTTTTCTCTGGGGAAAAGGACTGTGTTGATCTGAGTCAACAGATAGGAGTAGTCATGCTTGAGACTTATTGGGGCAATGACTACAAGGGAAAATGGGAAGGCGCTCAGGAGACAGTGGGAGAGCCATCAGAGGGCAGCACATGTGTGACCCAAGGTTAAGAAGAGAGAGAAGGAAGGAAGCGTCTTGGGCCACAGTGGAATTCTAAGTAAGAGAGGTGAGCAAGGCATTGGAGAGGCCTCAAGCCTCCTCCTCAGTCATCAGTGGAGTCCCACATCCCCCAGCAACAAGCCTGCTGCAGCTTCCTTTCCACCCTCAGTCACTGGCAGGGAGCAGCCATGTGAGGCATGGAGGCACGGGTGGCCTTGGTACAAATGCAGCTGTAGATTCCACAGCATAGTGGTGGGGCCAGGAGTTAATTATGTTCCCTGCAACTGAAGATGTGAGGTGCCATTCTCATTGTGTCAGCAGGGCAGAGAGTGAGGTAAACATGCAGATTATAGAGAGAAGACTGATCTTTGGGAATGAAAATGATGAAGAGGTAGGAAGAATGGAGTTTGTAGGCTGGGCGCAATGGTTCACATCTGTAATCCCAGCACTTTGGAGGCCTAGGTAGGAGAATCGCTTGAGCCCAGGAATTCCAGACCAGCCTGAGCAACATAGTGAGACGTCATCTCTGCAAATGTGAACAAAATTAGCTGGGCATGGTGACACATGCCTGTTATCCCGGCTACTCAGGAGACTGAGGTGAGACGATTGCTTGAGCCCTGGAGGATGAGGCTACAGTGAGCTGTGATTGTGCCAGTGCACTCCAGCCTGGGCGACAGAGTGAGACCTTGTCTCAAAAAAAAACAAAAAACAAAAACAAAAACAAAACCAAGTTGTAGAAGAAAATAGGAGAAAGAGGAAATAACATAGGGATCTTGATAAAGGGGAGTAACCAGAATGCAGGGAAATGTCATTGGTAAATTTCTTCTCAGCCCCATTACTTTTGTTGTTTGCTAAGCCACAAAGAGAAAGTTTCTTAATTAAAAGTCTTATTTACGTCGGAAAGCAGTAAAATAGCCCATAGAGAAGAGGCCTCTAAACCACACCAGAGAGTGGAAGAACACAGTGCAGAACAAAGAAGTGAACATTTGAAGACCATTCCGAAGTCCTCACCCATGAAGCAATGATTGGGCAGCACAGCTGTGGGAGAGCAGATGACCTGTAGGGCGGGGAGTAGCCCATCCTGGGTCTCTACGAAGACCTGGCTGTTAACCGCAGCGTCCACAGGGGCCTCCACAGCCAGGCTGAGTGTGGGTCTTCAGGGAGATCCCGTTCATTCGAGGAGTCAGTTGGTAGGCGCTGAGCAGCCAGCGGGCAGCACATAAGTGTGGCTCGCAGAGGATGGGGGCATGGCATCCCGCATGTGGCTAGAGAGGCTGATCTTGTGAGGACAGGTGCTGGGCTGGCTGACCCCACACAGGCAGCACCTGTCAGGTGGTGCCAGGACAGAAAGGGATGCTGCAGTGCAGCGCAGCACACGGCAAGAGATCCTCCAGCAGGACGTGGCAGGGAGTTGAGGTTGGTTTGGCTGAGAAGTCCCTTAGTGTCTCAGCGTCCTCTTCTCCAAGCCTCTATCAGGTACTCACTACCTGAGCATCATCTTAGATTTTCCTCTTCTGTTTCAGTTTATAGTAATCTCCATAAAAACATTCTATTGCTTAGGTCTTCATTACCTTGAAATGTGTATGATACCTCGTAAAAAGACTTTAGTTTGTTTTATTGACAATTAGGACTCTTAACAACAGCTATTTGCCACTGCAGGGAGAACTTCATTTCAGCCTTCACAGGCATGAGTTGTCATTGCCTAGTCACTGAACAGCACTAATGATGGGTTGGTATGTAAATTATCCATCATTCTTCTCCATGTATTCTTTCTTTTTAATACAAACATTTTACTATATTTTCTAATAAGTGCAGAAGTAGAGGGATTAGCCTCCCCACTTGTCAATGTTCTACTGCCCTTGCTTGATACATACCCACCCTCACATTTTTACCTTGTAGTATTTTAAGCCGTTCCCAGCTATTTTCTCACTCCATCTTAGACACTTTTAGCATGTCATCTCTAACAGATAAGCCTTTAAAAAAGATATAACTACCAACATCACACCACACAAAATTAGCAAAACGTCTTTATTATCATCTAACACCCAGTCTATATTCAGTTTTCCCCAGGTGTCTCAAAAATGTCATCCTATAGTTGGGTTTGTCTGCTTCCGGATCTAAACAAAGTTCACACCTTGCATTTAGTTGCTGTGTTTCTGAGGTTTCTTTGATTCTTAAACTGTTCTCTTTTCATCTGTTTGGACTTTTTTTTTTTTTTTGGCAACATATTTGTTGAAGAAAGTGGGTCATTTGTCCAGCAGAATTCCCCACAGTTTAGATTTGGCTGATGGTAGCCTCACCGTGTTACATACGTGGTTCTCTGCCCCGTGTTCCCTGTGAACTTGTGGTTGGATCTAGAGACTTAATTTGATTCAGGTTTGATTTTTTTTCTGGCAAGGATACCTCATAGCTGTTACTATTGCATCACATCAGGAGGCATATATACCCAGCTGTTCTACTTTTAGTTATAATAATGTTGATTAATAGGTTTACATGGTGCCCACTCAACCTGTCCATGATAGAGTTCTCCATCTACTTTTCCTGGTTTTAGCAGCCATTGACTCAGCCCCATTGTGAAGGCCACAAGCATTTCTTGGGATACCTCTTTTTCAGGAGTGGCCAGCTTGGGTAGTTAGCAGTCATGCCGGGGGTTAGAGTTGGCCTTGCCTGCGGTCTTGGAAATTGGTCATCTATTGATGCTGTCATCTCAGGATATAGAGTTATTGGTGGCACATATGCAACAAAATCCCTTTGGAATTTCACATTTTGCCATTCTGTTTTTTAAAGTTGGTGAGCTTCACATTTTTGTTACTGATCCTTTCCTCATTGGATTCTTGACTCTATGTAAGGTTATAAACATTTCCTCGTTATTGGTTTGAGAATTGAAATTGTTATAAAGCTGGTATTTCAAATATTCCTAATAGGTTCTGGCATTTAATGCATAATATAATGCCTGCTGTCATGTCAGAAATGTCTAGGTTGCAGTTCCCAGTTTTAGAAAATACTATTTGTTTGATATTGGGACATTGGTTTGGCTGCTCAAAAACAGGCCATAATAATAGTGGTTTAAATTCGACAGAAGGTTCATTTCTCTCTTGGACAATCATGAGTTGGTAGGCAGTTTGGAGAACAGGGCAGCTAGTTCCCCAAGATCATTCAGTGACTCAAGCTCCTCCAATCCAGTTATCCAGCCTGCGATGTTCACCTCATCCACGTGGCTGAGAAGCTGGCTCACTGCCACAGCACAGTCCAGGCAGTGGCACAGGAAGGAACAAGGGAGGCCAGCGGCTCCTTTTAGGAGCATGGCCTAAACAAGGCACGCATCCCTTCCATAATTTGGTCATGTGGCTCATACCTAGTGGTAAGTTAGACTGGAAAATATAGTCTGGCTGGGCAGCCATGTGTCCCTGTAAAACCATTACTCTTCAGTTACTAAAAGGAGGAAGACAAGGACAGTTTTATTAAAGGTCAGTTAGTACTTTTTAGTGAGCTCTCTAAGCCTCAGTTTTCCTGTCTGTAAAATGGGGATGAAAATACCCCCCTCTTGTGGCTGTTAGAATTAAATGCATGAATGGATCAATGTAATGGAGCATCCTTCCTACTTCAGGCTCTCAGTAAATTATTCTGTTTATAGACACAGGGGAAGTGCAGCTTCATGTAACAGAAAATGCCCAAGTTTTGGATTCTGTGGTAGACCTGGGTCTGAATCGTTGTTGTTAGTTGTGTGACTGAGGACACATGTACCTAACCTCTCTGACCCTTTAACAAATGAGGATTAAACTTATAGGGGTATTACAAGAATTGAATGAAAAAGTACATACAAATATGTAGTGCAGTGTCTGACATGTAGAAGATATACATAAGTGTTAGCTAATTGCTAAGTAATCTGAGTGTAATTTTGTAGGTTCCTGTTGGGGAAAGATTACTGTGTAAAGTTGATTGTGAGAAGACTGCTGCCAAGCAGTTTTAACTAATCATGCACGGTCATCAAAATCCGTATTTTCAGTTTGAATATTTGGAGCTTAAATGTAAGCCAGTGCTTTCTAAAGAGATCTCTGAGAGGTACAGGCATCAGAATCATCAAAGATGCTCAGTAAAAATGCAGGTTCTTGCCCCTTCTCCCTGCACCCGCTGCCAGGCTCCTGAATCAGAATCTTTGGGAATGGATGCAGAAGCTCCACCTTTTTACAAACACTTTTTAGGTGATCTTTATTACGCTGAAGTTTGAGGTTCCAGTTTTAATCCACAGCACTTATTTGAAGTATTTGAACACTTTCACAGTACTTTGAAAGAAGGAGGGTTAATTCATTTTTTCCAATTTCAGATAAACAAGACTAGGACTCTGAGGTTTTATGGGGTTTTTTGAGACTGGGCCTTGCTTTGTCACCCTGGCTGGAGTACAGTGGCTGATCTTGGCTCACTGCAGCCTCAGACTGCTGGGCTCCAGCAATCCTACCACCTCAGCCTCCTGAGTAACTGGGACTACAGGTGCATACCACCACACCCACCTAATTATTGTACAGATGGAATCTTGCTATGTTGCCTGGGCTGGTCTTAAACCCCTGGGCTCAAGTGATCCTCCCAACTTGGCTTCCCAAAGTGCTGGGGTTACAAGTGTGAGCCACAGCACCCAGCTAGAAACTCTGGGTTTTTTAAGATGGACTCAGGGATGAGATATTTTTTCCTCCCAAATGATTGCAACTTAATAAATAATAAATGTTTGCTCTGAATTCTTTTTAGTTGCTGCGAAACCAGAGATTTCCTGCATCCTATCATCATGCAGTGGAAACCGTTGTAAATATGCTGATGCCACACATCACTCAGAAGTTTCGAGATAATCCAGAGGCATCTAAGAACGCGAATCATAGCCTTGCTGTCTTCATCAAGGTGGGGACCTCCAGGGAAGAGGATATCAGTTATGGGACAAAGATGTGCTTTTTACCAGCTGTCTAGCAGGGTGACTAGAATAGAGTAGGTGCTCTGGCAATGTTGATGGCATGTTTTTTATGTCAGTGGATAAACTTATTAGCAATAAATGCTGCTTTGAATCCAAATTTCCGAAATGTTTGGACCTGAAATAACTTTTTTGCTTGTTTTCCTCCACAGAGATGTTTCACCTTCATGGACAGGGGCTTTGTCTTCAAGCAGATCAACAACTACATTAGCTGTTTTGCTCCTGGAGACCCAAAGGTAGTGCGGGGGTTGTTACTGGTAACAGAAGTCACCATGTAGCCTTTCTCTGGTAGAATTATCTTTTTCCTTTTTTTTTTTTAAAGCTCTGCCTTACTAATTTTTTTATTGTATTGAGCCTGTGTCTGTAATTATAAGCTACCTGAAGTCCTTCATTGAAGTAGGAGGAGCCCTAAAAATCAATTGAAGACATTGTTTATTGAAATGTGTCCTTAGTTTTCAAATCAATCCCTGCAGCCATCCTGAAATCTGTACAGTGCAATAGAGTGTGCAGTTCTAAGAAGGTCAAGAAGCTAATGACTATTTCTAGCATACTATTGCTAATAGGTTTTTTAGAATCCTGTATAAAATATCCAGTGAGGTATTTATGACTACACACTTCTTCCTGCAGACCCTCTTTGAATACAAGTTTGAATTTCTCCGTGTAGTGTGCAACCATGAACATTATATTCCGTTGAACTTACCAATGCCATTTGGAAAAGGCAGGATTCAAAGATACCAAGGTAATCCATCTTTATTTCTATTAACCTTTTCACAAACAGAGACATTTATTTTCAATAAGAAAAGATAATTGATTCAAACATGATATTTGAATTTTCTGATTTTTTTCATTGATGAATTAATTTTTTTCTTATGAAATTTCCATTTCAAAAAGTATTGGTAAAATATGGGAACTTACTTTTCAGCAAACTTATCAGACTACAGATCATGCCAGTATGGCTATTTCATTGAAAAATCCCTTTGCTTAAAGAAAAGGAATCTATTTCAGTTGCTATAGCTTATTTTTATTTGTTTCACTTTTCCTTTTTTCTTATGAATTAGCTTTTCTTTCACCAACTGTGGAGTCAAATGACACTCCTGTAGGTAGGTGTGGGGTATGACGCTTGCTTTCTTGCATTTTCCTCCTCTAAAAAATAAAGAATGCAAGTGATGGCTGAACTGCTTCCATATGCTGTTCTGTTAAGTATTTCCTATATAATTTGATCAATTTTTAAACTTGCCATAAATTAGTGAATTTTTTCACTGGAACTAAGACATTGCTGTAACATCCCAGGGAGGCATCCGGTTTTTTGCTCCTGAAGTCACTGGGTACTCTAGGATGTTTCTTTAAGAAGTAAAACAAACATCCCTGCTTCACCCCCAAAATTCATTATTCTACTATTTTCATAGCCCTTGTCCATAGTGGTGGCAGTAATCAAAATCACAAGCAATGTGGCTTTTTTACATGCTTTTAATGTTTGTATGTTGAGTCTTTATTAATGTCCTGTATTCTTTTTACGTTTGAAGAGAGTTGAGCTCATAGGGATGTCTTTGTCTTCACTGAGTAAATCAAATTGAACAAATTAGTCTGTCAGGTCTGTCAAGCAATAGCTCTTGAGCTTAATTCCTTGTATGTACTCAGGTATTTTGTGCTAAGGGAGAGAAAAAGTGGAAGGATGCCACCAAACTGCTAATGGCACCTGAATCAACTGCTTCTGAATTCCGAGAGAAACACACTAAGGCATTCATTCAGTCTGTTTCCCCCAAACAGACTGGTACTGCCTTTTAAGGATCAGGCAGGGGGACTGTGGCCCTGGAGTTGGCATTCATGCATTCAACAAATATTTACCCCGCACCAACTGTGTCGAGCTTCAGAATAAGTTGTGTACAACCTGGATGACAATCCCCGGCTATTCTACATACACCTGGATGACAATCCCCGGCTATTCTACATACACAAGATACATAGAATGTCAGACACTGATGCATCCTAAGGAGAACAAACAAAGCAAGGAAAGGGGATATGAAAAGGGGTGACATTTGAGACAGGGTGGCCAGATAACAGTTGGAAGAAAGTGAGGGGTGAGCCAAGCACCCGCATATCTGGGGGAGACTTTTTCTGGGCTGAGAGAACAGATAGGTATTCAGTGTCCCCTGATCTAACCCTGGCCCCCCACCTCTGTGGTCTCACACCCCCCTATTCTGCACATTCCAGGCATCCCTGCCAACTCCCAGCTCCTCAAACATATCATGCCACCCCTCCACCTCAAATAGCCCCCTCCCTGGGGAATCCTCATCTTCCTCCCCAAGCCAGCCACTCCACACCTCCTGCATGGGGCCTCCCAGGGTCTCCTCACTCTCTTCCACTTCCTCAACTGGAATTAACCACTCTTTCCTGCCCTGTGCCCCCAACCTCACCACAGCCTCCCTCAGCCCAGTCTCCTGTACCTGGGGACTCTCCTTCCTTCCACCTGGTACAGAGCCCAGGGAGCTCTTTTTGCCCAGTGGCTGTGTAGTGAATGTGTGCTGATGCCCATCTCCCCATGACCCAGCAGGGCAGCACAAGCTCTTATAGACTTCTAGGGTATTTGGTAGCAAGACGGGCTTCGCTCAGTCGATGGGGGGATATATGGGAGTAATTTGCCTTACTACACTGACAGGAATAAATGTTTTTTAGAATTTTCATTTTCTTTCTTCTCACTTACCTCCCACCCCTGCCTTCACCTCCTTTCTTGTGTTAGTCTATTCGTGTGCTATAAAGGAATACATGAGACTGGGTAATTTATAAAGAAAAGAGGGCCAGTGCAGTGGCTCGCACTTACAATCCCAGCACTTTGGGAGGCTGAACTGGGAGGATCACTTGAGCCTAGGAGTTCGAGATCATCCTGGGAAGCATAACAAAACCCTGTCTCTACAAAAAAACAGAAACAAAAATTAGCCTGATGTGTTGGTACACATCTGTAGCCTCAGCTACATGGGAGGCTGAGGTGGGAGGATGACTTAAGCCCAGGAGGCAGAGATTGCAGTGAAATCTGCAATCTAGGCAGATTATGCCACGGCACTCCAGCCTGAGCAACAGAGCAAGACCCTCTCTCAAAAAAAATAAGAAAAGACATTTATTTTGGCTCACAGTTTTGCAGTTTGTACAAGAAGCATGGCGCCAACATTGGCTTCTGGTGAGGCCTCAGGAAGCTTCCAATCATGGTGGAGGGCAAGGGGGGAGCCAGCATGTCACATGGCGAGAGAGGGAGCAAGAGACGAGGAGTGAGGCGCCACACTCTCGTAAACAACCAGATCTCGCATGAACTCAAAGCGAGAACTCACTCATTATGGCAAGGAGGGCACCAAGCCATTCATGAGGGATTCGCCCCCATGACCCAAACACCTCCCACCAGGCCCCACCTCCAACACTGGGGATCACATTTCAACATGAGATTCAGAGGGGACACACATCCAGACCATGTAATTTCTCATGCACATTCATACACACAACCATAGATGTGTGAGCACACTCCCAGTTAAACCATAAGTAGTTTCTTCCAAGAGACATGTGAACTCAAGCTATGACTTATAGTTTTGATAAACTAGGTGAAATAATCATAAACAATGAACATAATCTAGAAAATGAATACTCTCCCCCTTCTATTAAAGGGTTTCATAGAACTTGGGCCCATATTTTGGCTAGATTTAGGAGTAACTGTCTGATAGGGGACAAAAGGCAAAGGGAGAGGTCTATAGACTTTCCTTTAATAATGGAGTCAGTCTGACAATTCACAACCTAGCTTCAGCTTCCTGAAATTGTATTTTATCTTCAGAGTGATGTTTAGCTGTTTTTATGTACCCTTCCTAAGTAGAGTTCATGTTTGCTCCTATCTGTTTTCCAGAAGAGCTCTCAGTTTTGTCATTTAGCTTGCTGGTGATTTACCAGTTTGGTTTGATGCTTTGTCCACTTCAATTTTAGTTTATATTAAATTTGTATTTGTTTTCAGAGGTGGAGAAATATTAGGAGAATAGCTTAGGAAATACTGCATTAAATAAGTTCTTCATTCAGGGATAGCAGAATAAGTAGGTTATATATTAATTTGTTTATCTTAAATCCACTGGGTTTTAATGGAGTATATAGACATTAATGACCAGGAAAGGAATATATGAACTCATGTAATAACATTTTAATGAGCCATGTATGTTTATTATTTAATTACATGTTTGTTATGCACAAACTGCTCTTATACAGTTCTGTTAGCTAGTATAATAACGTTTTTAACTTTGTCAATAACAAACTTATATTTGTAATATAACATATGCTGTGTTCTAGTCTAAAAATTGGTACTTAAACTGTTCACTAATTTAATTATGTAGGATGCAATATGTTCCAAAATCCAGTGCACTTAATTGTATTTAAATTTGGTTTTCATTTAAGATCCTCCTGTGCTAAGAAGTAGAGCAGCCTTGTAGAATTGATTCTTTCTCATTTGAAGCCAAGTCTGATCATCTCTTGACACCCAGGGTGGGCTGAATGCAGAGGATGGGTCTTAGTTTTTTTTGTTTGTTTGTTTGTTTGTTTTATTCAAAGAGCATTGCATCTTTCCTAACTCAAGTAGTTTCTATCCTCATTTCAGACCTCCAGCTTGACTACTCATTAACAGATGAGTTCTGCAGAAACCACTTCTTGGTGGGACTGTTACTGAGGGAGGTGGGGACAGCCCTCCAGGAGTTCCGGGAGGTCCGTCTGATCGCCATCAGTGTGCTCAAGAACCTGCTGATAAAGCATTCTTTTGATGACAGATATGCTTCAAGGGTGAGTGGTCCCCAATGGAAGGAATGTGCATTGATAATGTCCTTTATTTTAAGTGGTGTAAAGAAAGTAATCAGTTAGAAAATTCATGGTAACAGCACTAAGATTTTGCTCTATTTTGGGACTAAAATCAAATATCTGTCTTTATAGGAAGGATCCAAATAAAGGAGATGGTCAGCACCAACTTAGTTCGGTTCTCAGAATCCTGGGTCAAACTTACCATGTGTGTCTTCTTTTCAGAGCCATCAGGCAAGGATAGCCACCCTCTACCTGCCTCTGTTTGGTCTGCTGATTGAAAACGTCCAGCGGATCAATGTGAGGGATGTGTCACCCTTCCCTGTGAACGCGGGCATGGTACGTAAGCATGGTCACATTAACTCAGCCTATATCAGGTCCCGGGGAAGCCAGGACAAAGCGCCATAAGCTGGGTGGCTTAGAGCAGCAGCAGTTTATTCTCTCCCAGTCAGGAGTCCAGAAGTCCAAAATCAAGGTGTCAGTGGGGTTGGTTCCTACTGGAGGCTCATGGGCCATGCTCCTCTCACAGCTGCTGATGCTGCAGGCAACTTTTGGTGCTCTCTGGCTTGTAGTGGCATCGCGCCAGTCTCTGCCTCTATCCTCACTTGGTGTTCGTTCTCCATGGTGTTTGTGCCTCTGTGTCCCTCTCTTCATTTTTTTTTTTTTCCCCAAGATAAGTCTTGCTCTGTTGCCCAGGCTGGAGTGCAGTGGCACAATCTGGGCTCACTGCAACCTCCACCTCCCAGGTTCAAGCAATTCTCCTGCCTGAGCCTCCCAACTAGCTGGGACTACAGGTACCCACCACCACATCCGGCCAATTTTTTTGTATTTTTAGTAGAGGCAGGGTTTCACCATGTTGGCCAGGCTGGTCTTGAACTCTGGAACTCTCCATCTGCCCACCTTGGCCTCCCAAAGTTCTGGGATTACAGACGTGAGCCACCGTGCCCAGTCCCCTCTCTTCTTCTTATAAGGACGCTAGTGATTGGGTTTAGGGTTCACCCAGTATAACCTCATCTTAACTTACATCTTAGATATATAATGGAAAGATCCTATTTCCAAATAAGGGTACATTCTGAAGTCCAGGTAGACATGAATTTATTGCGGGACACTATTCAACCCAGTACACACACCCCTTTATTTTGCCAGTGCAACTCCTGGTAAGTTGCATTTCTGGCTAAGATGGGGTCAGTCACTACACCTTCATTTCTTGTTAAAAAATAAGTATGAAAACCATGTTCTCGTGATGAACCAATGTCTTGTGAGGCCTCAGAATTTTCATTTGTATATTCACTAAAAATTTATGGGGGGAAGGAGACACAAAAAAGGTGTAGTTCTAACCTAACCTGTGTCCTGGAAGAGGTCATGGTAGCCCCAGTTATAACAGTAACGTGCTGCACAGTCTAAGAAAGGCCACCTCTGTGGGCTACAGTTTCTCTCCCTCTGTCAGATTAGAAGTGAGACTGGACATCAGGGATGCCAAGGTGAGGGACATGAGGCTCCACCTCCAAGAACTGACTGCCTTAATTTATATTATCTTTGTGCTGTTTTTTAAACATGCATTGGAAATTGAGTAGATAGAGAGATGACCCCAGAAATTATCTCAAAAGTTTTTGATTAGAGATGGTTTTGCTCTTTTTTACTCAGTCTCTGGTACCTTTCATATGATTGTTTTTTAAAAAGGATTCTTGGAATCATCTTGCAATTCAGCTTTTTCAAAGGTTTATCACTATCAAATTTCTTGTCACATTTCAGTTGCAAAAGGCTTTTTAAAGGTTAACCTATAATAATTTCTAATTAGTAAAGTTTATAAGAGTTTTACATCTAAAACCTGCACTCCTTCTCTTTCTGATGCTCTCTTCTTGGCCTCAGAGGGCTTATCTGCTATGAATTTCAGCAGATGTTATTTCAGCATTTCCCCTTTCCCTGGTACTTTGGACTCATGAACTGGCTTGGTTGTTCATCTTCCTACCTTGTCATTATGGGTGTACACTTGCAGAGTCTCATGTATGTTTCTGTCCCTCCGTCCCACCCCAACAGTGATGCAGTGTCCCATTTTTACACTACCTCTTCACCTCCAATTACATTCCTAAGTAACATTACACTGAGCTGAGCCGTGTGTATAGCGTTTGTGCATGTGTGGCTGCTCTAAAGGGCATGAACTCTCTCTATCCTAAGTGCACCTCGCTTATCTCACCCTGTACAACATTACATTTCACACTTGTATTCTCTAGCCCTGTCTGTTTTTCAAACCAGAGTAATTCAGAGTAGAATGTGACCTCCTTGAACTGTTTCAATCCTAACAAAAATGAACACTTTCACCAAAGTAAAATCCCGTTTTTTGACCTAACTTAAAAATTAATATGATTTCTCCACTGACTGAGAGTTCACATGATGCTACAAACATCTACAGTCATTGCTGCTGTTGTAATTCCCCGCATTACAGATAAAAGCCAGCATTCCAGTTAGAAAGAGCAGGGGAGGCTTTCTCTGAAGGAAAAAAACAAAACAAAACAATAATCTAAGGAAATGTTGGGCGTCCGAGCTCTGGAAAGGGAAAGGTGTTAGCAACGCTGGGGAAAGAGAAACAAGACTTTATGGAACGTGATTTCTCTCCCCCACCCCCACCCAGCATCCATATCCCATGCCCCCTGCTCCCCCTCTGACCCATCCCACCCTCCACCCTCACCCACGCCTCAAGGCTACTCCTCCCATGCAGGCAGGCACGTTGAATGCATCAGGCTGTCTTGGTCCTGCACTTGCCCTGGCACTTCCAAGAACAGGGGAGGAATCCTTTCCAGTCATCTTTGATTGTTTCTGCTTTCCTCTCCTTGACAGACTGTGAAGGATGAATCCCTGGCTCTACCAGCTGTGAATCCGCTGGTGACGCCGCAGAAGGGAAGCACCCTGGACAACAGCCTGCACAAGGACCTGCTGGGCGCCATCTCCGGCATTGGTAACGCTCCATGCTCTTGTGGGCTTCTCTCCACCATCACTCTGAAAGTGTCTTGGAGCCAATAGTTGGTGAACGTGTCACACTTGTGTGGTAGGACCTTGAAGTCTAAGTTGCTTTCCTGAGTATTCTTTTCCTGCTTGTGATAGTCAACAACTGAAACCCCTCAGCCATGCCCTGAAATAAAGGTCCCGGATGCCTGTGACTCCTCAGGATCATACAGTTAATCACTGGCTCACGCTGTTTGCTTTTTGTTCAACGTTTGTTGAGTTTTCATTTTAAATCTTAATTGGATTGTGTATACTGTTAAGGGATATTTTTGCAGGTGGTGGGGGGAGGGGAACACTGATTTGTAGTGTTAGCAATTTTGATGAAATATGACATAGTAATTCCAGAAGAACGTAGCAGTTTGTGGCTAGAATTCAGTGCTAAAATCAGTTCTCAAAAGTCTTCTGTCCCGCAAGACTTTTTCTGTGTGAAATAACAGAAGAGCGGCCACCTCTGAGAGAAAAACACGTGACACAAATCAAGATTCTAATAGTTTCTCCATAAGAAAATGCCGGACATAATGTACTTATTAATATTCTGACTAAATGAACGCCTGTGCTAGCTTTTCCTCAGAGATAGCAGTTTACATATATATATATATATATACACACACACACACACACACACACAAACACACATATCCTCCAAGAATTGTCACAGGTGCTCACAGCCTTCTTCAGTCTTTATTTCTCCCTGTCTTTATCACATTTTGAATAAAGAAAGCATCCTACTATGGCTAGTGGCTAGACTACCTAATAATGGGACTAATTCATGGGATAAAATAAATGGCAGCCTTTATCCAATTAACTCACAGGACTTGCCCACTCTGAGATTATGTCTTTACCTTTGCCGGTGGTGGTGGTGGTAATACGCCATTTCATGTAGGGGATGAAACTGGGTAGAATTTAACATGAGAAACCCCACACCAATGCCCAAATTTATCCTGCAATAATAATACCAGTCCTTAACCTGGTTGATATTTATGTGTCTTTTTCACAGTTATGCTCTCCTTAGTTGACACTGTAAAGATTAAAAGAGTTAATTCATGCAAAATGCTTGCAACAGAGCCTGGCACACGGTAAATGCTCAGCAAATGTTGGCTGCTGTCACGAGTTTCCATTTGCCTTTCTTCTGGGCCTTCACTCTGTCTCTGCCCTGCTTTGCCCCATTCCCAGCCACTGCTCCAGAAGCAGGGAGGGGACCTTCCTTAGAGGGTTTTGTCTGCAGTGGTTCACAGCACTAGCTTTAAAGTCAGACAGATGCAGCCTTGGATCTGGAATCGACCATTTACTAGTTACCATGGCAGGATGTTGTCTATCTTCTTTGCCCTCCATACCCATGTCTTCAAAACGGTCGTTAGAGGGATTAAGAGCTGATACAAAGTGTATGGTGGTTGGCAGAGAGGAGTCAGATGAGTGGAAACATCACTTCACTGTAACCTTGATCATTTCCACAAAGTTTTAATACTTCTGTTTGACTCTTTTGACTCTTCTCCAATTCAGAATTCACCTTGTTAGGATTGGGGACTTCTTTAGAACTTGGAGATAGGCCACTGGGGATCTTTAGCATCATAGCCTCCAATTGCTCCGCACTGACATTGCAGCTGTGAAAAGTACTTGAAACTGACTTAATCCTTTTTCACTCTTGAATTTTAAGATCCAAATCCACTTTTCATAGGAATTCACCTCGACAGGCTTATTATACTCAGGTTATCTATATTGCCTCCTTTCTTGAAGATTTAAATCCCTGTTCTCTTTTAGGAGTACCTTCCAGGGAAGCCTCATCTTTGAACTGGGTTTACTAGTTTTTTTCTGGCAGCTTTAACAATTCTTTGTTCATCAGGGAGTTTCTAGCTAATTTTAGTCCTGGTGCTTCTCCTTCAAGAGCAAACTCTCCTTACATCTCTGTTAGAAGAATCCTGTTTCCACACATACTGAGAATGTGCCGTCACAGTTTTTTAAATGTCTTTGGATCATGGTGCCTGAGAGTTTTAAAAGTGATTCACTGCCTGGATAAAAACTACTCTGAGATTACATTCATTTTAAAAGGCAAGCGTCCTGAGGCTCAGGGTTTCTTTTTCCACCTACTCAGTGGTACCAAGGGAAGAGGGACGAATTTATCTTCTTTTCATTTTACTCAAGTGTCGTTTAAGGACTTTAAAAGCTATGCACTGGGCCAGGATATTAAATACAAACACATACACAAAGACATAAAAATAGGAACAAACTAAGCATATTGATTTTGATATATTGCATTTCCATCTGTTTGTCTTAAATTAGGACTCTAGTTCTGGAATCAAGCTTGAGACTCTGAGAACTTAGGGCCTAATTTTACTTTACTGAGGACCTCTTTCTCTTGAGTTCTGTGTTCTTTTTCATGACTTCTGTGTTCTTCAAATGCTGTTCTACATTAAATATGAAATATGATTATATTAGAAAAATTATAATTTGGTCATAGCATGTGTTTCTTATCTGAGTACAGAAAAAGGCCATAGTTTTTTCACAGGGTTTTTACCTGTCCCTTGCGACAATCATTCACATGGTTTCTCTCCTGGGGAGACGCAGCCACTGGCTGACAATAAGGCTTAATGAAACCATGTTCAAGCCTTTGCTTCTTTTTTCAAATTCTCCTGGCTCTTCTTTTCTTGATCTTTAATACACTGAATCAGTTTCAGGGATAGCAGTGAATAAATCTGAGTGTTCAACAGAGGGAAGGATTTATGACCTTGATGTCACAGGTCTTCCTTCTAAGGTTAAAGAGTTAAAGACTGACCAGGCACGGTGGCTCATGCCTGTAATCCCAGCACTTTGGGAGGCCGAGGTGGGCAGATCACCTGAGGTCAGGAGTTCGACACCAGCCTGGCCAACATGGTGAAAACCCGTCTCTACTAGAAATACAAAAAAATTAGCCAGGGTTGGTGGCAGTCGCCTGTAATCACAGCTACTTGGGAGGCTGAGGCAGAGGAGTCACTTTCAAATATACTTTTGGTGTAACCTAGAGGCTGGCTATATTTATTTTGTTGTTTATTTATTTTTTAACTTAGAAGTATCCCAGTCCATGGCAGCTCATTTGCCTACTGAGATCTGAAAACAACCAGCCTGTTGTGAAGTGCCAAGTAATGGCATCTTCAGCTTGCGTCTGGGAGAATGTGTGCTCACAGCTGCCAGACACAGAGTCCAAATCTCCTGATGCCATCTGCCAAACCAGCCAGGCCTTTCCGCTGGAGGCACGCCTTTTGGTTCAGCACGGAATGTACAAGTCCAAAGAGTCGTTTTAAATTATGTGATTTATTTAAATCTTATCTAAGCAGGAAGTCAATCTATTACCTTAAAAAATTCCATAGTACCAAGATAGGGAGTGATTTCTGCCTTCAAATACTGTTTTTTTCATGGACATCACAAATTTTATTTCCACATTAGATTTCCTTTCTGCTCATAGTTGTTTATAGCAGATTCCCAGATATTCCCCGTTCACAGCACCCTTAGTGTCACTTTATTTCGTGGCATCCCTAGGCTGAAAGACACACCCAGCAGTTCTCTTTATTAGGTACTTAGGACCAAATAACTTAATAAGTACTTACATCCTAACAATTTAGTAGGCACTTAAAAGAAATAATACACATAAATTTAAAGGAAACAATTAATTTTATTTTTAATAACCACAACTCACTACAAATGGGTGGTGTGTACCTGTTGGACACTGACAGCTTCTCAGCCTTTGGGTCAGATTGGCCAGCACCATTCGCATTTCCTGTCCCTCATTGATTACTTGCCTTTTATCATAGCAGGCCCCCAAATACCCAGCTTCACAAATATGTCTTCAAAAGGAGCATAGCACAACCTGCTGCTGAAACAGCAGCTTCTGGCTGAGGTCACATATCACTGTGTTCTCCTCGAAAATTTAAAATACCCCATGACACCCCTCAGAGTTGGGTAGGCTCCTCAGTGTTTATTACCAGTTTGAATGCTACAAGTTTGTTGTGTGGTTTAATTTTGTGATTTGATAGTTGTAGGTGGATTTATCTTTTAATTTTTTTAAGTCTTCATTCTATCACATTCTGAAACAGGTATGCATTTAGTCTTTAGCGATCAAAGGTGGTTTCTAACAAGTGAATTGATGTTTACATCTGAATGTTTCAGACTAGTTTCTTTTTATCTCATTGTATATGACCTGGTTCTTTAAAGGTGAAGTAATGGAATGCAACTCTTGAGCCAACTTCCTAACAGAAAAAATAAGTGCAATAAAAGCAATTTCCCTTAAAGTTCAGTACTCATCTTTATTTTGTTCTGTCTTAATAAAACTTTATTGTTGGCTTGATTTCCATTTAGCTTCTCCATATACAACCTCAACTCCAAACATCAACAGTGTGAGAAATGCTGATTCGAGAGGATCTCTCATAAGCACAGATTCGGGTAACAGCCTTCCAGAAAGGAATAGTGAGAAGAGCAATTCCCTGGATAAGGTAATTGCTTTTCACCCAACACAAATGTTTCTTATAATCAATGGATTTAGCCCAAAGTAAACGTACTTCATGTTCTAGTGCCTTTTAAGTGTGACCTTTTGTTTTTTTCTAAACCACCCGGCTGACCTGGAGTAGGTGATGAGAGCTTTAAGGTTGGGGCCCATTCCTTGAAGTGCTCTGATTCCTGTTTCCAGTACCTCAGATCCTGGGCAGGGTTTGCAGTGGAGCGTCTTGAGTGAATGGCTCTGGTGGGTTGAACGGGGAGGGACTCAAAATGCTGCCCATCTCAATTTCCTGTAGTCTTTTTATTTATTTATTTATTTTTTGAGACAGAGTCTCGCTCTGTCGCCCAGGCTGGAGTACAGCGGCACGATCTCAATTCACTGCAACCTCCGCCTCCTGGGTTCAAACGACTCCTCTGCCTCAGCCTCCCCAGCAGCTGGGACCACAGGCACAAGCCACCACGCCCGGCTAATTTTTGTATTTTTAGTAGAGATGGGGTTTCACCATATTGGCCAGGCTGGGCTCAAACTCCTGACCTCGTCATCCGCCCGCCTCGGCCTCCCAAAGTGCTGGGATTACAGGCGTGAGCCACTACACCTGGCCAATTCCCTGTAGTCTTTATACCAGAGACACCATCATCAACACAGCTCTCCACCCACAAGGGTGTTAGGTCTGAAGCCAGCTCCAGAGAATAATTGATCATATAGGTGATTCAGGGGTAAGAAATCACTTTATTCACACAGCACGCACCCACAACACAACACTTCCTCCTCATACTTAGCCTTTTTTCTTGAAACTACTAAGTGCTCAGACCATTTGGAACTTTGTAGGAAAGGATAAAGTGTGGGTTTAAACCTGGAGCCATGGTAGATTGGTATCACTTTGGGCACAGATTTTCTAAGTTACTTCAAGTTACAGGCAAGTGCCCATCCCAATAAACAGCTGAGCCATTTAGGGATTTATCCCTAGTTCTCCAAAAACACCCGGAAGACATCCTTCCTCAGCATCAGGTTTATAATCTTGTCACGCATCCCATGGCTGGCATTGACATGGTTACCATTAAATGCAGTTCTGTTGAGGTGCGAGCAGCTCAGTTTGGGTGTGTCATGACGTATTGAACTTTTCCCTTGACCCCAACATGCCTTCATGTATAGAGGGAGAAGCTGCTCCGAAGGCACTCTGCTTGTGTCATACGCAGTGCTGAAGAGGAGGAGGAGAGCTGCCAGTCAGCCAGGAAAAACCGGGTCACTGTGGATTTTTCCCTTCTAATGATTCCACCTTTGCCAGAGGAGACATTGAATGCAACACCTTCCCTCCCACTGCCGGAAGTACTAAGTTCTCCAGTGGCTCTGATCAAGTGGGCAGGCCAGAGGGTGCATCCATACCAGTTTTGCCACTAATTTCCCCTGTATTTTTTTGTAAATGAAAATATTCACATATTTTATTAAGCCTGATATATATATGTATATATATACACACACACACACACGCATAATTTTTTTTTCAATTGGCCACCAGCACCTTGAATAAAACATCTTTTTTCCACTATTGTTTTTGCTTTGATATTTGGTAAAAAAATTTTTTTTATTTCAATTGGAAATTCAACTGGGAGAGTTTTTAAATCTCCTGTGTTTGCAATCACATGATGAGATTCTTGTTCTGCTTTTTTTCCACAAGAACCTGCTGCCTAGTGGCAAAATTGCCCTCTTGTTTGCCCCAAGCTTTCTGACGTTTGCAGTGTTGAGCTAAGCTGATGAGGGAGTGACCTCATCAGTTTAGGACCTCTGGCCATGCTGTGCTGACGTGTCCCTGTTTGTCCCGGTTGGGCACCTGCCTATTGTGTTCCCTGAGCAGTGCCCACAGCACGCCCCATAATGCACCCTGGGTGATGGCGCCTGGGCTCCAGGTTCTGGGGTGCTTTGGTCACAGCAGCACCACAGGCACTTGCTGTTTCAGCCACGGCTGTTGTCCTCAGGAGGTGGTTGGTTGTGCAGTGTCTTCTGAGTCATGGTTTCTGTTCTTGATCCTAGCACACATACTTTCTTGCATGAGGTTTCAATATACTTGGCATCTCAGAAGGTTTTACTTGGCATAGCTAAAGCTGTGTTTATCCAGTGAGAAAGGTCTGTGCCTTCTGCTTGTCCCTCAGGAGAGCGTGCTGAGGAGACAAGCTAGGGCTTCCATGGGCAGCATCTGAGTGTGTTATATTTGGGCGAAAGGGTGCCTGTGGTTTAATTGTCAGCAAGTTACTTGCACCTTCCAATGTGTATGATCTGACTTGATTCTAAGAGTCTTTCTCTTCCAAGGGAGAAAAGGGAAACACGTTTTCCTCCCGTAATTAAATAGAAAAATCACCTGTATTTTCTTTTTAGCACCAACAAAGTAGCACATTGGGAAATTCCGTGGTTCGCTGTGATAAACTTGACCAGTCTGAGATTAAGAGCCTACTGATGTGTTTCCTCTACATCTTAAAGAGCATGTCTGATGGTAGGTTAAAAAATGGAGATTTCTGTTTTGCTCGTTTCAGCACTTGGTTTGTTTGGTTTTAACTTGTAATAAGTTGAAATGATACAAAGATTTCAAAGGATTTTCTTGTTTAAAATGCATATTCATTGACTAAATGTAATTGTTAAAATGCAATTCATTGACTAAGGTTCTTAGAAATAAGAACCTTATTGTGGGAAAATCATTTCCTTAATTATTTTATTCTAGAAAATGAGTTCCAAAATGTGAATGGGCCTATTTCTTAAATTTATATTAAACTGGGACCTGCCATCTTAACTAAAGGAGATAGAAGCACATAAATAAAATAGCTTTTGGCTTTAAAAAAAATTTTTATTCGTCCAGACAAACTTACTGTCAACTTAAATAACTGTGTTAGTCTCTGGAATTAGAATATATGTTGTGGGGGGACCTAAGCATTCCTTCCATTTAGAGTGTGTATATTCCTGGCTCAAAGTGGGAGATATGTTATTTTAGTTTTCTAATGGAAATGGTAGTATCATAGTAGATTATGTTTCTGTTTAAGGGTTTGACAACCACATTTTAAAATAAGAATGAGCAGAACTATGAATGCTCTATCTGGACCGTATAAGGCTTGCAAATGTGTGTGACAGGACAGTTTCAACTCTGTTAGCTCATCTGTGTATCTGGCTATGTAATATAAACAATCCCAGTAAACAATGTCGCAGTTCTTATCCTGGGCAAAAATCTTATTTTTCCTACAACGAATTAAAAGGTGTGCTGTGAACTTCATTAAGGTGATTGAATTAGGATGAACTCTCCTAAAAACAAAGTGCCATTTTTTGAGAACCTGAAGGCCTCTTGTGCTGCTTATATCTGGGGGCGGGAGGTGTGTACTAAACATCCAGTGGAAGGTATTTCTGCTTGAAAATAGTATTTCTTTTAGATCAAGCTTCCATTTCAGCAGCATTAACAGCCTGGCTTTTTTTTTTCCCCAACCCCAGCCAAGGTACAGCCTGACTTTTTAGCTCAGATGGTAGGAAAATCCCTCTTGCCCTTAAAATAAAGACTGGGTAATTCGTTCTTCTGTTGATTTGTTACTTTAAAATGCTAGTTTTTAAAAAAGAACAGACGAGCAAGAGTTTCCCTGAATGATGACCAAATACACTAGCACAGGGCACTTAGTCTCATATTTGGGTTTATAAAGTTGAAATTCTTCCCATTAAGTCAAAAGTTCTAAACTTTGCTTCATGGTAATAATGAGTTTCAGCGAGCATTATAATTCTGTTTTTCCTTTGTTTAAAGTTTTCTTTAAAAATATTTTAAATTTCAAATATTGAATATGACCTATAATAAGAACATAACTGCTTTTTGAAGACAAATATACAAGAACATTTGAATTCAAGTAAAAGTTATTCTTTAAAGTCATACACATATTTTTAAAATGCAACCACCTCTTCAAAACAATTTTAGAATATATTTTTCTCTCAATTTTCTTCAAGTTATCGATTGTTTTCCCTTTATAATTAGAATTTGTGTGTGTGTGCATCCCATTTAAGAAATCTTCTCCTACTCCCAGGGTCATGAAAATATTCTCATATTTTCTTTGAAAGCAGTGTTATTTAAATTTTCACATTGAACTCTAAAAATCTACCTACAATTGGCTTTTGTGTGTCATATGGGTTAGGGGGAGAAATTGCCTCCAGAGATGGTTAACACAGAGAAAACCAAAATCAGTTGTGTAACTCTGTAGCTACTCTTTCATTTATTCCACATTTAATGAGCACCTTCTACATGCTGGGCCCCTCCTTGCTGTCCTTCTTGTGCCATTTCCCTCTTCACAGAGCTTATCTTTGTCTTCCCACTCTCCCCAACCAGTACCTGGGGCCCAGAGCAGTGAATGGCAGCGTCATTGCCCATGCCGCTGGCCGCTTCGTCTGGTGTGTGCTGAGGGTGGCCACAGGGGTCTGCAGGGTGGTCCCACCAGGCTCTCCAGCATGCACTGAGCTCCCCGGGGGCTCACCATACCCTGATGGCCAGCCTCAAGTAGCCAGAGTCTGTTCCTCTGGAATCTAAACTTGAAACCCCTAAAGATGGAAGCCCATGACCTACCCTTATTACTGGTCTAATAGGCCAAGCGGCCTTTAGAATCAGATGCACGCGATTTAAATCCCCACTCAGCCATGATTCTTCAGACTGGTAAATGGGAGAATTACTTTACTTCTCTGAGCCTCTGTTAGCTCATCTGTAAATGGGGACTTTCTTCTGCCCCAGATTATGGTGAGGATTAGATGGCACAATCTATGTGAAATTGTGAGAGCACGTAGTACAGTGCCTGGCACACAACAGATTCTCAGTCTATATGCCATGTCATTCCTGCCTATCATTGTTCTTGGCAAGTGTAGAGTGAAAGCCTGTGGCCATACATCTTCATGAGCCATCAGCATCCCCATAGCCACCGTCTCTGCTTATCTCAGGCCCCAAAGACTCTGGCTTTTTCCCTAAGAGAAACCTCTTTACCTATTTCTCAACCTCAGTGTAAAATATAAGAATGCAAAAAAGGTTAGCTATTAGATGATAGAACTCAAACGATGGTAATACTAAACTGTTAAGGGTTCACACAGAGGTTTAAATGCACATACCATTGGGTACAGCTGTTTCGCTTCAGAGAACTTATCCTGTAGGTATAGTTAGACATGCATGCAAAGACCCACATAAAAGGATGTTCATTGAAACATAATTATAATAGCAAAAAGTTAGGGGAGAGAAACAGTAACTGCCTATCAGTAGGAGACTAGTTAACTCAATTATGGTCTATCCACATAGAGGAATATTATGCAACTTGGGAAAACTTGAGATAGATCCAAGCTATATTGTTCAGTTAAAACTCAGAGAGCAAAATTATGTGTGTAATATGCAAAGATTTTCAACAAATTCCCTGTTGGGGAGAGATCCTGTAGTAGGAGACAAGAGAGCCCGGCTTTAGGTTATATGTCCACTTGTATTCTTTGAATTTTCTAGTCTATTTAAGAGCATGTTACGAATAAGTTAAATGAGCATTATGCCAGAATATAGCACTAAATGACGTATGATGGAATTAAAGTTCAAATGCAGCATGTTGAAGGTGAATAGGCCTCAGGTGTGTGATACCCAGTGTAGAGTGGTCAGCTATAAAAGAGGGCAGGGGAAGGGTTTAGAGGCCTACACTCCAGGGTTTAGAGGCCTACACTCCAAGGTTCCTTCCCATTTTCACAACAGGTGATTCTCCATAATGTATATCATATGTATTGTGATTCTAAGTAAATGTTTATTTTCTAGATGCTTTGTTTACATATTGGAACAAGGCTTCAACATCTGAACTTATGGATTTTTTTACAATATCTGAGTAAGTAGCTTTCTCTTTGATCACTGCCTCTTGATTTTTTCCTGGATCATTAAGAGGCTTGAAGAATACTATGTAGTTGAACCAGAGGAGTAGTGTATGTCACATCCTCACTTACTCCTTAAGCCCTTTCTCATGGTCTTGGCCCTAAAACATATTTTCAGGGCTTGTGACCCAGTGATCAGTGGTCACCCTTAAAGTATTACAGATACGTGCCTGTTTTACATGAGAGGTAACTGTTTATGTGTATAAGTCATCTTAATAAAATAACATGAAATTTATTAGCTGAATTGGGTAGATACTGCTTTTCTAAGTTGAACCTAACTTAAGCTGATGCAGAAACTGAGTCAGAAAAGTTGCTATAATTTTAAAATATAAGAAGTAAAAGTGAAATCTTATGTAGCATCTTTATCTCATTTTGGTTTGTCAGTATAAGTTTCTGATTTCCTTTAAGCTCTTTACTTTTAGAAACGTGAATTTACAATCCCTTATCCAAAACTGCTGGGGCCAGATGATTTTCCAAATTCAGAACTTTTTGGATTTCTGAAAAATTTACATATAGACTGTATCCCATTACATCCCAGCAGCATCTCTCTATAATAAAAAAAAAAAAAAGAATTTCTGCAGAACTATTATTGTTCATAATAATTGAATAAATCATAACTAAAAGTAGCTTTATGTCTATTATTTTGGGTCATATTTTGGTGCCAAATGTATTTGCATGAACTCAGGAGGAAAGCTGGTTTTCAGAGTTTCATGCATTTTGGAACTACAGATGAGAGACTGTGGGCCTGGCCCTCAGTGGACGCTTGGCTCATAGTCTCCTGACCTCTGCTGAGTTAAAGGCGGGAGTTATGTGGTGAAACGAGATTCAACACCAGAGGAGCTCACTAGACATTGTTTTAACTACCTCATTAAATACATGATTAAAAAAAAATGTTGTTAGATATATATTTTTAAAAACTACACACTTGGTGTGTATAATCCATATATTTGAGCCAAAAGAGAGAGCTCCTTATATAGATGTAAATGAGGATGAATAAGTAACTTGGAACAGTGTGCATGGTCTTGAACATGTTTTCTCGGGCACACTGCCGTGGAGTGAATCACTACCTCTGAGTCGATGGACGATCCTGTCGGTCGTGGGCCTCTGCGCTGTGTTGCTTTAGCCAGCCACCACCACACTGACAGCTACACAGGATGGGGCTTCCCTCACAGGTTAATAAATTTCTCTGGGTTTGAAGGCACTTTCCAGAGGACTCCCAAAAACCATTCTGAATGAATGAGGATGTGACTTATGCTGGTACTAGACATAATGTTTATTGAATTTGTTATTGTTAACAGATAAATAACGTCCCGAAAATAATTTTATCTTTGCATTTCCCTAATAATTTTTCATCTTGCCTGCAGAGTCTGCCTGCACCAGTTCCAGTACATGGGGAAGCGATACATAGCCAGGTACTGTGGGGCGTTTTCATTCGAAACGTGTTGTTTTCTGTGATGCCTGGCTCTGATTGTGTGGGATTGGTCATCAGTGGCGGTTGGCAGTTGGGGTTCATGGAAGCGGCCATGGGGACTGATGGCAGGCCCTTGGATTGCCACCGCAGAGCCTGGCAGTGTCTTTGGTCTGCATTCCTACCGGCGAAGTCTCATTTCACCTCACGTGTTATCTCTTGGAAAGCATTCCTTTAGCGGGCTGTGTCTACCCTTCCATCCTCTCGTCCAAACTCCCCCTCCTTCTCTGTTCTGTCTCCTTCCCATCCTCTTCTCCCCAGTTCTTCTTCCTATGTTCCTTCCTCAGTGGTTTCTCTTCCTCTGTTTGACTTTCCAAGGTCATTTTGACTGTTCCTGCTCCCAACTACAAAGATACTAAAATCTCACCTAACCACTCTTCTTCTTTCTTAATGAAAGAATGTTTTCAGTCCATCCCAAATTTGTGTGGACTTCCACAAACCTTCTCTAAAATGGAGCCTTTTCTCTTCCTACTCTTGACTAGTTGGTAAACGCTCCATGTTCTTGGCCAGAACTCCCTGGTGAGTAGCGTCACTCCCACTTTCCTGTGCAGAACCAGCCTCCTAGAAACTCCTTGCAGCTGTGTGGCTGGACACGCCTTCTTTGGGGGCGTTTCTTCGCAGCACCTCTTGTCCTTACCAAGTTCTTCCTCCTGCCCCACTGCCATTCAGATTGTCTGTTTGTTTTTTTCTGTGTTGTGAGCCATTCTGTGTTATTGTATTAGTGGGGTCTTGGTCTAAGTATTATATTTTTTTACTGTTGTTTTTAACAGCTTTATTATAAGTAAACATGTTTTAAGAAAAACTTAAAAATGTAATTGTCATTGAGGTTTGTTTCTCTATATATCGACAATTTTGTCTTATAGTGATGAAATAGGCCAGAGATTTTTAGTAGACTTCCTCTTTGTGAAGATTTTCTTTTTCTGTTAACATTGTTCTTTTCTGGGGATATTTGAGAAATTTTCAGAATTACATTTTATGTTAAGAAGTAAACATGTATGTTTTCTTTTTAAAAGAAGCAAATTTAGAATTTTTGCATTTTCCTCCTATTAATATTTTCTATTTTTCATTGAAATGTGGTAGCACTTAAAGTTCTCTAATCTTAACTGTTTTATTTTTTATCACAACAGTAATTTTATATTTGAGTTTTGGAGTACTAAATGCAAGTATATACAAGGTGTCCTTATACCAGCAACGTCTTCTACCTTGACTTGGATTCTCCCTGACTTTGTCCCATGAAGATGGGCAAACAGTAAATTCTGTCACAGAAAGGCACTGTGCTGGGCTAGCTTCACTTTTTGCAGTGACACCTACGTCACAAGATGGCATTTGGAGAATATTGTGCCAAGTAGAATAAAATGCCTCACAGCTTAAAACAGTGAATGTGAGAAGCTGAAGATTTCTGTCCCAACAAAATGTTTTAGAATCGGGTTTTGTGAAATGGTTAACGTATTTTTTTCAGTGGATATAAATTTAACTTCTTAAAAGAAAATCTTCCTACTTCATAAGCACCCTGTATATATTTGCATATAAAAGTGTGGACTGCCTTAAAAATAGATGGGCCAAGGAAAACAGGAGTGGAGATGATGTGACTTTGCTCCATGCACTGTGGAAAGATATGCTCTGCTCTATACAAAAATTGCCATGGTTCTCTGCTGCATGTGAAAAAGATCCTGAACTAGACTGTGAACCTTGTACATGTTTGCCATCCACGGTGGTCGAGTTTGATGAACACTGTGCCTTCTTATTGTCACTTTGAAGTCACCCAGCAGCATGCAGTCGATGATAGTCCATGCATGTCCCTGTTCTCCTACACACAATAACACAGTGAGGGGGACGGTTGGCTCCGGGACAGGGGACAGGTGTCATTGCAGCCCTGGTCTCATTTTCATCTGCTCTGGTGATGGTACACAGCAGGAAGTTAGCTGTTTGATTGCTAACCCAAATCACTCTTCTGTTTTCTCTACTTGACTGCTGACAAGTTTAACAAAGTGTGTGGCTCTTCTCCTTCCTGCTTGGGTAAGAATAAAGGTGTTAAAACTCATATAATCCCTTCCTTTGCATGTTTGTTCTCTGTGTCTTCCAATGCATTTTTTAATTAAAAAAAATACATGTCTTTTGCTTTTTCAGAACATATATAATCCAAAAAGATTAGTGACGTTTTGACAGTCGTCAGAACACTAACCATTAGTACTGCATTGGAGTGATGCTCACTTTTTTCAGAGTAGCATCTCTAAAGTACTTTCTAAAAATAAAAAGGTCCCTGCTTTGGCCTGATTTTTGCTTCTGGATCATCAGGTGCTTTGCCGTGAAGTGTGCAGGAGCTGCCGCCTGTCTGTGTCTCTGGCTGCTCCACTGTGTTCAGTCAGTGCATGGCCATCTCCCTCGTGCCATGTTCTGGCTTCACTAACACTCCCCGTCTCGCTGCAGTGTAACACGTCTAACTTTTGCTTCTATCCCATTTCACTCATGTTGCAGGAACCAGGAGGGGTTGGGACCCATAGTTCATGATCGAAAGTCTCAGACATTGCCTGTTTCCCGTAACAGAACAGGAATGATGCATGCCAGATTGCAGCAGCTGGGCAGCCTGGATAACTCTCTCACTTTTAACCACAGTAAGTCCCATGACATGCCATCGTAACAGCCAGCCATCTCATGTGCCATCTCAGAGGGGAGAGCCCTAGGCCACACCTACCACATCACCAACTCAATTTTTCTTCTAGCTCAAAGCAAGTAGGATGAAGAGCTCATGGCACAGTTCCCTTCCTTGGAGGAGCGTCCTCAGCATTTGGGAGTGACACAATGTGGAACGTGCTCAACTACAGCACTAAACCTAAAAGTGCCTGACCCTTTCTGCATCCCTAAAACAAAACTCGGCTGGGTCCATAGCCAGCCGTTCTCAAGAATTCTAAACATAAAATTTGGATTCATCACCTAGAACCGACTTAATGTTGGCTTTCCCCTGCAACTCTGAGAACATTCGGGATGGATTTCTTTCACCCCTTCTGATCCTGTGCATGTAATTGATCAAGCGTCCACATTCTGACATTCCAGCTCTGAATGGATGTTAATCCTTGCACTACTGTGAAAACATAAAGCCCATGAATCAATTTGTGAGGGTGTGGAAAAGCATCCAATAACAAAGTGACTTTTTCTGTGTTTTCAGTGTGAGAAAGATATCAAGTGTGCTTGGAATTTCTGTAGACAATGGTAAGATTTAATCAGGTTGAAGTCTGCTTTATGAGGTTGCTTCACTTGCAAGCCAAGACCCTTTTTGTTCATCTTGCCTTCCTAACTTTGGGGCTTTCTAACTTTACAAAAGAGATTCTGCCAGAACAGGGGAGCATATTTTTAATTTACTTTTATCAGTCAGCAGAGGGGACAAGGCATTGTGTGCTGTTTCTAGTAATTTAAGTGCTTTATCTTCTTAAGGGTTTCTCAAAGCAGAACACCTGAAAGATATCAACCATACAGCACGTGAAAAATTGATGAGATCATTTATAATACCCATTTCTGCTAGCATTGTGTTCTCTAAATTGTTCCATCTCTTCTCCAAGCATGACACAGCTAGTTATTGTTTTATCTCAACAATTATTTGTTATTCCAAGTGCTGTCTTTAATACATGGTTATTAATATCCTTCCATCATGTCTAATAATAAATTCCATTCGCTGTGATTTTTCACACCTCTTTTTAAAATACAGGCCAACAGTAAAGGCAGTGTTCCCAATGCATTGTATTAATAATAGTTCAAAGTAAGACACCTGAGGAACCAAAACAAAGCAGCTTCCCACACCTCTGACCCAGCAACGTGGGCATTATGAAGATTGTCCGGGTGCAGTTTAAGTGTTATGAAGATTGGCTGGGCATGGTGGCTCATGCCTGTAATCCCAACACTTTGGGAGGCCAAGCTGCTGGTGGCCAAGCAGCAGGTGGATCACTTGAGACCAGGAGTTCGAGACCAGCCTGGCCAACATGGTGAAACCCCGTCTCTACTAAAAATACAAAAACTAGTCAGGCTTATTGGCACACACATGTAATCCCAGCTACTGGGGAGGCTGAGACATGAAATCACTTGAACCTGGGGGGCTGAGGTTGCAGTGAGCTAAGACTGTGCCACTGCACTCCAGCCTGGGTGACAGAACAAGACCCTATCTCAAAAAAAAAATAAAAAAAATAAAAAATGTTATGAAGATAGTCTGTCTTGATAAAATCCCAGGCTTAATTTAGATAATGTCAGTCTGCCACACGGAGTTGGTAGCCATAAAATGCTACTTCTGAGTTCTACACTTAGCTGTAGAATGCAAATTGAGTGACACCTTTAAGGCTACAGTACTTGATTTTTTAACATCTTTTCTGTTGGGGCTTTGACTAGTTCTGCAGAAAGGGATTGGAACAAAACCAGGAGTTTGTTATTTTTAGTTTTTCTTTGCCATTTAGCAGCAGAAATTCAATCCCCACTGATAAACAGAACCTGCTGGACCTCCTTTGCTCAGATAATTTCTATAACACAGAGGTTAACTCACTATTGGTTGAAATAAATGCTTAAACTTTGAAGCACTTTTTAAAAAATCATAAGTACACCAGTGCTGCACCTCCAATGATAATCATTTAGGAAACACAGAAAACAAAAATTAAATGAATGGTCCACATGTGAATAAATAACCTTAATCCACTCGGATATGCAGCAGCTCTTCCCACTGCAAATGGGTTTTGTGGTGGTAACTTGAATTGGAGGAGAGAGACAGCTGGCCTGGTGCTGCTGCTGCTGCCAAAAGCCATCTTGTTAACATGGTTTATTTCCATTCTGTCTTCCTGCTACCCACAAGAGCCCTGTCCTCCTGTCTCCCTCCTCTTTCATCAGTTTTCAGTGGCATACTGTCCTCAGTCACATTTCTCCTGCTTTGCCAGTAAACAGCATGTAGCTGATTCTTCTAGTCCTCGCCTGCATTCCTACAATTCCTGCTCATTCCGAATTGGTTCTGTTATCTCCTAAGTTGTTGCAACTCCTAGAACTCAGCCTTCTTTTACATCTCCAATTCTCATTATGTGTTTGAATGGCTTCAGCTTTTCCCTCCGCTAGCTCTTTGAGCTCCAAATCATCAACTCAGACAAAAAACACAGAGAAGGGAGTGCATACTGTATGTACATGAACATGTTTGTGTGTGTGTTTTATATATATGTACATGTTTGTTTTCATCTCTACCTGGGTATTTTTTGGGAAATTTATGGCCATATGTCTTTAAAAAAAATCCCATTTAACAACAAATACAATACCTTCTGTTGGGCCAACCAATATGACATAGATCCAATATGTGAGAAAGTTGCCAGGGAACCCCAGGAGTCCAAAATGATTTTATTTCAGAAGAGAATAAAAATAGGAAGAGTCCCTGTACATCTGCATTGTTCATTTCCGCTATTTCTGTAGAGTAGGAAAGGCTTTGTCAGAACTCAGCTTGACCAGCAGGGAGCAGCAGAGGCCCATGGGAAACGGAATCCTTTGTAGGTCTGTCCCCATCACCACTGGTAACAGGACATGGAAGAAGGCACCACACGCACTGCACATGGAACTCCAGCAAGAACCTGTCTTTACTCTTTAATTTTGATAGGAAGTAGAATAGCAAATCCCCATGCCCAAATCCCGTGATGGCCAAGTAGTCTTAGCTATTTGAAAAACACCCTTAAAAGACAGGTTTGTTGTTTAGGCCATCACTCAGGTGTATGGAAAATAAACTTTAGAACACTTAGGCCTTGACATATTTAGTGTAATTTGTGCTCATTGTGTATCAGTGGAAGAGATTTGTGTCAAATAAAAAATTGAGAGTGATAGCACAAAACCACAAAGAGAGGGTACACTGTAGGTACATGAACATGCATATGTGTATATATGTGCATGTCTATAAACCACATTATGAGGTGAAAACTTAGTGAAATGTGTTTGAAAATAAGTGGTGCATTTGCAAAATATATATAAAATAACACTATGTTTACTTTGATGTCGTGTTGTTCTAGGAATACATCAAGTTCATTTGCATAATTCATATTTTCCACTGGTATAATGCAGGGAACACCAGCCAAGAGGTAGCAGCATGAAAAGAAAATCTGGATTTCATATAATTTGATCTAAAAGGCAGTTAAAGATTACTGGGTCAAGTTGCAGATAATATTTCAGATCAGAATCAGAAAGTATTTTCTAACTGAACTGGCCTTGAGTGGCATGTGCTGAGCTGCCTGTGAAGTTCATGTGGACACCTGCAGCTGGAGCTGTGCAAACAGACTGGAGGAGGCCCAGCTGGGGTATTGTCCAGGTCACTTAAGCATGCCATGAGGAGTTGGATGGCGTGGCTTGTCAGGCCCCATTTAACTCCGAAATGTCTTTGTTACCTAAAGCACAAGCAGGAAAATGAATATAGGTGATCATTAAATTCCTTTACTGTACATCATATTGAATTAATATGAAAAATACAGAGAATGTAGACATCTCTGAGTTAAAATATTTTCCAAAAGTTTTAAAGCATGGATAATATATCTTTAAAATTGGATAAAATGTGCTTGGATGCTTTAAACATATACTCAAAATAGTAAATAAATGTTTGTGGCCAGGCATGGTGGCTCATGCCTGTAATCTCAGCACTTTGGGAGGCTGAGACAGGCAGATCACTTGAAGTCAGGAGTTCGAAACCAGCCTGGACAACATGGTGAAACCCCGTCTCTACTAAAAACAAATAATAATAATAATAATAATGCAGAAAAATCTGGGCATGGTGGTGCATGCCTGTAATCCCAGCTACTCAGGAGGTTGAGGCAGGAGAATTGCTTGAACCCAGGAGGTGGAGGTTACAGTGAGCCGAGATCATGCCGCTGCACTCCAGCCTGGGTGACAAAGCGAGACTTCGTCTCCAAAAAAAAAAAAAAAAAAAAAATTTTGTTCATAAACAAGACACTTATTTCCTTGATTCTGAGATATGTTTCCTTGATTCTGAGGCACATTTTTGCACACTTTCTAGTATTTCCAAAGTTGGGTATATCTTACACATTACACTGGATATGGTAGTCTGTCATTGATTGGTATTTCTTGCAATTGATGGGGTCTCAGAGGTGAGCAGGTCTGATACAGTGTATGTTTAAAGTCAGTCATTTGTAATATCCTTACAGAGGATTTTAAGATGTGTGGTATGTTTAAACCAAGTATTTTCACTTGGGGCCTTTACTTCATATGAGGTCCCACTTTCAGATGCAACTCAACATTAGGTTTAAAAAAGACACAGGGAAGAGAAAGCTGATGGTATGACGCCTACCTCCTGAAGCATAAACTCTTAGATTACAGCCCGTGTCTCCACAAGGCATTCTGAGCATATTTGTTTTTTTTGTCTGTGGATCAAAGGGCAGATATCAAATGATATAAATTTTACCTTGGGGTATCACTATTTATTCTATTCTCTACTCTTTGCCAGTCTGTGAGGAAAACCTCTTTAGCAATAAAAATTGGATGGAAATGAATAATAGATTGTGTAGATATTGATCAGTTTGATATTTTGCAAAAATGTTTGAACTCAATAAAACCATATGCCATGAGTTAATAGGTATCTAGGAGACTAGGTCTTCTACATTTGGAGAGTTCTTTCAGCAAGAAAATTCCTTGTTATTTGGTATTTATATTTTCTCATAAGACTTACTGTGTTTCTGGATTCATGTTATGGGCTAGAGGGGAAAAAAGTCAAAATACGAACAAGAATTTTGGTTGCATAAAGAGTGAAGGTGGCTATCAACATGGAAGTGCCCCCTATAGGAATACGTCTCTGACCTACTCTTCTATCCCAAATGTCCTCTGGTATTCAGAAAAGGCATGTGGCCTCAGGCTTCTGTCCTGCCCACCACATTACCTCTGATGTCATGGTGGTGGGGAGGGAGGAGGTTCGCCGATGTGTCAGCATTATTCATTTGAACTATGCAGGTAACGTGAGTTTGTAGAACAGGGTTAGGTTAATTCAGTGTAGACAAATTTCATCTGTGGCCCCAGAGTATTTGAAAGATTTGGGGGCTTTAGAATAAGTCTTGTCAGAATGACAACAGAATGAAAATTGTATAAATTTGAGCAGTGAATCCGAAGGACCGTAAAGCATCCCGGGGCATGTGTGTCAGAGATAGCACGTCCCTGCAGAAGTCCTGCAGCTCTGTCCCTGAAGAGCCTGGCTGGAGCGAATCAGTGCAGGGCCCCAGGCACCACGGCCCCCTAGTGGAAATCAGTGTGCTTCACACCGCACTCCTTACTTGCCCGGGTCAAAAGCTGCTTAATCAGCTTTCAAAACATTGCCAACCCTTAGTTTAAATAATTTCTCTGCCTCTTCTTGGATTTACTAGCTCAGCTTCATTTTCCTGTGTTGGTCTATACCATGGTGATTGTTGATTCAAGTCCTCCTCCTGCACAGCTCTGTTCCAGGCCTTGAGACAGTCTCAGTCTCTGTGACTGGTTCAGCCTCTCTATGCTGCCAATTATTTTTAGGGATTTAAAAAAATAGCTCTAGCTCAGGAATCCTGCTGATTTTTTAGATGAAACAGTTGGAGGAAAAGCAAAGCATAACAATATGTGGCTAAAAGGACCATTTCTTTTAGATTCCTGTATGACTCAGGCAAGCGTACCGATGTCTGTATGAATCTGACTCTAAAGGAGAGTAGATGGTGTAATAACATTTCCCAGTACCATGTTTCCATATGTGTATACATAATTATATAATAACTTAATTAGCATAGTCCATTGATGGTATGTTTTAAAACAGCACATGGCCAAATTCTAATTTTTAATTGTTGCAGGCTTTCAGCCAGGAGTAGTTAAATTCTATGGGAGTTCTTCAGGCCATCTCATTGGTAATCATCACCTAGATGCACTTCACCTGTTGGTGATCTAGACCAAGAAAAGGACAGTTCTTTGCAGAGAAAGGAATTAAAATAAAGCCAGTTCCTTGTTAAAATTGAACCCAGACAAAAACTCATTCGGGGCAAATGGCAGCCCTCAGGAAAGGATCCCTTGGACCTGTATGATCATTTTGGTTGGTCTGATAACAGGTGTTGTATTTCTTGTGTGTGCCCTCTTACCACAGTATGTGATCACTTTAACAGTCATCATCGACCTGTTTGTTTTCCTCTTTCATTGTCTCTGTATCTTACCAAACAACCTCGCTGAATAAAGTCATGCCTTGGATTACCATCATGGCAGTACAAGTAACATTAGTACCCCAACATATCCACCTTTATTTTCTCTGGGAGATTTCGTACCCCAAAAGCAAAAAATGAAATAGAACTAGCATGGTGCGAGATGTGTTACAGATCCTCACTAAATTTGGAGAGACGTTGGCTGTGCTGCAGAGTGGAAGTGATGTGATCCACAACAGGATCTCAGCACCACCTTTGTAAAAGCAAAGCAGCATTGGATAAAAGCACACAACAGCATTTCTATCATATTTTAAAAAGCACTTCTGTAGCTTTTAAAGCTCTTCTGTAGCCTTTTAAAAACCACTCTATAATTCTGACATTTGAGTCAGAATGATGTCATGCTAGTTACTTGATTTTCTCCCAATAATATGTACTATGATACAGTGACCTGGATAAGGAATTTGGAGTGTAGATTCTGTTTTTTTCCCATTACTGGTCTCAAGAACATTCCCTAGGTTTTCTGTACTTCATTTTCTTGATCTATGTACAAAATGTCCTCCTCTCTGGAGTATTAGGAAAATTACTTAAGTAATGAGGCGTCGCTTTAATTTTGCTCCTTGGAGAAAGACATTACATGGTGTTTTATTATATTGCCATCTTTCTTTGTAATCTAGATCAATACTGTAACATCTTTGCATCCCTATATGTATTTCTGCTAATGCATACCATTTCATAATTTAATCTCAACTTGTATGTCAAATTGCATTTATATCAGTACTAAACTGATTTTGCCACATATAGAAGATATCCGTTTGTATTTAAATTAGGTGTGACTAAGCTAAGTTTAAATGACAGATTCTTCAAGTCCTTTTCTTTTTCTAAACATTTCTTTCAGACATGTTGGCTTTTATGCTTTTTCTTAAAGCAAGTAGAATACTATGCACAGCGCAGTCAACTCTTGATTATCATTCACGAGCTTGCTGATAACATAGCTCCTGAAGTTATTGACTTAACACCTCCATAGCGCTCAATGTGTGCCAGGCACTGTTCCAAGAGCTTCACAAATATTAACAAATTTAATCCTTACCACAACCCTTTGAGGTAGATACTGTATTATCCCCATTCTACAGATGAGGCAGCTGAGGTTATAAAGGGGCCAAATAACTTGCCAAGGCCACACAGCTGGTGAGTGGCAGAGTGGGACTCAGTGACCAGCAGCCTGATCTCAGGCTCATTTTCTTAACCTGCGTTGTGCTGCTGCCTCCGTCTACATGGGAAGCTTTGGAAATCTTAGCCTCTGCCAGCACTCCTGCTGGATAGCAGAATCGATCAATGCCTGTCTTGGTCCAAGTCCTGTCTCCACTGTTTACTACCTGTATGACTTTAGACAAGTTTAGCCTTTCTGTGCCTTCATTTCCTTATCTCCACCAAGGGTTCAACAATCTTCATACTTCACAGGGCTGTTGAGGGATTAAATGAGAGAATATGTGTAAAGTTCATAGAATCGTGGCTGGTACACAGCAAGTGCATAATAAATGTTTGCTGTGGTTATTGCCCTTTCAGAGTGGGAAAAAAGTTATAATTGTATTGAAACATTATTACTACTTTCTCCCTTCCTTCCCCCTCCCACCCCGCCCCCCACCCCAAAAAAAAGGCAAACACAGAGACAAGGTCCCAAAGTGGGCCTTCTGAATAATCAAAAGTTGACTGTGCCTACCGCATCCTGCCAGCCTTGCCTTCTGAACCACTGGGCAGTAATCTTGTGTTGTAATTCATGCAGGCTATGGCCACTCGGACGCAGATGTTCTGCACCAGTCATTACTTGAAGCCAACATTGCTACTGAGGTTTGCCTGACAGCTCTGGACACGCTTTCTCTATTTACATTGGCGTTTAAGGTTTGTATCAATTTGCTGTTCGTGGTTCTAGTTTTACCTTTCACATTCATTCTGCTTGGTAAGCTCAGTGAGCACAAACTTACTATGTTGCATTTTTACTTCAGCAATTATTTTTGTCCCTGTAAGGAAACCATTAATCTTTAAATTCCTTTAATGAAATCATTCCACAGTGAATGGCTTGAATGCCCTGAAATAAAATTTAACTGGTCAGTGTGTGCTGCGCGCTTGGGTATGGTGGAAACACGGTCTCTGGAGGCAGTTAACTCTTGGCTCGAACCTTGAGGATGGTGAATATAGGCACCTAATCAGGCATTTCTGCCTTGAATATCTTTAAATATATCCAAATGTTATAGCGTTTAATTAGATTTTTATGTAGAAAGGAGCAATAAACACAGACACATGTTTTCAGTTTTTTATCTGTTACTGCATTAAATGATAAAAACGTTTTGGAGATAGAAAATGAAAGGGGTTTTTTTTTTGTCTTGTTTTTAAGTTTTAGCAAATAATATTCAAGTAGGTGGAGATGGACTCTTCAGCCACTCTCCTGTTTTTAGGAACCCAATACTTCTCATTCTTGCTAAATGATTACTTCCATTTCTAGCATAGAAAGGAGAAATTGAATGAGTGTTTATATGCCATAAATATTGGAACAGTTTGCTTATTTGCAAGGGTGTTTGGGAAATAGGACCCAAGTCATTCTCTGCTTTACTTGTCTCCACTACTCATAAAGCACATTCCTTTATTAGGAAGAATAATGAGAGTTTTCCTGACATCGTGTCCCTTTATTATTATATACCTTTACTCTCCTTAGCCGCCACCCCTCTCTTGTCCCCATGAAACTCATTACTAGGAGCCCAGTTGAGAGACTGGGAAATGAGAGCTTAAAGAAAATGAGCTCGGGGTAGAAGCGCCTCATTACCTGGAGCCTCTACTACAGGGGCTCTCAGAGTGTGGTATCCGGGCCAGCAGCCACTGCAGCCCTGGGAGCATGTGAGAAATGGAAATCCTTGGGCCACTCCCCAGACCCACTGGATCAGAAACTCTGGGTGTGAGACCTGAACATCACAGTGCCTCTACTAGAAACATGAAAGAAGCTTCGGAGCCTCTCTTTTCTTTTGGGTATTTTTAGTTAAAAATTCTTAGTAAATAGGCAAGGAAGGTTTTAAAAGTGAATATCTGGCCATGCACACCTGTATCAGTCTCAAACATGAATCATTAAGTTCAGAACAGCAGCAGCAACACCTTCTTCCCCTCTCCTCCTGTGCCCCACCAGGTAAATAAGCAGAAAATTCTGGAGCTGCAGAGCAGTATCATGGGGTGAGCTACAGGCACACGGGGCACAAGTGCAGTCTGAGTGGCACCTGTGAGAACAGTGACGGTTTCCTTACTGAACAACTGAACAGCCTGCAGTTCTAATTCAGCCCCCTTCAAGTTGCTTGCTTAATAGTAAAGAAGAGGGGCCTGGTGAAGTGGCTCACACCTGTAATCCCAGCACTTTGGGAGGCCAAGGCAGGCGGATCACGAGGTCAGGAGATCGAGACCATTCTGGCCAACATGGTGAAACCCCATCTCTACTAAAATGCAAAAAAATAGCCAGGCATGGTGGCGTGCGCTTGTAGTCCCAGCTACGGGAGGCTAAGGCAGGGGAATCGCTTGAACCCAGGAGGCGGAGGTTGCAGTGAGCCAAGATCTCGCCACTGCACTCCAGCCTGGCAACAGAGCAAGACTTCGTCTAAAAAAAAAAAAAAAAAAAAAAAAAAGAGTTGTAAAGAAGAGTATTTGTCACTATTCCTGGATCTCTAAATATCTGGCCTCCAGTCTCAGAATGGGAAGGTAGTAGGAGTTCAGATGTGAATTCCAGGTTGACAGTAGCACTGTTACCTGTGTTTGCTCCTCACTGGTCCTGTGGCAAAGGGCCTGATCCCTGAGACACCCAAGGAAGATTGAGCTTCTAGAGCTAAGGTGATCTCTGTGCAGGTTTATATGCCTGCATGCAAAAAATGTTTCCTGTTTAAAGCTCACCTCCCCCCAGCTGGGAGGTGGGCGAATGTATGGTGCACTCTCTGGCATTACTGGATGCTGGGCCATGTGGTAAGACAGGCTTCCCTGGCTTAGACTCACAGATACGAGAGGTCCATTGGCACCGCAGCCACTGGGATCTTTCTTTGCAAATATTTACTCAGGCATCAGTTGGACCATATCAGAAGAGATATAACAGTGAGTGAGCTGATATAATTCAAGAAAGTCATCTTTAGCAGGTGTAGCTCTGTGGTTACTGACTCTCTTAATTGGCCACATCTAATAAATTGCCAAAGACAATCCAGAAATCAATCTCCTAATAAGATAAAATGTTTGAAAGGTTTAAGCTCAGAATTCTGGTATTATTATTACATGAGCTTCCTGCTATGTATTGAGTGCCTTCTGTGCCTCAGGCATTAATCTTCACAACAGCTCTGCCTGGTAGATCGAATTATCCCACATTTTACAGATGAGGAAGTCGTGGCTGGGAGAAATTAGGAAATTTGCCCAAGATCACTACACAACTGACCTGTCCAAAGGTCTTGTTCACCACTAAGACAGATGTGTGTGAGTGTGTTTGTGTGTGTGTGTGTGTATGAGAGAGAAAGATGAAGTGAGTTGAGTAAAGATCAAGGTATTTGAATGATCTCTTATACAGACAGAAGAAGAAAATTACCAAACACTTAGCAGGTATCAGATATATACAAATCTGGACATGTTCACACATGTTATCTCACTTAGTACATAAAAGGGTTTGTTTTATAAACAGGTTGTCACATGCAGAAAAATCTGGTTTTTCTAATGTCTATTATTAACACAATCCCAAACCAATGCTGGACTTCAAGTAGTTTATAATATTTTTAATGTGTTCACAGATTTAATCTGGAAATGTGTTTTTAGCAGTTCCATTTTTAGTGCCTCTTCTTGATTTGAACTGCACAGTGAGGACTAACACATAATCAGGAGCAATAGGAACCAAGACAGGGAGGAGCACATGGGCACCGGAGGCTTGCGAGGCAGCTTGTGATCTGCTTTGCACAACAATGAGCCTGGTCGGCAGACACATGAGGCTTAGGTCGTCTTAGTGATTGGCAAGCATCTGTAACAGAAATGGCTCTTCTGCAAACTGATTTTTTAACGTTATTTTAAAATAATTGTGTACATAAAACTGTCTGACTGGGAAGAGTTTGCCGTCTTAAATTAACTTCGTTCCAGTTACCTCATTTTGACACCCGAGATTTGTTTTCCTCTGTGTTCCTGGATCTTTTAGAAACTACTGATACTGAGCATTCATTTTCTGAAAGGCTCATCTCTTGGATTAAGCACCATAAGAGACCATGTTACAATGGTCAAACCTGAATCCAAGACAGAGAATTCCTAGAGAAGCAGTCTCCACTGTATTGCTAGAAATAAGCCATGCCTTTATATTATTCTAATATGTCATTTACTTTCCTAAGTGAAAATTTCCCATCTTCAGCAAGAGTTTATAGGGATAAAAAGATAGAAATAAGAAACCCTGCCTTGTTATCTGTGGATATTTCTGAGTGGAACAGTTAAGGGTGATTTGTGTTTTGCTCTTTTTGTCCCCTGTGAGGCTTTCTGAATGTTCAAAGATGTGTTTGTATTTAGTGTATGTTACCTTCTATGTGATGAGAAGGCAGCAGGGAGACACAGAAAAAGAGGGAAGAAAAGTGATTGGAAAATAAAAGCAAGTAGTTAGGAAACCGGGGTGTGTCTGGGACAAAAGGTCCTTTACCTGTTTAAGTGGAGGTTATTTACGTCTTTTTAAAAATAAATTTTATTGTATATATTTGAGGTTTACAACAGGTTATGGGATACATAATGTAAATGAGCTTTAACTCCATTCTTGCAAACAAGTTTTGAGATCAGGGCTGAAGAGGACTGAATCCTGAAAATGAGAAGTAAAGGCCATGACCATAGAGAGGAAAAGGAGGAGAAATTGAACTGAAGTAGAGAAACATGGGAAAGGTGGAGAAACATTAGAAACATGGGCCAGTTCAGACAGCAGAACTTGGAAGCTTGGGAATTTTTGTAGAAACCGTATCTCCTGGATAGCCTCAGCAAAGAGTGCTAAGAAATGAAAGCTCACCTCCAGATTCACCCAAACCTTAATCCAGTCATAATTAGGAATGTAAATTCATTGGAGGAAAGCAAGGCTTTCAAACTACAGCTCCTGAGAAAATGGCATTCATAGATAAAACTTGTAAGCAGTTCCCCAAACACTGGAAATCTTTTTTTTTTTTTTTTTTGGTTGAGAATTAGATCATGGTTGAGAACTAATTCTCATGGTTGAGAATTAGATCATATTCATTTAATTAGTCCCACTTTCTGCTCATTAAATTGCTCCCCTTTCACATGACGGAATTCAATATGGTACCTTAGTATTTCATGATAGAAAGATCACTGTGAATTCCAGGTGTTCTGCCAGCTGTGATAGATTCACAATTCACTGGACCTAAAAAAAAACAAAAACTTACTCCTTGAGGAAAAATTTCCCTCCAACAACAAGACAAGGTAGATCTTGCTCTGAAACTATGACCGCAACCATAATTTGCTATGTAGCAAAATTATATGGACATAAGTTACCCCTGTTCCGTTGGCCAAATTGTAAGATTGGTTTGAGATACTGGCCTCTTGACATTTTTTTTTATTAATGTCAAATCTGCCTACTTGTGCAGAATGCACACACCTATCGTTCCCCAACAGAGCTTTGTTCAGACAGCTTGTCTGTATTGGAAGGTGGTGGTGTGTCATTTAGTGTTGTGCACATTAGACACGAAGTTCATCCTGGCTGCTTGCTGGGCCACACCTCTAGCTGCTGTGTATATTCTACAGTTGATGGGAGTTGTAGCCAACCAGGCTTCCAAAGTGTTTAATTTGTGTGAATTTTCTACTGACATGAGGAAATCTTGAATGACTAGAAGCAAATTGTAGTCTTCTTGTTTTCTTTGATAAGTAAAATCCACGAATGTCAAAACCCTACTAGATGCCACCTACTGAGCTAGACCAAAGTATGCGTCAGATGGTTTCTACACTTGATCTCATGTCTTCACAGTCGCTGTTCAAGGTCAGTTTTAGGGTCATCATTTTACAGATGAGGATGCTGAGACTCAGTTTACCTGTGCAAATTCATGCCTATGATAAGTGGTACCTGACCAAAGCCTGTACACTTTCCACCTTACCAAACTCTCTGATTATTCATAGCTTAGCAGAGTGCCTTAGAGGCCTGGGGAGATCACTTTTCCCTTTTCGAAGACCTGTTTCATATACCTTACTTGAGTACTTTTTCCCATCTATAATTATCGCATACCTGTGATGGCACTTCTCTGTTGGAATTAAGATGTCACAAATGGCACCTCTGTATCAGCTGCTGGTGGACAGTAAAAATGAGTACATATTAATAAATAGAAGCCCAGTCAGTACTAAGCAAGTGTTCCTTTCAACTCTGTTAGTTTGCTGGGAGGTTCATCCCCAAAACATAAATGTATTGATAGATTTGCTTGTTCTACAAAAGAATTCTGTACTTTCCTAGAGGATTCAAGGCAGAGTTTGTTTAAAGTATAAGTTGTCTTAATACTTAGAAAATGTAATTCTTGAGCCTGAAATTGTGTGAAACCTACTAGAGGTGACTGGTATGTCTAACAAAGCCGTCAATGTGTGTTTTAAGAACCAGCTCCTGGCCGACCATGGACATAATCCTCTCATGAAAAAAGTTTTTGATGTCTACCTGTGTTTTCTTCAAAAACATCAGTCTGAAACGGCTTTAAAAAATGTCTTCACTGCCTTAAGGTCCTTAATTTATAAGGTAAGTTGCTTCATGGGCAGTGGTTAGATGTTTTCCTTCTTCCCCCGGAATTGAAGGGTACATTACCGAGCACTGACCTGTCTGTGGTTTATCTGCTGCTTCCTCTCATCCTGTCTAGTTTCCCTCAACATTCTATGAAGGGAGAGCGGACATGTGTGCGGCTCTGTGTTACGAGATTCTCAAGTGCTGTAACTCCAAGCTGAGCTCCATCAGGACGGAGGCCTCCCAGCTGCTCTACTTCCTGATGAGGAACAACTTTGATTACACTGGAAAGAAGTCCTTTGTCCGGACACATTTGCAAGTGCGTGTGGTTTAGCTTTCCAATACAGATTTACTCTGTAGAATCCTGCTGTATCAGGAAAACTTTGAGTATCACATTAACCAATTTACCTTGTCATAAAGATACTGCAAGATCTGGAAAACTGGGAAGCCACGTTTGCTGGCTTGGTTTATTTCATGTTCCATTACTATAAGATATGGGCCTGAGATGCGTTTCTGTTGGTAAATTGACATTTAAATATTGAATCAATATTGGACTGACTAAAATTCCATTGAATCAAGAAGTGTTAGAACCTATGTGAGGATGCTTAATAGTAAACATTTTAGGTAAGGAACAAGAAGCCCAACCTAAGTGGTTCTTTTCTGTCCTCTATCTGCTGACACATCTGCTATCTCTGCAGAATTAAAGCATCCTAAATTCTCTGCTCTGAGAGCCAGCCAAGATAATGACCAAACTTGTGTATTTTTGTAAACTCTCTTTTTCTACAAACACATGGTAGGTGTCCCTTTTCCATCTCTGTATTTAACCCTTTTTTTAAAAAACAATATTTATTGTCCACATAGGATTCGTGGATACAACCATGAACAAAACAACCCTCTCCCAGCCCTCATGGAGTGTAGTCTAATGGAGGTCACAGACAAGCTCTGGAACTCTGAGAGTACAAGTGTGACCACTGTTATTGTAGAGGAACTTGAGTGTATCAGGAGGGGCACCTAGAGGATGTGAAGGATGCATAGGGGCTCATGGTTGAAGATCAGTGAGCATGTTCCAGGCCACAGTGAACTACGGGGAAGCACCCATCTGGGGAACTAGAGATGTTCCTTACTGCGGAGTTTAGAATATGGGTGAGAAGGAGTTGAGGAGGACCCATGGTGGCATATCCAAATCATTGCATATTTGGACAGATCTTCTGGACTCCTGTGTTGATGATGGGTCAAGGGTAGTCTAGACCTCAGCTAGGGAGACCATTGTCAAAGCTAGGTCAGAGAGGATGGTATCCTAGACCAGGGATGGTGAGGTAAGAAGGAAGAGGAGATTGAGTTGACAACATTTGGTGACTGATTGTAACTGGGTGTGGTGAAGGAAAAGGAAAATAAAGATGGCCTCCATGCTTTAGCTCAAGCAACTGGGTAAAGGCAGTGCTATTCATTGAGCCAAAAAAAGACAGAGCCCCCTGTGGCATAGTTAATCTATCCATGTTCTGATAAAGTATTGCAAAGGACAGTCTACCCATAGCATATTTAATACATTTAAGTTCAAACTGAAAACTGAGAAATAAATCATGTCTCCCTCTTGGTTAGAGAAGGTAATAGGTAAGTAACTATCCAAGTGGATGGGCTTATCTCATTTTCTTTCTCCCTTTGCTCTCCTGATCAGCATTTTGCTTTGCAAACAGTGTTTTTTAAGGATAGCAGAATCACTTTCTGTAATTATTCTTAAAGGGGAAGAAAATACCTCAGACATTGTTTCCTACACGGAGCGACCCCTGCTCAAAGCACCCCCCAACCCCCACTTTGCTGGGTCCTTAGGCACATCCTAACTGAACGCAGAAGCCCAGCCTGGGCAGTCATTTGAAGGTAAATTGATTTGCTCATGTTTGTGTGTCCCTAAGGTCATCATATCTGTCAGCCAGCTGATAGCAGACGTTGTTGGCATTGGGGGAACCAGATTCCAGCAGTCCCTGTCCATCATCAACAACTGTGCCAACAGTGACCGGCTTATTAAGGTGGGTAGCCTGGCCCATGTTAGTTTCACCCTGAGACTCTGCATCAGCACCTGAGGTGCTTGTGGACAGGCAGCAAACAGAGGAAGCCATGTGTCCTTTCCTCTTCCACCCTTGTTTTAGCACACCAGCTTCTCCTCTGATGTGAAGGACTTAACCAAAAGGATACGCACGGTGCTAATGGCCACCGCCCAGATGAAGGAGCATGAGAACGACCCAGAGATGCTGGTGGACCTCCAGTACAGCCTGGCCAAATCCTATGCCAGCACGCCCGAGCTCAGGAAGACGTGGCTCGACAGCATGGCCAGGATCCATGTCAAAAATGGCGATCTCTCAGAGGTAGTAGCCCTGCCAGCCGCTTGAATGGGTTTTTGAAAAAACCAGTGAGGCCCCATTCACTTAAAAAGCCAGTTTTGAGAAAAGTTATTCCATTAATCAAAAACCAATTAAAAGTATGCAAAACTTTAAACAGTATGAAGCTTAGGGTGACTTCATAGTTAGCTGAGCATTTTAATAATTTAAAACAAATTGTAAGGGGTTATTTTTGTCAACAAAGAGCATTGTTTAAGCTCTTAAACCTATTCATACAGTCTCCTGCTAATTAAAATACACATCAAAATTCCTCTGTAGTTCTAAAATTCAGCTATTTTATGATCAAATGAATTCCTCCTGTTATTTAAGGTAATGACAGGTGTTGCTTTCTCCTCTGTAGGGTAGTCCATTTCCTTTTGTGGATGCAGTAGGTATTCCAGCATTCCCTTCTATGCAGAGCTGACGTGTTTCAATATGTAGACTGCATGGCTGGGAGTTGGGTGTGTGGGCTCCAGTACAAGTAATATTGGACTTTGAATCCAAGATCCAATATTAACTAACTCTGTGACATTGAGCCAGTTTTTTAACCCCTCTATTGCTCAATGACATCATCTGTAAAATGGGGAATTGAAGAAAACAATTGGCTGTAAGGCAGTCTGTGCGCCTAGGAGAACTCATTCAGTGTCTGTGCCTGAGATGTTTAGCTATGATCAACATTATTACAATAGCAAGCAAGTTTTGACTTTTAAACTTTTATAACTGTTTGAATTAATAAACATACTCTAAGTCTGAAAATTTTAACTATTTTTACATATTTATTTTTCAAGGAGCTCAATATGCTAAAAAGTACACATTAACGTGACAGTTTTGACTATAAATTTAATGTAAACCACACATTGGCCATAATAAAAAGGAATAACTAAGAGAAGTAACTTTTCTATCATTCTAAGAATTTAAGATTCTTTAATGACATATGTGGCCTAGGTCTCAAAAAAAGAAAGGAAGAACTTACTAAGCTTCAGCTGTTCCTCTGTGAATTAGTTTTACATGGCTGCCATAACAAAGTACCCAGACTGAGTGGCTTCACACAGAAATGTATCCTCTCACAGTTCTGGAGGCAGAAGTCCAAGATTGCAGTGGCAGCAGGGCCACATCTCCGAATGTCCTTGGGGAGAACTGGTTCCATGCCTGTCCCTGAGCTCTTTGTGTTGCCAGCAGTCTTGATGTTCCTTGGCTTGTAGCCACATCCCTCCAGTTCCTGCCTCCGTGGTCGCATAGCATCCTTCCCCATATGTCTATGACACCAGTAATGTTGAATTTAGGGCCCACCACACACCAGTATGACCTCATCTTAACTAATTACACCTAACAGAGCCTGTTTCCAAATAATATCACATTCTGAGGTCTCAGGGAGGCCATGAATTTTGGCGGGACACTACCCAACCCAGTATACCCAGTGAATAAGGGACGAAAGCAGCTAATTTATAAGATTTCTTATTGCCCTTGCCGTGTCTGGTTTTGTGTGTGTGCTCAGTAACCCGTCATGTACTTTCCTGCCTGTTCAGTGCATGTGACCCTGCTTTGTACTGCAAGAGGGACACACGTGGGAGGCATGAACTCTGCCTCCGAGGACTGGACAGTACATAACTCCACTCTCCAACAGACTTCTCTCTGCACACATCAGAGTGCATGCCACGCTGCTAACATTCGTTGACACACGTGCACGTGGAGCAGCCTCTGCTGGTGTGTGTTGGCTAGTAGCTAGGGGTGAGGGTCTAGACGAGGGCACCACGTGGTGGCGCTCACCCCGCTGACAGGCACAGAACCGCATGCATTAGAACCTTGCAGGGGGTTCGCTTCTAACAGCTGTCTTTGATCTTTATAACACCATGGCAATTTGGTGAAAAAATTTCTTTTTTCTTTCAATTTAAGATACGTATAATGTTACCTATTTGAGATTAAATTATGATTTTTATTTAGAATTTTATATTTGGAAAAAATTATAACTTGCTCTTAATTTTTAAGTCAAGCGAAAAATATATTAGCACCTGAAATTTGAGCCATTCTCTCAGAATCTAGGGAGGAGCACATGTTTTCTTCAAAGCATCCTCTTTTCGCTTTGAGAGAAATGATGCAGAAGTATTAGGTATAGTAAGAGGAAAATGCTGCTTTTATCTTTTACTTTACAAATGTAATAATTCTATATAGAAAAAAGCCTTAGCAAATTTACTGCCATTTATCTCAACTCCCAATTAATTTCAAATTTTCAGCTTATGTGAGTGATTCCACTCTCTTCAAAAGGTAAGATATCAGCTATTAGAAATACTAGCTGGTGCATTGAGATCTAATATATACGTTCATACATTGATTAGATTTCTGTCTGTGTGGGAGCATTATGACTTGCTGTTATGAATGATGATTCTGAGGCATGTGTCTTCTATTATAGGCAGCAATGTGCTATGTCCACGTAACAGCCCTAGTGGCAGAATATCTCACACGGAAAGGTAAGGAATTATTCTCATGTTTTGTGAAATTAATTAGTATAAAACCACACAAAGCAGCAGACAAGTGAGAGCCATTCAGGAAGATTGGAAGGTGGGGATTTGTGTGTTTGTGAAGTGTATTCGTTGTTTTATCCCCTGGCGTGATGTTTGCTTGAATTGGTGGGCACAGCAGAAATTGCCAGGACTAGACAGAAAAGTAGATGGCATGTTGTCATGTAACCTCCTCTGATAGCTTCACTCTGCAAAAACTAGCTAATGAGTTTTGCATCTGGCCAAATCTAGAGCTAAGAAGATACTATTTTTCCCTTAAGATAGTTCCCACTAGAATGTTTAGGCAATCAAAAAGTTGTAACGGGAGATTATCAGACAGCATTTCTGCAACGCAGCCCAGCTGGCTTTATTGTCTAAGAAGGCAGCCTTTCTGATGGAAACCTTATCTCCCAGAGGAAGGAGAGGGGGCGAGGAGTGACGCTTCATTTGTGCACTCTCCGTTTGTGCCCAGATGAGCAGGCCATGAATTCTTTCACAGTTTCCCTTTGGTTAAACAGCAGGTGCTCATTTCCACTTCAAAATCAGCACAGCCCCAAATGGTGACATTTATTTTTAGAATACTGAGGTTCTTAGAAAAGCTGGTAGTCTGCGTGAGTTACATGGGAGAAAACAGCAGCACCAGATCTGGGCTAATGAGGAATAGATGTACGAAGTGAGAAATAGTGTGAAACCAAAGATGCCGAGGCCACAGACTGTATATTTCTGGTGCAGCTGGCTATTTGGAATGAAACAGCAGAGCCCCAAAGAGAAAAATTTTGAAAGGGCTCCATGTTCATTTAATACCGGTACTATTTCCTGTTGAGACCTTTTATCAGGTGATGCATTTCCTCATGTTTAGAAGCAGTCCAGTGGGAGCCGCCCCTTCTCCCCCACAGCCATAGCGCCTGCCTGAGGAGGAGCCGGGGAGGTGAGCCTGAGGATCAGCCCAGCCCCCGGGGACCCCCTGCCCTGGTCACGTGCCCTCCCGTGGTGGGGGATTTGCCCTTTTAACTTTGCATGGACAGACTTCACTCTCCTTCCCTCCTACTCTGTGGCTCTCTGGTTGGCTGGTCTATTCCTGTGGGCACAAGAGGAAAGCACCTTGGCCACCATTTTTGTTATTCCATTGGCTCCGAGTTATGTGGTGAAATGTACTATATAGCCTAGAGCATGGGTGGTTGGTTTTTTTAATTTTACAGTTTGTATGTTAATGTATCCTCAAGTTCCTAGATTAATGCTTTTCATGGGAGACTCTTGTTTCCATATAACAAAATAAAAACTAAACTGGGATAGTGGCAGATGCTGGATAATCCATGAATAGTGTAGAAACCTGGGATCATGTGCAGCAGAAAAATCTCTGACTTCAGGATCTCCGTTTTCAAGGCTTGATTTCAGAATACCCTGTGTTCCTCTTTCTCCCTAAATGTAGAAGTCTCAATTCAAGTTTTTACTTCTGTTTTATTTTATTGTGAACAGTTATCTCAAAATAGAGTAGTGGAACATCTCATGCCCTTCTTCACTTGATCATTTTGCATAGCTGACGTGGTCCAACTGACTTAAAGCTGTTTTCCAGTGACTCTAAGACGAGGAAAGGTCCCAAATGGGCTGTCATTGCTTAAGAAACACATCCTTATCCCAGACATTGATCCTGCCTCTAAGCTAACACCATTTCCTCTTGGAGAATCAGAGTGCCCAGGCATCCATGCCCTCTGTTGATGCAGCCAGCCACCCACCCCGGGGCCTCTGGGGTGGGAACCAGCTAAGGCAGCCTGTCTGCTCACCATTATGGCTACGAAGCTACACCTGGGTTGTGTGGGGAAGCTCTCATCTGAGAGATGTGTTCTTCCCTGGCCAGAGTGGGTGAGGTGACAGCTTGAAGGAAACAGTTCTTTTTGAATCATACATTTCTCTTATATTGGCTTTGCCTTTGTTTTTCTTAGTATCTCAGCACGAGTCATCCTACCAAGACAAATTTTCACTTATTGTTATTTTACTATTACTTTGATTTAATACCTATTTCTCAGTTTATAGTTTAATATTTAGAGATTGCATACATTTTAATAAAGGTAGATAAAAAGGGATAAGGAAAAGAAAGTGAAAGAGGTTAGGGTTCACTATAGGGAAGAAAAGCACACAGTAGCCCCAGGTACCCCCGTGAATGCTGGCCTGGTGCCTAAGAGATTTCAAAATCCGTTATTTCATTCAACACAGAAACACACAGGGCAGGAAAAACCCTCAGGGTTCACCCACGTTCAGGTTCCTAACTCTGACTGTCCCTCCTTCCTCTCTTCCTAGGCGTGTTTAGACAAGGATGCACCGCCTTCAGGGTCATTACCCCAAACATCGACGAGGAGGCCTCCATGATGGAAGACGTGGGGATGCAGGATGTCCATTTCAACGAGGTGCGTGCTTGAACTCATGTGGGCTTTCAGGTACTGGGGTATCTGGGAGCCTGCTGTTTGCATTGCTAGTGCATCAGACCAGGGCTTTTTCCTCCCTGTAGCTGCTACTTATACACATAGCTCTAACTGAGATGATTCTCCAGACAACTGATGCAGAGCAGCAAAAGCTTCTGCCGTTCTCCCCTTCTAGGAGTGTCTCCTTTCTTTGGAAAGAGATCATGAGGGGCTAGATTGTAATGAAGTGAGGCTCAGTGCTTGAGCACATCCGGTAAAAGTTCCAATATATTGGTCATAAAGTTTCTCATTCTTTATAGCAGTTAATTTCTCTGGCTCATGAGTTTTCTTAGTTTTAATCTGACTTTTAAATTAATGTCTCCAGCACCAGTCATATCCCCAGGGCAAACTCAAAGGCATGAGAGGCCAGACTCGGGTCCTGGTCATAGCAACCCCTGTCTAGGGCCTTGGTCCCTGCCTCCGCTTGTGTGCTGTGGCGCAGGTCCTATGGGCCCTTAGGAAACAGGACCACCCTGTCGCACCCCCTACAGAGACCAGCAAGTTTGACATTAGATCACCGTAGCAATGTCTGCAAATTCCAGTTTCTTGCTAAAACAGGTTAGCCTTGCAGCCACTTATCTGTAACTGGCGAGTTTTGACATAAAACTAGATATTTGAATAAATGCCAGTTTTCTGCTGGCATTCACTCATTCACTCTGTTTCCTTTTCCATGCCTATCTGCCTGAAGGGTTCTTTGTGTGTACCTGCCTCCCTTCAGCCCAGGGCAGAATGAAACAGCTGAGGGAAAGCTTTTTAATCCTGCCCATGTTTTAAGGAAATTGAAGTTGTCCAATTTCTCCCATGGAGTGAAAGAGCAAGCCAAGAAAGGAGTCAGTCTCTTCCGCCTCTGCTGCACCTGCTTCATCCTGATTTCCAGGGCCACAGCGGTGTGGCATACGGTTGATACTGGGGCTTTTAACCATTCTCATGCCAGGGAGGCAGGCCCTTGAACACACATCCTCATGACATGAGCTAGGCCATAAGTCAGTGGTTCTCTAAACATGGTCCTGGAACCTTTCAGTGAGTCTTTGAGGCGGTACTCTTGCTACTGAATGTCTATGAGGCTGGGTTTTCTTTGTACGCAATGACCCAAACAGCCTGTCAAACAGGCTGTGTGCAGAATGGATGCACATTTGGGCTTATCTTGCAAAATCAGACAGTAAAGAGAGTTGTAAAAATGGAAAATACTACTACTCTTCACTCTTTTTTTTTTTGGAAAAAATATCCTTTTTTATTTACAAATGCTATTTTTAAAATATGTAATAGGCTTATTGTTTTCATTAAATTAATAAGTAAATCTTAATTTTGTTTCAGTTTTCATATCTAGTATTGTAAATATTGAGAGAGAACAGTCACATAAACTTTGAGGTCCTCAATAATTCTTAAAATCTACGAAGGGGTCTTGAGCTCAAAAAGTTTAAGAACCACTGTTGTAAATTGTCTAGTCTCAAATGGTCCTCAAAATTAAAAACTAAGCATGAATTAAAAGGATAACATATTGAGTGTACTTCATGTTTAAATATTAAGATAATTTAAACCCCAATAAAGTTTTCTAGGTATCCTACAAAAAAAGAAATAGATTGGTTATTACGTGGTTTTAACAGTTCTGCTGTTTCTCCACCTTGAAAGGCCTGGGTGGATGGTCTTTTTTGTTTGTTTGTTTGTTTGTTTGTTTTACTTTTTACTCTCAAATATGAAACCTGCCACTGAAGGATCAAGGCCCACATACTCTTGGCTTTGAACTCCTCACTTCAGGCGAATTTCAACTGAGTTTTTCTCTGAGAAGAGGCATGACTGCATTGTCTCCTTGCAGAAACCACCCTGGCACCTCTGCCGAGTCAGACCTCTGGAGTGTACCATTTTGTTTGGAATTAGATAAGGAAAGCAACGATGCCAGGAACAATTAAAGATTGGAAAGTAGACTATTTTTAGTGACCTATCCTGCAGAGCTGATAAAATGAAGCTTGCATTTGCTCATCTGATTGAGTAACAGGCTGAGATAGTTATTATGTTAGAGCCTAATGAATTAGCCTGTGAAATCAAGTGCAGACAGCCTTGGGGAAATTGTGAATGGAGTCCCCTCTAAGTAATAACTAAGCCTGTGACAAGGACCCCTTTATCAGCTATTTTCAGAAGACGGATTCGTCACCTTGTCCTTGAAGCATAAACTTAGTAAATCTTTAACAAGGTCCATAGTACATGACAATCTGTGGTGATTAGGATGTGACACAGCAGGGTTATAAAGTCCTGAGCAAGCCTTGCACATCCAGATTGAAACTAACGGGAAGCAGAAAGACTAACATGTTCTAAAAGACAGGAAAGCAGAAATTACCAGGCACGTTTTTGCATTGGCTGCCAGGATGTTGCAAGAAAAAGAGAGATGAAAATCTCTGCCAGAGAGGAAGGACTTTGGGGAAAATCTGGTGGGAGATAAGTGTATAACACAGTTGAATAAAAATCATTGCCCTTTTCATCTACATTATTAGATATAATTAAATGCCTGAGATGTTCTCTAAAGTGACTTTAAGGGACGCTACCTAAAAATACTCAATTCTCTTAGCAGCAGGTCTCAGATGAGTTTTTATTGGCACCAATTCCACCTTCCTTGATTCTGAGCCGAAGAGCAGACTCCTTTCCAGCTGCTTTTGATTAATAAAGAGAAACCTCCAATTCCTATTCACAATTTTGTTTTGCAAGACTGAGCCTGTGTAGATTGAAGAATTCAGAGTTTCCTGTGGTGTCAAAATTCCCCATGGCCCATGTAGTTCTGAGATCCCTCCCTTGTTAACGAATGCAGTACCAAGGTCCTGGAAGGATGCAGGTAGCATAGTTGGGAGATTGAAGAAAGTCTAAGAAAGGAACTGTTTTTAAAAGTTCAGAGAGGGTTTAGGGAAGCCAACAAGGGATGTTGCAGTGCCCCGAGGTTAGCAGCAGCTGGGCGTCACCCCTTAACCTTAGGGAGAAAGGGAGAAATTACATAGAAGGACCACCTGGCAGGACCTGTGAGCTTTTTAGTAAAGGACTCCTGAGGGCACCCACGCAGGGAGGAAAGGAGTAACTGCCCACCTCACTCTCCTCCTGCCCCCCAGCCTCCTACTGGGGCCTATCCTTGGCCAAACTCAACAGCAACCAGACAGGAAGTCACCATGCACGAGTCCTGCAGTGTCTGCTTCTCAGAGCAGAGCCCAGGAGAACAGGGCCCAGAGGAGCTCCAGAGGGAAAAGTAGAAAGTACAGGTGATCCTCATTATCCACCTATCTGCTGAAATTTCTTTGTAGCCTCCAAATCAATACTCCTTGGTACTTTTGTGGTCATTCAGGGATATGTACAGAGCATCAAAAGATTTTACCACTCAACTATGTTTCCAGCTGAGGCCGAACCAGGCAACACTCTGCTTCTTGTTGCAGCTCTCATCCCATTGTCAGAGGTGTTCAAACCAGACTGACTCCATCTTGAGTGAGGGCTAGGAAAATGAGGCTGGGACTTGCTGGGCTGCCTTCCCAGAAGGTCAGGCATTCTGAGCCTCTAGATGTTTATGGTTAAGGGATCAAATTAATAATGTTTACTAGACAGACCCAGACTTGAGAGTGTCTAGATATCTCAATATCTGGAGAAGAAAGGCGTTCCTGATTTTTCTTTAAAGCTAATAATATCGATTTTTGCAAAATACAGTAATTAAGAAAATTAATCCTTTATCACAGATCCTCATAGCAGAGCACATCTCCCCATATATACGAGTAATGTACCTGGGATGGATGTGTTCCTCCTCTTACTTTCAGGAACAGCCTCCTCTGTCTATGGAGTAGCTGTACTTTGACCACTTTTTACTTTCTTAATAAACTTGCTTTTACTTTGCACTGTGGACTTGCCCTGAATTCTTTCTTACACTAGGTCCAAGAACCCTCTCTTGGGATCTGGATTGGGACCCCTTTCCTGTAACACCATGAACAGGCCCCCTTTTGGTGGTCTACTTTATGCCATGTTTTTCACATTTGTGTGGATTTTGTTGGCGGTTTGCTGTTTAGAATGGCTTTCTGGGGTTCCTAAGTGCAAGAACACTGCCATGTGTAAGTTACATAAGCTTTGTTCAAGTGTGAGTTCTAGTGCTGTTGGCTATATATTTAATGTTAATGAATCAACAATATATATTTAGTTAGATGTCTTTAAACAAAACACATAAAACAAGTGTAGGTATTGATTGGTTAATGAAAATGTTGTAACCAGAGGCTCCCAGGAACTGAACCTTGCATTTTCCCTAGGAAGCGGACAAGTATTCACTAATTCACAGTGACTTTATAGAACATAACTACCTCAGATGACGAGAACTGACTGTATCTAGCACACAAAACTGTTGTTTTACAGAACAGCAGGTCTTGCCATTGCAGAATTGCTGCTGAATGTAATAAACATTATATGAACTTAACTAGGCCAGTCTCTGGCTTCTATTCGTCAAAATTGTTTCTATTCAGGAATAGTTGCCAGTAAGAAGCATTAAGTGTTTATATCCATAGACTATCCCAGGAGATAGAGACATCAACAGAACATATTCAGGGATTACTGTTTACGTCTCATCCAAGCGTGGTGGTTAAACCTTTAGAGCTAGCTCATGTCCACTTTACCCTTGACTGACAGTGGTCCTGGAGCCGTGAAAGTCACATGGCACATCCTCAGTGTTACAGCGATTCTCCACAACAGTAGTGGCAGTGAGTAGGGAACTTGGCCAGTGGAGTTTGGGTGGCTGTTCTGCCTTTGCCGGATGCCAGCACATACTGCCCTACTTCATTTTGCAAATGTGGACTGGGCTTCCTTGGCACTGAGCTGGGGGCCAGAGGTCTGAGAGTGAGTAAGCTGTGATCCCTGCCATAGCACACTACACTCCTACTGCTGCTTTCTGCCCTCTGAGGAGAAACACCTCAACCACAGTCCCTCCAGTCTGAACTGGAAGTTGTCTGAGTTCTTCATGACTTGGAAATTTCTAGATTGACATATGTTGATGAATTCCATAGACTGGCCATGTGCCGTGTGCTAGTTCAGGAATGTGTAAGTGGAAGTCCCTGCCTCAGAGATTTTCATCCAGTGCAAGAATCCTCAAGCTTTCAGGTTCTTAGGAATTAGTTGGATCCCTGCTACAAATATAGATTCCCATCCTTACCCCCCAAACCCAGATTTTGTTGGGTGGGTGTGGGGCCCGGGAATCTGTATTTTAAGCATCCAAGGTGATTATTCTGATGTAAGTGGTCCTCAACTGTACCTTGGGAAATGATGATATAGTAGAAATGTGCATTATGCTGTGATAGCACACTGTTGCCTAAGCCAGGTCACACATTTGCAGTTATTCCCAAATGGTAGGTAATACCGATGGCATCTAGCTTCATAGGTAAGGTTAGTTAAATTAATCCTAAAATAGAGCAAATGGTATCTCAATGAAAAAATGTTTAAATAACCCTGCACAGACATAGGCTCATGCAGGCATTTTCATGCACATGTGTGCGCACACACACACACACACACAATGTTAGTGTGCTGTTTCCAGAGACAGATGCTCAGTGCCTTCAATTGCATCACTGTGGCACACTAAAATGGGCCTGGATAATTACATTTTTAAAAGCTTCCTTGATGGCTTATGAACTTGCTGCACTGAGTTCCTTTTAAGTCTAGGCTAATATCATAAAATATTAGCCTAGACTTAAATATTATGACATATTTTATAATATTAAAAATATAAATATATTATGAAATATTTTCCCCCAACCAGCTTTTACTTAACAGTTCTTTGCATATGTCAACAATATAGGAAAAAATATCTTGGAATTTAAATTGTAAGCAAAGTGGTAAAACCATCAGGCACTCCATATGACTGCCCTATAAGGTTATCACTATCTGACCATTGTCTGGATTTGTTCTGGTTTTCAGGTGCAATGATTGCTGAGAATTTAAAGTAAATTAATAACTGGAATTTCTGCTGAAAATGTTATTCATATATGCTCCAATGTTTAGTTATTGTGTCTTGGTCTTTGTGACTGAATAATTTTGTATTGGTGTATGGTCTCTCAAACTGAACTGCCGGTTGATTACCAGTTATTTCTATTCAAAGAATTGTTACTTGATGCAGAAGCCGTAAAGGATTAGGTATAGAGTTGGCATTAACTTGAATAATATAGCTTACTAAATTAGGATTTAATGTTCAGTAATCCACACTCTACTTATGTGAGAGGTGGACTTACTTTTGTAATATAAAAGCTATTTTTAGTTTGTTATTGGGTAAAATCTGTGCTAACTCTGCTTTTTATAGTGTATAATACCATTTATTTATAATAATAAGTGATATTTGGACTGATAAACTATAGAATTTGAATGGCCTCTGAGTCAGAAAAGAAGACGAAATAATGTTCAGTAGAGTATAAAACTTAATGATTTGTTATTTCCTAGTTCTTGATAACCATCAAATTGTGAGACTTATTTCATAATTACTTACTAAGCTCTATCTACTTTATCAAACTTTCCTATTTCCCAGCCATTTTGGAGACTCTCCCTTGTTGAAGCCCATCTTTTTTTTTTTTTTTTTTTTTAGCAAATATAACAGGTTCTCCCATAATGAACTCAATTATCTGTATCATGTGGTACATACATTATATCATATATCAATACTTATATGCTACTTAAATTCAGGTTTTGTTGTTATTAAACTATTCACTTATTTATAATTTGACTACACAAGAGTAAAAATAGCATGTATTCGAATCATAGTTTAGGCTAGATGTGGTGGCTCACACCTGTAATCCCAGCACTTTGGAAGGCAGAGGCTGGAGGATCATGTGAACCCAGGAATTCAAGACCAGCCTGGGAAACATAGTGAGACCCTATCCCTACCAAAAAAAAAAAAAAAAAAAAAGCTGGGTGTATTAGTCTGTTCTCACACTGCTATAAAGAACTACCTGAGGATGGGTAATTTATAAAGAAAAAAGGTTTAATTGACTCACAGTTCCGCAGGTTTAACAGGAAGCATGGCTAGGAGGCGTCAGGTAACTTACAATCATGGCAGAAGGTGAAGGGGAAGCAAGCACGTCTTACATGCAAGACCTGTCTCAAACAAACAAACAAACAAAAAACCCCAATCTTAGTCTATCAGTTAAAAACATTTGACTCAGGAGACCACCCATAAATTCTGTTTGGCATATATTTAATAACTGACTAAATCTAGAGCTACTTAAAATATACCTGAAAGCCTGCTGTATACAGATATCTTGCTTGGATACACAGACTATCATTTTAATACCAAGTAATAAGATCTTCCTTATATAATACCTTATTGTCTGTTATGGTGGTTGATGTGTGTCTACATATGTTTTTATGTCTCATAAAATTATCTACAGTTGATTATTAATTTATGTTTGACTTAGGAAGCTCCGAGTGTGCCAGTTCAGTGAAGATATCCCTTCCCACCTCCACAGCCTCATCTCTTATCACTCTGATTGCGATTTTAGATTCCAGGCCCTCAAACTACATGTAAATCCTCCCGTGCTGTGCTGCCTTCACCCTCTTGCCTTTGCTTGGGCTGTTCCTGCAACCTGGGCTGTCTCCTCTCTTTTCCTTCGTATTCCCACCCCCACCTTTCACTTTCACCTGACTAACCCGATCCTCTTTTCAGACCCAGCCAGTCATCACTCTCCTCAGCTTTCCATGCCTCACCTTCCCTTGTGGCCGGACAGATGCTGCTCTTTCCCGCCTCCCTGCACATTTCGTTATTCGTGCACTCCCGCCATCTTTTACCATCTCTTCCTGGACCTAGCTCCCACACGAGACTCTGGGCTCTAGGAGACAGGGAGCGTTCCTTCACCTGACTGTTCTTTCTTCACCTGACCTCACTACCGCCCAGGGACTCACTGACTACTGTTAAATGAATCAGTACCCGTTGCTCGCAAGTCAGAGTGCCTGCCCCTGCGACTTGCATCTTGGGCATGTATTTGAATTCATTGGGTCTTCCTCTGTCCTCCGTGTCTTACCATGTATATCACGTCTCTTCTGGTTGGTAGTCTTGAGTCTCTAGTACATCAGTTCTGGCTCCTCTGAGGATGACCGTGTGTGTCTTTGAGGAAGCAAATTTCATTCATGACACATAGCCTAATAGACCATCCAAAACCTGCCCTTCACATTTGGTAAAAATCTATTGAGTAATTTTTATAAATTATAGAAACTAAATCCTATTTATATAGATTTGTTTTATAACCCCAGTGTCAAGCGCTGTGCCTTGCATGTAGTAGATGCTTGATAAATATTTGAACAAATGATACAATAGGTGGATGACTCAATGATGTGGTGGTGAGGACACATAGTTGTAACTTTGGTAACTCTTTGAGAAGAATTTTTCATTTTTAATGAGATTGCATTAAAATTGCACCAGATTATTATTATGCTATAACTGGTATGGCGTGGAGTTAAGACTCTTTATGTCTCCAATCTGATCCACAAAGGACAGGGTGTCATTGTAGATTTACATCTACTGTGTGGACCATGGCTTACTAGTGGACTGGTCGTAGTTTTCCACAAAAACTTTACATTTCTCGGCCGGGCGCGGTGGCTCACGCCTGTAATCCCAGCACTTTGGGAGGCCAAGGTGGGTGGATCACAAGGTGAGGAGATTGAGACCATCCTGGCTAACATGGTGAAACCCCATCTCTACTAAAAATACAAAAAATTAGCCGGGCATGGTGGCAGGCCCCTGTTGTCCCAGCTACTCGGGAGGCTGAGATAGGAGAATGGCCATGAACCCGGGAGGCAGAGCTTGCAGTGAGCCAAGATCGTGCCACTGCACTGCAGCCTGGGCAACAGAGTGAGACTCCGTCTCAAAAAAACAAAACAAACAAACAAACAAAAAAAAATTTTACATTTCTCTTTGAAAAGGCCCAAAAATGAGAACCGAAGGTACCAAATGATTAGTCTGTAAGTAAACCTAAGGACAGTTTTAAAATGGGAAAAGTTCCATGCCCTTGATGGTTTCATTATTAGAAGTATGCCTTGTTATACAATATGTCTTCCCCACGGGAAGCTAGGTCTTCTTAGAATTCTTCCACCTCTACTGCAGTCCCACAACACCACTGAGAGTCAAGATAATAAATACACACTGGCAGTGTATTTGACCTAAGATAGGCCAGAAATGCAAGGCTTTGGTAAAGGGAATCTTAGCTTATTTCCTCACAGACAAGGACAGCTATTATTATCTAGTAATATCGTTAATATTACTAAGAAAAGTACACATTGATTCACTCGTCCAATAGATACTGGACTACCCAGTGTGTATGAGACCCTGTGGGATTACATAGATTATATAGCCTAGTAAAAATTAAGGTTATTTTATTTTATTTTATTTTATTTTATTTTATTTTATTTTATTTTATTTTATTTTATTTTGAGACAGAATCTGACTGTCACCCAGGCTGGAGTGCAGTGGTGCGATTTCAGTTCACTGCAACCTCCTCCTGGGCTGAAGTTGTTCTCCCACCTCAGCCTCCCAAGTACCTGGGACTACAGGCATGCACTACCATGCCCAGCTAATTTTTTTGTATTTTTTACAGAGATGGGGTTTCACTATGTTGCTGAGGCTTGTCTTGAACCCCTGAGCTCAAGCAATCCACCCACCATGCCTTCCCAAAGTGCTGGGATTATAGGCATGAGCACTTAGGGAGGCCGAGATGGGTGGATCACTTGAGGTTAGGAGTTTGGGACCAGCCTGGCCAACATGATGAAACCTTGTCTCTACTAAAAATACAAAAATTAGCTGGGCGTGGTGGCACACCCCTGTAATCCCAGCTACTTGGGAGGCTGAGGCAGGAGAATCACTTGAATCCGGGAGGTGGAGGTTGCAGTAAGCCAAGATTGTGCCACTGCACTCCAGTCTGGGCGACAGAATGAGACTCTTGTCTCAAAAAAAAAAAAAAAAGACGTACTTCTTTATAATACAGATACAAAGGAAAAGAGTGGGTGTGAAAACCTTTTCTGATTTCTTCATGTCATTTGCTGCTATGGTGGTTACTACATGTATCTGGCTTTAGTGTTTGTATTTATGAGACCTGCAATAAAAGCAGGCAAAACTGATGTACCTTTTAATAAGCACCGGTACAGAGTTCAGTCACACAAATGACACTTTTATGACTCGTGTGCTATAAATATGATGTAGGAGGTAAATGGTCTTGCTTAGATAGCGTTTTCTGCTAAATTGAGTCACAACTGCTTTACAAATGTTTATTTACTTTGAATCTGTAATCTTTGTAGGCATTAGTCCTGTAGTGAAACATTAGGGCTGGTAATGAAAAACACAGGCCTTGCCCTTCATTTACAGTATTGTGAAGGATATAAACATTTTCAAAAGCAACTATAGACCCTTAATAAAATATTAGTAAATTGAAGGCTGGGCGCAGTGGCTCATGCCTGTAATCTCAGCACTTTGGGAGGCTGAGGTGGGTGGATCACCTGAGGTCGGGAGTTTAAGACCAGCCTGACCAACATGGAGAAACCCTGTCTCTACTAAAAATACAAAAAATTAGCCGGGCATGGTGGCACATGCCTGTAATCCCAGCTACTTGGGAGGCTGAGGCAAGAGAATCGCTTGAACCCGGGAGGCAGAGGTTGTGGTGAGCCGAGATCACGCCGTCGCACTCCAGCCTGGGCAACAAGAGTGGAATTCTGTCTCAAAAAATAAAAAAATTAAAATTAAAAAAATATATATTAGTAAATTGAATCTAGCAATACATAAAACAGAGAAATGCATCATGACCACGTAGGGTTTATTCTGGGAGTGCATAGCTGGCTCTGCATTGAAAAGCCAATCAAATTAATTGATCATATCAACAGAATAAATAGGAAAAACCATATGATTTTCTCAGTAGATGCATACAGAGTATTTGACAAAATTCAACATCTATTCATAATTTTTTTAAAAAAATGAGAAATAGAAGGAACTTCCTTAACCTGAAAACAAAAAGACTGTCTACAGAAAACCTATAGCTACCATCATATTTAATTGTGAAAGACTGAATGCTTTGCCCCTAAAATTGGAAACAAGACCATAATACCTGCTTTACTGACTATTCAATATCATGCTGGAGGTTCTAGCCAGTGTAGTAAGGCAAGAAAAAGAAATAAATCTTTCCATATTCACATAAGACATAGTTATAAAGAGAAAATCCCGAAGAACTTGGAAAATAAGCTACTAAAACTGTTAAGTCCATTTAGCAAGATCACAGGATACAAGATTAGTATACAAAAATTAACTTCTTCATTCTTATACTATGGTTTTACTGTATAGTTCATGATTACTTAATGTAATTTTTAGAAACAAATAAGCTGGATGATATTTAATCTTATTCAAACAAAGCACTTTCCTTTAAAGTGATCATCAAAACTTTAAAACAGTGCTATTTACAATAGCATAAAAAATATCGCCATTTATTTCCTATTTAGATATACTGACATTCATCCATATGAAAATATGCAGGTCATTAGCTTACTATAATTTACTTTTGACTTAATGGGGCATAAATAAAACTTTCATAGTACACATGAGGTGGATATTTGATACACAGAACATTTGCGGTGGGCTTTCTGTGGGTTAGATGTAAAGCCCACATATTTTAATATTCACTATTTTAAATGAGCAATGCATGAGGGGAATGCAGTGTCAGTACCTGGCCTATTTTTAAACTAGTGTAATCACCCTAGTCATACCATTCAGTATGTTTGCTTTTTAAAATAAGTAACCACAATTAAGTTGTTGTAGCCCTTGCACTTCAAGAGATCTAGTCTTTACTTTCAGTTGTCTGTTAGGTCCATTCTGTTTACTAGACGGATGTTAATAAAAACTATGCGAGCCTGAATGAATTCTCAGCCAAATTTAGTCTTGTCTCTCATCTTGATTGGATTAATTCCAAATTCTAAAATGATTCAGTCCACAATAGCTCTAGGGGATGAAGAATTTGCCTTACTTTGCCCAGTTCCTAAGACTGTGAGTTGTCAAATCCCTAGACTGTAAGCTCTTCAAGGAGCAAGAGGCGCATTTTCTCCGTGTCATGTAATTTTTCTAAGGTGCTTGGCAGCACTCTGTACCCTGTGGAGTACTCAGTACCTTTTGTTTGATGTTGCTGACAAGACCTGAAAAAAAATCCCTTAAAAAAAAAACCCATTAAAGTGTAGCAAAACCGAAAAAAAAAAAAAAAAAAAAAATCCTGTGGTTTGACACAAGGATGGGCACATATATCAATGGAACAAAACAGAGAGTCCAGAAATGGACCCACACACTTATGATCAGTTGATTTTTGACAGAGGTTCAAAGGCAATCCAATAGAGAAAGCATAGTCTCTCATCGAATGGTATTGAAACAATTGGATATACATATGCAAAAAAGAATATTTATACTTCATTAGAAAATAACCCAAAATGGGTCATAGTCTAAAATGTAAAATGTAAAACTATAAAGCTTCTGGAAGAAAACATAAGAGAAAATCTTTGTGAACCTGGGTTAGATAAATATTTCTTAAATATAACATATAAAGCATAATCCAGGAAATAAAAACTTGATAAACTTTGTTTACAATTAAAAACTTCTGCTCTTTAAAAGACACTGTTAAGAAAACCTAGACATAGGCATACAGACCGTGGCACACGTCTGTAATCCCAGCACTTTTGGAGGCTGAGGCTAATCACATGAGGGCAGGAGTTCAAGATCAGCCTTGCCAGCATGGCAAAACCCCATCTCTACTAAAAATACAAAAAATTAGTGGGGCATGTTGGTGCACAGCTGTAATCCCAGCTACTTGGGAGACAGAGGTTACAGTGAGCCAAGATCATGCCACTGTACCCCAGCCTAGGCAACAGAGCAAGACCCAGTCTCAAAAAAGCTAAAATAAATTTAATATTAAAAAAAAAACCCTAGAGACAAATCACAGATTGGGAGAAATAGTTACAAATCACCTATCTGGCAAAGGACATTTATCCACAGTATATAAAGAACTCTCAAAATTCAATAATAAGCAATCCAGTAGAAAAATGAGCAAAAGATTTGAATAGACACTTTACCAAAGCCATATATAACAAATCAACAAATTAAAATTAATTCAGCATCATTAATGAAACCCCTCTAAAATGGGCTTAAACATTAGAGATCAAGTATTGGATCCCACTAGGAAATTCCACGGAGAGATTAACATCAATCAATCCAAACCTTTAACAGAGTTATTCATGACACCATCACTTTGCTGGGCAGCAGAAGGGAGGCCCTTCACTCTGCTACTGAGGCAGACAGGCCCCCTTCCATGGCCATGAGATGAATGCCAGCTCAGCCAAGCTACAGTCTGGTAGGAGCATTTCTTAGAATTCCAAGCTGGGGTCCTAAAATTCACCCTGATTGGCCTGCTTAGGTCACATGTCCACCCACGATGAAGCAATGACTGTGGCCAGGAAATAGATTTGTGCTGATTAGTGTAAGTCCAGGCCACAATTCTTAAGCCATGGGTAGTGTTAACTTCCTCCAAAGTTCAAGGGTTTTAGTGGAAGCAGAGTAACTACCCAAACTTCAATTGGTAGAAATGTCCAAGGTGAAGCAGGCACGGTGCCCCCCACACTCCATCACTAAATCCCTTTAATTTGTGTTAAAATCATGCTTAGTAAGGCTCCATGTCTTAGCATTGTCATTGTTCCTCAGAAAAGGAAAAGAAATTTCTAGATGATATTTATTAAGACAACTAGGAACAAAAATTGAGAGCCCCTGTGATGGTATCAGTGTCAGTTTTTCCATGTATTATGCAGTTATGCAGGGTGATCCTTTTTCGTTTTTGCTTGTGACCATGATCGAGAAAATGGCTCCCTAAAAAAGAACGTGGTGATGAAAAAATGGCTCCCTAAAAAAGAATGTTGTTGTAAGTGTGGAAGTGAGTGTTGATGCATGTTGTCTATTGTGAAAAATTCCTCCTGGCAGTCTTAGCACTTAGCATTCTGCAACGGGTGCCATGTCACGTTCCCCATAACGCTCTTCTCTTGCTGTTGGCCCTCCTCTTTGATCAGGATGTGCTGATGGAGCTCCTTGAGCAGTGCGCAGATGGACTCTGGAAAGCCGAGCGCTACGAGCTCATCGCCGACATCTACAAACTTATCATCCCCATTTATGAGAAGCGGAGGGATTTTGAGGTATGAGAGTGCCTTTTTGTTTTTTTCCTATTTGAGAGCATGACGCTGTGACATATACCCAGACCTGCATATATGTGAGAGAGGAAGCAGGCCATGGGCCAGAGATGAGTGGGGGTCTCTGACCCTCCACGTTACGCTGAAGGTGGTGGCCAGTCATCATCTCCAAATAGTCATCGGGTATCACCCAGACCTGGGCCCTACCTCTGTGGAGACCCCCACATCTCAAACTACAGAGTAACCGGCACTCCACTTTCGAAAGGCTGCCATGAACAGAGTTTTGTGATCACCAGTTGTCCCTTTTCTGAGAACTCTTCCTTACTCCACCTGCGTGAAAAAATGGTGTCCCTTCCGTCCATCCTGGGCTTGGGAGGTCATCCAGTTTCTCTAGGCATATCAAACAGAGCAGGAAAAGCAAAGGCCAAGAATCACGTTGGGGAACCATCTCTGACATCGCATCTTAACTTGAAAACAGAGTTTGCTTACTCTAATGTGGAAATGTGATGGGTCCTCACGTGTGGGCTGGCCTTTGGGTAGGAAATGTTACCATTCATTAATGATCACTACAAGTTGTGCAGCCAAAATGTGTGTGTGTGTATTTTTATTCAAGTTCAAGGACTTTTCACCTCCATTATCACATTTGTTATTTTAAAATCGATTCTCCTCTTTGCACATGGGAAGAAATGGGCTTTGTTCTGCTTTCCAGAGGCTGGCCCATCTGTATGACACGCTGCACCGGGCCTACAGCAAAGTGACCGAGGTCATGCACTCGGGCCGCAGGCTTCTGGGGACCTACTTCCGGGTAGCCTTCTTCGGGCAGGTGAGCCTCCTGTCCATTCTGCAGACTGTCCTAAGTCCTTTAAAAAAAAACAAAAACAAAAACAAAAAAAAAACTATAATAAAGTTATATCTTATAAATTCTCTGTTTTCTGTAATTGCTAATTTGATGAATTTGTCATATTTAGTATGATTCTTATCTTCCTCAGTAGTAAACTTTCTGCTTTTTTTCTTTCTTCCTGTCTTTTCTTTATTACTTTCTTAAGGCAGCGGTAAGTTCTTCCTCCTTAAGACATTCTTAGCAACATCTTTGGTACTTCAGTGTGGTTTGCAAGTTTGCTTTTCAAGTCTGTATGTTTATCTGTCTAGTTATTACAAACTCCAAAAAAATTAACATTTTATTCCATTTACAGAAATAAATCACCTGTTTTCTTATATATCTATATTGCATGTTTTAAACCAAAATTAAGACTTTCTGGTGTCCTTTGTGCCTGTGCATCTTTATCCTTTGTAGTATAATATCTCCACAAGTATATTTACAGTTTTTCAGAAACCCTATAGGAAAGGGTTTATCTAAATTTAACTTAAATTTTAACCTTCGAGTCCCTTAACATTATTAAATGGTATAAATTATAATACATATATTTAGGGCGTGTGGTTTTCTATGAGCATTATATAACCTTCAATTTATTCTGTTATTGTCTTTTATAACTTTATAGCAATACCAGTTTACAGACAGTGAAACAGATGTGGAGGTAATTACAGTAAATGCCTAAAAAGCAAGTAATATAGTGAAATTACTGCGTCTAAACTCCTAGTTTGATGTGGATGTTTTTTGTTTCATGCTAGCTTGCATTTTTTTTTACTGTTTTGTGCACCATTTTCTCTCTCTTAATTTACGTGAGAAACTTTAAAAAATTTTCTTTTAAACATTAACCCCAGTTGGACTTTTTAATTTTCAACCTTTTTCACTTCCCATGCAATTCTAAGCCTTGTAGTCAAACATGATTGGTGCTAAAACAGATGATGACTGGTGATATGAAAATATTTTCTGATATTGAGCTACAGGTCTTTAATATTTTTTTCTCATCGGTAAAGCAAAATACAATTTATACAAGCTTTACCTAACTTTTACTAAACTTACTCCAGACCCCCAAACGCTTCAGTTCATGCCATAAAATCCTGTGTGCATGGGAGCCATCAGGAGAAGGGAGGCATGTCCACTTCTGAGCCTGCCTGTCGTGGGCTGCTCATCATTTTCTAGTGAGTTCTGCTTCTTGGGAAAGTGAAACAGGCTTGACTCCCATTAGACTTCCCTGGGACAGCTTAGTCTTGTATCCAAAATCTTTCATTTCACTCAACACTTAATGACTGCATTCTTGAATAAGTTTGCAATGTTGTGTTTTTCCTTTACCTTTGCACCTAGACTTCATGTTATTAGCATTTTCTTTCTCATTCAGAAAGCCCATTTCAGCAGGATTTTTAGACCCATTCCTTTTTTTCCCCCTTGTAATAAAAGAACGCTTCCTAGGTGGTAAGCCCTGGGCTTACGTTCAGGGATAGCTCTAATTGTGCTTTATGTCACAGGGATTCTTTGAAGATGAAGATGGAAAGGAGTATATTTACAAGGAACCCAAACTCACACCGCTGTCGGAAATTTCTCAGAGACTCCTTAAACTGTACTCGGATAAATTTGGTTCTGAAAATGTCAAAATGATACAGGATTCTGGCAAGGTATGACCATGTTTGGATAAGTTTCATAGCAATGTAATGTTGTGATTGATTACATATTATATATTTTTAAATGTATATAGAAAAAAACACAAGAAAAATATTAAGGATTGTTGGCCGTGAGTGGCAGGTGTATTTTCTTCCTGATACCTTTAGTGCTTTCCATTACATGCTTGACATTAAAAAATCTTTATCGCCTAATTTTTGAAACATCTAATTTTACAAAATAATTAACGTCTGACAGGATATGTCATTTTTAGTCCAGCTATTTAGAAACTCTGACAGAATGAGGCCCGTGGCTTCGCTACTCACTGCACCTCTTCCTGCATGTAGCACATGACTTGCCACTCTGTCACTGACGGCTGGATGTAAGGACAGGTGAACAGATGGGCGGATGGGTGAATGGACACATGGACAGGCCAAGGAATGAACTCACCAGCAGCGTGACTGTGGGAATGGCGATCATTTTCTGCTTAGAGAGCTGTCCTCTGGCATTCTGTTCTCATGAAGACCCTTTTGGAACCTGCACCTTTGTCCTGTACCTTTGTGTGTCCCACCCTCCTCAGGACATCTCCAGGAGGTCAGGTCTCCCTCTGCTTCCTGAAGGTGAAACATGGGGCAAGACGGTTTCACTCCCACTGCCTTTAAATTATTCCTGCTAAAGAAAGTTAAGTTTTAATAGGTTTGGATACAATTAGAATGAATGGCCAAATGGCTTTTTCTAAAATACAAATAATAACTTTTTTTTTTTTTTTGAGATGGAGTCTGGCTCTGTCACCTGGGCTGGAGTGCAGTGGCGCTATCTCAGCTCACTGCAATCTCTGCCTCCTGGGTTCAAGAGATTCTTGTGCCTCAGCCTCCCGAGTAGCTGGGATTACAGGAACGCGCCACCACGCCTGGCTAATTTTTGTATTTTTGGTAGAGACAGGGTTTCACCATGTTGGCCAGGTTGTTCTCCAACTCCCGACCTCAAGTGACCTGCCTGCCTCGGCCTCCCAAAGTGCTAGGATTATAGGCGTGAGCCACCGAGCCTGGCCCAAATAATAACTTTCTATGACTTTATGTATTTTCTTCTAAAGTTTCAGGCACTTTTCCATCTGTTTTTTCATTTTTCTTCACAATCGTCTCTGTTTTGAGAACAGTTCTCTTTCATTTGCCTGCCTTATACCAGTATGGTCTCCATGTGCTCTGCACAGCCATTTCTTTTGTGTCCCTTTTTATTGCTCTAGAAGGTTAAATACAATTAAAATGTGCAAAATTGATTTGTTGATTTGTCTTCCTAATAAATTAGCTTTTGTTTCTGCATAGGAATTGCCTATGTTTAATTCTCTATCATGTCACAGAAATGAAAGTACCACCAATTCTAGCAATGTGGTTTTAAAAGCATTTATATGTTAAATAGAAACTAAATTTATCATTAGATTAGTCTAGATTAATCTGTACCTGTATTAAATTAATTGATCTGCAGCTGTTGCATCTAATCTCAGCTGTCTGTAGATTAATGATAATTTGGAGGCCTAGCTTCCAAACATTATTCCTAAAATAAACATTTATCTCTCTAAGCCAAATATATTAAAAATGCAGTTTAAGAAACAATCAGAGAAATCCAGACTGGAGGTCATTCAATAAGAAAACCAGCACTTTGGGAGGCCAAGGCGGGCGGATCACCTGAGGTCGGGAGTTCGAGACCAGCCTGACCAACATGGAGAAACCCTGTGTCTGCTAAAAATATATAATTAGCTGGGCATGGTGGCACACACCTGTAGTCACAGCTACTTGGGAGGCTGAGGCAGGAGAATCACTTGAACGCTGGAGGCAGAGGTTGCAGTAGCTGAGATCGCGCCATTGCACTCCAGCCTGGGCAACAAGAGCAAAACTCTGTCTCAAAAAAAAATAAAATAATTCAATGTTATGGGAAAAATGAATGATAGGGAATTCTTCTAAATTAAACATGACTAGGGACATAACAACTAAATGTAAAGTGTGATTGTTGATTAGATTCTGATCCAAACACAAATATCTATAACTAACATTCTGGAGACATTTGAGAAAATGTTAATATAGACTGGGTATTGGATGGTATTAGGGAATCAGTGTTAATTTGGGTAGGCATGATAATGTATTGCGGTTATAGAAGCAAATGTCCTTATTTTTAGGAGAAGCTGACTGTAGTATCCTGACGTGTACCACTTACTTTGAAATGGTTCTACTGGAAAAAAAAAAGTCTGTATGTCTGTGTGTGTGTGCACATCCATAAGTGTATGTGTATGTATATTTGAAACAAATATAGCAAACTGCTAGCAGTTGTTGATCCAAGTGGTGGATATGTGGATGTTTGTTGTACTCTTCTCTCCGTTATATTTACAAATAAAATGTTGGAAAATACCACGTAGGTAAGAACTGAGTGATTCCTTCATGGAGCACCAATCTCCCATTGTGCTGTTTCAATTAAAGGTCAACCCTAAGGATCTGGATTCTAAGTATGCATACATCCAGGTGACTCACGTCATCCCCTTCTTTGACGAAAAAGAGTTGCAAGAAAGGAAAACAGAGTTTGAGAGATCCCACAACATCCGCCGCTTCATGTTTGAGATGCCATTTACGCAGACCGGGAAGAGGCAGGGCGGGGTGGAAGAGCAGTGCAAACGGCGCACCATCCTGACAGGTATGGGCCCCAGAAGCCGCATGGACACGAGCCCGGACACCTCGCCAAAGAGCTGTCCAGAGGGATTCAGAAGCTTCAGGACTGGAAGGGTCTTTCGAGCTCAGTTAGCCACCCCCACACCCATTTCAGTTTCACATTTATCTAGTGCTTCCTTTTGAATACTTGGGATGTTTTTCTGTTGATCTGTTGACACTTCCTTCTTCCACAAGACCAGAAGCTCATATCCAATCTAAGGTCACTTACCCTTCTGAGAATCTGATGAAAATGGCGTGCCTTATGTGCCTAGATGCTTTTGCACACAGTCTAAGGTGACTTATGGACTCCAGGTCCAGCAGCCACACCCAGTCCTGGGTCTCCGCACAGGGAGGGACCCGTCTCACACACCTGTCTCAGGTTCTAGCATGGCCTGCTCAGCGGTCTCAGGCTGTGAGTAAATGGGATGTGAGCTTGGATCGCCCCACGCTGTTGCCCCCGGGGGCTGGCCAGCTGCCACTTGAATGCCTCCTCTGCCAGGAAGCTCACTGCATTCAGTGGCTATCCACGAGTTCAGCTTAGGCAGTTTTCACTGATCCCTTTGGCACTGTTTAGCCAGTGATAACCCACTCTGGGAAATGTGTTTTGCATCATTTCCCGGTCCCTGGCAAGTGTCTAGTCATCCTGGGGTGATTTTTACCTTCTGTGGGAGAGCTTGACCCATCCCTGCCTCATTAGGGTCAGCGACATCACTGGGGTAACCTAACATAAAATGCTTTCTTGACCAAGAAATATCAGTGGGAGGGCCGTTGAGAATGCCAGGTGTGCCAGCTTTCACCACACGTCTTCCAAAGAGTGGCCCTAGTTAAGTCAGACCAGGAAAGGGCCTGCTCCCCGGAAGTTGGGGTTGTTGAGTTTCTGTCTGGGTAATAATACACACTATCATAATAAGCGGAAGGAGCGCTGTGGAGATGCTGCACCCAGGTGCTTATCAGCTCTCACCGGCGAAGCGTATGCTTTAAAAAGAGAGACTGGATGGCGTGGGGTTTATATCTCAGTAAAGCTGTTACAAAAAAAAAAAAAAAAATACAGGTTTTTATGAATTAGCCCAGGACAGCGTATTGCAGGGAGCTTTTCACACTCCCTATGAGGGAAAAGAGATACAAGTTAAAACAAAACTGTGTTCTTAAAGTGTCCCTAATCCTGCTTGTAAAATAAGAAGACAGCATATATAAAGCACAAATAATATTGTCCTCACAAACATCACCCCACCCCAAATAATTTAATTATTTTTTTAATGCACACATCAGTAGCAAATTCTCATTAAGCCAAATAACTGCGCTTCCAGATGGAATCACTTTATGGGAATCACCAGCTTACAGTGTTTATGGTTCAGCTGTGATAACTTTCCTTCTGACCCTTTAAGTCAGTGGTTACCCAAGGTTGGTCCAGGACCAGCAGCATCAGCACCCCCAGGGAACTTGTTAGAGATGGAAGTTCCAGGTCCCCACCTCCGAAACTGCTGGATCAGAAACTCTGGGGGCGGGGCCCAGCTCTTTGTGTTCAACAGGCCCTCCCGGTTATCCTGGTGCATGCTCAGATTAGAGAACTGCTGCCTTTAATAAACCTAGTTCACTGCTGAGTCAGGGTCAGGATTTTTTAGTATGGTTATTGTTAAGGCAGTGTACGGATTCATAAACATTCATTACCATAGGCTGTTTTCCCAGGGCACATTTCTCCAGGGTTACAGGTCATCATTTTGTTAGAGACTACTTTAGATTAGATAAAGCACATGAGCAATGCTCTGTATCTGCGGGAACAAGGGGACAGAGAGTGCGCTTCAGAGAGAGGTGGGGCAGACACCTGTGTTGTTGGCTTGGGGATTGCCGTCCACAGCTGTGGGTTGAGACAGCCTAAGCAATGGCGAGGCTGTCCTGGGGGTCCTGTAGGCCTGGGTCACAGCCTCATTGTGTGACCTTGGGCAGGTCACTCTTCCTCTCTATGCCTTAGTTTCCTCATCTGTAAAATGCAAGTTAGGACACTTATCTCATTATATTGTCATAACTTTGTAAATAGTAAGAAGCAAGGGAAAGAGCGTTCTTCATTTTTTGCTAGATTTCATCCGCTGTTGAGCTAGATACACACACCAGGGCGTTCTGAAGGCTAGACCTGAGGGTTTTCCCTCAAGTTATCAACCCCTCAGGTTCTTCTTCCATTGCATTGCTTTGTACCTAACCTTTGGCCTTCCAAAGGTCAAAGGGAGCCCAGGCCTTCCCTGCCCTCTACACCAGGAAAAGGCTCACCTTTCTGGGTAGTTCCCAGTCAGCTGACTGTAACTGTGCAATCATTTGAAAAACCTCATGATCACCCTCCAGCCTCCTTCAGTGGAAATTTCTGAGCCTGTCCCAAAGAAGGGGGGCGAGGAGAAGCCTCCTCCACTTCTTTCATGGAACTTTTGCCAAGGAGTTTCTTCCCAGTCACTATTCCAGAGTCTTCCAAACCTGGATTAGCTTCCGGCCCTCCACTTTCTATTCAAGACACACAGACCAGCAGTCACCATACTTATCACTGGGCCTTCCCCGTCCTCCTTTCTAAAGGGCTGGCTCAGTCGGTCACCTAATTGTCCACCTTCCAGAGCCAGTTTGGACTCTCATGCAGCCATTTGGGCAGTAATGCATTCATTCATTCAACAAAATGTATTGCACACTGACCATGTTCCCATTGGCAGGCTAATGAAACAGACATCTGTGGGCCTGTGCAGCTGGCATTCTAGCCAGAGGAGACAGATGATAAACAGTACCCAGATGAGTAAATATAACCGTGGTAGAACGTGATCTGTGTTCCAGACAAAGCAAAAGGAGACTGGGAACCTGGAGTTGACCTCCTTCCTCAGAAACAGGAAGGCAGCCCCACTCTTCCCCTGAAGCACAGCCCCCTGTCCAAATACAAGCAGGCATCTGCCAGCACTGCCTCCCTGACTAGGGAGCAGCGAGGCCGAGTCCTCACCATCCTACCAGGGAGCTTTGTGGATCCCCAGTGCTACCACTTAAAATCTGTGAAACCAAGTCGGGAACCCTTCACCTTTCACTGATAAAACATTGTGAAAAGGCAACAGGCCTATAAGTACGTGACATATGAGGTTGCCTCAGGGTGGACATGTTTTCCGCTTTTGTCCAGATGTTGGGTGGCCCATCGGAACTCTGTGTTTCACAGGGGCTGGGCCTGTTTCCCATCCTGTGATGAGTCCTTCCCAATTGAACTCTTCCCTAGCCAGTTGCTAACTAGAGACCAGGACCACTCCCATCTGACGTTTGCTTGTTCAAAAAAAATAATAAGCTTTTAAGTACATATCTACCTGCCTATTAGTAAATATATGTCAAGTGAGAATATTATAGATATTTCTATATTATATAGAGCAATAAGAAATGTGAAATAGTAAATGAGAACCTGCTGTTTTTCTGTTCATTTTTAAATTAACTCCTTTGTGTTGATGTTTAGGTATCTCATTATGATAAAGGAAAACAATATTAATCAGATTTTTTTGGTTAAAAAATATATAAGAAAAAGTAAATATTTTTATTTTTATTTCTTATTCATTGCTGTAAGTTTCAAAATACCTTTATTAGCACTACAGCTCCAAAAGTTTGTGAATTTCTGGTTCATGAAATCCTTTGCTTAGGAGTATATTCTTTGTGTTTTTTTGGTTTGGGTTTTAGGGGAATGGTTTTTGTTTTCTTTTTTGAGACAGGGTCTCACTCTGTAGCCCAGGCTGGAGTGCAGTGGCACAATCACAGCTCACTGCAGCTTTGACCTCCTGGGCTCAAGCCTCCTGTGTCAGCCTCCCCAGTAGCTGGGACTACAGGCATATACCACCACACTCAGCTAATTTTTTGTATTTTTTACAAAATTACAAAAATTAGGTTTTTGCCATGTTGCCCAGGCTGGTCTTAAACTCCTGGGCTCAAGTGATCTACCAGCCTTGGCCTCCCAAAGTGCTAAGATTACAGGTGTGAGCACTGTACCCACCCTAGGAATATATTCTTACTTATTATTTTCTACTGATTTCTCAGCTTTGTGCAAGCTTAGCATGTGATTCAAAGTTATTCTATGGACAAAAATGAATTTTCTCAAGGATATTTTTATGGAACTATTTTCTGGACTTAATCTGTTATGTAGTATCTCAAAATTGTTTAGTCTTTTTTATGTTGTCAAAGTCATCTTATATCCACTAACTCATTCAAACCTCAGAGCTTCCAAGGAAGGTTTGAGTGGGGAATGATAACCTCATTTATTTAAAGACACGCTTGTCACATTAAAAGGATAACAAGGACCCAACTCTCTTGACTTTACGAGACACACGATTGTAAAGGAAGACAATATTCTAGCTCCATCAAGTACTAGTATGTGTCTTTGGCAAGCTTTGGGTTCCTTATTTTAAAAATGTAAGTAATAATGACATGTATAATAATCACTTCTAATAATAATCAGCTCAATAACACTAAAGCTCGTGCAAGCCATGCAGTAATTCTGGGGCTTACCCTCTGCAGCCATACACTGCTTCCCTTATGTGAAGAAGCGCATCCCTGTCATGTACCAGCACCACACTGACCTGAACCCCATCGAGGTGGCCATTGACGAGATGAGTAAGAAGGTGGCGGAGCTCCGGCAGCTGTGCTCCTCGGCCGAGGTGGACATGATCAAACTGCAGCTCAAACTCCAGGGCAGCGTGAGTGTTCAGGTGAGCCAGGCACAGCAGGCCGGAGGGCAGCAGGGGACGTCCTTGCCCCTGGGTGACTTGAGAGTCGTTTCCACTAACAAGGTCTACTTGAGAGCCTCGGTTTACCAAGTGATCCCTGCTCCCTTCCCCCAACGTCTGTGACATTTCTCCTGATATCAGAGGGGGAGGAAACCTCATGATCCCTGCCCCCCGCCCCATGAGGACTGACTGTGGGGACAAGAGCCAGATCTCATACACTACCCTGATTTGTCAGTATTTGGGGAATTCTGGGTGCCTGATTAGAAGCATCAAGACTCTTCTAAATACAAAGAAGTGTGGAGAGCAGTAGATTTTCCTATAAAACTGTTGTTTGCTGTTTTCTATGAAAATTGTATCCAAAAAAGTACCTTAAGTTTTACCCTCTTAATGGTATCTTTTGATTAATGAATTCATTATTTTAATATAGCCCAATCAATCAATTTTTCTTTATTGGTAGCATTTTTATGTTCTCTTTAAGAAATCTGTGTCTACTCCAAAATTTCACAGATGTTCTCCTAGGTTTTCCTCCTTTGCTCAGCATCCACATCCAGGTCTGCAGTCCATCTGGAATTGATTTTTGTATATGTTATAGTGTAAGGGTCAGGATATATTTTTTCCATATGACCTTCCAAGTGATATACACAATTTATTGAAAAGATCATCTTTGATCTAGATACTAACATATATGTTCAGTTTGTGAAAATTCATCAAGCTGTATACACTTGTGATATATGCGCTTTCCCGTTTGTATATTATACTTTAGTAAGAGGTTTTTAAAAAGTTATCTTACTTACATGGTTTCCTAGTTAATTGGTAAGTGTTAAATCACTCCCTCCAGTAACAAGTATGACTCTTATTTTCTGGTATTTTTAAGTGTATATAGTTCAAGCACATGTTTGTTCATATGTATATGTACATGTGTGTATATATGTATTTGTATATCCTATTGTTTTATCTTTCAAGAAGGGTATGTTTATGAAAGTTACATGTGGATTATAATACATAGGTTTTGGTTTTTTTGGTTCATTTTCTGAAATTATATTTTGTCAACTTCCCATCAGATCCACGCTAAAGAACCGTGAGTTGTTGCCCAACATTTTTGTGTCATTCACCACAAAAGCATTTACAGATGTTTTTAATCTCTTTCCTTATAGTCTCAAAGACATATGTGCCAAAATAAGTTAGCAAGTGAACATAAGTATTCCAGCAACATGAGTGATTATGTAACAGGTCCAGAGGCCACAATTTTCTGTAGCTAAAAACAAAACCACTCAATCAACATGATCTTGGAACATCCAGCCCCTATGGAAAGGCCGCTGGAGGGGTGTGGCACCAGTCCAGGGTAGGGCTGGACCATTGAGCTTTGTAAAAGGCAAAATATGCCCTGCTAATTTGATGGTAAACTTAGCATTTTATAAAATTCCCAGTCATCTTAAAAAGCAAGAAATTCCATGTTGAAATGAGAAGATTAAGTTTATACTCATACCTACCAAAGTAACAACAAAGTTGCAGCCAGAGGAAATTAACTTTATCATTTTATTTGCGTATTTCTGTAATTGTTTCATCAAGCAGCTCACTGGCGCTGCAGCTTTACTGGGCAGAGCCGTCTGCGGAGCTTCTTGTCATTGCACTCCAAGATCTTGCTATTAGACCTTATGGAGTCTCATCAGCCTTCCTCTTTCTATCTTCTTCAAATACAGACCGTCTTGTATCATTTTAGATGATCAGTCATTTTGGTCGTCTTCAGGTGATGAATACAGTTCCCCCCACGCACCAGCCTGGTGCTGAGTTCCACCCTCAACGCACCTTGGGCTGTTCACCCATTGCCCCCGGCTCAGAGGTCCCCCTCTGACCACTGTGGCTGGAACCTGGAACCCTCCTGTGTCTCCACGTCTGGTGTGAGTTCCTGTGGCTCAGTTTTCCTGCCATTGCTAGACAAGTCCTGCCTACCATGGGTCAGAACCACACACGGGGAGCTCCCCTAATTCCTTGCTAAGCTCACCAGACCTTCCGGGAAATATCAAGCAGTGACCACATAGTCACGTTCTTCCCCAGGCTGTCTCAGACGCCTGGAACATTCTTCTTCCCATCCCAGTGTGTCCAGCCTTCTTTCTCACCACGTTCTTACCTTTCCTTACTTATCCAGAATCAGCAGACCCTTCTTAGCTGCTTGCAAGGGTGGTGCAGGGTTCTGGTTCACTCACCGTGCTGTCTGCTCCTAACATCTAGCTCTCCAGCACACCGCAAACGCTCACTTCATCCCAGGATAGCAAATCAGTTTGCCCATGGCTGTCTATACAATTCAATGAAATGAACAGTTGGGTTTCAAAAACTGGAATAGTTACTGCATTTTTCAATTTTTCACTGAATTCACCAGATTGGCCTGTTAGTTCAGTGTAGTGCAGCACAAATCCCAGTGACTAAACACCTTGGAAGTAAGAATCCTTGACCTGGATTTGGAAGACCTGGGCTGTGATCTCTGGCGTTTTGCTTATTGGCTCTTCAAACTTCAACAGGCCCCTAAGTTTTCCAAGCATTGGTTTCTTCTTACATAAAGTAAACCATCATCACAAGTGCCCTGAAGATGGCTGAGATCATGGAATCAAGTGGTGTGCAACAGAGTGAACTTTGTGGTTTCTTTTTGGGCTTAAGTTCCTGGAAGGCAGGGATTGTGAGTAGCTCACGCGAACGGGCTTTTTAGTGCCTGCAAACTGAAACTGAGCAGATGGTCATGGTGATTTTCTTCCTAGTGGAACTGAAAATCTTTGCTCTTTGTCTAGGTCAATGCTGGCCCACTAGCATATGCGCGAGCTTTCTTAGATGATACAAACACAAAGCGATATCCTGACAATAAAGTGAAGCTGCTTAAGGAAGTTTTCAGGTAAAGCACACTGAAAGCATCTTTTTCTCTTCGAGTATTGATCATTTCTGTACTCATTCGGGAAGGAGATGCTGCTGGTTGGACTCATGCCTTATCCTCTGCGTGCCTTTGTTTCTCCCGCCTGTACCATTCCAGGCAATTTGTGGAAGCTTGCGGTCAAGCCTTAGCGGTAAACGAACGTCTGATTAAAGAAGACCAGCTCGAGTATCAGGAAGAAATGAAAGCCAACTACAGGGAAATGGCGAAGGAGCTTTCTGAAATCATGCATGAGCAGGTGAGGGCCGCACTGGCTCCAACAACTTGGAGTTCTTGGTTAGGGGTTTCAAGTACACCCTATCATGACTTAGGCCGCCTGATATCCTTCCAGAACTGTGACATCTGAAGGAGAATGTAGCATACCACACTCCTGCCATGCTCTAGCCCCAGGTCATTTGGGAACAGCTAACAGATTGCCCATATGCTGTTATCTACGGCAAGCAGGGGAGAGCGGGCCCGCCTCCTCGTGGCTCTAAGAGGTGGCCATGTTTCCTAAGCTTTCTCTCTCCCCACCCCCGTCTAGCCAAAAAGAAAAGAAAGGAAAAACTCACACGAAAATATCCATACTGTTCTGACAACTTTATTCCTTTAATCCTTTGAAAAAAGCAGGACTTGCCAACCTGGTTTAAGGAATTATCTGTTGCATTCAATGTTTTTGCTGTTTAAAAATACAGACTGATTCCATTTTTGATGATGTACAGTGGGCCTTGGCGCCCCAGTGGATTCTTCCTTTAAGTTCCTTGTCACTATGGGCATCTTCCCTGATTATTTTGCTGTTATCTCTTTCCTGTGGGTTTCTTCAGTAGGATTCTATGTGTGGGCTCAGTTGTCACAGAGGAGACAGTGTCCCATACCCAGGGAATGCCTAGAGCAGCATCCACATTGTTTTTTTTGTGAGGGGTCTGTCTCAGTCACTGTCCTTTCTTTATAATTGACATTAGCACCTTGATAACACAGAACTGCTCTGTCTGGCCCCTCCATTATCGTCCTTCAGTCTGGCACAGTGGAAGCCAGGGCCGTTTGTGGAGTGATCCTATCCCCTGACAGTTTAGTTAGTACATTTTCATTGCAGGAAACGAACGTCAGTGTGTGAGCTTTAACTCACTTGCTTTTTTTCTCCTCCATGCTAACACGTTCAGCTGGGATGGTAATGTCATTTTTAAACATTATTTTTCTGATAATCTGACTTAGAAAAAGCTATTACTTTTTTGAGTTTGAGCAACTACAGACATTGGCATAATGACAGTACATGGGCAGAGGAAAGCACCCTCTTCTGGACATTTTAAAAAGTAGAGGCCAGACATGGTGGCTCACTCCTGTAATCCCAGCACTTTGGGAGGCCAAGATGGGTGGATCATCTGAGGTCAGGAGTTCGAGACCAGCCTGGCCAACATGGTGAAACCCCATCTCTACTAAAAAATACAAAAATTAGCTGGGTGTAGTGGCACATACCCTAGTCTCAGCTACTCGGGAGGCTGAGGCAGGAGAATTGCTGGAACCCAGGAGGTGGAGGCTGCAGTGAGCCAAGATCATGCCACTACCCTCTAGCCTGGGCCACAGAGCGAGACTCCATCTCAAAAAAAAAAAAAGTAGAAAAAAATTGAAACGATTAGAGAAATGAATGTCTGAATAATTAAGCAGAACAGGAGGGACTCATGGGAACCGATTTTCAGAGAAAACTTGAGATCTTTTCTGTGGAGCCTCCAGATTCCTATAGAATGGAGAGTTTGGTCAGTGGGTGCCGACATTGGGCACTAGAGAAGATGAAAGTAGTAAGAGATCATAGGCTGAAACTGTTAAACTCCCAAAGTACAGGGATATTTAATGCACTTGCTGTCAGCTGCACCTTGAACTTCCCATTATGCCAACAGCTGTGAAGACTGAGCCCCCGTGAACCCCTGAAGGGCCGTGGCGGGGGTAGACTTGCTTTCGATGTTTCCAGGGGAGCCTCTGCTGGAGGTGAAGACCTACACTCAGATCCTTCCAGGCACCACTGGGCATGGAAAGATACTTGTTCAGGGTCAGAGGAGTAGCCACCCTCTCCCAAGACAAAATCCGTAAGACCCTGAGAAAAGGAGGCAGGAGAGAAACACAAATGCTTCAAATTCATTTTTAAAGGCTTTTTCAAGGTCAAGGCTAGGTTGTGTCCCAGTCAAGCACATGTAAGTAGACCTCACGTTGCCTTAAGTAGACCTCACGTTGCCTTATGATCTGGTGAGCGTAGAAGGCTCTCCATTCACTAGCTTTGTAAAAGAAACAAAATGTGCTGTTCTTGACTTTCTCCTTATAATCCTCACCTGAAAACAGTCATTTATGAGATAAGCTGAACATCTCCCTCTGTAAACCAGCAGCCAGGCTTTCCGGCTGCACATCACTCACGTGATGGAGTGAGTGTAGACTTGTGTGTGTGATGTGGGGTGCAACACATTGAGAAATATCTGCTTGCATCCTTATACTCAGTAACATTGTGTTGCACGTGGCAACATTGCCTTAAACTCTGTAACATTTTGTTACACTTGGTAACATTGTGTCACACATGGCAACATGGCATTGCATATGGTAACCTTGTGTTGCCCTCAGTAACGTTGTGTTTCTGTCCTCAAGATCTGCCCCCTGGAGGAGAAGACGAGCGTCTTACCGAATTCCCTTCACATCTTCAACGCCATCAGTGGGACTCCAACAAGCACAATGGTTCACGGGATGACCAGCTCGTCTTCGGTCGTGTGATTACATCTCATGGCCCGTGTGTGGGGACTTGCTTTGTCATTTGCAAACTCAGGATGCTTTCCAAAGCCAATCACTGGGGAGACCGAGCACAGGGAGGACCAAGGGGAAGGGGAGAGAAAGGAAATAAAGAACAACGTTATTTCTTAACAGACTTTCTATAGGAGTTGTAAGAAGGTGCACATATTTTTTTAAATCTCACTGGCAATATTCAAAGTTTTCATTGTGTCTTAACAAAGGTGTGGTAGACACTCTTGAGCTGGACTTAGATTTTATTCTTCCTTGCAGAGTAGTGTTAGAATAGATGGCCTACAGAAAAAAAAGGTTCTGGGATCTACATGGCAGGGAGGGCTGCACTGACATTGATGCCTGGGGGACCTTTTGCCTCGAGGCTGAGCTGGAAAATCTTGAAAATATTTTTTTTTTCCTGTGGCACATTCAGGTTGAATACAAGAACTATTTTTGTGACTAGTTTTTGATGACCTAAGGGAACTGACCATTGTAATTTTTGTACCAGTGAACCAGGAGATTTAGTGCTTTTATATTCATTTCCTTGCATTTAAGAAAATATGAAAGCTTAAGGAATTATGTGAGCTTAAAACTAGTCAAGCAGTTTAGAACCAAAGGCCTATATTAATAACCGCAACTATGCTGAAAAGTACAAAGTAGTACAGTATATTGTTATGTACATATCATTGTTAATACAGTCCTGGCATTCTGTACATATATGTATTACATTTCTACATTTTTAATACTCACATGGGCTTATGCATTAAGTTTAATTGTGATAAATTTGTGCTGTTCCAGTATATGCAATACACTTTAATGTTTTATTCTTGTACATAAAAATGTGCAATATGGAGATGTATACAGTCTTTACTATATTAGGTTTATAAACAGTTTTAAGAATTTCATCCTTTTGCCAAAATGGTGGAGTATGTAATTGGTAAATCATAAATCCTGTGGTGAATGGTGGTGTACTTTAAAGCTGTCACCATGTTATATTTTCTTTTAAGACTTTAATTTAGTAATTTTATATTTGGGAAAATAAAGGTTTTTAATTTTATTTAACTGGAATCACTGCCCTGCTGTAATTAAACATTCTGTACCACATCTGTATTAAAAAGACATTGCTGACCATTTGGGGTGGCTGCTGGGTGTTTATTGTTCAGCAGTCCTAAGGGAACAGGATACCAAAATCCTCAGAGTGAAATCACACGGGGTCTGAAATTTTCTTTAAAATACTTGAGTGGGGGAAAAAAAGAGTGGGTAGAGACCACGGGACTGACAGAATGCTGGTCACTGTGGAGGCTGAAGTTGGGTGCGGGGGAAGCATGATACCAGTTTCTCTGCTTTTGGGGAAGTTTCTGTGATACGGATTTCACAAGCAGGGGTCACGTCTTCAGAGGACCTGGATGAATGCTTTGTTGGACCGTGGTCAGGATCTAAATCATACCAGTTACTCCCAGGTTCACGTGGACACCTCGCTAGCTCTGGCTTTTCCCCTTTGGCTGTAGCAAGACGTCCATCTTTATCCCCTCACTTACTGGCTTTCCAGATGAGAACTCTGGGATAGTGCATAGGTGGCCAGGTGCACTCCCTGTGCCCCACGTGGTCAGGATCCCTGAACCAGGTCACATGATGGTTCCAATTGCAGGTGCTGTTCCTGCTTCTGGTATGCCCGGTGGCCCCAGCAGGTAGGTCAGCTCCTTGTCACTCAGCCCCATATAGTTCCATGATGGAACTAAATAAAATACAGAACAAAATAAAATAGCTGGGTTTTTGCCTTGAAGGGCTGTAAAGGCTGTCTTTTTACATGACCAGTTAAGGAAAGAAAACTTGAGGTGCTGTGCACCCCTTGAGCACCCAGTGGCCAAGGGTCTTGTGGCATCTGAAATATTTGCTACCTACCAATGATAAGGCAGGAGGTCTTGGGAAGAGATAAAGAGGTAGCAAAGGGTCGCCACGACCCACCAGAATCCACAGCCCACTTATGCACTCATGACGCCATTGGGACTTACCCAGCATACGTTTGTTCCATGTCGCTGACATCCCAGCCGGGGCTAATAAACCTTAAGGCAAACATCAGCATGTCTGGGAGAAGAGCCTGGCGCTGAGCTGGATCGTCTAGTCATAAATGCCTCATCCAGAAACCATAAAACTCAAGTCACCATGTAGTAAGATAAATAGAAGTCTAGAAAGAGCCCATGTCAGATAAAGGTAAGTTTGGAAGGCGACCAAGCCTTGCTTATGACAGGAGTGGAGAGAGGAGCCATCTCTAAGTTGGGAACATCCTGCAGGGAAACATCCGTATCAATTAAATCTTCCCTTCGTTATGTACAAAGCCAGGTGGAGCATTTTCTTGGGAATTCGTATTGCTATTCTGCAGTAAATGTGGGGTTTTTTTTCCCATAGGTCCTACTTATTCTTTCTTTTAATTGAGGTAAAATATGCCTAAAATGTACCAGTTTAACCATTTTTAAGTGTAAGGTTCATTGGCATCAAGTAGATTCTCATTGTGCAACCATCGCCACCCTCCATCTCCAGATACTCATCTTCCCAAACTCACACTCAGTACTCATTAAACAGGAACTCCCTACTTCCCCCTCACAACACTGCTTTTGAGGCAACACTGGAATTAAAACTCTAGTTAAGACCTTGTCCTGGATATTAGCCAGGTGGGAACAAATAGAGCCAGACCCTTGCACAGAGGACAGCTGCTGAGAGCAGGACTGCAGGATGGCAAGGTAACCTGAGTGACGAGAAGCAGCCATCCAGAATGGTTTCATCATATAACTCAAAGCAGTGACTCCGTTCCAAGAAAATGTGATCTCCATCCATGGGGGATCGTTTGTATAAACCATGGTACATCCACACAGTGGAATACTGTGCAGCTGTAAAAATCTGCTCATTTAATGTATACAATTTGGCTGGGCGCGGTGGCGCACACCTGTAATCCCAGCACTTTGGGAGGCCGAGGTGGGCAGATCACTTGAGGTCAGAAGTTTGAGACCAGCCTGGCCAACATGGTGGAATTCTGTCTCTACCAAAAATTCAAAAATTAGCCAGGCATGCTGGCGGGCGCCTGTAATCCCAGCCACTTGGGAGGCTGAGGAACTAGAATCGCTTGAACCCGGGAAGCAGAGGTTGCAGTGAGCCGAAATCACACCACTGTACTCCAGCCTAGGTGACAAGTGAGACTCTGTCTCAAAAAATAATAATAATGTATACAATTTGATGAGAGCAGACACGCATACACCTGTGATACCATCACCACAACTGAGGTAAAAAAAAAAAAAAAAAAAAAAAGGACAGTAAAATATATCCACCACTTCCAGAAGTTTCCTCGTGCTCCCCTCTTGTTTTGTGGTAAGGACATTTAACACGAGATCAACCCTCTTAACAAATTTGTAAGTGCACAATAACAGTAACGTATATAGGCAACTAACATGTTTTATAGTTGTTACCTACAGCAAGGGAGAGGGAATGACGTGCAGGGGACAGGGTTAGAAGATAAACTTGTCTAATATCATTTGCTTTATAGATTTGGCTTCAGAACCATGCAAATATTTACATCATTAGCAAATGAATTTTTAAATTTCTAAGAAATTGAAGGCAAAATGTGATAAATGAACCTAACCATATAATATTATGTTGGCAACATACAGAAAGGAATTATTTCAAACAAGTTTAAACTACAGCAGTTTTACTGTGCTTTCTTAGTGTGATATGCCCTCAGGTCAAGAAGAGTGGCAATCAATTATTTATTATTTATTAATTTTTGAATTTTTGGTAGAGACAGAATTCCACCATGTTGGCCAGGCTGGTCTCAAACTTCTGACCTCAAGTGATCTGCCCACCTCGGCCTCCCAAAGTGCTGGGATTACAGGTGTGAACCACCACGCCCAGCCAAATAAGTGGCAACCACTTATTTATTAGTGGTTTATTGACAAAAACTAGTTTCAGTAATTGTTTTGTTTAAGTGTTGCATTGGTTTTTATTCTGAGACTGTTTTATGTTTATTGCCAGAGAGTAAATGAGTATTTATGTTGGTATCATCGGGAACCAGGTTCTTACATGGGAGAGGAAAAGATGTGTCTATGAGACCAGCAGGGTTAAATTAAAACACTCTGGGGTCGTGTGAGAAGGATTTTAAAGAAGCTCCCACTAGCAAGGTGCAGGATGGGCATCAGTAAGAATAATTGCAATGCAGTGAGCAGTAATCATGCCACTGCACTCCAGCCTGGGTGACAGAGCCAGACCCCATCTCAAAAAAAAAAAAAAAAAAAAAAAAAAGAATAATTGCAACGGACTGAAAGTATGTAATTAAGTCTATGAGTTCATAATGAAAGGAAAACTGCTTGGTAACCATTGAAGGAGTTGATATTATCAAAAAAGACAAAGCGTTCTCGTGTCTCCTGGTAGAAGTACACACCACCACCTATGAAGTAGTCTTGCCAAAAACTTGCATCTGACTCAGATCAAGCCTCTGACTCTACCTACCAATTCTCCATGACACACAGGGCACAGAGGAACACCTTAAGTGACACTGCGGGAAATGCAATCTGCAAAGTCCATCCTGTGGAAAGCTCTGTAGGATAAACAAGCTGGTTTCTTCAATAAACAAATTTCAAGAAAAAAGAGATGGAGAGGGAACCTATGTATTAAAAAAGACTTCGGGGCCCACGTCTAGGAATGTGAAGTAGACACACTTTTCCCTATGTCCCCACTAAGTACAGCTAAAATCCCTGCACACTAGGCATCAACAGAAGACCCTGGAAGGTGGAGTGAAGAAGGCAGACCCACAAGAGGCCTTGGGTCCAGCGAGTGATGAGTTGTGAATTCTCTGGTTTTCTTTTTGCTTCATACATCCTATACTTGGAGCCGAAGAAACTAACCACAGGGAAATGCTAATGGGCAAAGACAAAAAAAGGCCAACACCCCTTCACACCTATTATTATGGCTATTATTTTAAAAACAAAACAAAATGCACTGATGAGGAGGTAGAGAAACTGGAACCCTGTGCACTGCCGATGGGAATGGAAAATGGTGCTACCACTATGAAAAATGCTATGGAGGTTCCTCAAAAAACTCAACAATTGCCGTATGATCCAGCAATTCCACTTCTGGGTATAAAACAAAAGAACTGAAAGCAGAGACTTGAACAGATTCAGGATGTTCCTAGCATTATTCACAGCAGCCAAAAGGTGCAAGCCACCCAAGCGTCCATCAACGGATGAATGGACTAAAAAAAAGGAGTCTCAATACAGTGGAATTATTACATGATTCAGCTTTTTAAAGGAAAACAATTCTGACACATTCTACAACATGGGTGAACTTTGAAGATATCACGCAAAGTGAAATAAGCCAGACACCAAGGAATAGATATTATGTGATTCCATTTACATGGATACCTAGAGTAGGCAAATTCATAGAGACAAAGTAGAATGGGGGCTGCTGCTGTCACCGGTGGAGGGTGTCCAGGTTCTTGGTGTCTTGAACAAAGAATTGGACAAAACGCACAAACAAAGCAAGGAAAGAATGAAGCAACAACAGCAGAGATTTATTGAAAATGAAAGTACACTCCACAGCGAGGGTGGGGGGAGCAGGCCAGAGCATAGGGGCTCAAGAGCCCAGTTACAGAATTTGTGGGGGTTTAAATACCCTCTAGGGGTTTCCACTGGCAACTTGGTGTATGCCCTATGTAAATGAAGAGGATGAAGTCAGGTTACAAAATCATTGACTCGGCGTACCCCCTATGGACAGGATATTTCCTGTCATAGCTGAAGTATCAATCGGCTGGCCTTATGTTCCCTGCCTCCAGACCCTATTTTCCTGCCTCACTGGGGAGGGGGAATGGGGAGTGAGTGTTAAATGGGTGCAGAGTTTCAGTTGGGTAAGATGAAAAATGTCCTGAAGTGGGTGGTGGTGATGGTTGTTCAACAATGTGTGTGTACTTAACGCCTCACAACTGTACACTTGTAAATAGTTAAGATGGTACACTTCTGCATGTATGTTTAATTCTCTAGGGGTTTCCATTGGCCAGTCTGCGGGGGGTCCAGGGAGGCCTCTGATCAGGGACACTGGAGAGGGACATGAGTGAGAGCCAAGCCCCTTGGGGGAACTGAGGGGAAAGGTGTTTCAGCAGAGGGAACAGAGGTGGGTGCCGGCTGTTCACAGAGATGCCAAGGGAGGGGAGGCACGGGGGCAGAGGGAACAGCAGGTGACCCCCAGAGGGCCCTGGTGGCCTGGGCAGGACTCTGTGTTTTATGCGAAAATGGAAATCAATTGGAAGGTTTTGAACACAGAATTGACACGACCAGGCTTAGGGTTTTTCAAAGATCAGTTGGCTTCTGTGGAGAAGGGGTTGCCGCGAGCAAGGGGTGAAGCGGGGCTTACGGTGAAGCTGTGGCTGTGGCCCGGGGGTGGGGGCTGAGGTTGGGTGCAGGTGTGCAGGGGCTGAAGAGGAACTAGATTCTGAAGATACACAGAAGGGAGTGCTGCCAGGACGTGCTGGGGACTGGATTAGGGGAGAGGGACAGGGGGAGGGACAGGAGTTGGGGGGATCCAAAATTTTGGTCAACCACTGGAAGAATGGAGAGAGCGAAAAGGGAGACTGGGAAGGTGCAGTGATGTGAGCAGCCCCCCTTCTGGGCATGTGAAGGTTGAGAGGGCTCTGAGAGTGGGGTGGTCAGGAGTGCAGGGGATTTGGAAGTCGAATTCAGGGGAGCGTCTGGGCTGGAGGAGACGCTGCTATGTAGATGATAGTAAAGCTATGAGGACCAGCTGGGGCCCTGGTGAGTGCGGACAGAGGAGAGGTCCATGGCAGAGCGTGGGGGTTCTGCAGTGTTGAGAGGCCACAGAGAGGAGGAGGAACCAACAATGCAGACCATGAGAGAGAAGCAGAGGTCTGGAAGGGCCAAGAGACGGGCGTTCAAAAGCCACGTGAATAAAGTAGTTCAAAAAGGCAGTGACCCAATGAATCCAATGAGAATAAAATGAGGCCCAAGAATCTGCCGTTGGATTTGGCAAAGTGGAGGTGTATGAGTCCATTCTCACACTGCTACAAAGAACCACCTGAGACTGGGTAATTCATGAAGAAAGAGGTTTAATTGACTGACAGTTCTGCAGGCTGCACAGGAAGCATGGCTGGGGAGGCCTCGGGAAACTTAAAATCACGGCAGAAGGTGAAGGGGAAGCAAGTACCTTCTTCACATGGCGGCAGAAGAGAGAGCAAAGGGGGACATGCCACACACTTTCAAACCGCCAGATCTCGTGAGAACTCACTGGCTATCACGAGAACAGCAAGGGGGAAATCTCCCCCATGATCCAATCGGCTCCCACCAGGCCCCTCCCTGACACACAGGGATTACAATTCGAAAAAAGATTTGGGTCGGGACACAAAGCCAAACCGTATCAGGAGGTGGTTGGAGGGAGCCCTTGAGAGAGTGGTATGGACCAAAGGCTGATGGGAGTGGCTTTCAGGAAGGATGGGAACGCTGAGTATGAGCATGAGCACTTCATGTTTTGCTTTATAAAGAGGAGTGGAGAATTTGATGATATTGAGGAAAGTTTTAAGTCAGGTAAAGAGAGGACTCAGGTTTTTTCAATAGCAGAATGACAGCAGGTGTACAGACTGATGAAAATAGCCAGGTAGAAAGGCAGAAAACTGATCATGCAAAAAAGAGTGATGTCTTCCAACAGGCAGGAGGGAGGAAATTGGGCACTAGAGGTCAGGGGTGCCCGAGCTGGGTCTGGAGCCTCAGAAAGGAAGGAGGCTCTGCTGAACACAGGCTGAAGGGTATGCGGTTCTCTGCTGGTTGCTTCTGTTTTCTTTGGGAAATGAAAAGCAGGGTCATCCACTAAAAGAAAGGAGAGAGAGGGATAAGGTGTAGAGAGAAAAGACGTGCACAAATTATATTTTCACCTTTGCACACGTGTCTCTGTCTCCAAAGGGTACATTCTTAGCAGCGGAATTGCTGGGTCAAAGGGAAGGCACATTTTAAATTTGACCAGCATCACCGAACTGCTCTCCACAAAATAACACGAGGGAACCGGCAAAGCTCATTATTTCATCTCCTTTAAGCCTTGGCATCTGTATTGGGTTCGTGGTGGTCTTTGAAGGTGTTCTGACGAATGTTCTGGTTACAGTGCACTCTGCACTCACAGCCTGTGGAATCTGCCTGGTACAACTTAACAATATTATTTAGACTTCAGCAAACAGAAAAAGACGTGAAATTAAGCCACCAAGGGTGAGTTGTGTCTTCATTCATCCCACACTTACTGCTTGTTTCACCTCAGGCAAGTGATTCGACTTTCCTTAGCCTCAGTTCCCTCATGCGTCAAATGAGATGGTAATAGTCTGCTGCACCTGGAGCGGTCCCGAGGAGGAAATGGGCTAAGCACTGCCGACTGGCTCATGGTAAGCCCTGAGTAAATGTTATTATTGTTATTATTTTTTAACCAGGACTCAGCACAAATAAGGGAAGAGGAGAGAATTCAGCATTAATTCTTGCTCAATACTCCCTTTGACCCATGTTTTCCCACAGGCGTTCTAGGGAACATTACCAGTTCCAAGGACATGGGATGTTAACAGGGACATTGAGGGACAAAAAATTAAAAGGAGGTTGGGTTTCCTTGTTATAAGAAGTTAGATTGAGCAGCTTCTCCTTTAGTACCTCTCAAAGCCTCTTGGATGAACTTTGCTTCTAAGACAGGTCCCTGCTAATGACTATTTCCCCAAATCCACTGACAGACACACCTGCTCCTCTAGAGCCTGGCCCGCGGCCAGGGTCCCACAAATGCTCTCTGAGAAATACTCCAGAGACCACACAGACTGGGCCCCTGTCCTGCCTCCTTGGCTGCGGTTCATCCCTGGTGGCAGAGGGTGGCTCCCAAGGGTCCTCGGTTAGCAACTCCAGCCAGGAGCAGGGGTACAGCCATCACCTGCCCCACCTGGGTGGCTGTCTACTTGCCCGCTTAGCCAGACGCAGTGATGGAAGGGGCGCAGGTTGCCCACCCCAGTGGGCTGAGCCTGCACCCTTGATGTAGGAGGTTTCCTGGCACAGGCTGGCCTGATATCTGCTGCTGGTCCGGGCTTGTCATGCTGCGCATACACCGGATGAGGACGCAGCACCGGAGTCTGGAGCTTGCACCTTCTTGTCCACAAGTGACTTGAGCAGATTCATTTTCACTCCTGTCTCTCCCCCTGCAAGTCAGGGGAAAGCCCGGGCATCCCCTGCCTCACGGTGGGGAATGAAATGCGTGCTAGAAGGGACCCCAATAATGCACTCTTCCATTTGGAAGAAGCAAGAACAACGGCTACAATCGTTCCTTGAAGTCTGTGTCAGTTGGAATTTGCCTGGAATATGGTGGCGCTGGCTGAGAGGGGGTGGTGGCTCCTACTGGCATGCTGGTGGGAGTCATCTGGAACTGACCCTAGAGCTTTCTGAGCCTTGCAAAAGAGCCACAGGTGAAGACATGAGGCTGAATTGTGAGGCCCTAGAAATGGGCAAGACCACCGCTGAGGTTAGACCCAGGCCCAGATCCGAGAGTTGCTGAGAAGCCAAGGGAACCAGTGTCTCTGGACGAGACACTGAGCTGAGCTCCAGAAGGTGTTCAGCAGATGCTGGTGTGCAGCTCAGGAAGGAGGAACCCACACAGCCCCGGGCAGACCTTTGTCCTGGTGTGACTGACCCATCAGCTCAGGAGGAGAGCAGGCAGGGCCTCCTCCTCACAAAGGCTGATCCCTCTGTGTCAGGGACACTCACCACACCCTCTTCCTACGCTGCTCTCAGGTGCCAGCACTTTCCAGTGTGACCCTTAATCCTCAGAACAATGCTGCCATGTGGGCGGTGGCTTCCTGTGAAGAAACCATGGGCAGAGAGATGGGCAAAGTTGGCGTAGTCACACGGTACACGGGGAGATTCCTCTGACCTGGGGCCTGGTCGGCCAAGGTGCTCAGCACCTCCAGGCCACACCGGCCTCTGCAGAGATAGGGGCAAGTCCTGCAGGCTCCACTGTGCCCCCACCAAATTCGTGTATTGAAGTCCTAACCCCCAGCACCTCAGAAAGTGACTGGATTTGGAGTAGGGTCTTTAGAGAGGTAATTAAGTCAACATGAGGTCACTAGAGTGGAACCCAATCCAACAGGACTGGTATCCTTGTGAGAAGAGGAGATCTGAACACAGACTCACACAGCAGGAAGGTGAGTGAAGACACAGGGGGAGGATGGCCGTCCACAGGCCAAGGAGAGAGGCCTGGAACAGATCCCTTCCTCATGGCCCTCAGAAGCAGCTGCCCCTGCTGACGCCTTAATCTCGGACTTCGGCTTCCAGAACCGTGAGGCAGTGACGTCTGCTGCTTAAACCACAGCCTGTGGAGCTGTGTTGTGGCAGCCGAGCGGACTAACACAGCCAGACCCCATGCCACACAAGGGGATGGGGCCATGGTGCTCCAGGACATGTGGGGAGACTCAGATCCTTAGAGAGACAGAGGTTTGAACAGAAACATCACCAAACCAAGACAGGATGAGGACAACAAGTTTCTGAAGGAACTAGCCTTGCTCTGAAACCAAGATTGGGAAATATTGTCACCGTTGGCTGTGGCAGCCCCGTCCGACTGGTTCTGAGCAGGTGCTTCCAGGAGTGGGGCAACAGCAGGGCCCACATTGCCTGGTAAATGACTTCCCACCTTTCCAGGTGGGCATGACCGGAAGTGAGTGGGAGGTAATATGGCCCCTCTCTCACCATCTGTCATAAGCTGTCACAGACAGCCACCCAATGTCCTCTGCTTAGCTTGGCAGTGTGAAAGGAGCACTGGATGAGGAGTCTGAGAGGCTGGATTCTAGCTCAGTGGCCCAAGTGTGGAGTCCAACACCATCTGAGCTCCAGCTTTGACACCCATAACTGAGGAAAATCCCTGTTTCTCTTGACTTCACAGTTTCTCTGTCAAATAACATCATTTACTATTACTATATCCCCAGCCAAAAGGATTGTAGGGGCTTGTAATAAAAACATAATCAATAAAATCATTCAAGCAAGCATAAAATAATGGACATTAAGGAAAGAAGGGAAGAGATGGTTGTTTGTTATCCTTAACAATACAGACTAAGCCCCAAATTTAGCTCTGAGCATCCTGGCAGCCAAGAGAAAAAGGGAAACACTTTCAAAAGTAGATTAAAAAAATGTTTGAAGTTTAGAAGATACAGTACTTTTTTAAAGTTACACACTGTACAGAATTTAAAATGATAATTTTCTTTCAACGTGCACATTTCAAACATGAAGAACAGAATCCATGGCCAGGCTCTACACTCCGATTTCCTACATTTCTAGATGTTGTAGACTTCCTAGATTTGTGTAGCTTAAAATAGAGGAATTTATCACTGTTATCTCCACCCAGTCACAATCTCATGTTCTAGGCAAATCCAGTAAACTTTCCCCCTCCTCTCTTTATAAAAAATAGCCTCTGTACTTTTTTCTAATTATAAAAGCACTATTTGCTCCTAGTAGAATGTGTATAAAATACCAAAAAATAGAAATGAGAATTTAAATATCCACAGTCCTCCAACCCTCATCCCTTCCAGATAACTGCCATCGACACTTCACTGGCTCCATTCCAGCATTTTCTGTCTTCTGAGTTTCCTGTTGTTTCTTGACCCACATAGTTGAGGTTGCCTCAACTTTAGAAGTTTTGGTTCCCGGTAAATACTGTGTAGGAGCACCTAGAGTTACCAGATTTTCAACGTGACTCAGAGCTCATTTTCCTTAAGATAAAAATTGAGCAACAGGTTTCTGCCATCTTTGCTCTGCCCACCCACGTGAGCCTTGGGTCCACAGCTGTCTCTGCAACAGGAGCTCTGCACAGCTGGTCCAGAGCACCCACTTCCTCCAATTCCCACCCCCAAATGGGCTCTACTTTGCAGATAGTAAGAGCCCCTGGTGGAGTGAGAACCGTAGTTTTGAGCCACTGTAACTTCCTTCACCCATTATTCCTACTGTCTTGGTGAAGATTTACCTGGAGACAGGGTGGGCTTTGAGAAAGGATGTCTCATTACCATGCCCAAAAAGCCTCGTGCACCTCTCAGAATTTCCTTGTCCTTTTCTATTTCACCCCGTGAAATTCCACCAAAGGAGGTTCACACACATTAACACGTGTCATTGAAAAATTCCATCCTAAGATAAATCTGCTCCATGGATCTTGTGTGGATTGTGTCACTGTTATTTTTCTACTCACACATATTAGCTGTGCCATGGGAGGGGTCGCCTTACTGAAGGGAGCAAGAGACGTTGTTTTAGAACTGAGTAGAGGAAAGAAATCCTCTGTGTGGCTCTGCAAGGAAAGTCCGTGTAGCCCTTTTGGGCTGCTGGGTCCCCGGGACACAATGATGCGGCCGGAGGTGCCTGAGGCTCTGCCTGCTTCACCAGTGCCAGTGTAGACCCCCTGCCTGTGGAGTCCAGGTTCTCAACCCCCTTCCCCCGACCTCCATTACTTGAGCGGGTCAGCTTCCTTGAGTGTATGTGGGACAGAAGGGATTTGCTCTCCATTCCTCCTGAGTTGTCCACATGGCAGTTGCTCTTCCTGGGCCACCACACACCTCCTTGGGAATCCTGGAGTCAGAGGAAGCTTCTACTTTAGTGTGGCAGGCAGTGGGTGATAAGGTGCAGGTCGTGGGTCCCTTCTTTCCCCAGAGCCCCAACAGCAGCCTGTACCTGTGCCTCCCATGCACCTCTAGGGAGAGGCCGTGGCCATGATGGGTGGGAGGTCCTCAATCCCAACAAGGCACCCAGAAAGCTAGCCTGTCTGGTCCTGGGGGCCCGCTCTGAGGTACCCACGTTCCGACCATGCTCCTATGACCTCAACTCTCCTGTCCTCTGACAGAAAGTGAGTCCTTGCCAAAGCTCCATGCCCCTCACCATCACAGTGTCCAGCCAGGTCACAGCCGTCACGGCTATGCGTGGAGCACGGATTCCCCCATCAACCCGTGATGCTCTTGCCAAGTTTTCCAGGGCCTTGTCCTCAGTGCTTGCCTCACTTGACCAGCAGCAGTGTGGGAGCCAAAGCTTGCTCCGCCCTGAGCACCGTCCTCACTTGGCTGCCGGGAAGGACACACCTCTCCTTCCTCCCTCACACCACAGGGGTTCCTCCTGTGCTGCTGCCCAGTGTCTTATTTCCCGGGTCCCCTGGGTGCAACGCTCACTTCTTGTGGCTTGAATGATCTCATTCATATGCTGACCATACGACGATGTCCTTCATCTGTGTGATGACTATGATGACATCCATCATCTATGTGATGACTGTGATGACGTCCATTATCTATGTAATGACCACGATGATGTCCATTGTCTACGTAATGACCATGAAGATGTCAATTGTCTATGTAACGACCACGATGATGTCCATTGTCTATGTGTTGACTACATGATGATGATCATCATCAAGGTGATGACAGCGTTGACGTCCTGAGCGACAGAGTGATGTCCATCATCTATGTGATGACATAGATCATCTATGTGACAACATCCATCATCTATATGCCAACTATATGACTACATTCACCATCTATGTGATGACCCCCCTCCATGTCTATGCTAACTGTATGTTGACATCCATCATCTAGGTGATGAATTTGAAATGTACATCTCTGGCACAGACCTCTTCAAACTCCGGACTGTTAGTCTCCCTGTCTACTTAATAACTCCACTTGGAAATGGATTCAAATCTGAAATTCCACATGCATGAAAGCAAAGCACTCAACAAATGAAGTCTTTCTTGGCCCAGCTGATGTCACCATCATATAAGGATGAGGTATGTGGAAGAAAATTGGCTATACAATTGTATACAGTGGGACCAAGGTCACACAGCTAGGAGCTGGGGTTTGAAACTATGAGCTTGGCTTCAGAGTCTGCATGTGTAACCATCATGCTATTCTTCCAAATTCAAGCCATCCTAAATGCTCTTTGTTGCTTCCGTTCCTGGTTATAAATCACAAAGCTGGTACATAGTGAGCGATCCAGAAAGGAAATTCCAAACAAAGCCCAAGACACCACTTCTTCTGGAGCTTAGGATTCTCATATGTGCTTGACTCTGATCTATGCATTTCCTCTATTTTTTTATTATACAGAATTTCAAACATATAAAAAAGAAAGGCTGGGCATGGTGGCTCATGCTTGTAATCCCAGCACTTTGGGAGGCCGAGGCAGGCAGATCACTTGAGGTCAGGAGTTCGAGATCAGTCTGGGCAACATAACAAAACCTCGTCTCTAAAAACACAAAAATTACCCAGGCATGATGGTGTGCACCTGTAATCCCAGCTACTCAGGAGGCTGAGGCAGGAGAATGACTTGAACCCAAGAGGCGGAGGTTGCAGTGAGCCAAGATCGCACCACTGCGCTCCAGCCTGGGAAACAGAGTGAGACTCCATCTCAAAAAATATATATATATATGTATATATGTATAATATATGTGTATATATATGTGTAACTATATTATATATGTATACACACACACACACACACACACACACACACACACATAATGAAACAAATAAATAGAAATAAAAAAGAGACAAAACTGCCCAATGCCTCCCCATGAACCATCCAGCTTCAGCCATGATCAATGCTTGGCTAGTTCCTCTGCTGTGTGACTTGAAGCACATCCTAGACACCACCTCATTCCATCCCCTCATATTTCAAGGCATTTCTCTAAGAGATAAGGATACTCGCTTGACTTTTAAAATTCACAGTTATCCACTGATGTCATCAAACCTCCAGTCAGTGTTATCTCCAACTGTCTTTTGATGCCATAGTAATTTTTTTCACAGTTTTCTCATCAGTACTCATATTTTGAGTAGGTATTTCTTTTAAGCCTTTTCTAACCTATAAATTTCCCCTCCACCTTTGAGTTCCCTGAAATGTATTTGTTGAAGAAAATGGGGTGTTTTTCCTTCGGGGTTTCCTGCTGGGTTTCCCAGATGGCATCCCTAGAGTCTGTCTCTCTCTCTCTTTTTTTTTTCTCGTAGACAGTCTCACACTGTCCCCAGGCTGGAGTGCAGTGGTGCAATCTCAGCTCACTGAAACCTCTGCCTCCCGGGTTCAAGCGATTCTCCTCCCTCAGCCTCCCAAGTACCTGGGATTACAGGTGTGCGCCACAACACCTGGCTAATTTTTTGTATTTTTAGTAGAGATGGGGTTTCGCCATGTTGCCCAGGCTGGTCTTGAACTCCTGACCTCAAGTGATCCACCTGCCTCAGCCTCCCAAAGTACTGGGATTACAGATGTGAGCCACCACGCCTGGCCAGAGTCTGTCTCTTAACACTTTCCTCTCTCCTTTGTATTTCCTATAAATGGATCATTGGATCTAGAGGCTTCACCAAATTTAGATTTGGATTTTTTTGGCGAGATTACTGATAATATTGATAGATGGTGCTGTAATCTTCCATCTAAAGGCAGATATGTCTTGTGGGGCTGTTATGATGTTCGATTTCATTGATTACAGGCTACAAAATCGTGATGTCTGCCTTCACCTATTAACTGGAATGCTCCTGGTAAGGAAAAAATCCCCTTATCTATACCATTTGGTCAGCCACCAGTACAGCCACCACAGCATGAATACGTAAGTGTTTTCTTTTAATTTCCAGTTTGCAAAACAATGAGTCAGTTCCCTGCATCTCCCGCAGTGACGAGTTTGTTTTTCCCTTTCGTGCCAGAATGAACTTAATTGATTTAAACGTATCTGATGTGTTGCACTGACTTATTTTTATTGATGTTTAAATGGTCTCGTCTTGGCCGGTGTGTGCTTCTCCAGGTTGCTACTGGGCCCTGTTGTCTTGACCCTCACAGTCTTTGAGAACATCTTTGCTATTGGATATGATGTTGTGGCTCATCTTGTACATTTCCTGGCCCAAACATGGAATCAGCTCATTCTCCAAGGATTCCAGGGGGTTTTTTTAAGTTAGAAATTTGCAAGCCACCCTCTGGACATGGCTGAGGGTTGGTCATGGATTTTAAGCTTTTACAGTGGAAGAGCTAGGAAATACACATCTATAAAGTACTTCTGCTGGGCACAGTGGCTCATGCCTGTAATGCCAGCACTTTGGGAGGCTGAGGTGGGCGGATCACCTGAGGTCAGGAGTTCAATCAAGACTAGCCTGGCCAACATGGTGAAACCCCATCTCTACTAAAAATACAAAAATTAGCTGGGCATGGTGACAGGCACCTGTAATCCCAGCTACAAGGGAGGCTGAGGCAGGAGAATCGCTTGAACCCAGGAGGCGGAGGTTGCAGTGAGCCGAGATCACGCTACTGCACTCCAGCCTGGGTGAGTACAGAGTGAGACTCTGTCTCATAAATAAACAAACAAACAAACAAATAAATAAATAAAGTACTTCCTAGCCCAGGAGCTCCTAACCACACTTCTAACTCATATCCAAGATGGCAGCGGTTCCTCTTCCACCTTCCGTCTGTATCCCCTTTCTCTCACGCTGATATTCACGGCTTTTGGGACATCAGGAATGATAGAATATCACTAATGACCTATTGCTTCATTCCACGTTAGATACCTGACAACCTCAGAATAAGAATACCAGCACCATCTCAGCAGGGTTTTAGGGCAACTACTCCATATGATACTATAATGGTGGATATGTGTCATTATACATTTGTTAAACTCAAGGGCTAGTCTGCATGTAAATGACGGACTCCCGCTGACAATGATGTGTTTATCGTGGTTGATGGAGTCCGACAATGTATGGCCAGTGCAGGTCGTTGACAGTGGGGGAAGGTGTTTTGGGGGTTGAAGAGTGGGAGAATGTGAGAATTCTCTGTACTTTCCCCTCAATTTTGCTGTGAACCCAAAACTCCTCTAAAAAACAGTCTATTAGGGCCCGGCGCTGTGGCTCATGCCTGTAATCCCAGCACTTTGGGAGGCTAAGGCAGGTAGATCACCTGAGGTCAGGAGTTTGAGACCAGCCTGGCCAACATGGAGAAAGCCCGTTTCTATTAAAAATGCAAAATTAGCTGGGCGTAGTGGCACATGCCTGTAATCCCAGCTACTTGGGAGGCTGAGGCAGGAGAATCGCTTGAACCTGGGGGGTGGAGGTTGTGGTGAGCCGAGATCGCGCCACTGCACTCCAGCCTGGGCAACAAAGAGTGAAACTCCATCTCAAAAAAACAAAAACAAGTTCTATTAATTTTTTATAAATTCATGACTCCAAAGCCAATTATGCGAGAAAACAGATGTAAAAAAGTCTAGGCTGGGTGTGGTGGCTCACAGCTGTAATCTCAGCACTTTGAGAGGCTCAGGCAGGAGGATTGCTTGAGCCCAGGAGTTTGAGACCAGCCTGGGCAACATGGCAAAACCCCCATCTCTCCAAAAAATACAAAAATTAGCCAAGTGAGGTGATGTGTGCCTGTAGTCCCAGTTACTCAGGAGGCTGAGGTGGGAGGATCAATTGAGCTGGGAGGTGGAGGCTACGGTAATCTGTGATTGTGCCATTGCACTCCAGCCTGGGCTACAGAGCAAGAGCCTGTCTCAAAAAAGAAAAAAAAAGTCTAACTTTTGTGCTTGTTTTCATTATTCTTCTCTACTCCTTATATAAAACAAATTTGAAAGGTTTTGAATTCTCCTTCCATTTATTTTCCATATCACACACACATTCATCTCCTCCATTCTTGGCTCAGTGGTGGCACACTGTCCCCACTTAGCACTCCGTCTGATGGACATTTCTCCACAGTAGTTGTACATGTCACTTTGCATCTGAAAACCTGTCTTTGTTACTGGAAGCACAGTAATTTACCCAACTGTTGAAACAGTCTCGCTTTTCTTTCAGAGCAATGAAAACTAATGTCACATTTTCTTTTTTTTTTTTTTTTTGAGACTGAGTCTCACTCTGTTGCCAGGCTGGAGTGCAGTGGCACGGTCTCGGCTCCCTGCAACCTCCACCTCCTGAGTTCAAGCGATTCTCCTGCTTCAGCCTCCCAAGTAGCTGGGATTACAGGCATGCACCACCACGCCCCGCTAATTTTTGTATTTTTAGTAGAGATGGGGTTTCACCATGTTGGCCAGGCTGGTCTTGAACTTCTGACCTCGTGATCCATCCGCCTTGGCCTCCCAAAGTGCTGGGATTATAGGCGTGAGCCACCGTGCCCGGCCTTGAGCCACCGCGCCCTGCCTGAAAATGTCACATTTTCAAGGAAGCACGTACCAGTGTACGCAGTGGCCTTGTGCAAATTTACCCCTCTGGGTGCTCTCTTGCAGCTCCCCATCTCCCAGGCAGCTCTCCTTCCCGGGCGGGGCCCACATGCCTATCTCTGGAATCAGTGTTCGGCCGTCCTGTCTCTGACTCTGATGTGCACTGAGTCATCGTGTAAAACCTCCACACACTTCCCAGGTCTGTCAGATCATGGAGCAAAGTCCCCTTGTAAAGGAAGGGACGATTCTGCTGAGGCAGAAGATGAATTGACCTCTTGCCTTTCGAGGAAGGCTCCGGAGCTGAGCTGGGTGGAGGACACTTGTTCTACCTAGTGGGCTCCCAACACGCAACACCTGAGCCAGAGACCCGGCATCCCCTCCCCATCCACTCTCTCAGTCAGGCCGCACTCCAGGGTCCCTTAGAAGGTGCAAATGCCACTGTACCCAGTCTTTGTGGAGGGGCTGCTACATGCGGCCATTGTGAAGACAGGTTGATCTGGGATTTTATATTTTTAAGAGGACATTTAGAGCTCAGCTGTGGAGTCATCTTTTTCAGCCTTAGAGTGATGCGTGTTTTCCAACTAAGAGGATTTGATGTGGACTTTTGATCACAAAAAAACTGGATTTGGGAGAGTCTTTGAAAGTCTACTAATCGGTGGTTCTCAACACCCCGCCCCCATGCCCCAGTCCACCAGGGGATGCAAACGAAAACGTCTGCGGACATTTTTGGTTGTCATGGTTGAGGGTGGGGGTGCTACTGTAACCCTGTGGGTGGAGGGCTGGGATGCTGCTGAACATGTCACAGTGCACGGGACAGCCCCCACAACAGACAGAGATCGTCCAGGACAGCAGTACAGCCACGGCGGAGAAGCCTCCGTCTAAGCTCTTGTTGGTCAAGGGGTGACCTGCAGCCCAGCAGCCGCGAACAGACAAGTACTTGGGAGCTTGCGGGCAGAGGGTCCTCGTCCACACCCAGAGCCACCGAGCGCAAGTCTGCATTCCAACAAGCCCCAGGGGATTCCTTTGCACAGTAGGGTGTGAGAATCACTGCTCCCTGTGACCCCAATGCCAAGAGGGGCCTGACAGCAAAAGTCAAGTGTCCCACTCGAACACAGGGCTCCAGAGAAGCTCTAACTAGCCAGCTCATTGAACACCTTCAAGATATTTATTGCAAGGAATGATTTGCCCTGATGAAGACACAGAGTCACTAGAGAATGTGTAGAGACAGAGGCCAGCAGCATTTTCATTTTTAATCTCAAGAAGATTCCACAAACCTTTCAGTAGCAGGTGCCAGCGTTTTGAAGCCCCCTTACGGCTCTTGGTGGCAACACTTGCTGGCCAGTTACCGAGGGCATGACTTTGAAGCCCTCCACCCACTGCCCTCTGTGGTGTCCTGAGTACCTGACTAACCCGCCCAGGAACAGAGCTTCACCAGGATGGAGAAGAGGTCTCGTCCTTGCTCCGGTTCTCCTGGGGCCCAGCCCCATGCCTGGCAACCAGTCGAAGCTTGGCATCCATTGGACAGATGGATGTAGGAGAAGCAGGGACAGAGGAGGTCCTGGCCCCCAACCCCAGATGCCCTGAATGAGGAGGGAAATATTCTCCTTCACATGGGAAAATGGCCACCTGGCTCCCAAGCCGGCTGTGTGGGGAGCAGGCACGTCTGAAGGGGTCTGGCCTCTGTGTGGTCCTTTCCCACCTGCAGAAAACCAAGCCTGAGTGCTTTGCCTTCTCCATGTTTTTATTTTTATTTATTTATTTTTTTCTTGAGACGGAGTTTTGCTCTTGTCGCCCAGGCTAGAGTACAGTGGCATGATCTCGGCTCACTGCAACCTTCGCCTCTCGGGCTCAAGCGAGTCTCCTGCCTCAGCCTCCTGAGTAGCTGGGATTACAGAAGTGTGCCACCCAGCTAATTTTGTATTTTTAGTAGAGACGGGGTTTCACCATGTTGGCCAGGATGGTCTTCAACTCCTGACCTCAAGTGATCTGCCCACCTCAGCCTCCCAAAGTGCTGGGATTACAGGCATGAGCCACCGGGCCCGGCCCTCCATCCATTTTTTCAATATGGGATGCACACACATTCAAGGCAGGCCAGCCCCACCATGAGACTCTCAGGTCGCAGAATCTGGCGTCCGGGAGAACGAAGCCCCCTAAATTGCGACCCCACGGTGGTTGCTCCCACACTCAGCGGGTGGCCGCTCCCCGTAGGCTGCCCTCAGGCCTCAGAGTTGCTTGGGCATTTTTTGTCTGGAAGTCACCAGCTGAGGCCTGGACATGCCCCTGCACCCACGGTGGCGCACCCCTCCCGGGATGGCGAGCTCCAGGACGGACCAGCACAAGCGTGGACCTGACCCTGACCGCCCACCCGCCCTGCTGTCCTTCCGGGAGACTCCTTGGCAGAAGTCCAGGGCTGGTGGCCACTTCCCCTGGGAGCTGCGGGGCAGCTCAGTGCTGGCTCCCATGTTGACCACACACCCAACCTGTGGCCTGTTCCTCCTCAGCCCTTCTCGGCCCGGGCAGCCCTTGCCTGTCATCTGGTTCTTCCTCAGCCCCTCTCAGCCATCACCCTCACGGGAGGGGCAGGCTCAAGGGGCGAGGTCCTGGAAGGGTCAGGGCACTCTCAGTCCTCCAGACCAGTGCTCCCTGGTTCAGGACCAACTGCAGAAGCCCCATGGGATGTGAAAGACATGACAAAGAAAGAAAGGAGAGACCTTTCCTAATGAACATGAGGCCTCCCATTTTTAAACTCACTGATTTTTGAACTCATTTCACATTGCTCCATAAATAATACCAGGCCAGCTCTCAGGTGGAAAGTGGATGGAGGGAAGAAATAAAACCATCCAGGAACAGAAAACAGAGACAAGAGCGGGGCTAAGCCAGAGACTCCTGTGATTCCAGACCTAGACGTCTGTTGCAGGAAAGGGACGCCGGTGGGCTGTCAGTTGCCAGTGGAAAAAGAAATGCAGTTTTCAATAGATGAGGAAAACCTAAGTGGCCCTGAAACTAGGACAGGACGTGAGCATCTCCTTAGGGCCCTGGGAGAAGGGTGACCTCAACAGGCTTCCAGTAGACGTTATGCTCAAAGACAACCAAGGGGTGGCACCTCCAAGGGCAATTCCGTCAAACAAGCCCACCAGGGGCGCTGCACCACCGCCTGGCACCACCGCCCAGCACTCACCTCTACAGGTCTGGTTCCTTCCAGGATGGACCCCAGTCCCCAGCCAAAGGGCCCAGCAGAACATGCCTGTCGCCTGCCTGCTCTCCAGCCCGGAGTCCCAGGCTCTGAATCTCTCAACTAAGGAGGACAGCTGCTCCTTAAACTCCGCATCTTCCCAAGGGTTGAGGCAGCCCTGCTTCACCTCATCCCTGTCAGACACAAAAGTATGGGCAAAACGTCCCTGAGCAGCTGGACAGCCAGGGAGGACACACACAGCCTCTGCAGCTGAGGGGCTGGCCTGGAGTTCTGGCTCTGCATATGTGGAGAGTAATGCCTTGGAGCCGTGAGCTTATCTCCCCCTAGGAAATGGAGGCTAGAAAGAGCATCTACTTATGAGTTTACTTTCCTGTGAAGAGTGAGATGATTTAGCCATTCAACAAGTATTTCTTGAGCTCCTGTGAAGAGCCCAGGAGCTCAAGCCCGCAGTGAGCCGTGATCATGCCACTGCACTACAGTCTGGGTGACAGAGCAAGACCCTGAGAGGTGAAGATAACCATGTGGTCTCTTGATTATTTTGAAAAAAGCAGATTCCATATTAACAACCTTAAACAATGTGCAACAATTTCAGCTACATTCTTAGCTTCCTCACCTCTTGATGCCCATCCCTTCCGGCCCCAGCCTCCACCCCAACCTCTTCCCTGCAGCTCTAGGGTGACTTGGACAGCTCCGGGGCCCTATGCTCCCCCTCCCAGCTGGGTTCTTACCCACCTGACCTTTGTGCTTGGAGGCCTCCTTCCCCGCTGGAAGCCCTGCACCTGGCTGCTTGACATCTGGGACTCTGTTGAACGGTTATTCCTACTGGGCAGAACCTCCTGGCTTTTGGGCTGCGCCATCCCAGCATGTGGCCCTGCGTCCAACTTTCTGTTTACTTGGTCTTGAATGAATAATAGATAACCCAGTAAAAACTCTGGCAAGAGTCTGGGCCTTCCTAAACAATGAATTTGTGACTTTGAAAGTAAGCTCATTTCACATTACATCATTCTATTTGAGTGGCACATGATTGCCCAGGCAGCTGTGAAACATGCCGTCTTGTTAATGAGCCGGAGCTGACCGTGTTTTCAGTAACTGTTTTTATTATTATCAGACATTTGGAAAAGTATAATGCTATGCTCAAGGCCAGAGCCACCGCTCCTAAATCCAATTCATTCCACCTGGCAGTCCTCCCTTCCCACCACCCTCTCTCAAAGCAAACAGGGAAACCAGGAGAAGGAAACGGCCCAAGTCATAGTGAAATGGAACCACCCACACTAGCACGGCCACTAGCGCGATTGCCTCGGGAATCACCCCAAGTCCTCCTGCCCCTTACGGTCACATATGCTGGCCACCCACTATGGACCATGTCCTGTCCTGCGCTGTGGGGACCCCTCATGACAATACTATGTCATCAGTGTCTGTACCAGAGCAATGTACACTGCAGCAGGAAGAGTCAGGCCAACTTAACAAAGACAGACACTTCAAAATAGGGGAGAGTGTTTTTGGCAGACGTTGCAGCCTGTGCATAGTTCTGAGATATAAAAAAAACCTGGTTATTTGGAGGGGGCATCATGCTCAGAGTCTGAGATGACAAGAACAGGTGTTGGAAACCAAGCTGGCATTGCCAAGTGAAGTGTGTTATGTGCAACCTTCAGAGTTTGGGATTTATACCTGTGGCCTGGGAGAATTTCCTGAAGGTGTTGTCATGGCGGTGGAATGGGAAGAGAGGGAGATATGACCAGCTCTGAGTTCTGCAAAATAACTGGAGTAGCCAGCAGAGGTGGGGATGTGAAGAGGCTGAGGGCTAGACTCACCATGTAGGTAAGTCATTTCAGCTGCACCATTTCAAGAAGTTTTTTAGTTATAATCGACAGCCCAAAAGACATTATGGCCAGTCAACAAGTGAAACTCCTAGAACAGGGGGTTTGTTATTTCCAGATGAACTGATCCTTCTGTGTGCCCATTAGGGTTCTAGAGATTTCTCATTATGCAAAGTGAATGTCAGGTGAAGAAGTAGTTCTGCATTGTGTTGAAATTGAAACCTGAGGCCTAAGTTTTCCAGTTAAAATATTTTACATTTCTCAAATATGCCACCAAAAGGTCTTGGATCAGGCTGCCAAAATGCTACGCACGAGAAATGTAGCAAACCTGTAAGTGTTGGAACAGAAGTCTTCAATGACAAGCAAAATGGAATTGGAGGCTGTGGAATGCAGGGGATTCACTGGGTTCCTGAACCACATGATTCTGTCTTAAAAGTGAGAAGGTCCTAGTTCAATTATCGTAATTAACGGTGCCTACATTTTGAGATGTCTGATGGCCTCGAGAAAACTTCACATTTCCAGTATTTCATTTGGAGTCCCGACTATCCCAAGGTCAGTTACTTATCCAAGATGCAACTGCCACGGTCCTCTCTGCCTAGAAATGGCTGAAATCGATGTTTAGTAGTGCACATGGTTTTGGGATGGTTATCCTGAAGGCCTAGGCTCAAATTCCCTAAAACTCATCATACTATACATGAATAATGGATGAATTTTATTGTGTGTAGATTTCCCCTTAATAGAGCTGGAAGTGTGTGTTCAAGTGTCCTCGTTTGAGGAATCTCAATGGGTTGTCCTAATAGTTGTCCTCTGTCCCCTCACCTATAGGATGGAGATGAGAACTCCTGCCTCAGGCAGATTGTGTGACAGTGTCCATGAAACCACTTGTCGTGGCACCAGGCACAGGTGGACTCTCAACCAACCATGACCCAATGTTGGTGCAGAGACATTAGAAAGACATCTTTTTCAGCTTTGCACTGGGCTGGGGGAGAAACAAAAGAAGAAAGAAGGAAGACATCTCCTTCCCAGGAAATTTTCAAAGACAGGATCAGAGCACATTGATAAAGGTTGTTCCTCTGCCTATGAATCTAGCCTACTGTTTTCATCCTGAGTTTGGTGGGACATTTTATTGCCTGTTCTCCATCTTATAGTCTGAGAAACGTGGGACATGTGAGATCGGTAGATATCAGTGCACAGATACTTGTTTAATCTCTGCCAGCTCTGCTGTCCAGTGCTTGCCACTGGAGCCCTGGATGCAGACATCATCTGACGGCCTCCTGGATCACTCACAGTTCCTATCACGGGGCTGAAACCAAAATAAGAGCTGGACACCTGGGGACTAATTGAACACAGCAAGAGTATTCCACAGAAGATGAACTCTATCTGGCGACACAGTTAACACAAGAAAATTTCATGGCAGGAGAAGCAGCTGGAAGTCTGCCTTCACAATGAGACCATACATTGCAGAGGCCGCAAGGATGCAGGTGTGGGCCATGCGGCCCCTGCAGCTGGCGCTCTCTGTCTGCTGTGGTTTGACTCTTTGTCCCCACCCAAATCTCATCTCGAACTGTAATCCCCACATCTCGAGGGAGGGAGCTGGTGGGAGGTGATTGGATCATGGGGATGGTTTCTCCCATGCTGTTCTTGTCATATGAATTCTCACAAGATCTGATGGTTTTATAAGTGGCAGTTTCCCCTGCTCTCTCTCTCTCTCTTGCTACCATGTGAAGAAGGTACTTGCTCCCCCTTCGCCTTCAGCCATGATTGTAAGTTTCCTGAGGCTCCCCAGCCATGTGGAACTGTAAGTCAATTGAACCTCTTTCCTTTATAAATTACCCAGTCTTGGGTATTTCTTTACAGCAGTGTTGCAAACGGACTAATACACCGTCTGCATTTCTCCAGGTGATTATGTCTTCTCTCTTCCTTCATTTATTTTCATTTATAAAACATATGGCCACAGTCCTGCCTTTCTTGACATAATGAGGACCACATATTTTTTACACTTTGGCTTTAAAGCATTCCCCTGGAACTCTGATATTTTGAAGTTGGGAGTATAAACTGGTATAGACACTTAGGAAAGCTACTTGGCATTGTACACTAAACCTGATTGTCCACATATCTTACAACCCAGCAATCTGCAGAATACATGCGAGAGGAATATTGTACATATGTATGTCAAAAGACATGCACAAAAATGTTTGTGACGCTAATGGCCAAAAGCTAGAAACAAACCAAAAAGTCCATCTGTAGTAGAATAAGCAAGTAAAGTGTGGCATGGAACAGAATGGAACTCAAAATGGAATTCTGTCCCACAATGGGATGAGCATGCTCTACGCACACACAACCATATGCACGAATCTCATAGCACCATGTTGGATGAAAGAAGCCAGGCGTAAAGACAGTATGTTCCATGTGATTTCACGAAGTTCAGAAACCACCCAAACTCATCTTTTGTTACCCTTTGGGTGAGAGTAGTGACTGGGAGGGGGTACCAGGGGTGCCTCTGGGGCTCTGGGAATGTTCTAGTTTTTATTGAGGTGATGGTTGTGTGATGTGCTCCCTTGGGTGAAAATCCCTCATGCTCTGCTTATGATTTGCTGAGAACCTCCAGTGCAACCTTTCTAAATCGTAGATTTTATATGAAAAAGTTGAAAATTCAACTTTTATAGTACACACTTCAGTCATCTTTAGTATAGCTGCAAAGTTGCGCAACTCTCACCACTACCTAATTGCAAAATATTTTCAGCTCTCGAAAGAAAACTGTACCTAATAAGAGTTATTCCCCCTTCCCCATCCGGTAGCCCCTGACAGTCATTAATCTCCTTTCTGTCTCTATGGATTTGCCTATCCTGGACATTGAGATAAATGGGCCCATACAATGTGCAGCCTTTTGTGTCTGACTTCATACACTCAGCAGAATGTTTTGAGGTTCATCCGTGTTGTAGTATGTATCAGTATTTTTGTTCCTTTTATGCTAAATCATATTCCATTTTATGAATATACCACATTTTCTTTATCCATTTATCAGCTGATAGACATTTGGGGTGTTCATTGTTTGTCTATTATAAATAATCCTGCAATGAACATTCGTGTACCCATTTTTGTGTTTTCATTTCCATATATAAGGCTGGCCATCCTCTGGGTCACAGACTGAATAGATGGTCTGATTGTAAGTACAAGTTCCTAGGTGGGTTCCAGTACACTCATAATAGGTCTGGTACAATAGAGTTCTAGTTATACTGTTCCTTGACCATGTAGTATGTGTACAGTGGGGACACCCTTCTATGGGTACTTCTTTTTAGCAAGGTTGAAGGGGGTAACAACAGCAAAGCAATGTACAGCTATCCATACCTAGCAAGGGCAGAAGAAGTCCTTACCCGGGGGAAGAGGTTGAGTACAGCGACAGAACAATAGAAAAACAATATTACAAGGAAATCTACTAGTCTTAAGATTTCTAACTACATTTACTTGCTTGATGAGCCCTCAAGCTTCGGCCGTGAGTAGACTAGTCAGCTTCTGCTGTGGGACTAGAGCAGGGCTTGTTGTCTCCTCAAGCTGCAGCCATGTGTAGACTGGTCAGCTTCCAGAGTGACCAGAGCAGGGCTGTTGTCTTCAGCAGCAGCTTGGTCTCGTCTCAGGATCAGCCAGGCTGGATGATCTGGGTCCTGCTGGCTGGTCTACTTGTCCTGAGCTGCCGGTTTCAGCCGACTGTGGTGGATCCAAGGCACAACACCTGCGACTTTAACAGCAGTGGGAGTGGACAAGATTGCAGTATAGGGCCCATCCTATATGGGTCCTAGAGAAGTTGGATTCCACTTCTTAACCCAGACAAAGTCTCCAGGTTTAGGAAAGTGTGTACTGGGTCTGTCAGACTTGTAGGCATTCTTTCATGTACCCAACTATGGACATTTTGCATGGCTATTCCTAAAGCCTGCGTTCGCTTTCTTAAAGTCAATTCCTCTAGTGATTAAAAGTGATCACTTTCAATTTGACTTATGATTGGGGGTGGCTGACTGAACAAAATCTCGTAGGGCAAATACCTAGTTTGTTTGGCGGGGGTGCACCTGACTCGGAGGAGGACCATAGGCAAGACCTGATCCCATCTCAGGTGAGTTTCCTGGCAACACTTCTTCAGTAGCTGCTTGAGTGTCTGGTTCATGTGTTCCACCTTTCCTGAATTTTGCGGCCGATAAGCTGTGTGTAACTTCCATTTTATTTTTAACAGTCTTGTTAAATCTTGCACTATTTCAGCTACAAATGCCGGCCCACTGTTGGATCCTAAAGTTAAAAGCAGTCCAAACCTGGGGATAATGTCTTTTAACAATACTTTAGTCATTTCTCGTGCTTTTCTGTCCTGGTGGGGAAAGCCTCAACCCATCCTGAAAAGGTGCAGATAAGCACTAGCCTATACCGATAGCCCCTGGCACGGGGCAGTTCAGTAAAGTCTATAAGCAAGTTTTCACAAGGCATGGCTCCTACTTCCTGAATTCTTGGGGGCCGAGTGGACCCCTGTCGCGGGTTGTTCTGAGCATAGGTTAAGCATTGTTCACAAACGGCTCGAGTGATGGCAGAGAGCCACAGCACATAGAAATGGCATTTTAGTAGCGTTTCTAGTGCCGTTTTTCCTACATGAGTTCCTTGATGAATTTGCTTCACAAACTTAGGAGCTAACATCTCCGGAATAGCTAAACTCCTATCAGAGAATTTCTACCACTTTCCTTTAATATATTTTCCAGCTCGCAGGGCAAACCAGGCTCTTTCATTTGGAGTATAACTTGGGATCTCTTGGAGAGGAGGTTCTGGGAGGAGAGGCATAGCTAAGACTTCCTCGGCTTTCTCTTTAAAATGCAGCATAATCATTGCTGCCCGTTTTGCCTCTCTGTCCGCCTTTCTGTTTCCTTTGGCTTCTGGCATCCTTGCCTTTTGGTGCCTTCTGTAGTGCATTACAGCTACTTTTTCTGGACCCTCTGCAGCCTGTAAGAGCTGTAGAATTTCTTCTTTGTACTTTATTTCTTTGCCTCCAGCTGTTAAAAGTCCTCTCTCTTTGTTTATAGCTCCATGTATGTGCAATGTAGTAAAAGCATATTTAGAATCAGTGTAAATATTAACCTTCTTGTCTTTTGCTAGCAACGGTGCTCTTGTCAGGGCTATTAATTCTGCCTTTTGAGCAGGTGTTCTAGTAGGCAGAGGCTGAGCCTCTACTACTGAGTCTAATGTTACTACTGTGTACCTGGCATGTTCGAACCTCTTCTAGCACAAAACTGCTTCCATCTGTGAAGTACTCGACAGCTGGGTCTTTGAGGGGTCCGTCTGTAAGATCTTTCCAACTGGAGAATACCTCATCTACTGTTTCGACAGTCATGGAGGGGAGCTCCCGGTTCGACAGGGAGCAGAGTAGCCGGGTTGAAGGTGTTCACTAAGATAATGTAAGTGTTGTCACACAGAAACCCTTGGTACTGAGTCATTTTTGGGTTTGACAACCAATGATGCCCTCTTTGATCTGTCAAGGTTATAACTGAGTGTGGCTCCCAGATGGTTAGCTGCTGTCCCAGAGTAAATCTGTTAGCTTCTTGTGTTAACAAGATGGTAGCGGCTAACGCCTTAAGGCAAGGAGGCCATCCTAGTGCCACGGAGTCTAGTTGTTTAGATAAATATGCCACTGGGCAATGCCATAATCTTATAACTTGAGTCAGAACCTCCAAAGCCATTCCTTTTCGTTCATGAACTTATAGAAAGAAAGGCTTAGTTATATCTGGTAGTCCTAAGGCTGGGGCCTGAGTTAAAGCTTCCTTGATCTATTTGAATGCTATTTCCTGATTAGTTTTCCAAAGGAGGGGCTCTTTTTCTCCTCCTTTTGTGGCTTCATATAACGGCTTAGGCATCAGTGAAAAATTTGGAATCCATATGTGGCAGAATCCTGCTGCCCCTAAAAATTCTCTTATTTGATGTCGGGTGGTTGGGGTTGGAAGTGCACAAATGGCTTGCTTTCGCTCATCGCCAAGCCGGCGTTCCTCGTGGCTCACTATGAAACCTAGATATGTAACCTCTTCATGGCAAATTTGGGCTTTCTTTTTAGACACTTGAAGGGGTGGCCTGCCCCTCCACACCTGTGGGTATTTCTAGTCGGGTGGGATGAGAGACTGAGAAAAGAAATAAGACACAGAGACAAAGTATAGAGAAACAACAGTGGGCCCAGGGGACCGGCACTCAGCACACCAAGGACCTGCACCGGCACCGGCCTCTGAGTTCCCTCAGTTTTTATTGATTATTATATTCATTATTTCAGCAAAAAGGAATGTAGTAGGAGAGCAGGGTGATAATAAGGAGAAGGTCAGCAAAAAACATGTGAGCAAAAGAATCTATGTCATAATGAAGTTCAAGGGAAGGTACTATGACTGGACATGCACGGAAGCCAGATTTATGTTTCTCTCCACCCAAACATCTCAGTGGAGTAAAGAATAACAAAGCAGCATTACTGCAAACATGTCTCGCCTCCCACCATAGGGCGGTTTTTCTCCTATCTCAGAATTGAACAAAGGTACAATCGGGTTTTATACCGAGACATTCAGTTCCCAGGGGCAGGCAGGAGACAGTGGCCTTCCTCTATCTCAACTGCAAGAGGCTTTCCTCTATTACTAATCCACCTCAGCACAGACCCTTTACGGGTGTCGGACTGGGGGACACTCAGGTCTTTCTCTTACCACGAGGCCATATTTCAGACTATCACATGGGGAGAAACCTTGGACAATACCCCGCTTTCAAGGGCAGAGGTCCCTGTGGCTTTCCGCAGTGCATTGTGCCCCTGGTTTATTGAGGCTGGAGAATGGCGATGACCTTTACCAAGTATACTGCCTGTAAACATTTTGTTAACGAGGCACATCCTGAACAGCCCTAGATCCCTTAAACCTTGATTTCATACAACACATGTTTTTGTGAGCTCCAGGTTGGGTCAAAGTGGCTGGGGCAAAGCTACAAATTAACAACATCTCAGCAAAGCAATAGTTTAAAGTACAGCTCTTTTTCAAAATGGAGTCTCTTGTGTCTTCCCTTTCTACATAGACACCGTAACATTCTGATCTCTTTTTTTTCCCTACAATACTTTGTAACCTGCTTTCCATAGGAGATGGAGGAGGTCTCGTGTTCCTTGGTAACAGTCCTCTCAGGTTGGGGCCACCAAAAGAAGGTCATCCATGTACCACAATAAGGCACCGTTAGTTATCATTTGGTGGGGTATAGGCCTTGAGGTCTGAGGCCAATGCTTCCTTAAAGATTGTGGGAGAGTTTTTAAACCTTTTTGGGACCCTAGTCCAGGTGAGCTGTGTTAGCTTCTTTGTCCTATTGAAATGCAAAGATAGGCTGACTAACTGGTGCCAAGCAGATACAAAAGAAAGTGTCCTTTAAGTCTAAGACTGTCAACCAGGTAGCACTTGCTGGAATGAGTCCTATTAAAGTATATGGGTTGGGTACCACTGGATGGATGGTTACCATGGCCCTGTTCACGGCACGCAAGTCCTGCACTGGTCTATACTCATCAGACTCTGGTCCTGGCAGTGGCTTTCGTATTGGCAAAAGTGGAGTATTCCAGGGTGACTGGCATTGGACTAAAATCCTATGTTTATAGAGCCTCTCTAAGTGTTTACAGATGCCTCGTACAGCCTTTTGGGGAACTGAGTACTGACGAACCTGAATAGGAGTTGCTCCTGGTTTTAATTCTACTACAACTGGTGCATGATTGACAGCTAGCCCGGGTGGATTGTCTTCAGCCCATACTCTAGGAATTTCTCTAACTAACTGAAATAATCATTTCTCTTCATCCTGCATACGAGGCTGCACTGGTGCCTGTAGTTTCTTTCTATAAAGTCTCCACTCCTCAGCCTGTGGGATGGTAAGGATTAACAGCATGGCCTTCAGGTGAGTTAGCTTTAAAGTCATATCTCCCTGCAGGCCAAAAGTAATCTGTGCTTGCAGTTTTTGAAGTAGGTCTCTCTCTAACAAGGGAATTGGACGATTTGGGAGGTACAGGAACTCATGCTGAACTTTTCATCCTCCTATAACACACCTCCTTGACTGGAAGAATGGCCTCTTTTCTGAGACTCCAGTAGCCCCTACAATAGTCGTATAGTTCTTGGATAGAGGCCCTATGAGTCGAGTTACTACTGAGTGTTCAGCCCCAGTATCTACCATAAAGTCCATCAATTGGCCTCCAACTTCTAATGTGACCATAGGTTCCTGGAGGCCCAGTGAGAAGGAGCTCAGTCTGTCCTAGTCTTCATATCCTTCAGCCCTTGCCAGCCCGATTAGATCAGTATCTGGTTCTCCTAGGGCGCAGCAGCCCCTGGTTGTTGACCTCTTTGTTTTGCGGCCTTGGCCATTTCCCTCATTGCCTTCTGGACATTCATCTTTCCAGTGTCTCTTCTTTTTACATTGTGCACATTGATCCTTCTCTAATCTTGGTCAGCTCTCGAATCCCTGTCTAACTTGACCTCTTCCACATCCATGTCCGTGTCTATGTCCTCTCACATTGCTAGTGTCTCTTTGTATGAGGGCTACCGCTAACAGATCAGCCTTCTTTTTAAGCCTCCATTCTGCTTCCTTCTTTGCCTCCTGGTCACGGTTAACATACACCTTAGTGGCTACTTCTATAAGCTGAGTGGTGTTCATGCCTGTGAAACCTTCAAGTTTCTGAAGCTTTTGCTTAGTATCACCCTAGGCCTGTTCTACAAATGATGTATTTACCATACGCTGATTTTCAGCAGCCTCAGGGTCAAACGGGTGAAAAGCTGGTATGCCTCACAGAGTCTTTCATAAAACTGGCTAGGGCTCTCATCACTTCCCTGAAGCACCTCTGAGATCTTTCTTATATTGATTGCCTTTTCTCTACCATCACTTAGCCCTTGCAGAAGTGCCTCTCGGTACCTCTGCAAACGCTGAAGCTGGGTTGCATCTTCCAGGTCCTAGTTGGGATCTTGGTCTGGGCATATGCCTGAGCATTCACTGCGTCTGCCGGTGCGCGGGCTTCTAGCCAGTGGAGAGCTGCCTGTGTTACTCTCTGACGCTCCTCAGTGTTAAACAATGTGAGAAGAAGCTGCCTGCAGTCTGGCCAGGTTGGATTGTGTGTCAGAAAGATGGAGTGCATCAAATCTATAAGAGCTTGAGGCTTCTCCATATAGGAGGGAGTATGGTGTTTCCAGTTTAAGAGATCAGTGGTTGTAAAGGGCTGATAGATGAAAGTCGGTTGCCCGCCCCCTGGACTTGGCCTTGGTCATCATAATAAATGAGTCCTCGCGCCTCCCTGAGAGGCATTTGCATAGCTCGAGCACAGCCAGATCTGAGACGGCCTCCTTGACTATCTTAATTTCCTTCCCTGGCCTCTTGAGGCTCCGATCCTTACCTTTGGGTTGAGACTTGGGGCGTGCTAGCTCCTGAATTTAGTTCCTTGGGGGCTGTTGGCCTTGGTAAAGGGGGGTAGGCTGGGACATATGGAGGAGGAATCTCTTCTCCCTCTCGTGGCTCCTATAAGACTGGCCTTTCTTGCTCCCTCTGGGACTTTCCCTTTAACTCTGTGTCTGCCAGAGAAGCTGCTCTTACTTTCATTTTTGGCTCAGTTCGGGCCACAAGTGTTTTGCAATAAGCTGCTAAACAGGGCTGGATCCATGCCGGTCTTGTCTGTGCTATATTAACCATGAGTCAATATAACGAAATTGATCTGGATGCCCAGGCTGTCCTCTGACCCCTGTCACCACCTTAAATACATGGCCAATTATTTCCCTGTCTATAATTCCTTCGGTTGACCATCCAACACCAAAGAAGGCCATTCTAATTCACAGAGAGTTCTCAACCTCTGGGCAGTTAGCTTAACTCTATAATCCCCTGCATAACCTTTCTTAAAGTTCTGTAACATGCACTCTAACGGGGTAGGTTTTGATGACTGTCCTCCCGTTTTCCTCCTCTTATGGCACAGCTCACTCACTCTTCCTTTTGTTATGGACTGACCAGACCATTTCCTATTATGGGAGTTTTCAGACGCTGCTTAGCTTTGGAGAGGTCTTTATTCCCACCACAATTCTGAGCTGTGGGGCAGCTCCTATTAGCTGTATGCGGTTTGCCACTAGTCCAGGTCGGCCCCACACTTTGCTCGGAGCACACTGTCCATGCTAAGAGATCTACGACTCCCCACGTCACTCCCCACATTGGTTCCTCCCGGAACAATCTCTTTCACACACACACACACCTCCCCACTCCCAGTTCCTGTGTCCCTAACTGTGGTGGTGAGCCACTCTCGCCACCTCCAGTTTTCTTTTCCTAACTGACTTGGCGAGCCACTCTTGCATCCTATGTTGGTTGGGGTGTGAGTTTCATCCGAATTGGCGAGCCACTCTTGCTGCCCCCAACCTCTCTGGGTCAGACTACTAGTTACACCATGGGAGGTGATCAGGCTCCCCTTCTGTCCTTATGGGAAGGGTCCTGCCTTGGGCCCCAAAACCTTACCGCGGTCCAGTAGCACACTGTTCCTAGTAATCATCTGGTAGCCCCTCTCAGGTTCCATTGCACTGCTGGGTGGGGATGCCTGGTCACAGAAGAGCTGATTTCCCCTCCAGGCTGAAGTTCTCCTGGCAGTGCCTGGGGTCACAAGTTTCCCTTGACCCAGGGCTTCAGCCCCACTGGCAAAGGAGACAGCAAACCTGCCATCTCCACTCCTGGCTGGCTCACCAAAATGTTGTGATAAACTGAGGACTAGAGAGACCAATATGGGAAAACAGGAGGATGTTTATTTTAAGGTACACACTGGCTCAGTGGATTCACATCTAAAAAGCTGAGCATTGAACAAAGACAGAGTTTAGCTTGAATAGGCTAGCATACAAGAGCAAAACAAAGACAGTACATTTTACATTGACAGGTCACATAATCTATAGCATAACTGCTAACTTGGCATAACTTATGGCCTTACATACCTAGTGGCCTTGCAGCTGTGTCAAAAAAACCAACCAAACAAACAAACAGGAACTTTGCAAATCTTACTAAATACAAGCATTGGCAAACATAGTCATAACTAATAGTTCAGTACAGGAGAGAAAGTAAAGGAATTTGTTGTTGTTCTTTTTTTTTTTTTTTTTGAGTTGGAGTCTCACCCTGTCACCCAGGCTGGAGTGCAGTGGTGCAATCTCGGCTCACTGCAAGCTCTGCCTCCTGGGTTCACGCCATTCTCCTGCCTCAGCCTCCTGAGTAGCTGGGACTACAGGTGCCCGCCACCACGCCCAGCTAATTTTTTTGTATTTTTAGTAGAGGTGGGGTTTCACCGTGTTAGCCAGGATGGTCTCGATCTCCTGACCTCGTGATCCGCCCACGTCGGCCTCCCAAAGTGCTGGGATTATAGGCATGAGCCACTGCACCCGGCGTTGTTGTTCTTCTCTTAACCTTGCTTTGGGGGTTTGTGGAGCTCATTTCTGCAGGCCGGGTCACCACGACCTGTCTATAGCCTTGCCTGCAGTAGAGGAAAACTTGTGTTTTTCACTTAACCCTTACTTTCCTTGGAGTGAATAAATGCAGTATTTATTTTTCTTTAAATTTCTGCCTCATTGACAGGGAGGTAGGAAAGTCAGGATCAGAGAGGAAGATGCGATGGCGAAAGAAGCAGAGAGCAAGGAAGATGTTGGAAAATTCTATGCTGCTGGCTTTGAAGATGGAGGAGAAGGCTACACAATCAGGCATGCCGGCGGCCTCTAGAAGCTGGAGAAGACCAGGCAATAGTTCTACCCAGGGCCTCCAGAAAGGACGCAGATTGCCAACACCATGAGTTTAGCCCCGTAAGACCCTTTCTGGACTTCTGCCTTCCAGAACTGTCAGCAAGTTGTGTTGTCTTAGCCACTAAGTTTGTGATAATTTATTCCAGTACCAGTAGAAAACGAACACCTTTTCTCAAAAAAAAAAAAACAAAAAAAAACTCATGATTTTTGCCAGTTATTTAATATACATATGAGTGGTAGAATATTTGAAAGATGGCCAGGTCTAGTGGCTCATGCCTGTAATTGCAGCACTTTGGGAGGCCGAGGCAGGCAGATCGCCTAAGGTCAGGAGTTTGAGACCAGCCTGGCCAACATGGTGAAACCCCATCTCTACTAAGAATGCAAAAATTAGCCAGGTGTGGTGGTGCACATCTGTAATCCCAGCTACCTGGGAGACTGAGGCTGGAGAATCACTTGAACCCAGAAGGCGGAGGTTGCGGTGAGCTGAGGTGTTGCAGTGAGCTGAGATTGTGTCACTGCACTCCAGCTTGGGCAACAGAGTGAGACTCTGTCTCAAAAAAAAAAAAAAAAAAAAAAAAAAAAAAAAGAAAGAAAAAAAGAAAATTTGAAAGGCAAATTAAGCAGTGTGTTATAGAAATACCTGAATTTTCTAAAATCTTTGTCAGCTGTGGCATTTGGAGAGATCATGTCTTGTAATTCTAGAAGATAAACATAGAGTAATTGTGCATGAGTAATAAGGTGTCAAGATGTATATTTATTCAAAATAACTGCCAACTCCATCACCTATAGTATTTTAAATGTATAGGACTTGACTAAAGCAGGTTGTCAGATATGTTCTGGTATTGTATAATTAAACCTGAAGTGAATAAATAGGACATTTGTGTCTGTATTTCTTTTTGTATTTTTTCTTTTAGAGATGAGGTCTCACTCTGTCACCCAGGCTGGAGTGCAATGGCACAGTCACGGCTCACGGCAGCCTTGACCTCCACCATGCCCAGTAACTTTTTGTGTGTACTTTATGTAGAGACAAGGTCTCCTAAGTTGCCCAGCTGGTCTCAAACTTCTGGGCTCAAATGATCCTCCTTCCTTGGCTTCCCAATGCTAAGATTACAGGCATGAGCCACCACGCCCGGCCATATTCTCTTCTTCCTTTTCATGTATGTTTGAAACTTTTCATAATAAAAAAATAAATAAAAAGAAAAAAATGCTCCCCGATAATAATACCCATAGCATTATAGTGAGGAAGGAATTAAATGAGATTGATCACAGGATCTATATACAGCAAGTGTGTAATCAATATTGATCATTACTACTGACACTACAGGCAATCAAGATTGAGAATTAGATTTGCAAGGAAAGTCTGTTTTAATTTAGATTAGTTTGGTGCTCATGGTAATGTACTTATTTACTATGGATCACTTTGTCTTCTAGATGCTGTAAATAGGACATCACGGCTTGGAAGCCCCCCAATCCCATGTTCCTGGGGCTAGTCCCTTAATATTCTGAGGCCTTGGGGGTTCATGTGCCACAACATGTGAATTTTGTCCACCAGCTCTTGGTTCCCAAGTGCCTTTGAATGAATTTGAGTTGCTTACTGGTCTTCCTCCTTCTCCTACTTTCCAGGTAAACTTCACGTGTTTATTCCCCTCCTACCTCCTCCCCACCATCTCATTCCATTTCCCAGACTCTCTCTCTTCTCAAATAATGGCTATGGGATTCACTCTTATTGTTTATTCCTCAAGTCCCTTCCTTAAACATCAGCATCTCCATAGCAACTCTAATTGCTGTATATTTGACATCTACTCAATTTCTCTCTGAGATGGAATGAAAAGGTCTTTACAGCCAAGCAATCTGAGGAACAGAACTGGAGGAAATGACGCTCTGTTACTCCAAAAAGTTTGCAAGCCACCTTTTCAAGGCCATGTTCTTCCTAGAATAGATTACTAGTATACCTTTGTATCATTTAAATGTGTCAGTAAGAAAACAAGGACAGGCCTAGTTTTGAACAACCCTGACTGCTACCACTGAGTGCTGATCTCATTGTTACAACATTTGCCTAAGGAAAATTCTCGGAAGCCAAGCAACACTTCTGTGTCTCCAGGACCAGCCTGCCAATTCTGTACACTCCAATTCCAGACTTGGGTCCCTTTGGGGAGTATAGTGGGCTCATGGTGCCTGCCTGGAACCCGGGCCTCTTTTGGAAAAAGGGTCTTTGCATATGGAAGCAAGTGAAGGATATGGAGATGAACTCATCCTGGACTAGGGTGGGCCCCAGCTCCAATGACAAGTTCCCTTACAAGGGAGGAGAAGGAGACAGGACACAGGGCAGAAGCCATGTAGAGACAGGGGCTGAGATGGAAGTGATGCTGCCACGAACCCCAGGTCACATGGAGCCACCAGAAGCTGGAAGAGACAAGAAAGGGTCCCCCCCAGAGCCTCTGGAGGGAGCATGCTGCTGATACCTTGATTTTGGATTTCTGACCTCCAGAACTGTGAAAGAACACACTTGTGTTTTCATAAGCCTCCAAGTCTGTGGCAGTTTGTTACGGCAGCCACAGGAAACGAATAGAATACATAGACTGTGTTGCCCATATGGAGGGTATAAAAACCGAGTCTACTGCTGACGAAAAGAGTCAAACTCCGTAAAATATTTGAAGAGATTTATTATGAGCCAAATGTGAGTGACCAAGGCCCCTGACACAGCCCTTGGGAGATCCTGAGAACATGTGTCCCAGGTAATCCCGGTGTAGCTTGGTGTTACACATTTTAGAGACATGAGACATCAATCAAATACATTTAAGAGGTACATTGGTTCAGTCCAGAAAGGCAGGACAAACTTGAAGCAGTAGGGGATGGGGGGAGGTGTGCTTTTGGATTATAGGTAGATTTAAAATTTTCTGGTTGACAATTGGCTGAATTTATCTAAAGAGCTGAGATCAATGGACAGAAAATGTCCGGGTTGCAATAAGAGGTGATGGAGACCAAAGTTTTATCATGCAGGTGAAGCCTCCAGGTAGCAGGCTTCAGAGAGAATATATTGTAAATGTTTTTTATTAGACTTAAGGTCTGCGTTGATGTTAGTGCCATGCCCAAGAGGTACAAGGAGGCACGTCCAATCCCCACTTCCCATCATGGCCTGGAGCAGTCTCTCAGGTTAAATTTTAAGAGTGCCCGGGCAGAGGAGGAAGTCCATTCAGATGGTCGGGGGGCCTTAGAAATTTACTTTTGGTTTACACTATTACCCCCTACACAGCCTGCCAGGGAGCAGCACAGCAAGACACAGGTCTCCAGGGATTGGCTGAGCTATTCAGGATCTGCAGAGCCTGTCTCCTTGACCCCCTTGGTTTTTGTTCTTCATTTAGGCTTCTCCATCTTGAGTACCTTGCCTCTTCTGGCCGTGCTGTAACGGATAAGAATGTGAGCTCTGTGGGCGCAGGCCTGTCTCTGCGCTGGCCACCCACTCTGCCCAATGCCGTCACTAGCATGGTAGTTGGCACTGGGAGGTGATAAATAAATAATGCCTGAATGAAGGATTAAATAAGCCTGTGGAAGAAACAGCATTTGTCTCGCAACTACTGAGAAGTTGCTGCACCCACTGCAGACGTTCTGATTCAGTAGCTCTGGGGCGGGGCCTGAGAATCTGCATTTCTCTCAAGTTCCTAGGTGATGCTGATGCTGCTGGTCCAGGGATCACAGTTTAAGAACCGCTGGCCTAGACCAAGAGTGTGTTTACAGAAGTCCGGATTCCAGGGTTCATGAGCTCAGCCACAGAAATACCACCCTGCAGAGAAAACTTTGACCTAAACAAACCATCACAAGCTCCACCTTTCTACGCCCGGGATATCTCGCAGGGTAGCAACTGTGAGTGTGCTTCCAAACCTTCCAGAGAAAGTTTTCCTTTCCTTCAGCCGAGGCTGCATTTTTCTACCTAATGAGGTCCTGTGACTTGCAGCCCCCATTTCTGGAGGTAACATTGACCGCTACCTTGTGTGTATCAATGCTGCAACTAATTGAAGAGTTTCTTACTCTTCAGCGGCAGTGAAGAAAGCCGGGGAAGGGCAGGCTCAGTCACCTCCATGGAATAGCAGTCTCTGTTTCTCCCTAGGCACCACAGTCTTCCAGAAAGGCTGGCTGGGAGAATGCTAAGACTCAAGAGATAATAGAGTCAGGTGAGTGGATAAACCAAGTGTGTTGTAGACACACAACAGAATATTCCTCAACTTCAGAAGGAAGGAAGGCTGATGTACTTCATACCATGGATGAGCCTGGAGGGCATTACCCAAAGTGAAAGAAGCCAGACACAAAAGGACAAACACTGGAGATTTCTTCCCTGGACGACAGAGTTGTCAGATTTATGGAGACAAAAAGAAGAACGGTGGGTGTCAGGGCCTGGGGGCAAGGGTGGATGGGGAGTATTGCTTAATGGGTCCAGTGTTTCCATTTGGGAAGATGAAGAAGTTCTGGAGCTGGATGGTGGGAATGGTGGGACAACAATGAGAATGTACTTCATGCCACTGAACTGTGCACTTCAGATAGTTTTACATTGTATTTCAGCATGATTAAAACAAAAAGGCTGTGGAAACTCACCTTCATTCCCCTTTTTAATGTTCCTTTCTGTGTTTGCAAAACCTCCTGAGATCAGGCAAGAAAACAGAACAATAATCTGGAGACAATCACTGTGTTATTATTTTTGTTTTGTGATTCTTTTTTGTAAATTATACTTTAAGTTCTAGGGTACATGTGCAGAACGAGCAGGTTTGCTACATAGGTATACACATGCCATGTTGGCCTGCTGCACCCATCAACTCATCATTTATATTAGGTATTTCTCCCAATGCTATCCCTCCCCCAGCCCCCCACCCCCTGACAGGCCCTGGTGTGTTATGTTGCTCGCCCTGTGTCCATGTGTTCTTATTGTTCAACTCCTACCCATGAGTGAGAACATGCAGTATTTGGTTTTCTGTCCCTGTGATAGTTTGCTGAGAATGATGGTTTCTAGCTTCATCCATGTCCCTGCAAAGCACGTGAACTCATCCTTTTTTATGGCTGCATAGTATTCCATGGTGTATATGTGCCACAATTTCTTAATCCGATCTATCACTGATGGACATTTGAGCTGGTTTCCAAGACATTGCTATTGTGAATAGTGCCTCAGTAAACATATGTGTGCACGTGTCTTTATAGTAGCATGATTTATAATCCTTTGGGTGTATACCCAGTAATGGGATCGCTGAGTCAAATGGTATTTCTAGTTCTAGATCCTTGAGGAATTGCCACACTGTCTTCCACAATGGTTGAACTAATTTCCACTCCCACCAACAGTGTAAAAGTGTTCCTATTCCTCCATATCCTCTCCAGCATTTGTTGTTTCCTGACTTTTTAATGATCGCCATTCTAACTGGCATGAGATGGTATCTGATTGTGGTTTTGATTTGCATTTCTCTGATGACCAGTGATGATGAGCATTTTTTCGTGTGTCTGTTGGCTGCATAAATGTCTTCTTTTGAGAAGGGTCTGTTCATATCCTTTGCCCACTTTTTGATGGGGTTGTTTGATTTTTTTCTTGTAAATTTGTTTAAGTTCTTTGTAGATTCTAGATATTAGTCCTTTGTCAGATGGGTAGATTGCAAACATTTTCTCCCATTCTGTAGGTTGCCTGTTCACTCTGATGGTAGTTTCTTTTGCTGTGCAGAAGCTTTTTAGTTTAATTAGGTCCCATTTGTCTATTTTGGCTTTTGTTGCCATTGCTCTTGGTGTTTTAGACATGAAGTCCTTGCCCATGCCTATGTCCTGAATGGTATTGCCTAGGTTTTCTTCTAGGGTTTTTATGATTTTAGGTCTTACATTTAAGTCTTTAATCCATCTTGAATTAATTTTTGTATAAGGTGTAAGGAAGGGATTCAGTTTCAGCTTTCTACATATGGCTAGCCAGTTTTCCCAGCACCATTTATTAAATAGGGAATCCATTTCCCATGGCTTGTTTTTGTCAGGTTTGTCAAAGATCAGATAGTTGTAGATGTGTGGTGTTATTTCTGAGGCCTCTGTTCTGTTCCATTGGTCTATATATCTGTTTTGGTACCAGTGCCATGCTGTTTTGCTTACTGTAGCCTTGTAGTATAGTTTGAAGTCAGGTAGCATGATGCCTCCAGCTTTGTTCTTTTTGCTTAGGATTGTCTTGGCTATGGGGGCTCTTTTTTGGTTCCGTATGAACTTTAAAGTAGTTTTTTCCAATTCTGCGAAGAAAGGCATTGGTAGCTTGATGGGCATAGCATTGAATCTATAAATTACCTTGAGCAGTATGACTATTTTCACGATATTGATTCCTCCTATCCATGAGCATAGAATATTCTTCCATTTGGTTGTGTCCTCTTAAAGAAAGGATGATTCTTAAAGAAAGGAAATGTAGAATCCCCCAGAAATGCTTTCAAAGGTTGAATCTCAAAATAAAGCCACACACACACTCTCACACACACTCTCACACACACATCACACATACATTCTCACATGCAAACTATATACATATTCTCACACATGCTCACACTCAATCCTCATTCACACACACACACTCACACACAATCCTCACTCACACCCACACACACATTCTCTCTCACACACACACACACACACACAGCTGACCACTGTCCCACCGTGTTTTGCCTCCCCACCCAGAAGCGTGCGTTCCTCCCACAGTGGTTTCCAAAGTGTCGTT